>NC_000021.9:40249161-40916726 GCF_000001405.40 Homo sapiens
AGATAGTTATGCAAATTGCAGTATTGTTGGATATTAGCTGATATGGTTTGGCTCTGTGTTCCCACCCAAATCTCATCTTGAATTGTACTCCCATAATTCCCATGTGTTGTGGGAGGGACCAGGTAAGAGATAATCTGAATCATAGGGGTAGTTTCCCCGATACTGTTCTCATGGTAGTGGATAAGTCTCATGAGATCTGATGGTTTTATCAGAGGTTTCTGCTTTTGCATCCTTCTCATTTTCTCTTGCCGCTGCCATGTAAGAAGTGCCTTTTGCCTCCCACCATGATTCTGAGGCCTCCACAGCCACGTGGAACTATAAGTCCAACTAAACTTTTTTTCTTCCCAGTCTCGGGTATGTCTTTATTAGCAGCATGAAAACAAAACGATACATTAGCGTAGAAATATATTCAAATCATGGGAATTGTGAAGGGTGAACAAACACGAGTATGAAAGCAACATTTCAGCAGGTTTGAGAAAGTTGTTCATGAAGGCAGCTGTCTCTCTGGAGTGTGTGATGTGGCAGGTCTCAGGGTCAGAAGTGAGCTCTCTTTGCAACCTGGTATGCTGGGAGTTAAGCTTTAGGAAACACAGAGTTGAGGTAATCATGGCTTCATGGGGAAAATGCAGGGGTTCCTTGCAGCCAGAAGAGAAGAGAACAACCTCCAAGCTCCAAAGAAGGATGAAGGAGTTAGGTGTGTAGCCCCAGCCCCTAATAAGGAAGAGGCCTCAAGGTATTTTGTCTGAGATCAAGGCCTCCTGGCACTATTCCAAGTGGAAGGAAACCCTAAGCTGACACACATCTGAGACCTGGGTGGAGCCATTTCAAAGGAAGCTGAGGTCCTTCTCTTGACTTTTAACCTTGAGAACATGGTCACTTTGTACTGTTTTTGCAGGTTCTACTCACATTGACCTTGACTCCATGACCTTGGAATTTAAACATGAGACAATGTCGTATCCTTGCCTGGGTTTGGCAATTGCAGGGTTCAGGCCAGTAGAATGACCTATGACGGTTTGGGGATTCACAGCCTCTGTCGCAAGCTTAATTCATGCAGCATCTGGGGACCCCAACACTCTTCATGTGGTCTGCGACATCTCTGAAAAACTTCTACATGGTAAGGAATTTTGGTGTTTTTTAAAAAAGTCAAGGGCCTCAATTAGAAATATGAATAAAGGGAGATGAAGGCTACTTCCTTTAAGGTTGTATCAAGACAGGAAGACATAAAGTAAGAGTGTATATATGACACTATGTGGTAAGCTGCAGATAAAAATTTCAATTTAGCTTGATGCATCTTCTGTGGTTCTTTCATAATTTTTTAAAAAATTCCACACTTAAACAGTTGTGATAGATGGCCTGCTAATACAGTGCAAAATGTGGCCATTTTACATTTTCTCACAAAGAATTAACCCAGAATGTCTGAATCCCCAGATGGCTTCACTGTTGCCTCCTTTCATCCCCGTCACTAATCTGTGAAAAGGCAGCCCTCACATTAAGACACTTTCCTGAAGTGGCAGCGACAGCTCAGTGAGGGCTGCTGTGCTGCACTGGGTCGGGGCTGACGTTCCCAACCTCACTGCTAATGAGAAGACTTGAAAGATTACTGACATGTTCATGTTCATGGAGGTGGCCGGAAGTAATTAAGCACTCTTCAATAAAGGGCTACCTTGGCAAGTTCAAGATTTGAATGGGAAAAGGGTGATGGCTGGGCTGGGTGCACATGTTACCTGCATCTCCAAGACCCTGTCCTTCTTGGCGTCTTTCCCTGCTTATCAGACCAGTTCTGGGCACTGATAACACCACAGAGCATTTGCTCAATCTCTATCACCTGATATCCTGAAAAGGGAGTGGAGGCCTTTTTGCAGACTTCTGGGCTCCCACAGCCCTTGTGCTGCAGCATGCTGCCTGCCTTCTCTTCTGTCATCAATGAAATATGGTGGAGGGAGCTATGCTGCTGATGCAGCTTGGAGGCTGTAAGGGACCAGAGTCAAATGGGCCATCGAGGGCTGGCTACACAGTTACTGGGCTGGCCATGTGATAGAGAGTGCAGACCACTAAAAGGCACATAGCAGAAGAATACTGAGTAACACAGAAAAAAATCAACACATATAGATCAGAATAAAGGCTAAGTTATTAAACAGTACATTCAGATGTTTCTAGTTACAGAAAAATGCTTCAGCACATATTAGCAGAGAGAAAAAAAAATAGGCCACAAGGAGATTTATCACTATATTAATTTTTTTTTGTGAGGGAGGGTTTTTCTCACCATTCCCGATGTTTCCTTCTACGTAGATCAGACCTGTTGAGGTAACACTTCTCCTATTTCCTAGTCTTCCCTTGTTTTAATTTGGGATAGAAGGAATGACTTACACTTGATAATGAGTTTGGAAGTGGGAACTAGGCATATACAGCTCTACCCTTTCCTGTACTTTTTGTTGGGAGCTGACAGTTCCTAAGAAACACCCTGTAGTGGGCAGATTCCAAGATAGCCCCCAGTGATCCTGTCCCCTGATATTCATGCCCTTGTGGAATCTCCTATTCTTGAGTGTAGGTAGGTCCTGTGACTTTCTTCTAATCACTTAAATATGGCAAAGATAGTGGGACATCATTTCCTTGATAAGCTCACATGATATTATAACTTCCATCTTTCAACTCTCTCTGTTGCCTTCTCCACTTGCATGTTTTCTTTTCTTTCTTTTTTTTAAAACAAAACAAAACAAACAAACGACACTTGCAAGCAAGCAGCCATGTTGCAGACATCCTCATGGCAAGGTACCAAGGGTGACCTTTACTTGGCCAACAGCCAAAGAGTAAGTGAGGCCACAAGTTGACTCCTGACAACAATTACATGAACTTGGAAGCAGATCCCCACTTGAGCCTTCAGATGAGACCTAAGCCATGGCTACTACTTTGATTGCAGCCTTGAGGAAGACATTGAGAAAGCTGTTTGTTTCAGATGGTTGAAGCCAGGACCTCAGTAAGCTATGTCTGGACTCCTGGACCCACAAAAACTGTAAGAACATAAGTGTATGCCATTTTAAGCTGCAAAATCTGTGATAATTAGTTACAAAGACATAGATAATAAAATCAGACCTTTATGCCATAAAGTATGCATGGGTGGCCCTAATCTTTGGTAGGGTACAGAGGTGGTATTGGGGTCCTGTGATGCCTAGGACTGTCTGGGTAAGCCTACTGGATTCTTAGCTTAAGTTATGAGGAGTATCTGCCCATAGATATAAACAGCATTGTCTCACATGAATTTTATCTTTGACAAATGAGATTTTGTTGTTTTCCTCCTTTGTTTCCCTCATAAATTTCAGATCTTGAGTAGGAAAAAGAGAAATATTTCTATCACCATCTTTTGAGTGTTGGGATAAGGAGAGATTTTTCTACCTTTCAATCTATTATTTTATTTTTAAAATATATGGGAACCTGTGTAATTGTTATAATCAGAAAAAAAATACTAAGAAGGGCCAGCCGGGTGGCCAGGTACATGCAAGTGAGTTTTGATAGGGACTTTTTACTATTGCCCTAGACTTTGTTTCTATGATTCAAGATTGAGGATCAAAGTATCACATCCTTAAACTTTTTTCAAGACTATGGGAACCAGATTCCCATTAAAGGCTTAAGTTCTGCTACTCTCAATCATTACTCCAGTCCCCACAACTTCCCAACGTATAAAACAAAATTGGGGGAAGTGGGGAGAAAGAGAAAATTGTCCTGGGTTACTAGAGAGTGCTAAGGCTCGAGTTGTCTGTCCCCCTAGACCCAAGTAAGGGGCGGGGGGCTGAGAACGTATCACTCACAGAGGTTGGGAGTGCCTGTAAAGTGGGTAAATGGAATTTATATTCTTCTGTTTGCTATTTAATTGGGAAGTGACATGTTTATCTGCCTTACACATACCTGAGCAGGAAGACATAAACCAGGAGGGAGAAGACAGGTGAAGTGTGAGCACAGGACGATGATGCCTAAGTTTCCATGGACACTACAGAAACTATCTGGGCTTAGGATGGTTGGTCCACAGTGAGGGAATTCTGTAGCACAAGTCTCTGCAAGGCATTGGGGAGCATCGTGGGAGGGAGGATGTTATTTACCTCTTTATCATTCTCCTAACTCTGTTAGGGACTGTATAGCAGGGAGCCTGGAAATTCCCTGCCAAATAAATTGCATGTATTTGATTACATGATACAATGCAGAATATATCTGGTCTTTGTTCCTGGTTCCGGGACAGAGCTTCAAAACCTCTTGGAGTTTTCAGAGTGATAGAAATGTCTTCAGTTACTCACAACAGACCCTTTCTACTTCTGCAGTACCTGAGTTTATGCTAATGAGGTGACTTATGGTGGGCCCTCAGATGATTATCAAGGAGGGGCTGGCCTTCTGGAAAGACCAACCATGTGATGAGAGGAGGGGGACATTCAGCCTCACCCCCTGACCTCTGGGGAAGGAAGAGGGGCTAGAAATAGATCTCAGTCATGTGGCCAATGATTTAATCAATCACGCCTCCGTAATAAAACTTAGATAAAAACTCTGAGCAATGCAACTCAGACAGCTTCCTGGTTGGTGAATATATGGGTACGCCCGGAGGGCGGCACAACCCAGATCCACAAGGCTGGAAGCTCCTGTGCTCAGGACCCTTCCGGATCTTGCCACATGTACCTGTGCATCTGGCTGTTCACTCATGTCCTTTTTGGTAAAATGGTAATTGTTAAGTATGGCATTTTCCTGAATGCTGTAAGAGGTTCTAGCAGATTATCAAACCCAAGGAGGGTGTGCTATCTTGAATTTGCAGCTATCCAGGCAGAAGTGTGGGAAGCCTGGGACCCCACTCACTGCTGGTGTCTGACATAAGAGCAGTCTTGTTAGGGATCTTGCCCTTTAACTCATGGGATCTGATACGAACTCCAGGTAATTAGTGCCTGAATCAAACTAAATTGTAGGATACCCAGTTGGTGTCAGACAATATTGAAGGCTGTTTTCCATACAGAGTGAGGGCTTTGATGGTCAGTAAATATTAGATAAATAGTCACAGCTAAGATAAATGACAGAGCCTTTGTTTTGCATGATCTCCTCATATCATATCACCCCATTACAATAGAGGCAAGTTACCCTGAATGAAAAGACCAAACACTCCAGGCAGGGGGAGGGTGGAATATCACAGTTTAAGTTGGACTGGCTATGATGATATAAGGAAATAAGTAAAAGCTCAGAACCCGGTGGAAGGTGGTGATGGGAGCAAATTTAAACTGATTCATTATGCTCCCCCATTCCTCTAAGCAAGAAAGGATTTTCTGACGCATACAAAATGATACAGTTGGCAATACGAATGCATCTGATGCTTATAGTCATGAGCTTTTCCAACCATTGAAAACAGAGGTCTCACCTCCAGAAAACTGAGGTACATTATGACTTAACACACAGAATCAAGGTGACTGGTTCACGGGGGTGGGTATAAAGCCCAGGCCCCCAGCCCCAGCCACCTTGGAAGGGCCACCCAGCTTCAGAGCTCTTTGCAGGATCAGCTGGGCCCTGCTTGCATCTGCATCCCAGCTTCTTTCTGTGCCTCTCCAACTTCCTGTACTCCCCCTATGGCGTTGATCCCAAGCGCTTTCCAGCAGGTTTCCAGCACACAGATCCCTGCCAGAAGCCAGCCTAAGACAATCCTCCTTTATCCAGCTTTCCACTCAAAAATCAGCGTCCTCAGAGTGGCTTTCCCTTATCTCTCACGTGCCATCTAGTAAGTGCCTTCATTATATTTGGTGCATGTTTTAACTGTGAGATTATTCATCTGCTGATATGATTAATGTCAAATTATAAGCTCCGTGTGGGTAAAGGCCCCCTGGTCTAATCACAATTGCATCTCTAAGGCCCAGCACTGGCAGTTGTATAGATTAGACTTCCAATATATAATTATGGAATAAACAGGTAAATAAAGGATGTTAAATCCCATTGAGGAGACGACTCCATTTTTTAAGTCTCCTACTCAGTTTTCCTCTATATCCATTCATCCCTTTAACCATTGAGTACCTGCTGTGTATGTTACTGTGTGCTGGGTGTTCTGTGCCAGAGAGTGGTGACTCAGACAGCTCCCGCTCCGTTTTTGTGGTGTGATTCATGAAGCCGGGTTCCGCTCTGCAACCCCATGTTATGGTTTGAGATAATGTTACAAATGATCTACTACATGTATGTGGCTCTTTTCCCCAGTGAGTCTATAAAAGACTTAAAGGCGAGGACATTTACAGTCCTTGCTCATAGCAATACAGTAGGCAGAATAATGGTGCTTCAAAGACCTCCCCGGCCTAATCTAGGGAACATAAATATGTTACTGTACACAGTGAAAGGTATTCTGCTGATGGAATGAAGGTTGCTAATTAACTGATCTTAAAATAGGGAGAAGATCCTAAATTCTCTGGGTGGGTCCAGAGACATCGCATGGGACTTTAAATGCAGAATAAGAAAGCAGAGGAGTCAGTCCATGCCTTGTGGCAGAAACAGAAGCAAAAGAAACAGAACAGAAGGAGAGTCAGAGATCTGAAGTGTCAGAAGGACTCACCCCACACTTGGCTAATTCTGAGATGTAAGTGATTATATGCAAGGAATAGAATGAGGCTTATAGGAGCTCAGGACAACCCCTAGCTGACAGCTGGCAGGGAAGCAGCGATGTCTGTCTCACAGCCACCTGGAGCAGAATTCTGCCCACAGTCAGAAAGAGCCAGGAAGAAAATTCTCTCCCAGGTCCTCCAGTAAGAGGAGCACAGTGCTGCGGACGCTCTGACTTTGGCTTTGTGATATGTGAAGCAGAGAAACCAGCCAAGCCACTGGATGCCCAACCTGCAAAACTCTGGATAATAAAAGGGTATTTTCCTTAAGTCACTAAGTTTGTGGTAGTTTGTAATGGCAACTTGAGAAAACTAATACAGAAGGTATCCAATGTATGTTTTGGACTTGAGTCTTTAAAACTCTGTATTCCCAAATTAAAATGCAGCATACCCTGAAGCATTTACAGAGTGAATTTGCAGTTTCAACTTTTTGTAAACAGCATGGAAGTTCACGGCATGTTAAAATATGCACACGTTAATATGTGTCATTTTGCTGAGGGAGGTATTTAGGTATTTAGGCTGTGGGTGCTACAAGGCATGTGTGTGGGAATATAATCCTTCCTGAACTTTTAGGCCACTAATATCAAAATCTGCATTAGTCAGGGCTTCCCAGAGAAACAGAACCAATAGGAGAGAGAGAGACAGACAGAGAGAGAGAGAGAGAGACAGAGAGAGAGAGAGACACACACAGACAGACACACACACACAAAGAGACAGAGAGATTTATGATAAGGAACCACTCCATGAAATTGTGTGGGCTAGTAAGTCTAAAATTTGCCGGGCCAGCCAGCAGGCTGTACCCAGGAAAGAACTGATGTGCAGCTTGGGTCCGAAGGAGGCAGCATCTCCTCTTTCTTCCAGGGACTTCAGTCTGTTTTTCTAAGGACCTTTAATTGATGAAGCCCACCCGCATTATGAAGGATAATCTACTTTACTCAAAAATCTATGGATTTAAATGTTAATCACATCTAAGAAATACCTTCACAGCGACATCTAGGCTGGCTTTTGACCAAGCATCTGAGTACCATGCCTAGCAAAAGTGACACATACAATTAACCATCACAAATCCACACCTTGTCAACTCGGCATCCATGCACGTCTGCTTACACCATACTTACTCTTCAAATAAAGACAATAACAAGGTTATACTTCCACTTCACATAATATCACTACCCTGAGCACAACTGAAAGCACACAAACCCTGTCCCTAAAAGAAAAGCAAAGTCCTTTGGTGATGTTCATGCCTCTCCTTAATGTCCCGTAACTTTACTACTATGATGTGAAGTTGACAATACTTAAATACTATGATAGCAAATCAATGTATCATATGTTATATGATAATGGGATAAGAGAGGAAAGAAAACAAAGATACAATTGTTTCTTGGTATCTTTGGGGAATTGGTTCCAGGAACCCCTCATACAGGATACAAAACTCTGAGAGAGTTCAAGACTTTTCATATGCACTGGCCTAGTATTTGCAGCTAACCTACACACATCCTCCTGCACACTTTAGGTGCCATCTAGACTACATATGAAACCTAATAAAATACAAGTGCTATCCAAATAGTTGTTGTATTGTACTGTGTTATATTTGTATTTATGTTTATTGTTGTATTTTTTTGTTTTTTTTTCCCTGAATATTTTTTATTTGAGGATGGTTGAATCTATGAGTGTGGAAGCTGCAGATTCAAAGGGCTGGCTGTATTTGCTGAACACACACACACACACACACACACACACAATGGCAAACGCACTCCCTGGCACTGCCTCTCCACATGGCTATGCTATTCTCTCATAATGCATCATCCTTAGCCTTTTACAGTGATTACCTTGGGAGACAGGACTGAATGAGCAGAATGGATTCATTTAGCATTACTACAATCCCAATTTTTACAGTTGTGGAAATAATTTTACAGTGGCACATGAGAAAGAGGGGCTTCTCAGAGGTCGCAGAAAATAAAAGACAACTCAGGACTTCCAAACGTTAATTTTTTTAATGCTCATGCACTTACCCTTGTTTTTTTCTCCTGGCTTCAATACATGGCCAAGGTAGCACAGAGGTGGCTCCATGGTGTGATGACAATGACAACACTCATGGTATTATGTGCCTGTTAATGCAGTTTATGGCTACAGAAAGCCCCTTTCTCCTTATTCTTTTCACAGAGCAATGTACCTTCCCCTTGCTGCATTATCAATGGGGTTTTAAGCAAAAGTGCTCTTTTCTCCTCTTGCACATTTACAATCAATGGCTACAGACTCAGAATTGTGAAGTGCTTTCTGACTGTTTTGTTTCCATTTTCTAGCAATGGCCCATTCTGTATCAATCTAAATGAGCCACAGAAAACATGGCATCTGACCTGCATCTCCGGGGAGAAAGTATTGTTCCTAGCAGCATTCAGCAGTACCATATACAAAAAGGAGAAGCGATGAAAACCTAAAAGCATGTCTTCCAAAACTTCTTCCTGGAGATCTTCTTCTATGTCTGGCATCAGCTCTCCTGCTCTTTCCCTCTTGCATTTCTTCCTGCTGCAAACACTGGTTGAGAACCTACTACTTCCAAGGCCTAGAAATGTTATTCTCAAATGACAGGAACACATGAAATTGTTTCCAAGCTGAATGTCCAACTAAGATAACAGTTGCAAAATGATGCCAAACCATAAAGTGAAATATGAGCTACTCCTGAAATACAATAAAATGGAGCTATGTGTATTTATCTGTGTAAAAAGTAAAGTAGAGGTTCCTCTTCAAAGACTTTCCTCCCCATCTAAATAGGAATAAACAGTAACTTCTCTTAGAAGCGAAATTTATTCAAAGACCTGTGCTAACATTCTTAAATGTCTGCTAGCCGCAATGAAGAAATCAAGGTACTTTATGTTCTTAGCTCCCACAATTTAGCTTAAATATCTGCCCTGGCATGCTTATACTGGTCCAAACAAGCATTAGGTCATAGCCTGTTCCTCTTCCTTATTTGAAGGTGTTTCTACCTTTCTCAGCATTCCACAAGTTACTTCCTCCTTCTTTTGTTCTCCTCTCTCTTTACCTCTTTTAAAAAGTTCTAAGTTGCTAGCCAATCGAGACAAACACAGAATGTGAGGTCCCGTTCCAGCCAATGGAAACCAGACACAGCAGTAGAGTGGACACCTCAGGTTATAAACGACCCTGTCTCCTTTGTTTGGTGTACTCTTGGGGCAAAACTGCTGGCGGGTGTACCCCTTCTGCAGAAAGTAAAAATGGCACTGCTGAGGAGATTAAATTTATGTTGAAGTGCTATTTCTTTATGGCACTGAGGAACAAGTATTTCTAACGTCTGGAAAGACAACTGTGATATATTGTCAACTTAAAAAGCAAATGCATACTAACATATACTCTGTGATTTCATTTTCTTAAAAGAGAAAACGCTTACACATATGAATATGCCTACTAGGAAAAAGGAAAAATGAAGAGCCTGGCCATCCATCCAGAGTGCAATGCAAAGTTCTCACCTCCCTCGAAGGATCTGATCTCCTCTTTAATGAACTCTTTTTTTTTTTTTACCCCAGCAGTGTCATGGAGGAAACACACCAAGCTTCCTCTTGCCATAGGGCCTTTTCTCTGGTTATACCATCTCCCTGGAATGCATATGGCTTCCCTCCTTCTCATTAAGAATAAAGACTCCACTCTGAGCAAATACAGAAGCTAAGTAATAAGGGGCAAGAAGCTAGACAGGGACTTCCCAGTATGGAGCAGATCCCACAGCACCAACCAGAGATGAGAATTAGGCCACACCTGTAAAGAGGCGATGCATCTGGGCCCAGAAGTTAAAAGTTACCTCCATTTCCTTAGAAAGAAGGCTACAACTGGAATCAGTTGAATACTGGTTACTGAATAGTTCTTAGAGAGAATGAAAGTTTTGAGTCAGCCATTCTTTTTTTTTTTTTTTTTTTTTTTTTTTTTTGAGATGGAGTCTCGCTCTGTCGCCCAGGCTGGAGTGCAGTGGCGAAGTCTCGGCTCACTGTAAGCTCTGCCTCCCAGGTTCACGCTATTCTCCTGCCTCAGCCTCCCGAGTAGCTGGGACTACAGGTGCCCGCCACCACACCTGTTATAAATGACCCTGTCTCCTTTGTTCGGTGTACTCTTGTACAGTTACAAGAGTACTAGTTTTTTGTATTTTTAGTAGAGACGGGATTTCACTGTGTTAGCCAGGATGGTCTCAATCTCCTGACCTTGTGATCCGCCCGCCTCGGCCTCCCAAAGTGCTGGGATTACAGGCGTGAGCCACCGCGCCCAGCCGAGTCAGCCATTCTTAACTAACAATGCTTATCCTGTGTAGTCCTTCAGGTTTTATTATACAACATACTGATGATTAAAGTCACAGTTCCAGTGTTCAGAATGAGCTGAAAATCAGGTGCTCTTTTCTGCTCAAGCATCTTTGGAATGAGAAGATCCTTACTTGCCTGTGTATACATGGACTGTACACCTCTGTAATGTGTCTTACAATCAGTAGCCAAACGGATAGCCACAAAAAGTGGACATCTAACTTGAGGTTCTGGAATCAATTGGCTTAAGGGTGTGGAAATTGAAATAAATAGGTGGGAAAACAGTATATTCAAAAGTCTACCACCTCCAGCCCTGTCTCTGCCTTCCTGCCTCAGCCACAGCTGAACTGCAAAGAGCAGATGGTGGGTCACTGCCCTGTAGCATGGACACTTGCCATGACCTGCCATTGCTTTACAAATGTGCATCAGTGACTCTGCTCCGTAGCTGTTGTCTTTGGATATGTCCTAACATGAGGAGTGAGGATGGTCCCTGCAGAGGGTCACACCTGGGAGTCCTCAAGAGAAAAGTGAGCATCACAACCAGGCACTTGCATTCTACAAAGAATAAATCATCAGAGAAACATCTCCAAGCCTTGCCTGTCCATCAGCTTATTTCCATGTACCCATTCACAAGGCCCATTGCAGGTCAGGAGCTTGTTTCAGCTGAGTTTGCAATAAGACTGGTCTAGTGGCCCTTGATGAAAGCACTTATGTGTAGCTTCTCTTCTTAATTAAGTCTAAACAAAACTATGTATTGTCTTCTGCATCCTTTTCAAGATGAATGATATTAAAAATGATTACATGATAATAATGAAACTAGAGATTGGAAAAAAGCCCCCGACATCCAGGAGCTGGCTGGGAACTCCCACCTGGGCCTTGGTGTTCTGTTATTGAAGATAAACAATTTCACAAAACACTAACATCAGACAAAACAGCTCTGTGACCGAGATGGATCAAGACAAAAGAAGACCCCTCCGTTATCATGTTTGAACATAGACAATAGCATGAGCATTGTTCAAAGAAACCACAACAATGACCAAACATCTGTTCTTTTGTCTAACGTGACTGACCACTGCTTCTTTACCCATAACAGCATTAGCCTGGCTTCATTTCTCTCATCTTATGAACAAGATTTATTAAATATCTGCTATGGTTTGAATGTTTGTCCCCTCTGAAACTCACAGTGAAACTTAACCACAATTATATAACTGTGCTAAGGGGGTGAGAAATCTTGCCCACATATTTGGTCAAACATGATTCTATATGTATCTGTGAGGGTGTTTCTGGGCAAGATTAAAGCCGAATTGGTAGGCTGAGTCAAACAGATTGCCTTTTCTAGTGTGCATGGGCCTCATCCCATCCATTTAAGACCTGAAAAGAACAAAAAGATTGAGTATGAAGAAACTCTGCCTGCCTGATGGCTGAGCTGGGACCTTGGTCTTTTCTTGTCTTTGGACTTCGAGTGAAACATTGGCTCTCCTTGGGTCTAGAGCTTGATGGCTTTCAGATTGGAATTACACATTGGCTTTCCTGGGACTTCTTAGCATCCATAATCATGTGGGCCAATTCCTTATAATAAACTTATTCTCTCTCTCTCTCTACACACACACACACACACACACACACACACACACATTCTTATATAAGTATATACATATATACCAATATAAAGAGATATAAATATGTATGCTAATAAATAGCACTATCTCTCTATATGTCTTATTGGCTTTGTTACTCTGGAGAACCCTGACAAATAGAAATTTAATGTTATGGATTTAATGGTAGTACCTCTCCAAAATTCATATGTTGAAGCCCTAACCAATGTAATGGTATCTGGAGACAGGGAGGTAATTACTTTTGAGAGGTAATTAGAGTGAGATGAAGTCATGAGAAGGTCTAGTCTGATTAGATCAATATCCTTTTAAGAAAAGGCACCTGAGAGTTAACTTGAGTGTTCTCTCTCTCTCTCTTTCCCTCCCTCCCTCTCTCTCTCCCTCTCGCTTTCTTTCTTTCTTTCTGTCCATGTGTACATAAAGAAGTAATGTGAGTGCACAGTGAGATGGCAGCCACCCACAAGCCAAGAAAAGAGACCTCAGAATAAAACTTACCTTGCTAGAATCTTGATCCTGGACTTTTCAGCCTCGATAACTGTGAGAAATAAGTTTCTGTTGTTTAAGCCCACCTCCCAAAAGAGGGTGGGAAATCTAACCACGGTATTTGAGAGGCAGGATATTTAGGAGATAATTAGATTTAGATGAGGTCAGCTTCCTCACCATGTCATGCTTTATGCAGCAAAAAGCCTCTGCAGAGAGTCCTCACCAGCATTAAGGCCCTTACAGGTGCAGCCTCTTCACCTTGAACTTGCCCCGCCTCCAGAACTGTAAGAAATAAGCCTATTTTCTTTATAAAGTACCCAGTCTCAAGTAATAATTATAGCAACAGAAAACAAATCAAGACAATACCCAATCATAGAATTACTCCCACTTTCTGGCAGCGTCACTCCAGAGTTAGGTCCTACTTACTTGAACCTTCCCCCAAATCACCTAACACAAGCCCAAGTTTATAATACGTCCTTCCCAACACCCTCTTATGAAGGCATCTCATTGTTTCCATGTTGTATGCTTTAGCTCATGACAAGAATAAACTCAACTTGGTACCCTACAAGTATGTGACTGATGGGCTTTGGCTGGAGGGCAGTGATAGAAATGAGGTACAAGGACAGCAGTTTGGGAATCCCAGCTCAGAGGCTTGGCTGACTGTGCCTAATACCGTGCTTGGCACATGGTAAGAACTCAGCAAATGTTTCTTGAATCAATGAAAAGAATCAGGCAGCTCCTGTTGAAACTAATGTGCATGCACCTTGGAGCTTTCTTGCCATTGGCCATCTCACCATGAGGCTGTTAATTTTGCAAAAATATTCAAACATAATTAAGAGTCCAATAGTATTAAATTAATAAGGATGTGTGCTTAGGCTATACAAATAAAAGAGAAAGCCAAGATACCTTTTTAAAATGCCATACAAAATTCAAAATTCTTTGGTAAAAATTAATAAAATATGTCTAAGTCCAAAATGGAGACAACTGTGCCTCTTCGTTAAGGAATCTACCAGAAAACTAAAGACAATAAAGAGAAGTTTCATTTCTGGATATAATGACTCAATATGGTAAAAAGGTGGGTCCCTCACATTAAATTATTCTATAAATAATTACTTAATGGTTATTTTTGAAATAGACAAAATCATGTTTAGGTTTACCTGGATGAATAAACGTGTGAGCAGAGCAAAGAAAATTTCAATCATATCAAGTATCTTCTCAGACCACAGTGGAATAAAACCAGAAATCAATTCCAAAAGGAACCCTCAAAACTATACAAATACATGAAAATTAAGCAATCTACCTCTGAATGATTTTGGGGTTAACCATCAAATCAAGATGGAAATTTAAATTTTTTTTCAAAATGAATGATAACTGTGACACAAGTTATCAAAATCTCTGGGATACAGCAAAAGCATTGCTAAGAGGAAAGTTTACAGCACTAAATGCCTACATTAAAAGTCTGAAAGATCAGAAGTTGACAACCTAACATCACATTTCAAGGAATGAAACAAGAACAAACCAAACCCAAAGCTAGCAGAAGAAAAGAAATAACAAAGATCAGAGCAGAACTAAATCAAATTGAAACAAAAAAATTATAAAAGATCAATGAAACAACAAGGAGGTTATTTGAAAAGATAAATAAAATTGATAGACCACTAGCTAGATTAACCAAGAAAAGAAAGAAGATTCAGATAAGTTCAATTGGAAATGAAAATGGAGACATCACAACTGACACCACAGAAATGCAAAAGATCATTTGAGACTACTATGAACACCACTCTGGACACAAACTAGAAAATCTAGAGGAAATAAATAAGTTCCTGGAAACATACAACCCCATAGCTTAAATCAGGAATAAATAGAAATCCTGATGAGACTAATAACAAGCAGTGATATTGAATCAGCAATAAAAAAAAAATGCCAACAAAACAAAGCCCAGGGCCAGTTGGATTCACACCTAAATTCTACCAGACATTCAAAAAAGAATTGGTACCAATCCTTCTGAAATTATTCCAAAAGACAGAGAAGGAGGGAATCCTGCCTAACTTATTCTATGAAGCCAGTATCCTCATACCAAAGCCAGGAGAGGACATAACAAAATAGGAAAACTACAGACCAATATTCCTGATGAATACAGATGCAAAAATTCTCAACACAATACTAGCAAACCAAATCCAATAGCAAATCGAATCCAATAGCACATCAAAAAAATAATTCACCATGATAATTCTAAAGATGCAGGGATGGCTCCACATACGCAAGTCAAAAAATGTGATTCATCACATAAACATAATTAAAAACAAAAACCATATGATCATCTCAATAGAGGCAGAAAAAACATTTGATAAAATCTAATATCCCTTTATGATAAAAACTCTCAACACACTAGGCACAGAAGGAACATACCTCAAAATAAGAAAAGCCATATATAACAAACCCAGAGCCCACATCATACTGAATTGAATGGGGAAAAGCTGAAAGCATTCAACTGAAGCAAGACAACGATGCCCACTTTCCCCACTTCCATTCATCATAATACTGGCAGTCCTAGCCAGAGAAATCAGGAAAGAGAAAGAAATCAAGGGCCTCCAAATAGGAAAAAAGGAAGTAAAACTACCTCTGTTAGAAAACCCTAAAGACTCCTCCAAAAGACTCATACATCTGATAAATGAATTCAGTAAAGTCTTAGGTTACAATATCAATATACACAAATCAGTAGCACTGCTATATACCAACAATGACCAAGCTGAGAATCAAACACGATCTCAGGCTGGGCATGGTGGCTCACGCCTGACTTTGGGAGGCCAAGGCAGGCAGATCAACTGAGGTCAGGAGTTTGAGACCAGCTTGGCCAACATGGTGAAACCCCATTTATACTGAAAAAAAATATAAAAATTAGCCAGGTGTAGTGACAGGCATCTATAATCCCAGCTACTCGGGAAGCTGAGGCAGGAGAACCGCCTGAACCAGGTGGCAGAGGTTGCAGTGAGCCGAAATCGTACCACTTCATTCACTCCAGTGTGGGGGACAGAGCAAAATTCCGTCTCAAAAAAAAAAGAAAAAAAAAAGAACTCAACCCCTTTAATAGCTACAAAGAAAATAAAACACTTTATTTTTAAAACACTTAATAAATATACTCTACCAAGGAGGTGAAAAGATCTCTAAAGGAGAACTACAAAACACTGCTGAAAGAAATCATAGATGACAAACAAATGGAAAAACATCCCATGTTCATAGATTGAAAGAATCGGTATTGTGGAAATGACCATACTGCTCAGTAATCTACAGATTCAATGCAATTCCTATCAAAATACCAACATCGTTTTTCACAAAATAAAAAAAAAAACATAAAATTCATAGGGAACCAAAAAAGAGCTAGAATAGCCAAAGAAATCCGAAGCAAAAAGATTTATTCTTAGAATCACATTACCCAACTTCAAATGATACTACAAGGCTATAGTAATTAAAACACCATTGTAATGATATAAAAGTAGATGCATAGACAAATGGAACATGATGGAGAACTCAGAAATAAAGCCAAATACTTACAACTGACTGATCTTTGACAAAGCATATAAAAACATAATGGATTAGACACACAATTTAAGGAGAATACAACTTATTCAATAAACGGTGCTGGGAAAATCAAATAGCCACATATATAAGAGCGAAACTGGATTCCTATCTCTCACCAGATACAAAAATTAACTCAAGGTGGATTAAAGACTTAAATATAAAACCTGAAACCATAAAAATTCTAGAAGAATCCCTAGGAAAAACTCTTTTGGACATTGGCCTGGGCAAAGAATTATGTCTAGGACCCCAAAAGCAAACGCAACAAAAGCAAAAGTAAATACATGGGACCTAATGAAAAAGCTTCTGCACAGCAAAATAAATAATCATCAAAGTAAACAGACAACCTACAGAATGGAAGTAAATATTTGAAAATTATGCATCCGACAAAGTACTAATATCCGCAATCTACAAACTCAAAGAAATCAGCAAGAAAAAACAGATAATCCCATTAAAAAGTGGGCAAAGGACCTGAATGGATATTTCTCAAAAGAAGATATACAAATGGCCAAAAACGTGTGAAAAAACTGCTCAACATCACTAACTATTAGGGAAATGCCAATTAAAACCACAATGAGATACGACCTTCCCCTAGCCAGAATGGCCATTATTAAAAAGTTAACAAACAATAGATGTTGGCATGGATGTATTGAAAAAGGAACACTTACACACTGCTGGTGGGAATGTAAATTAGCACAATCTCTACAGAAAACAGTATGGAGGTTTCTCAAATAACTAAAAGTAGATCTACCATTTAATCCAGCAATCGCACTACTGGGTATCTATCCAAAGGAAAAGAAGTCACTATATCAAAAGACACCTGCATGTCTATGTTTATCACAGCACAATTCACAATTGCAAAGATATGGAATCAACCTAAGTGTCCATTAACTGATGAATGGACAAAGATGTTTTATATATATATATATATATATATATATATATATATAATCTTGAAATTTTATATATATAAAGATGTTATATATAGATTAATCTTGTATATCTTGTGTGTATATATATATGTTAGATATATATCATCTTGAAATTTTCACATGCATATATATATATATATATATATACACACACACACACCCCCACACACATCGTGAAGTACTACTAAGCCATAAAAATAATGAAATAATGTCTTTTGCAGCAACTTAGATGGAACTAGAGGCCATTATTCTAAGTGAAGTAATTCAGGAATTGAAAAAGCAAATAATGCATGTTCTCATTTATAAGTAGGAGCTAAGCTTTGGGCACACAAAGGCATACAGAGTGCTATAACGGACTCGGGAGACTCAGAAGTGGGGAGGGTGGGAGGGAGGTGAGGGATAGAAAACTATATATTGAGTACAATGTACACTACTCAGATGATAGGTGCATTAAAATCCTAGACTTTATCACTAAACAATTCATCTATGTCATCAAAGTCACTTGTACCCCTAAAGCTATTGAAATAGAAAAAATTAAAAAATGAAAAAACAAGTAACAGGTCATCTGGACACCTCCTGAAGGACCTGCCTGAGCTGTTTTACAGTTAACTTTTTTTTTTTTTATAAGTAGAAGGAGTAGTCTAAAGTAATTATGAACAATTAGTAAATACATAAACCATGAATAGTCATTTATTATTATCACAAGTATTACATAGTGTACATAATGTGTGCTCTGCTTTCGTACACTGGCAGGGCAGTAGGTTTGTTATGTAAGCATCACCACAAACAAGTGAGTCATGCATTAAGTTACAATGTTAGGATGTTGTCCATTATCACATATATTAGATGTATGTTAACCATTATAGCTCCATCTTAAGGGCTACTGTCATAGATGTGGTCCATCACTGACCAAAATGTTGTTATGCAGCACATAACTATATAACATAAAATCTGGATTATGGGCCGGGTGTGGTGGCTTACACCTGTAATCCCAACATTTTGGGAGGCTGAGGCAGGCAGATCACTTGAGGTCAGGAGTTTGAGACCAGCCTGGCCAACATGCTGAAACCCCATCTCTACTAAAATATAAAACTTAGACGGGCATGGTGGCAGGTGCCTGTAAGTCCAGCTACTTGGGAGGCTGAGGCAGGAGAATCACTTGAACCCAGGAGGTGGAGGTTGTAGTGAGCTGAGATCGTGCCATTGCACTCTAGCCTGGGAAACAAGAGAGAAACTCCACCTCAAAAAAAGAAAGAAAAATCTGGATTGTGTGGGTCTATGTATACTGTATGTGTATATATACAAACATAGGCATGCGTATATACACAAGTATATACAAATACACACACATATATACATTCCAGCAAACAGGGTCCCTGCTGCTCCACAGATGTAACCAATTTCTCCCTTCAGCCTTTGCCCTTGCTAATTCATTTGCCTGGAATGCTTTCTCCAAGACGTATGCACACCTTGCTTTCTTACATCACTGTATCCTCTGCCAGGCATTATGTTATATACCCATCTCCATGTCTTTCTCAAGGGAATTTGTGCTGCATGACGGTGAACTAATACTTGGTCTTATTCAGAGCACGCAGGATGTAGAACAATTCTTGACACTAGGGAGCATTCAGTGAACCCTGCTGATGGGCAAATGGGTGGGTCTGGTCAGGGGCAGCCAGAAGACAGGAGGAGATTCCAAGGGAACTAAGCAGTGACCCCACAGTCAAGGACCATATGGCACTCAGACTTCTCAGCAGATGCCAGTGTGGAAGGTAATGGCTGATTGAGGGTTCAGAACATCAGTGCCACTGGCCACAGGGGAAGGCCATGGAACAGAAGGACCTTAAATCAACTGAAAAACATTGAAATAGGCGCAATTACCCCAAAGTTAAAAAAAATAATAACATTTTAGTTGCTTGGTAGAAGGGTGCCTCAAAACAGAAGGATGAAGAGGAGGAGGAGGAGAACAGTGGAGTGGAAACATAAGATTTTTACTGGCCCCAGTAATTTTTCGAAAGGCTGTGGTGGCTCATGCCTGTAATTCCAGCACTTTGGGAGGCCAAGGCAGGCAGATCAACTGAGGTCAGGAGTTTGAGACCAGCTTGGCCAACATGGTGAAACCCCATCTATACTGAAAAAATATAAAAATAAGCCAGGTGTAGTGATGGGCATCTATAATAATCCCAGCTACTCGGGAAGCTGAGGCAGGAGAACCTCCCTCACCAGGTACTGAGCTCCCTGCTGTAAGCCACCATATGTGCCCAGGTCCGAGTGCTGCCATCCACCTTCAGCTATCCTCCCACGGAGCTGTTCTGCCCCAGCCCAAAGCATGCACTGCAAATCCCTATAGCTTCTCAATCCAGATCTAACTCCTCATTCCCCCAGAGCCATTTATTTCAGCAGGATTACCGAGGGGAACACTGTGGCTGAATCGCACTCCATGAATTGGAGATGCTGCTCTCTCCTTAGCTAATTAGTTTGGATGCCTCCAGCTGCAAATGCAAAAACCCTGACCCACATTGGCCTAGACAGCAAAGGCAATAAAGTCCCAGGTGATCTCATGTACTGCCAGACATCATGGGGTCAAGAATTAAATGGGATAAACCTCTTTTGCAGAGTCCCGTATTAAGAATACGGAAATCTTCTCCAGAAACTCCTCAAAAGAATTGTTTTTACGTTTCATTGTGCAAATTCTGGTTGTCTGCCCATCCTTCAATCAAAGGGAGCTGCTGCGTTTGATGGGTCCCGGCCAGGGCTCACACCCAGTGGCTTTGATGGATTCGGACTCTTCTGCTTAGGCAGGGGATCTGGCCTGTGGTGGGCTTCCCTCCAACACAAGACCGCAAAAGAGTTCTGTTGTCACTGAGTGTATGGTGTCCCGGGGCTGCTGTAACAAAGTTCCACAAACTGGGGTGCTTAAACAACAGCAATTTATTCTCACATCTTTCTGGGGGCCATAAGTCCAAAATGAAAGTTCTGGCAGGGCTGGAGTCCCTCTGAAGTTTCTACAGGAGACCCCTTCCTTGCCTTGCCCAGTGTCTCTTGGCCTGTGGCAGCATAACTCCAATCTCTGTCTTTGCCCAGCTATGTTTTCCATCTGTGTCTGCACCCAGATTGTCCCCTTTTAATAAGGACACCAGTCATATTGGATTAGGGATCCGGCGGCCTACTTCAGTAGAGCCTCATCTTCACTAATTATACCTGCAATGTGCAAGTACGCTATTTCCAAATATGGTCATATAAGGTACTGGAGGTTACAAATTCAACATACAAATCTAGGGGGTGGACGGGAAATAATTCAATTTTTAGCACAGAGAAAGGAGGGAAATTGAAACTGGAGCAGGGATCAAATTGCATCTGCTATATGGACCCTCCTGTTTTACAAATTCCTTTTTTACCCCAGAGAATCTTTAGCTGGTGGAACTTCAGGCTGACTTAGGAAGGGAAATGCATATGTTTGGGTGGAGCTCAGGATGCCCTACCAAGGGCGTGGCAGCTGCTGAGGGGTTTCCTTCACTAAGCAATGTCCCCTCCAGCACACTTACGTTCCCTGGATTCTTCCCATTCTCTGCTTCTGCCTCCAGAAATTTATGCTTAAACAATTCTGGGGACCAGAAGTGCAAAATCAAAGTGCTGGCACAGCTGCAGTCCCTCTGAAGCTTCTGCGGGAGACTCCTTCCTTGGAAAAACTCCCAGCAAAGTTGCAGACGTATCTGGCAACTGGACTTGAGAGTGAAGCAGGAGGGATCTGAGTGTTGCATATGTGCAGGATAAATTGTTGGGGGAGGACTGCTGGGGGTGCTGGTGACTGAATTTAGGAAAGTGCATAAGCTGGGTGTTCACAAACCTGGGACACCTCATATTCTATTTCAGGCACTAATTTGTCATGTTTGGGAAGGACTTAAACTATAATTCAGAAATGATGATTGATATGGTTTGGATCTGTGTTCCTACCCAAATCTCATGCTCAATTTTAATTCCAGTGTTGGAAGAGGGGCTTGGTGGGAGGTGATTGGCTCAGCAGACTGAGTGATCATAAAGAGCCTGGGAAACATGTGGGGTTAATTCAAGGTGGCCAAAGCTTCACCATGGGGGGCAGCTTGGGGGCCGCTTGGGGGCAGCTTGGGGCTGGGCTACTTCCTCCTCCAAGAAGTATCACAGAGCAATGCTACCGGGACTGGAGATTTCCATTTAGCTAATTAGGGGTTAGGATAAAGATTTGTGGGTACTGGTGGCAGTGGGTGAGGGCAGAAAGTAAAGGAGGTTGACTATGGATTATCCAGGCATAGATACACATGTTTTCAACAGAAAAGGAGATGGGTTATTATATGTCAGGCCCAACATATCTGCCCTGGCAATGGCAGGGCTTGAGAGTGGCCTGAGGTCAAATCATAACATGGAGATCTGTCCAGAAATAGCCAAGACCCTGCAGACGGTCAGGTCAGAGCTGAGTGAGTTGGTGCATGCACATGTGTGCACTTGCATTCTGACAGTACAGAAATCTGATGGGCACAGCGACCCACAGACCTTCCTGGATTCAGCATGGAGGAGGGAGACCACATTACATAGGCTGGACTAGAGCCCACGGGCTAACTTTGGGAGCTTGGGGGTTCACTAGATTCCAAGAGTAACTGACTCTCCAGGGAAGCGCCTGTTCCTGTTTGATAAGCGGTGCTCTTTTGTCCTGCATGCAGGGATCAGAAAGGACCTATGCAGAGCAGCTCACAAAAGCAGAGCGGCTTGTTCACTGTGGGCCACAGGTTCACGCTGAAACCAGTGTTCCCGGAAACACGAGGCTTCAGATCAGCCAGTGGCAGAAAGTTGGGAGCGGGGAGGATGTAATTTGGGCATCTGAGACAAACCTTAGGGATGGCTATCCATTTAAGAGATTCAGTGGGTTTTGGAGCTGTGAAAGGAAATTAAATTTTGGGACCCCAAATTCGTTTAGCCAAAGAGAAAAGTCAAGCTGGGAACTGGGTCACGCAAATCTGCCTCCACCTTTTGGTTCCTAAACAAGATGGCTACAAGATGAAAAGCTACACGCTTCCCTCATATTTTGCCCACAAGGAAATTCCTGGTGAGCTGTTAAAGCTTCCCCATGGCAATGCAACTTGATAGCCTATCTTTACAGGTGCAGTCGCTCTGCCCACCAGACACAAATGTATAACTGAACGTTCCCCTCTCCATTTTGTCTGTGGTATGTAAAATGCACATTCCCCACAGTTTTCCTCTGCCCCTTTTGTTTATGTGAAAGCTGTGTGCTTCTCAATATCTCATCCTTTCCCCTTTAAATTTGGAGCCCTCAAAATCACCTTCGGAGAAAGGAATAGACCTGTCTCCTGGGAGCATCCTCAACTTTGGCAAATAAATATCCTAAAATGATTGAGACTTGTCTCATTATTTTCCTCGATTGACAGAGCTATTTTTTTTTTTTTTAACATAAAGTCATTCCCTGGGCCTCAAACAGTTCCTGGTTGGGGGAAGGGGCACATAAGTGGCATAGCTTCTGTAGCCCCCGATCGGCCTGGAGCATAGGGCAGGATGTCATCACCAGAGGCCAAATTTGATTGCAAGCAGAGCCTACTCCCTCTGCCTTTTCTGCCAAGCCTCCTAATCGTTATCTCACATGATAATTATTTTGGGTAAAACATAAACCAGAATTGTGATGACAGTGTAGACTCACAGACAGGAACCCCAACAGAGCTGGAAAGATTTGCATGCAGTAACCTTCCATCCCATTGATTGCTTTCCATGACAATTCCATACATGCTTGCTGGCTTTCTTCTTTGCCTGTGGCTTCCTTATGCTTGATTCAATAACAACAACAAAAAGATGTGTGTGTATGTGGTGGGTGTTTATTGTTAAAATGCTTTATTTTTGGAGTGATGTTTCTTGAAAGCAGTAAGAAAATTTCCCATATAGGAGAAACCCTCTGTGCAGGGTTCGCAGGATCTCACAGTGAGCCCCCAGAAGCAGGTCCTATCCGGAGAGTTTGGGTCTTTAAATTATGTTTACAGCCAGCACCAGGCCATCCTGGGAGTCCAGACTTGCTGCAGGAGCAGCTGTCTTAATTTCCTGACATCATCCAATTAGACAGCAAGGTCTCCCCTATTGAATTTAGAAATATTTGCAGCCCATTTTTTAAAATGACTTACAGAAAGGGGAGAGTACTTAATGTGTTTATTTAGACCAGTAAACTCTCCTTTATATCTATTTTTTTTTTCAGTTTGAGATCCTAAAACACTTTACTGATTGTTCTTAAACAACTAGGGTTAGGCAAAAGACATTGGCCATTAGAGTTGCTAAAGACACCACTCCAGGGCTGAGCTTTGGACGAGTATTAGACAAGGATGAAAATACCTCCCCATGGGCCATGGAGGTCCTCTTTCTTCTTCCCTTTTCCTAGCCTCTGGCCTTTTAATTTTTTTTCAGAATAACTTTCTGGAAATGCTCCTATGCACTGTGCCATCAATATACATTTTCTCTTTCTTTCCAACCAAAGAATCATTTACTCTATGTATGTATTGGAATACTTATTTAGAGTATCTTATGTCTTACAATGTGTTTTCACATGTGTTACCCTGTTTAATTTTCATGATAACTCTATGAAGATGGCATAGTTCTTCCTATTTTCTAGGCCTAGAGAGATAAACTAATACAAACAGTCATGAAGAGGTGCATTTAACTTATTTAAATCCACCTGTCCATGACTAGCTTGTATTAGTTTAAGAATCTAAAATTTGGCCAACTCTATCATCTCTCTTTGAAGTGTGTTCACTTTAAATGTTCTCCTCTCCCATCTCCTCCATGTACTGTAGAACATTCGAACAGAGAGTTACTCTTGCCTGGAGTCTTTCAGTTTCTTGTATCTGGCTTCTCTGTCTCCTGTCCCTGGAATACCCTATCTAGCCTCAACAGTCCTGCCTTTTGAAGGCCCTTGTGTCTTTAAGACCGAACTCAGATGCTGCAGCTTTTCGTTCCGTAGTTTCTTAGTCAACTGGGGCTGCTGTAACAAAGTGCCATACATTGGTGGCTTATCAACAACGGAAATGTATTCCTCACAGTTCTAAGGCTGGAAGTCTGAGATGGGGCTGCCAGCAGGGGCAGGTTCTAGCATCCTCCTCCAGGTTGCCACCTTCTTGTATATCCTCGCATGGTGGAAACAGAGAACAGGAGAGCTCTCTGGGGTCCCTTCGATAAGGACACTAATTCCATCCCTGAGGGCTCCCCCTTTGTGACCCAATCACTTTTCAAAGGCCTCAGATTCTAGTATCATCACACTGGCGGTAAGATTTCAACATATGGACTTTGAAGGGACACAGACATTCAGTTCATTCCACACGGTCACTGATTCTACAAACAGAAGCAAATCATACCCTCTTCCATGAACCCTGGTGTTCTGGGCTCTGTTCCACCAGTTGTGTATTCTGCCAGACAGGAATTGGACATATATCCACTCAATTATCCCCAGAGAGCAAAAGCTCCTAGAGGGCAGGGGCCACCTCATCTCCTTAGTCCTCCCTGATGCTGCACAACTGCCACTGAGTACCGAGATCTGGAGAGAGGACATATGGGGGCATCGTCCATTCTTGAAGCCTATTTTCCATGAAGCTTTCCTTAATTCCCCCAAGCTGACATTTCCATCCTCCTCTGAATGTCACAGACATGATCCATGTGACTCTTCACCCTGCATTGTAATCAGTGGCTTCTATCTTCTTCCTGGTTATCTCCCCTTCCAAAACATGAGGCTTGTCACTCATGAGGGTAAGGCCCATGGTTGATTGTACTTGTATCCTTCATAGGGTCTTATATATATTGGGTCCTAGATATGTGTTTATGGACTAAAAAATTGTCTTATGCATTTAAAGTCTATTAAAATAACTGCAAAATACACCCCTTTCCTTGGGGAAAGATGGACCGACTCTGGTCAACATTGCTCCTCAGATTTTAGGTTTCCTTTATAACTTTTAAAAATTACCATTTCAGCTCTGGATTTAAACAGTACCACAATTCGTTATCAAATTCTTGCACATCATTTCCTCCAGAGCATACGATTTAAAAGTCAAAAACTAGGTATTGAGTATGTGCAAAATATATTCCAAAACAACCCCATTTCATAATTATAATCCATTTCACAATATAAAACTTTAATAAATAAACACTTGGATTTTTTTTGTTCTGTTGGAAATAGTGGACTAACTAAAATAAATTCTTCGTGAGTTAGGATGGATACTTGTCTGTTTAGCTAGCCTTTCAATATCATACACACACAAATACACACACCCCTGAATGCCACTTTTAAATCTCATTCTTCTAATAAATCATATAGTAGAGACTTTTCCAAACTATCCATAGCAGAATTAAAGTTAAAAAAAAGAGGAAATCCAAGGGCCAGGCATAGTGGCTTATGCCTGTAATCCCAGTGCTTTGGGAGGCCAAGAGGGGAGGATCACTTGAGGGAAGGAGCTTGAGACCAGCCTGGGTAACAAAGTGAGACCCTCATCTTTATAAAAAATTAAAAAAAAAAAAAGCTGGGCTCAGTGGCATACACTGGTAGTCTTAGCTACTAAGAAAGCTGAGGTGGGAGAATCCCTTGAGCTCAGGAGTTCGAGGGTGTAGTGAGCTTTGATGGCACCACTGCACTCTAGCCTGGGCAACAGAGTGAGCCTCTGCCTCAAAAAAAAAGTGGGAGGGGAGTCTGAATAAAGCCTTGTAATCAAGAAGAAATCACAGTTCATTCGATGGAAAATTCCATAAATGGGCATAAGCCATTCACTGTAAACTAGATGCACCATCATTTTGTTAATAAGCACAACTCAGTAAAACTGGTTCACTTTATATCCTTTCCTTGGTTGCCAGTTACCAATGTATGAGAATAATTTCATTATAACGCACCTTTTTCTATATATTGGGCCAGCAGCGCCAGCATTAAGCCTAGTCTTACACATTTCTGTCTTGTAGTTGTTCGCTAGTCACTTGATTTTAAAATGATCCTTAAAAGGAAATCCATGGACAAGACAGCTTGCAAATAACAAAATGCATGACAAAAGGCTTTGTAAAGAGCACATCTGAGACCATGTATTGAGTTTTTCCACGGGAAAATCAACAGGGTAGCAATGTGGGTGTTAAAGGCAGAGACCTACTCATCTGCTAGGTTGCCCAGAGCCCATACCAATGGCTGTGAGAACCAAAGGAAGAGAAGAATGTGGCTCATGCTCCACACACAAGGGGCCCTGGGCACACTGTCAACAATTAGCTGGATGTTTACCATCCTCTTCAATCATGTTTCCAGAACAACAAAACTTTAAACCCAGCTATATCACACCAACGGGTCTTCTTTTGTGTTGCTTTTAAACAGGTATGTATGGAGACAATTGAAAAAGGAAGCCCCCAGAGACCTATGTATTTAAACTAGGTAAAACGAAGCATTTCTTCTCTCTTACTTTTAACCGTGAGGTACATGGACTTGCTGACGTCTGCGCCCACATCGTTGCTGACCTTGCAGAGGTAGTAGCCACTGTCTTCCTCCACGACATGCTTGATCAGCAACGACCCATTGCTGAGAACTTGGATTCGGCCATTTAGGGCAATTGGCTGGAACTGGGGAACCCCAGCACCTGAGACAGAAAAAGAAAGACGAGCAATGATGCAAACGAGAGTAAGTATGGGAAGACAACGAGTTCAAGTACACACAGACTCATAAAGAGATGCTTCACACTGATCCCATAAGGCAGTCACGGGATACACCAGGTTTTTCTTTCTTTCCTCCAGTATTAAAATTCTTGTTTAGAGAGAAAAGCATTTATTTAAAATGACAGTATCTCAGACTCTGAGATAAAAACTAACAGAACTTACAGATAGTTTCTCTACATAAAAAGCCAAATTTGATGAGTGTTAAGTAGCTGATAAATTATTCAAAGAAATCACAGTAGAACAACCACAGAAGCAGACAACTCTCATGGTGCTAAATAAATTCCTTGTGTTCCCAGGGACTTAATATGAATGTAAACAAGGAGTGCTCCAGGGACATGGCATTTGAAGTCTTTGCTCACTGCACATGTCTGAGGCTACAAAGAGAATAGGAATATTGCAGGTTTCTCTTTAACGGTGGTTATATTCCGGTCTAGACACACAATACACCATTAATATCATTTAATGTTATTTAAATAAATACATCAGATTAGTGCAGTAAGACAGCACAGAATTAAAACACCTCTCTCCTCAGAGTGCTTCCATGCAAGGAGGGAATGGCACAGATATGATATGCTATTATAATGAATGTGGTATGATTCATATGAAGGATTTATATACAACTGGGTAAAAAAAAAAAGGATTTTAGAAATAATGAAACAGATTATGAAGGTCCTAGAAGACTTCTGGGAAGATGGTGACTGGATGAACCTGCCATGCTGCCTGCTTCTGGCCTGGAGGAGTTGGGTGGGCTGGGAGAATGGGATTCAGGCCTTGAAAGACTCTCCCAGGGCATTTTTCTTCTCTGGCCTGAGTATCTGGGGACTTGAGGGGAAAGCTCTGGGGTGAGGATCTTCCTGGAGGAAGCTCAACGTTTGGGCCAAAGATGTGTTCTAGAGAGAAGGTGCTAGCTTCCTGGCCCAAGAACCTACACGGGAGCTGAACAAGTCAGACGTCTCCACAGGCCTCAAGCAGGAAACTTCAGACTTTGCATCTGAGGACAGGAGAATGGGAGACACTTCCTCTTGCTGTCTCCATACCCTAATGACAACTTGTGTATTGGTCTCACTCGAGCTCACAATGGCAGAGACTGTGGCTGTGCCTTCCTTTCCCGTGTTTCTGGTTTAGATTTCTCAGCAACTTGTCTCTAGCCCCACTGAAGAGACGAGAGAAATTGATAAGGTACCTAAGGGGACCTTTCACATTGAATGAGGAGATCAAGTAGAATCCCCACAACAGGTGGTTCCCATCAAAATGGAACTGCTAGAGGGGACATACGACAACCTGAATTTTTTTTTTTTTTTTTTTGAGATGTAGTCTTGCTCTCTCACCCAGGCTGGAGTGCAGTGGCACGATTTCGGCTCACTGCAACTTCCGCCTCCTGGGTTCAAGTGATTCTCCTGCTAATCCCAGCTACTTGAGAGGCTGAGGCAGAGAACTGCTTGAACCTGGGAGGCAGAGGATGCAATGAGCTGAGATCACGGCGCTGCACTCCAGCCTGGGCGACAGAGTGAGACTTCGTCTCAAAAAAAAAAAAAAAGAAAAATAATAAGAAGAAAATAAAAGTACACGAATGTAGATTGATAAGAATATAACTGTATTTACTGACAGATAACATGATTTTCTACATAGATAATTGAAAAGAGTAAACAAAAAAGTTGCTATAACTATAAAATGAGTTTAGCAAAGTCATGGGATACAACATCAATATACAAAAATCAATGTCAATTTTATTTATGTATAATAGTAACAACCAATTGGGAATAAAAATTAAAAAGAAAATATATTGGCAAAAAACCATAAAATATTTAGAATAAATTTAACAAAATATGTGCAAGACCAGCCCACTGAAAATTGTAAAAGTTGTTGAGAATAACTAAATAAGACCTAAATAATTAGAGAGTTATACCATGTTCATGAATAAAAATGCTTAACATTTTCAGAAAGAGGTTGGTAATCTTTCTGTAAAGGCCAGAGAGTAAATATTTTAAATTTAGCAGGTCATACAGTCTTTGTCACAAATACTCATCTCTGCCACTGAGTCATGAAAGTAGCCATAGAAAATACAGAAACAAAATAGCATGATTGTGTTTCATAACAACTTATTGGCAGGCCATGACAGCTCACACCTGTAATCCCAGCACTCTCGGAGACCAGGGTGGGGGCAAGACTTGAGACCAGGAGTTTGAGACTAGCCAGAGTCACAGAGTGAGCCCTCATTTCTATAAAATTTTAAAAATTAGCTGGACATGTTGGGTCATGCCTGTAGTCTTAGCTACTCCCAATGCTCTGGGAGGCTGAGGTGGGTTTGAGGTTACAGTGAGCTCCACTGTACTCTAGCCTGGGTGACAGTGAGATCTTGTCTCTAAAACAAGTGGAAGAGGAGGAAGAGAAGGAGGAGGAGGAGGAAGAGGAGGAGGAGGAGTCTTCAAAAATACTGAATCTGAGAAGAATTGATCTTTGTCCTAGCATATAGTGATAAATGTTGGTGATCATTATGAGGAAATAAGATAGTCTAAAAAACTTATTTACAAAAACAAAAACAGGATGTGGGCCAAATTTGAATTGTGGCCCATAGTTTTCTGATATCTGTTTTAAAGGTAATTAAGAGAAATGTAAATGTAGGATAATTGTACATTTAGAAGAGGGAACATCTACTAACAAAACTCACATGTTTGCATTAGTTCTTTATTACATATCTAAAATATGAATTTTCATAAAATGATTCTAAGTAGAAAAAGTTTTTAAAATTCTTCTTTTCATAAGGAATTCAAAGTCAGGGATAAAAACATTTAAAAACATAACAGTATTTTATTATCTCTTCAATATGTTTTCCTCACTTGAGCTAATGAGTATTTTATAAAGTGAGACTAAAAGGACAACCATTTTTATCCCTAAATCTGCTCCCTCCTTGGAAATAAGTTATCAAAATGTACAAAATTCAGAATTACACCAGCAACTTGTATAATGTAGATAATTTAAAACTTAATTCATATGAGACTTTTATGTGGCCAAGAAACATATGAAAAAAAGCTCATCATCACTTGTCATTAGAGAAATGCAAATCAAAACCACAATGTGATACCATCTCATGCCAGTCACAATGGTGATCATTAAAAAGTCAGGAAACAACAGATGCTGGAGAGGATGTGGAGAAATAGGAAGGCTTTCACACTGTTAGTGGGAGTGTAAATTAGTTTGACCACTGTGGAAGACAGTGTGGCAATTCCTCAAGGATCTAGAACTAGAAATACCATTTGACCCAGCAATCCCATTACTGGGTATATACCCAAGGGATTATAAATCATTTTACTATGAAGACACATGCACACATATGTTTACTGCAGCACTATTCACAACAGCAAAGACTTGGAACCAATCCAAATGCCCATCAATGATAGACTTGATCAAGAAAATGTGGCACACATGCTTCACGGAATACTATGCAGCCATAAAATAGATGAAACTGGAAAATGGATGAAACTGGAAATCATCATTCTCAGCAAACTAACACAGGAACAGAAAACCAAACACCTCATGTTCTCACTCATAAGTAGGAATTGAACAATGAGAACACATGGACACAGGGAAGGGAACATCACATACTGGGGCCTGTGAGGGGGTGGGGGCAAGGGGAGTAAGAGCATTAGGACAAATACCTAATGCATCCAGGGCTTAAAACCTACATGATAGGTTGATGGGTGCAGCAAACCACCGTGGCACATTTATACCTATGTAACAAACCTACACGTTCTGCACATGTATCCCAGAACTTAAAGTATAATAATTAAAAAAAAAACCTTAATTCATATGAAAGTTCACAGCAGATTTTGGTGCCTTTTTTTTTTTTTTTTTTGAGACAGGGTCTTGCTCTTTTGCCCAGGTTGGAGGGCAGTGACACCATCATAGCTCGCTGTGGCCTCGAACTCCCGGGTTCAAGCAATCCTCCCCCCTCAGCCTCCCAAGTAGCTGGGACTATAATACCGGCAGACACCACCATACCCCGCTAGGCCTTTAAAAATTTTTTGTAAAGATGGGGTCTTGCTTGGTTGCTCAGACTGTCTGAAACTCTTGGCCACAATTGATCCTTCCACCTTAGCCTCCCAAAGTGTTGGGAAAATAGGCACGAGCCATTGTTCTTGGCCTCAAATGCTTGAGAAAAAATAAATACATCAGTATAAGAGTGGTTGATTTTGAAAAATAATTAATGAAAGCTATTTACTAGTTTACTTATTGGGATTTAAAGCATGAGAATTTTGGATTAGGGAATCTGAATTTTTTGTCAAAAATTCAAACAGTAAAAAAGTAAATACCTTCAGAGAGATTACGGACTTTCTAATATCTTCTAAACATAAAATAATGTAGCCTTCGTTTTTATGCAAATGGACTTTATTAATTACTGAGCACCTGTACTGTGACAAATACTGGGTGAGGAGCTATGGCTAAAAAGATCATGACTGCCATCTCTTTTTCTTCTTCCCTCTCTCCCTCCCGCTCAGTCTTAACTCTGGGGAATTCCAGCTACCATGTTGTGAGCTGCTCTGTGGAGAGGCTCCCATGGGAAGGAACTGGGAGTTGGTCTTCAGTCAACAGTCTGAGAAAGTAAAGCTTATCAACCATCACAGGAGTGAGCTTGGGAGAAGACCCTCCCACAGCTAAGCTTTGAAATGACTGCATCCCAGCCAACCCCTTGGCTGCAATGTTGGGAAGATGGTGAACCAGAGGTCTCAGCTAAGCCACACATGCATTCCAGACCTACAGAAATGGAAGCTATTAAATGTATACTATCTTAAGCCACTAAATTGGGGTAATTTGTTACAAAGCAATAGATTCCTAACGTGTAAAATTAGGTAAGTTACATAATATTTCAGCTTCTTAACTTGTAAAATGGAAATAATAATAGAACCTTCATTATGGGATGGTAGAAGCACTGAAGTTCTTGAACTATGTATTGGTATGGCTTATAGTAAGCAAACAACATTGTTGTGCTTTCTAACATTCTCTTTTTAATTATTTAATAATTTTAAGATTATATGGCTGTCTGTCTTTCCCATTCCACAAGAATAGGGACCACGTTGCAATGAATGTCTCCACTCATCAATCAGTGCATCAGTGGAGAGAAATATATATATATAGCGGTAGGCAATCTGTATGCTTAATTCAGGGAGAAGAATTTCGGACCAAAGGTGATGCATATTCAAATCTTAAAATATATTACCATATTTACAATAAACTGCCTTAAAAATGTACAAACGTTATCTCCTTCAGTGCTAGCTGAGGGTTAATTTTTTCCTCATACATGTATGCTATTAAACTTTTAAATCTGCATCAATGCTATACATCACTATTTTAATTTGCACATTTTGGCGGATTTTTTTTGTATTTTTGTTTGTTTCTGTTTATAGATAATTTTGAGCATCATGAATGTATTGGCCATCTGTATTTGTTCTTTAGTAAACAGCCCATTTATCCCTTACCCATTTTTCTACTGAGCTTTTGTCTTTTTCTTCATTTTCCAAAGCACTTTGGGTTATAAGGAAGTGTTTCTATGTAATTATTTTACAAAACTCTTTTTTTGTTCTCGTTGCTTCAATCAGAAGAGGATGTTGAATATTATCAGCTAGTTTTTAACCATATATTGAGATAATCATTTTTTTCTCCTATAAAATTAGACTGCATTTTTAAAGAATTTGGCTTTTATAAATTATCAAATTACTTCTTGTGGATATTGTGTTCATTAGTGTGAGGATAATAGATTTATTGGAAGTTAAAATTAAGGAAAAAGCCTTCAACTTTTATTTAAGTGCTTAAATTTGTAACACACTTTGAAAATCAGTAAAGGCTATTAATGTCGTTCCCAAAGTTGACTGTAAATTGAGAATAGATTTAGTCCAATACACACAACCTGAAAACTCAACCAAATATAGGATTGAAAAAATATAACTATAAGATAGGTAATCTAGGCCGGGCGCGGTGGCTCACGCCTGTAATCCCAGCACTTTGGGAGGCCGAGGCGGGTGGATCACGAGGTCAGGAGGTCGAGACCATCCTAGCTAACACGGTGAAACCCCGTCTCTACTAAAAATACAAAAAAAAAATTAGCCGGGCGTGGTAGCGGGCGCCTGTAGTCCCAGCTACTAGGGAGGCTGAGGCAGGAGAATGGCCTGAACCCGGGAGGCAGAGCTTGCAGTGAGCCAAGACAGCGCCACTGCAGTCCAGCCTGGGCGAAAGAGCGAGACTCTGTCTCAAAAAAAAAAAAAAAAAAAAAAAAAAAAAAGATAGGTAATCTAAAAATTTCAAATTATATAAAACTGTATTTAAGAAACTGAAAATCAAATAACATGCTGGTGTGGTTTGAAAAATTTACATGAATATCCATGTCAACAACACATTGTTTTCCTTTTCTTAAATAATTTTCACCAGAAAAATGCTTGTAATTGTTGAAACATTTATATTAAAGAATCACAACATAAAATTAACTACAATGCTAAGTCGTCTCAATTAAATAGCAGAAAAGGATGATCTGTTTATTCCTATCTAGACTGAAGTAAGTTTCTTTATTACTAAAAGGTCCTAATGAAGATAGAAATAAAGTTTCAAATGCATTTAAGAAAACATTAAATCTTTTCTTCATCAGAAAAATGAACCTAAGTTGAAGGGTTATTGCATCTGAAGATCTAATTGTGGTTACTAAATGGAATAATAGTGAACACACTGCCAACTGATTCATCTACTATGAGGACTACAGTTCCAAGGGCTAGCATTTGTTTAATTGGAGGGAAGTAGACTTCGCCAGGGTTTGACAGAATTATTTATCAGTCATCTACTTTAGATTCATCTTTATTCTAAAGAGTAAAATTTAACCCAAAGCATCAATATGTAAAATCCTGTAATCTTCTTAGCACAAGGTAAGCACTTTAGGTAATTAGCTAGAAGATACAATGTGGTAACCAGCAGTCATTAATTAAAACACTGCCAATTTTCTGTGGCTAGCAGGGGTCAAGTGGGGACAATTTCAATGCTCCGTTACATGAAAATAAAATGTTAAAGCATTATGTAAGGCACATACTGAATTGCTAGTTATATTAATTCTGGGTCACCTTTCTTATTTATTGCAAATATATGCATAGCTGTGTTCACAGGGACTGAGAGTATGGGGACAGTGGAAAAAGAACGGCAGATTGTCACCAAATGAGCCCACTTTGAAGGCAGCAGCAAATAAGAAAATTGTTTCAATTTTTTTCCTTCACTGTTAAGTCTTTGCTGGTCTGTAGAGAGGGCACTTGGATAAGAGTCAAAAGGGTTAGGTTCTCATGCTCTCTGAAACTACCCATGCCTTACAGCAAGTGGCTTATTTTCTCTGCATCCTTAATTTCATCATATATGAATAAGGAGAATAATCCATTTACATATGATGTAGGATTGTTGTGCACATAAAGTGAAGCAAGATTGTATGAATGTGGGTATAAATGCCTGCATGCAAGGAGAGCTTGGTCAATGAGCTCATCCAGAGGGGTCCCCTTGTAGGGTGAAATAAGACTGAAGAGTCGCAGGACCATGGAAAGGAGGTCTCTTTAGCCTCACCAATGGTTTGCACAATGGTCAGGCGGTAAGCTGTTCTTTCTTTTCACCAAGGAATCAAACACAATCCCTTTCATCCTTATGGAGAGAGTGGTGTTTTCCTCAAGAATGCATTTGTTTTTCTTCTTTAGGAAGGGGGGTTTCCTCTCTGAGAATAGTTGGGGGATTGCAGGAAAGCATTGGGTAAAAAGATAGAGGTTGCAATGGAAAGATAAGAGAAAAAGCAAGAATAGCAACAGCAGTTGCACCTAAATAAGGTTTAGTAGCTGAAATACAATGCTTATTCAGTGAAGGAGTGCTGAAGAGTTCTGTTACAAAGAAGAATCCCGAAGTGGACAGAGGTATAGTCCTGAGACACCACTGGCTTGGTTCCAGGCTGGAGAGCTATTTCCAATCCCTGAGAAAGAAGCTTCCACCACTGTGCAGGTAATATTTATGACACTGAAAGTTTGTGTCAGATGCTGTATGTTGATCTTTAGCACTACCACTTTCCCTCTAAACTCTGCCCTAAATTGCAGGGCTTGAAAGCCTGAAAACTACATTCCCTGGCTTTGTTACTAGATTCTGGTTTACATTTTACCAGTGAGAGGCACTTAAAAACAATTTTGTAGGTGCAAGGGTGGAAAAGCCATTATTTTGCTTTAGAAGCAGCAAATTGATGCATGGGTCAACCCCAAACATCAGGTTTATGGCTGCCTGTGGGAGAACTACAAATCACTGCTTGAGCACTAGAAGCAGCTGTTAGCAGTGACGGGAGAAGCATCTTAGTTCCTACACTTCTCAGGTGCTTAAAGGGCCGCGCAGTTTGTCCACGCTTCAAAGGATTTTGCATGCCCCTAATTCCCTTTATTAAATCCCTTCTTGATAACACACCACACCATCCAGGTGTGACACCGTCCAGGTTACTTCTTTTGTAAATGTGCACATAATTGTGTCCACTGTGCAATCCAGTCATCTTTCCTTAATACCTTCATTTCTATGTTGAAGAAGGCTATCCAATGACAACAATGGAAATTTCATGGTCTAGATTAGTGTCTAATCAGGATTTGTTACAACTTGCTAGTCCACTAGCACTTCAATGTCTAATTCTGTAACTAATACGTAATTATGTAACTAATACATAAGAATCCTTTTTTTTTAAATCAGCCAGAGGGAATTGGCCCTTCACTCACTTATCAGATAATTGATCCATGAACTGAACACAATTCAGCACTCGTCAAGGGGTCATGTGATATTGGAAGTGGTTGAGGTGACTCAATTATGCAGATTCCACCAGTGCTTTGCCTTGCTCCTGGGAGGAGCCCTGCAGCAGTGTCTACCATTCAAGGTCTCCAGCCACCGTTTCCCTGGAGCAAGAGCCCCCCAAACATTTGTCTTCAGTGTGACTGCCTACACCTAGAAGAAGGCTTCCAGAAAGTTTCCCAGGAAATAAATGAGGGGGAAAGATGGAGGAGTGCTGAAAAATAAAGAAAGGAAGAGCAAGATGGGCCCCAGGGTTGACTGTCCTGGTGGCTCCACCAAGGCTCAGGGTAATTACACTTCCTTAGGTGAGGACCCTGCAGAGGTCCTGCAGCAGCTCCCAGGGCCACTGAGATGCTGATTAGGGTAGCACAGAGGAAGGCAGGTTTTCTGCTCTGCTAAGGTTTTTCCTACCATCAAAGGAAGAAAATAAAACAATATATGGAACACTCACTTTCTCTGTTCAGCTTACAACTTGTTTTCAAGAACTCATTATTTCTTTGTGAGGCCCCTTGTCTCTTCTTGGGGAACACACAACACACAAGCAGAGCTCCTTTTGTTGTGCATGAGGGATCCATATCGGACTTTGAACTTGGGTTTATTTTTACCATGTGTGCCATAGAGAGATGTTGCCTTCTTCTCGTTTTTGGATTATTTGAATTCTTTCCCCATATTAATTCAATATTTGCATCTTATCACCTAATTGGAAATCGGGGTGCTGGGTGAGAGCCAGGACTTGATAGCCTGGATCAGAGGAGTGCACTGGGGCAGAGCAGGGGATCACTGCTGCTTCAGGAAATGAAGGACATGGAAGAGGTCAAAACCATGGGTGTGGAGTCTTGGGGTGCTCTAAACAACACAGAGCAAGACAAATGGTGAGTCTAGGAATGGGCATGGTGAGAGCACTGAATAGTGTGCAGATGCACAGGCAGGGGTGGGACAGTGGGAGGGCAGCAGCCTCCACCAGGTCAGGCTTGTGGTCAGAAGTTTTATTCTGGTGATCCACACTAAGAGGATTAAGATAGGGCCAGGATTGGAGCCACTGGTCCCAAGGAGATGACCAAGACAAGGGTCAGAGACAATGCAGAGACCCAATTTCTCAGAACAGGGATGCAAAAGAGACACTTGTCTGAGCAAAGCCTGTGGAACTGGCATTCAAGGTCAGAGTGAGTGGCAGCAAGGGCAAAAAAAGAATGAGACGAAATGCCTTGGACACTGAACCTGGGGGCACTCAGGCACGAGGCTGGCGCAGAGTGAAACATGCAAGGGCATACAGAGCAGGACAAAGGGACCAGAACTTGGGGAGAAGCCTTGGAGGACCTGAAAACTCAGTATCATCCCAACTGGGCCCTATGAACGTGCTCCCTATTGAGCTATTTTAATATAAACCCCCTGCTTTCCCAGAGGAAAAACAAAAGAGAATTTTATTTAAGCAAATTTCTGTCTCTTGATAATTTGCTTCTTTCCAGACTTATCTTTTGAATGTACAACCTGCAGTGTGTTCAGCAGTGTGATCCACAGGTGATCCTCAGTGTGATCTGCAGTGTCATCTGCAGTGTGATCCACAGTGTGATCCATGGTGTGATCTGCAGTGTGATCCACAGGTGGATCTGAAGCGTGATCTGCAGTATGATCTGCAGGTATCTGCAGTGTGATCCATGGTGTGATCTGCAGTATGATCTGCAGGTATCTGCAGTGTGATCCAAGGTGTGATCTGCAGTGTGATCCACAGGTGGATCTGAAGCATGATCTGCAGTATGATCCACGTTGTGATCTGCAGTGTGATCCATGGTGTGATCTGCAGTGTGATTGCAGTGTGATCCACAGTGTGATCTGCAGTATGATCTGCAGGTATCTGCGGTGTGATCTGCAGTGTGATCACAGTGTGATCTGCAGTGTGATCTGCAGGTGATCTGCAATGTCATCCACGGTATGATCCACAGTGTGATCTCAAGGTGGTCTGCAGCATGATCTGCAGCATGATCCACAGTGTGATCCACAGTGTGATCTGCAGGGTCTTCTGCAGTGTGATCTGCAGTATGATGTGCAGTGTGATCACAGTGTGATTAACAGGTGATCTGCAGTGTGAGCCCTCTCTTGACTGCTGAGGAAGGGACTGACTTGGTCATCTCACCAGAGAGGTCTGAAACTGGTGTTGGCAGAAAATCTGCTCTAGAATTAACCTGCTTGAGGGACTTAGGCTTGTCCTTTCCCTCATATTTCTCATGGTCTTCTGAGACATAGGCCATGAGGACTACAGAAGGTTCCAGGGATGTCCCCTGGACATTGGGAGGGAAGTTGTGGGCAGGATCAAGGTGAGCCTTTCCAGGGCATGCCCCTAAAGTAGGAGGGGACTCCAGAGAGGGTCACCTGAGCAGTTTGGCCAGTATTGAGCACAGCATGTGTTTTCCCCTCCATCTTGCATGGAAACGTTTAGTTAACTGTCTGGAGTGCCTAGTTTTATTTCTATGAATCTCTCAACAAAAGAATCAAGTTCCTGTTGCCCCCTGTGATGAGTCTATAACCACAGGGGAGGATTTCTCCAGGTGGGCTGACACTGAGCAGAAGAGGGTGCTTTTAGGGCCCTAGTGGTAAGGGACAGCCAGGCCCTCTGGGGGACTGTGCGTGGTGAGTGCAGAAGTGACAGCCTCCAGCAGCTTGTCTGGGTGCAGTAGGAGAAGGAGGAGCTAAAGCAAACCTGTGTGTGCACCAAATAATGGTGGATTCTCTGGAGCCTCCAGGGAAATATGGAATTGGGGAAACTACAATGAGCAGAAAGGACACAGGAAAAGGGGCAGGGAGAAATACAATCTCAAGAGAGACAGGAAGAAATAGAGTCACACACCATTGCAGCCCTTAGTATGAGCTACAGAGTGGGGAAAATAGAAACTCCTCTAAATTAAGAACAGCATTACCCTTGCTGGGAGAAGAAAGAGATGTGGACAGCTACATAAGGACAAGCTCAACAAAGATTGGCTGTAGACAGCTCTTGACCCCTTTCCGCCCAGAAAACCAAGGAGGACAAAAGAAAACCAGATGCCGTAGCTTATAAAAATTCACTACCACTGACAAATGGAAAGAATGCAATAAAATTATTAATGTTCATAAAAGAAAAACTTGGATACATGAAAGGACTATCCATGGTATTGGCTGGGAAGACTCAATATTCTAATGACATCAGCATTCTTCACGTTAAGCTTTAAATTTATGATCCTCCAAATTTTCCAGATTTTTTGGAAACTTGATAAAGTTATCTTAATATGCATCTAGAAGGAACAAACAAACAAAAATCCATGCAGAAAAAGCAAGGACATTTTTGAAAAATAAAAGTCACAAGGGGAGTATTGTCAAAACAGACATTAAAATAGAAGGAGATAAACTTCTAATACGTATGGTGCTGAACAGGCAATTGAGTGTAACAGAGAGAAGGCTGAAACACAGACTCCAGTATTCACATTTTCCCCTTAGACAATAAGGTATCGCAAATGAAAAAGTTTGGGCTCTTCAATAAATGGTTTTAGGACAAATGGCTAACCATGTAAGTTCATGATAATGGCAATAATGATATTAATAATAGCTAATACATACTGACTAATGGCTATGTGCCAGAAGCCATAATAAATGCTTTCTATGAGTCATCTTACTAAATCATCACATTTATCCCCTTATTTTATCTGTTTCAGCTGCAAGGATGCTGTGGTTCATATGGGGTAGGTAATTTACATGCAGTCACCCAACCAGACAGGGTTGTATTATGGCTGGGGTTTGAACTTATAGCCCAGTCTCCTAACTGATGATTTCTACTCCTCCTCCTAGATTCCTACTTTATTTATTTTACTAAAATCAAGTCCAAATTTAATGACCCTTTGTATATAAACAATAGAATTTCATATTTGAAGATGGAGGCATAAACCAGCACTTCTTCTCTTCCTGGGAACAACATGAAAGCAAATGGGAGAGAGAAGCCTAGAAAAATGTAACCTCTATTTCCTATGAAATTAGAAAATAGCTAAACTTCCAGCTACAGAATGGGTAAATGGGCAACCAACAGGGTAATTGAGCAGAAGAGCATGCAGGAAGATGAGGGAATCAGGGCCACCGCTGTGAACTTCAGAAGTCCCAGCAGAGTGGGTCACAGGTGAGAGCCAAGCCTCCATCAGTGAAAACAGTGTGCATAGGTGGGTGTGGGTGGCACTTCCCCAGGCCTGATGTGGCTTAGAATTTTAGAAGTAGGGTTAGCTGAGGAATCAGGCATTTGTACACAACAATCTTTTTCTGGGGACATGGATTTTCTTCAAATGTAAGTACAGTAGTTCCCCCTCATCCACATTTTCACTTTCCATGGTTTAAGCTACCTGAGGTCAATTACAGTCTTAAAATAGGGGAGTATAGACACATAAGATATGTTGAGAGAGACAGAGACAGCACATTCACATAGCTTTTATTACAGTACATTGTAATAATAATTTTATTCTAGTACTCATAATTTTTGTCAATCTCTTACTGTGCCTGATTTATAAATTAAACTTTATCAGGGGTATGCATGTGTAGGAAAGCGCATAGTATATGTAGGGTTTGGTGCTCCCCAAGGTTCAGTCATCCCCTGGGGGTCTTGGGGCTGCTGTATTCGAAAGGAAACCAAGACCTAGCAAAGATACAATAAGCAAAATAGAAGAAAAAAACAGAACAAGAAACCAGGTATTACGACTTAGATGAAGACTGTGAATAAAACAGTCACTTGTCTATAAAGCCATGGCTGAAGAAGGGTGAACTGTGAGCTGGCAGAGCTGGAGAGAAAGAAGGAGAAAAAATATAAACTCACAGCAGTGAAGGCAGAACCGGAGTTGGCACAAAGAAGAACAGACCTTGCTGGGGAAAAGACATGGAGAACAGAAATGGAAAAATATCGAACAAATTAAAATGGAAATCAATGAGTTAAAAAACCAGAGAGAAAATGACAGCTACAGAGACTAGGTGGCAATCCTATGGAACCACAATCAGAGACCCTGAAGAAGAAAATTAAAGCAGGGAAGAGAACACTTAGAGATACAATTCATGGGAAAAATATTTTTTAAAATAACCTGAATCTACATATTAAATAGATGCACCACATCTATGGGAAAATTGACCCCAAATGGAAAACACCAAATTATAGACTAAAAATTTACCAGACTTCAGGGCAGGTGCGGTGGCTCACGTCTGTAATCCCAGCACTTTGGGAGACCGAGTTGGGTGGATCACGAGGTCAGGAGTTCAAGACCAGCCTGGCCAATATGGTGAAACCCCATCTCTACCCAAAATACAAAAATTAGCTGGGCATGGTAGTGCATGGCTATAGTCCCAGCTGCTTGGGAGGCTGAGGCAGAAGAATCTCTTGAACCCGGGAGGTGGAGGTTGCAGCGAGCCAAGATCGTGCCACTGCACTCCAGCCTGGGCAACAGAGCGAGACTCCATCACAAAAATAAAAAAAGAAAATAAACTACCAGACTTCAAAGTCAGCTCTTTGGTGCACAGAACCAAAAAGATTAAGTTCCTTCTACAGGGAAATCAGGCAGTCTGTGCTCCCTCCAAGGAGACAGTGTGAGCCGCCAATATCTGTCCTTTGGGTGTAAAAAGGCAAGGAACAAACCATTGCAAACCAGAAAGAGGTTGGAATATTCTTCACTATGTCCAAATAACTCATACTGAGCACAAAATCAATCTAACACAGAACTGGCAATTGCAAAAGTTGGGCATATGGCTGCAGAACAGAACATAGAGGGTCTAAGCTCTGACAATGCAGAAAATATTCATCAAAATCTAGGATATTTAGAAAATTTATCATTGCTTATATTGGAAATTGACAGCTGTATCTGCATAGAGAGGAGCCCAAAACCCTGATCTTACCCCAGCCACAGGTCTGCCCTCCTGGAGTCGTCCTGTCTGTCACCGGCACTTCCACTATCCTCACTGCCTGGGGTTCTCCCCTTTTGTCACACCCATAGTATGTCCATCACTCAAAGACATTCAGAATCCATTTGTCCCTCCTCCACTGCAGTCACCCTGGTTCCGGCCACATCCCGGCCAAGGCCTTAGAACAGCTCTCCGGCTGAAATTCCTGTCCTTCACACAGTCTGCTTTCAAAACAGCATGCCAGTGTGATCCTTTTAAAGCATGAGGCAGATCACACCATCTCTCTCCAATTACCCAGCTAGCCTCCTAGCTTCTGGCTTCAGCACAGCAGCAGCTGAAGAGACCGCATCACCATCACCACTCTCATTGCTCACCATACCCACTCCCCACTTGGGCAGAGCCAGGTCCTTACAATGACTGATGGGGACCCAGTGCAGGAGTCTCCTCTCCCAGGACTTCCTTTCACTAACTCTGCCACAGCTGTAATGTCCTCCTTGGTGTTTCTGGATCATTCCAGGCATCAACCTCCCGGCCTCGCCCCCTACCCCCAACTCTTGGGAACTAGCTGGCCCCTCACCTTCCGGTCTCCCTCGGAGGACAGGAGCACAGGACTCATCTGTCTTTAAGTCTTTCCTCAGACTTTCCCTACTCCTGGGGTATTTTGACAATGCTATTTTAAATGCAAACTACTCCCCATTGTCCTCCAGCGTCACCCCCCAGGCATGCTCTGACTCTTCTTTTTGGACATTCCCACAACCAAGTTTCCCTGAAGGTCAGAGACTCTATGGACAGCCAGAGAGAGCAAAGGAGGCCCAGGCCAGGCCCCAGGCTGATGCATCATCTATTCTCTCGCATTTGCAGTCCCTCTTCGCTTCTCAGCAGGTAACAAGGAGATGGCCCTGAACTATTTTCCCTCCAGTATAAGTGACATACATGCAAGAGAATGGCATTAAGCTGTGGACTTCTGGGAGTACAGGTGAGACCCACCTCAGAATGAAGCCCTGATTTTTTTTTTTTAAATCTCTTTTAGGCAAGAGGCCTCATTTGTTCATGTAAATAAATAAATCAAAAAAGAGAACTGAATGTCTCAGACTTTGTGTATCTAGACCCAAGGTCAAAAATGTAATGACTTTTTTTTTTTTTTTTTTTTTGTAGCAAAGATTGTTTCATTTCTACAATAGCTACCTTTAAACTGCAGTGATTTACCCTGGAATTCTGCCTCCCCTGAATTAAACTGTTGCATCTCTCAAGGAAACAAGCTGAATCTGTTTTGTTTATACAGTTTTGTCATTTATGAGGGAGCTGCACTTCAGCTCTTAGTGATCATTTCATTGAAAGAAAACATGTTCCATAAGCAAGGCTAAATTGTTCTTAAGAAATAGATTTACTGCTTGCATAATTAAAATAACAATATACCATATTTCTCTATCAGATTGGAAAATGTCAAAAAAAAAAAGCCTAATATCCAGTATTATTTTGGTTATAAGAGACAGACACTACTGCAAACTGAGGTGAGTTGTGTAAATGAATAAAATGCTGGCAAATTGTCAATACATATTGAAAGTTATAAAAATTATTTACTCCTTGAGCCAGCAACTCTACTTATAGAAATTTATCCCCAGGGATAAATGAACACATATACAAAGATAAATGTGACAGAAGTCATTAGAAGTCATTATGATATCTTTCTTTTCCTTTTTTTTTTGAGATGGAGTCTCGCTCTGTTGCACAGGCTGGAGTGCAGTGGCGTGATCTCAGCTCACTGTAAGCTCCGCCTCCCGGGTTCATGCCATTCTTAGCCTCCTGAGTAGCTGGGACTACAGGTGGCCGCCACCACGCGTGGCTAATTTTTTTGCATTTTTAGTAGAGACGGGGTTTCACCGTGTTAGCCAGGATGGTCTTGATCTCCTGACCTCATGATCCGCCTGCCTTGGCCTCCCAAAGTGCTGGGATTACAGGTGTGAGCCACTGCACTTGGCCCATTACGATATTTTTCTAAAAGAAAAACTGGCAAAAACCAAAAATATGACATTCAACAATAGTGTTGGAGATATCCAGTTGCCAGGTATCCAACACCCCCTCTGACTTAGGAAAATAACACACATTATGTCCATGATGGCTTACGGACCCTTTATAGCCAGGGGCGACCCGGCCAGCGATCCAGAGAGATGCTGGCAAAATTGATCTGTGATGCACTTCTGGAAAGGACCTTAAAGGGAGGTGAGTCGTGTGGGAGGGGCAGCCATCTCCCTTTGCTCTTCCTCCTACAGGGAAATGTGAAAGGAAGTTGACACTATAGCTTGGTGGCCATCGTTTGAGGATGAAGAATGCTGCTAGGAGAGGCAGAACTCTTCCTAACACATAAGGAGTTTGGGTGCCTGATGACTTAGCCAAGCCAACAAACTAGTCCTGAGCTGTCGACATCCAGAGTCCTCTTATGAGAAAAATAAACCCTTGTGAATTTAAGTGGCTGAACTCAATCTTAACTAAAGTAATTAGATAAACGTAATTATTGATGTACTACAATAAACATTACACAGACATTAAAAAGTCACGGAGTTCAAGGCCAGCCTGGCCAACATGGTGAAACCTCATCTCTACTAAAAATACAAAAAAATTAGCCAGGCTTGGTGGTGTACACCTGTAATCCCAGCTACTACTTGGGAGGCTGAGGCAGAAGAATTGCTTGAACCCAGGAGGCGGAGGTTGCAGTGAGCTGAGATCGCACCACTGCACTCCAGCCTGGGCGACAGAGCAAGACTCTGTCTCCAGAAAAAAAAAAGTCATATTAAGCACCATATTTGTTGTTATGGCAAGACATACATAGTATATTGTTGACTGAAGAAAGATTATAAGCCAGCAACAATCATCAAACTTTTAAAAATGTATAATGTGTATCTATGGGTATGCAATTGCTTGGGGACAGGACTGACAGTCTAGAGACAAAAAATGTTTGCAGCAGTTATCTTTGATCATCTTTGAGTGATGTTATTGGGGGGAATTTAACTTTTTAAAAAATTGCAATTTCTAATTTTTTTCTTTGATGACTTGATATTGGATATGAAATTTAAAGACAAAAAAGCTACTATTACAACCTAATTTTTAAGTTAGTGGTAAGAAGGGATAAAATGTCAGTAACATCCAAGACAGACAAAGTATTATTTAATCTATGTAGAAACACTTCCAAATAAATAAGACATAGAGATAAGCGTGCAAGTAACATGAATAAGAAATTTCCCAAAGGAGAAGTAGAAGTGGTCTGTTAACATAAGATAAAACATGTTAAACAACATTAACAATCTAAGTATGCAAATTAAAATGAGAGGGCATTTTCAACCATCAGGTTGTAAAGACTATTTAAAAAAAATGTTATCTAGTTGGTGAGGATGCTGGGCCACATTTACCCACCCATACTGTTGGTGGCCTAAGTGCCCTTGGGCAGTACAGAGTAAGAGCCTTGTATATGGCTGGTGCCTTTTCACTTCACTTACACATATGCGCATTGAATTAACATACAGGAGTGTTCATTTGCTGGAGTGTTTATGAGAGTGAAAACTGTAAACACCCTCAGGGAGAGAGAGAACACCTGCATAACGACAGGCATTAAAAATAATGTTGAAGAAGGCAAATGTCATGGAAAATGTCCATAATATCAAATATGCACTTCCATAGAAACTAAATTAAATTTATGATGTTTATCTGTTTCCATGTAATAATGCACAATGGAGCTTCAAATACGGCAGGAAATAAAAAGTCATGGGGGCAGAGACTCTGAATAACAGGATTTTATTTTTGAAGAAGTCCTTTGCACATGGACAGTGGATGTGGTGTGTGGTGTGTGACAGGGGAGTTGCTTCAGGGACTTTTAAAAATTTAGCTATTTTCCCAATCAGACAGTGTCTAGCAACCTTCCCCACTTCTTTACCTTCCTTCTCAAAAGAGAGATGCCAGGAGGGTTGCAACAAATGTACCATTTATTTTTCCTTTGGTCATTGTTGCTTCCATAATGAGAAAATGCAACATGCTATTTTAAAAAAGAAAGATCTAGAGTATAAATGATGATTAAGTCAACACAAATACAAATACCTCACAATAATTAAACCTAGATACTAGGTCTTAGGTTATTGGAAAAAAAAAAAGGTCATGATTGACTGATTATTTGATCTCACCAGTACATATCTGGCCCTCAACTAATATAGTACTGAATTCAAGTGTCTAAATGAGAAAAGAAAGAGAACTTCCAATATGTTTGCAAGTACCGTTAAGGAGGCGTTCTGAAGAAGCCACCCTAATGAACAGAAATTGTTTTTCCAAAGTCTAACATGATTCCACTCTTCGTTTCCATGTCATACATTTCTACTTGCATAATATCTACAATGTCACCTAAAACCCAGGAGCTACTGTTCTGCATTAGAAGAGGAAACATGATTAGGGGTGCAAGCAGGGAACATGAGACAATCGCAATAGGACATTGGGCGTGTTTGTTTTTAAAAAGAGCACGCCAAGGAGATGACGTGTAATCTGTATATTCTAAGGTAATAAGGGGAATAAAACAATCAATGATATTATCTTTAACTTTCTAAACCCACTCATCTCTCTAAATACTGGGGAAATAGTTTTCCAGCTATGAGTAGTTCTGACAATTTAAACTCACATCTCTTCATGTACGAGTGTGCAGTGATCTCTAAGCAGACCATGGTTATGTAATACAGGTGGGCAAGGTAGGACTTCCTAAGTGCTGAAACAATCTACACAAAAGACTTCCATCCCTCTGTGGCCTTTCCAAGGGCATGTTATGTACAACAGACACGTTGTGTGTCTGAATAAAAACACCTAGGTGGACAACTAGGAATGTCTATGAGAGAATGATAGGCTTGGTGGAAACAGAGATACGTATCTACTTGCAAGAAACTTCTCTGGAAATCTAGAAATGCTTATCTAATCCTTTAGAACATAGCAAATGTTTGACAGGTAACAAGTAGATCAAGTAACTCCATACCTTTAGAGAATTTCCACACGATGGTAGGTACAGGGTAACCCTCAGCAGAACAATTGAGGATGACTGCTTTGCCATAAATCCCGTCCTGGTCCCGTGGCTGAACCACAAACTTGGGAGGAACTGAAAAGAGAGAAATGTCACCAGTAATTAAGACTAGACCAGAAACTGAGTAAAGGTATGATTCTAAGAAACTGAATCATTTTAATGAATATTAAAATATGAAGACTGTTTCATACACATGGGACAATAAAAACACTATTGGCAGTTTGGGACAAATTAAGGGAGTAATTTCAGTGCTGAAAAATTTTCTGATTCATATCAATGAGCTTTTGTCACAGGTAAAAGCCCTTTGAACTAGGGAAAACTGGCCTCGAGGGAGGAAGTTTGACTAAATCAAAGGGATGGAATATTTTGCTTTTAATTGTGTTATCAAAAATATACAGAAATTCCCTCAATGGAAAATTGAATCAGAATCACCATTTAAAGAACAGATCAGGCTGGGCGCGGTGGCTCATGCCTGTAATCCCAACACTTTGGGAGTCCGAGGCAAGCAGATCACCTGAGGCCTGGAGTTTGAGACCAGTCTGACCAACACGGAGAAACCCCATCTCTACTAAAAATACAAAATTAGCTGGGTGTGGTGGCGCATGCCTGTAATCCTAGCTACTCAGGAGGCGGAGGCTGGAGAATTGCTTGGACCCGGGAAGCGGAGGTTGCAGTGAGCTGAGATAATGCCATTGCACTCCAGCCTGGGCAACAAGAGTCAAACTCCATCTCAAAAAAAAAAAAAAAAAAAAAAAAGTAGATCAAATATATATTTGTGCCTCAAATAGTAATTATCAAATATAAGTATTCATCTTGGATGTGAACTGGTCAAAGTATTCGATGTTGATTTTTCCTCTACCAGGAGATAAAGTGAGAAATAACAGGCACCTCGTAAAGGCAATCGAGAATACAATGTGGGACTGAACTTTTCCCAAAATTCTGGTGAGAACACATAGTCCGTTATGCCAGATGTCAGCACCACGGTGGGCCAAAGGGGGACTGTGGAGAGTAGTTGCAGTGAAGTACCATAAAGGTTTTCTAGTGTGCCTATAAAAAACAAGATATTAAGTGACTGCTTATCTGGTGAATGTTGTGAGGTGCTGTAAAGAACCATCCCTACCTAAAACATAAACATGATTTCACTTAAAACATATCTCCCCAAAGAAAGCATATTTTTTGAGATAAGCCATTAGGATTTTAATATGTATCACATCTCTTAGAAAAGGTAGCATCTGAAAGTATTCTAATCCCCGTATCTTTCCCAGCAGATCAGCGATTCATTACAGGGTAGACTTTCAGTGAGGCAGTCATAAACTATGTGAGAAGAGATGAATTATCTACACCATATAGTAGATACTTAGAAATTCCTGGTAAGGCTAATCTCATCAGCCTTGCAAGATACAGAATTCTTAATTTTGAGACATAAATGTGAGCCTATGTGTTACAGGTAGATAGGAACTCAGCTGCCACATATGATAGACTGAGAAGATGGTTAGGGCCTAAGTTAGCAAGGGGCTTAGAAGCTTGTTACAATGATCTGAGCCAACGTGACGATCGCTTTGGCCATAAAATAACAAAGGAGGAAGGGAAAATGTCAAGACACAAGAAGCAGCCAGAGATGGAATTCACCGCAGTGTTTCTGGAGAAAATATTGCTTTTAATTTTCTAGCTTTACTTTCTGTAGAATGATTTACACATGAAGAAGCACCAGAAAATAATGACTACCAGCATAAAGCCAAGTGTTAAACACATTGGCTTGGTGTCCAGCTTTTCTATTTCCTGTTGGGCAATTTTGTGCAAACTGTAAAATGGCTCTTGGTCTCAATTTACTTATCTGAAAATTGGAGATGATTATGGAACTCATTTTAAGGATTGTTAAGATGATCAAATAAATTAAGATTAGAAAAGTTCTCAGAACTGTGGAGATATTAACTGCTGTAAGAGTGTTGATTAATTTAGTAAATGCAGGTATGTTTAGCTTTTACTTTTTTTTTTTTTTTTGAGATGGAGTCTTACTCTGTTGCCTAGGTGGAGTGCAGTGGCATGTTCTCTGCTCACTGCAACTTCCACCTCCCAGGTTCAAGCAATTCTCTGCCTCAGCCTCCTGAGTAGCTGGGATTACAGGTGCCTGCCATCACGCCCAGGTAATTTTTTTGTATTTTTAATAGAGATGGGGTTTTACCATCTTGGCCAGGCTGGTCTTGAACTCCTGATCTCGTGATCCACCAGCCTCAGCCTCCCAAAGTGCTGGGATTACAGGCGTGAGCCACTGCGCACGGCCTGACATATTCTTGATGAGCAAAGTTCCCAACTTGCAAATGAAATAAATAATTTACACAGCCAATGGGTTTCTGAGATATTGCTTAAGTGATAAGCAATGTTACTTCATGTAGATGGTATTCGGAGACAAAATGTATTTAAGAAAATGAAAATATATTTAAAATAAGATAATAAGGAATGACTATCTCTGAGTGAGGAAATTATCTCTAAGAAATATGGTAGAGATTATTTAGAGCTAAGTTTTCTAGTAAAAGTGACCAATCAACTCAAGAGCAGGTGACAAAGTTGAAGACACCATGCCAAAATTATTCTCTGCAGGGTGGAAGGAAAATCTGCAGCCATCCACATTCTGTGCTCCATTTGGCTCAAGTTCTGCCAAGAGCAAGAAATTGCTCATCAATGGACAGGGTAGAAAATCTCTTGCATTCCCTCTGGAAGCATGTCTAATCATAATTGATCCATTACTCCTCCCCTCAATTTGGTTCTAATCCAACGAAATGTTCCTTAAAATCTCATCAAAGAAGTGTATATGAGAAACAACCATAGAAATACGGTAAGTATAAGGTAGTTACAGATAAAAACGGTCCCTAAATTAGTAGAATAATTACCCCGTATCATTGAAAACTGTTTCTGACCCTGGTAGGAGTAGCCAGGGGATTTCCCACGTACACCTCTTTGCTCATAGATTGGAATTCTCTCTTCAGATACCCCAGTGATTTACAGTCACATGAAGACCTAAGAAAGAAGCTTCTGCAGTAAGTGAGCTTCTTAATTTTTATAGCAAAGAGAATAATTAATAGCTCAGATGTTTGGTCTTTGGCTGATATACCATGCAACTTGAGACCACCTTGAGGAAAATGCTATATTTTACTAAGTGCATGAATAAGCCAAATCATATACATTTCCTTTAAATTTTGACAGAAGACTGTCATGAATGTAAATATTCAATCCCTAAGTGATTTATTATCGTGTACCAGTGAATACGTAGGTCCCTTTCATGAAAGTGAACTTGTGAGTTACAATAAGAACTCTAAGACTGGGAACATCCATGTACTTACATCAAGAAGACCTGAGGCCACACCCCTCAGATCTGACACCTTAAGAATATGCTTGGGTTGAGTTCTGCCTGGCAAAATTAGAGGTGATGGATTCCTGGGAAAAGTAGTAATAAGTTTCTAAACAAATTTCTTTGCCTGCCCAGAGCCTAATGTGAAGACAACAGGCATATGGTCCCCTGGGGGTTGTCATCACTTTGAGACAGCTGCATCACCAGCTAAGATTAAAATTCCAGGGCAGGGGAGTGTCTGAATGAGGACCCAGTGTTTAACATGTAACTAATGACATCATTCTCATATGCTCTAAGCATATGAGAATGACCATTATCCCTAGGGACAACAAAGTTCCCAATTTTTTAAAGTAAGCAGCAGTTTATTTTTTAAAAAGTGCAGATATTTTTTAAAGAAACTATTAATATTCGACCTAGATACTTTTTTTCTACAAAATGGCAGCCTAAGAAATTGTCCTAAAAGAATCAGGAGCCCCCACAAGGAGTCACTTAGTAATGAAAGTGAGCATTTCCTGAGTACTCAGTGGGTTTCACGTACTCCTAGTTCCATCCTTTGACCCCTCCCAGAATTGCCCTCAAGACAATTCTTACTTTGCTTGCTTATTAAAGAGAGGATCCCCCACTGTGGCCCTCTCCTTCTTCTCAGGGTGTTGTCTTCAATCTTCTCCACATCTTACTCAACAAACCTCCTGAGCTATTTCACCCACTCCCATCACGATGATTGCCTTTATCTTCCCTTGGTGTGTAGAGCACCATATCCTTCCATCATTAGCTTATATCACAGGTACCTCTAATTCAAGTTTCCAAAATGGTACCTGTTCCTGTTCACCATCCATTAAGGTCCTCAAAAAAGAAAAATGGAATTTCCTTTCATATCCTCTTCTTTCATTTCTTTTTATCAGGTGCTGATGATTATTTCTTGAAAATGTATCCTCAAATTCTCTGCATCTCCACTGCCACACCCCAGTCACAGTGAGTAGTCTGGTTATGTGGGAAAGGGGCACAGCCCCTCTGTCCACCCGGCTTCAGCACCTCTGGGAGGACAGCTCCACCTCCACACACTTTGCCAGGACACTGCACTAAGGGGATGCGGCCCTCTCTTTGCTGTCTCAGGCCTTCTCAGAAGTCATGAGCCTTTACCCACCTTACTGGTGCAACCTTGACATGTGAAAAACAATTGTCCATCACTGAGGGACAGGAGTCAGGGTATAAATTCTCTGCCTCTGCCTCAGTTTCCTCCGATCCAGTGGGGCAATTATGAGGCCTGCTCTGTGCCTGCGCTTCTCAAACATTAGAGGGCATCAGAATCACCTGAAGAGCTGATTAAACCACACATTGCTAAACCTTGTCTCCAGTGATTCTGACTCAGTACATCTGGGGTGGAATCCAATATTTTGCCTTTCTAATGAGCTCCCAGGTGATGCTGAGGCTGCTGGTACAGAGACCACACTTCAAGAACCACTGTTCTACGTGATTCCTTAGAAGGCTCCCAGTAGGAATGAGCTCCAGTTGCCCATAGCAGCAACCAGCTCATTAAAGCAACTTTTACTGATTTTCTTTTCTCCCTTTCTAATCTCATTCTTTCCATTCTGGGATCCAGGAATGACATCCCAAATAAATAACCTGCCAGCCAATTCTGTGCCTCACACTCTACTTTCAAGGGAACCCAACCTAGGACAAGGCCCATATTGCCTCTTATTTAGATTTCTCAGCCCCCTAACTGGTCTACCTGCCACGAACTGTCCCACTTGAATTCATTCTTCACTCAGGGACCTAAAGGATCTAAGACACAAATTGGATGATGTGACTTCCTTGCTTAAAAGCATCGCATATTCCCATGGCCCTTTGGTATAATCCAGACTCTTGGGATATTTTAAAGGATTTTTATGACTTGAGCCCTTGGTCTCCAGTTGCATTCTGTGACATTCTCCTCTTGCAGGCTTTGCCCCAACTATTCTAAAACCCCATCTATTATCCAGTCCCCAAGACCATTCTTGCTGCTGGGTCTTCACACAGGCTTCTTCATGTCTGTTTAATAAGTTCCCATTCACCATTTGCATCTTAGCTTAGCACTCACTCAGTCAGGCACATTTGTTTCTGATGCTGTGGATAAGATTAAGTGCTTCTCTGAGGCCTTAATTACTTACCATAGCCTTTATTACGCTCATCTGGTATTGCTGTTTAACAGTCTGTGTCCCATACCAGGCTGTGCATGCTATGAGAACAAGAACCATTCCTTTCTCACAGGCCATGGCATGCCCAGCGCACAGCACAGATCTGCAGTACAGAAAGCACTCTGCAACTATGCGTTGAAAGGACACATGAATCAATGAATGTTATTACTTCAGTTTTATAGACTAGGGAAACGGAGCATGGCTAAGTTAATAACGCAGATCAGGGTGACCCCCAAAGCCTGAGGTCTTTGAGAAGAGTGGACCCAATGGAAGTGCCATCTGAGGGACAGCAGAAGACAGCCTCATAGGAGGACTCTGGCCAAGAAGATACAGAGCCTGAGATGGAAGGATGTGAAGCCTTTGGGACTGTTGCCGTTTGGGCCAAAACTTATGACAGAACAAAAAGACCACCAGTACTCTATATTGTCTGGGTGTATAATTCCCCAAGGTTGTTGGTTTCCTTTTTTAAAGATGATATTTAGATTTCCTTTTATTAGTATAACACATTATTTAGTATATTGTGGTGAGCCGGCTTGCCAATATAGTTTGTTTTCCAATAGATCATGATATGGTTTGGTAGTGTCCCCACCCAAATCTCATCTTGAATTGTAGCTCCCACAATTCCCACCTATTGTGGGAGGGATCCAGTGGGAAGTAATTTAACCACGGGGGGCGGATCTTTCCCATGCTGTTCTCGTGATAGTGAATGAGTCTCATGAGATCTGATGATTTTATAAAGGGGATTTCCCCTGCACAAGCTCTCTCTTGCCTGCCACCATGTAAGACATGCCTTTCACCTCCCAGCCACCTGTGGAACTGTGAGTCCATTAATCCTCTTTTTCTTTATAAATTAGCCAGTCTTGGGTATGTCTTTATCAGCAGCATAAAAATGGACTAATACAGAGCGGTTTTTCTGGTAGGGAGGAAGAGTAATTAAAGAGATGAATAGGTTCAACTACATAATTACATCACATCTCCAAGATGCAATATGGCTAAACTTGCCAAACACTTCTCTGAATCATAATTACGTGCACATAACCAGCACTCCTGTCTCCCCAAAAAGAACAATTTGATATATATTCCAAAATACCAAAATCTTGTCATGGGATCCACATAGGCTGAGAGTATCTGAAGTTTCAAATAGGTTTCTTTGAGGAAGTTTACTCCTGGTGTTGCCTAAAATGAAGGTTGTTTAAAACACAGAGGTCTTTGGCTTGATCTGCTTATTTTGTGTGTGTTGGTGGGGGGTGGATTACTTCTGTTGTTTCATTTTTAAAGAAATAATACTATGGTTATAATAAGACAGGCATTTTTCTAGTTTTAAATGTAGTCCAGCGTTTTATGTTTGGAAGCCATGGCTTCTAAGTTGCTATATATTTCCAAAGAATGAATTTAGGTTTCCCTAGCTGTAAACCTGGGCAGAAATTCAGTTTTAATGAAAGCCATTTGGTGGAGGTGGGAGGGGGTGCATGGATAAATACCACCATTCTCTACTTGGTGACATTTAGTTGAGATGGGACTTGGCCAAAGTCTAGGTAAGATTTAATTTACGACACTGACAATTAAACCTATTGCTTTCCCATCATTCTGAGAATAGATGGCCTGGCCTCTGCTTATATCTCTGCCTTACACTTTCTGTCCTCTCTTACTTAATAGGAGGCACCTTGGGCCTCTTGCTGGGCTGTGAACACACAAAACTCACTCCACACTCAGTCTTCAGACTTGTTGGTCTCTCTGCTTGGAACTCGCTTCCTACAATTCCCTGGGACGTACGCCTTCACTTCAGTCAAGTCTCTGCTCAAAGATCTCTCCAGAAAGCCTTCCCCTGCCCAGCCTACCTAAAATACTATTTTCATCCCCATCTTTCTCAATCCACGTACAACATGTTTATTTTTCATAGTCCTTGTAGATAACTGACATTGTTTGTTCATTATCTCTTCCCTTCACTAGACTTTGAACCTTAATGGGCAGAGACTTGGTGTCTTTATTTTAATCACCATGGTATCCTCGGCACTCATAACAGCACCTATTATAAAACAAATATTTAAGAAATATTTTGTGTAAGAATGAATGAATGAAGTAAAATCATAGCATGAGAATTCTATCAAAAATTGGATCAACAGATGGCAATAAAATAGCAACCTTCTATGATTTTCATTTTTCCTGTCAACTGACAGTCAACTATTTTAGCCAATGTGCTTGTTTCTCTATGTGGCAGTTCACCATTAAAAGCCAGAAACCATTGACCCATCAGAAGATATAAAAAAGTGTGAGAAAACGGCCCTCCTTTGGAATCACAGATAGGAACTGTTGTGTTGGTGCTTTCCTGTGAGTGGTCTAGAGACCACAACAGGAAGCAAAGGGCAGGAGTGCTCTTTCATGAAGCCTAATGCGTTATTTCTAATACCTTAATCAATGCCAAGGTCACTCCACTGAGCAGGATATCAGGGAAACCATCAGTCCACTGTCATAAGAGCTATGAGATTTGGCTCTTATTGGCTCATACATAACAGCTAAGAGATTTTTGCTTTTGGGGTGTTGTTTTTGTTTTCTTATATTTTCTTCAAGACAACAGCTAATTTATTTTAGATCAAGTCTTTACAAATCTTCCCACTAACCCAGGCTATCAAACAATGTGCTAAGCTTTACAATGACCCCAGGTCAAACTTTTCTTATGCAGCTTCCTCACGTCACTCAGCCTTCATAGAAGAGAGTTAGGGCCTTGCCCTGTATCAAGCTTGTACTTAAGGGAATGTGGTGGCTGGTTTGGTTTTCTCTATCCATACTATTTAAACGTTCTCCATATTAGCAACGAGGTTGTTTCACTTTACCATTTGTGTGTTCACTGGAGTAGCATTTTTCATTGCCCTCAAGAACTTTTCCTTTGTGTTTACAATGTGGCAAACAGTTTGGCATAGGAAGCCCAGCTTCCGGCCTCTCTTGGCTTTCAAATGCCTTCCTCACTGAATGCAATCATTTCTAGCTTTTGATTTAAAGTGAGAGATGTGCAATGAATGATTCCTCCTCTCACTGAAACACCGGAGACTGTTGTGGGGCCATTCATTGGCCTAATTTCAATATTGTTATGTCTTAGGAAGTAGGGAAGCTGAGAAATGGTCAATATTGTTGTCTTAGGAAATAGGGAAGCTGAGAAATGGAGACTGGGAAATGGTTGGTTAGTAGAGTGGTCAGAACACACACAACATTTATCGATTAAGTTTGCCATCTCATATGGCTACTGAACAATTATAATAGTAACATTATAATAGTAACACCAGAGATTACTGATTACCAATCACCATAACAGACATAATAATAATGATAAAGTTTCAAATGTTGCAAGAATTACCAAAATGTGACATACAGACACGAAGTGGGCACACACTGTTGGAAAAAATGGTCCCCATAGACTTGCTCGATGCAGGATTGCCACAAACCTTCAACTTGTAAAAAATGCGATATCTGGGAAGCACAATAAAGCAAAGTGTGGCCGGGCATGGTGGCTCACTCCTGTAATCTCGGCACTTTGGGAGGCCAAGTGGGGTGCATCACCTGAGGCCAGGAGTTCGAGACCAGCCTGGCCAACGTGGTGAAACCTTGTCTCTACTAAAAATAAAAAAATTAGCTTGGCATGTTGGCACATGCCTGTAATCCAAGCTACTCAGGAAGCTGAGGCAGGAGAATGGTGTGAACCCGGAAGGTAGAGGTTGCAGTGAGTGGAGATTGGCCCATTGTACTGCAGCCTGGGTGACAGAGCAAGATCCCGTCTCAAAAAAAAAAAAAAAAAAAGGAAGAAAAGAAAAGTGCAGAAGCTCTTTAGTTTAATTAGATCCCATTTGTCAATTCTGGCTTTTGTTTCCATTGCTTTTGGTGTTTTAGACATGAAATCCTTGCCCATGCCTATGTCCTAAATGGTAATGCCTAGGTTTTCTTCTAGGGTTTTTATGGTTTTAGGTCTAAGGTTTAAGTCTTTAATCCATCTTGAATTAATTTTTTGTATAAGGTGTAAGGAAGGGATCCAGTTTCAGCTTTCTACATATGGCTAGCCAGTTTTCCCAGCACCATTTATTAAATAGGGAATCCTTTCCCCATTGCTTGTTTTTCTCAGGTTTGTCAAAGATCAGACAGTTGTAGATATGTGGCGTTATTTCTGAGGGCTCTGTTCTGTTCCATTGGTCTATATCTCTGTTTTGGTACCAGTGCCATGCTGTTTTGGTTACTGTAGCCTTGTAGTATAGTTTGAAGTCAGGTAGCATGATGCCTCCAGCTTTGTTCTTTTGGCTTAGGATTGACTTGGCGACGCGGGCTCTTTTTTTGTGCCACATGAACTTTAAAGTAGTTTTTTCCAATTCTGTGAAGAAAGTCATTGGTAGCTTGATGGGGATGGCATTGAATCTATAAATTACCTTGGGCAGTATGGCCATTTTCACAATATTGATTCTTCCTACCCATGAGCATGGAATGTTCTTCCATTTGTTTGTATCCTCTTTTATTTCATTGAGCAGCGGTTTGTAGTTCTCCTTGAAGAGGTCCTTCACATCCCTTGTAAGTTGGATTCCTAGGTATTTTATTCTCTTTGAAGCAATTGTGAATGGGAGTTCACTCATAATTTGGCTCTCTGTTTGTCTGTTATTGGTATATAAGAATGCTTGTGATTTTTGTACATTGATTTTGTATCCTGAGACTTTGCTGAAGTTGCTTATCAGCTTAAGAAGATTTTGGGCTGAGACGATGGGGTTTTCTAGATATACAATCATGTCATCTGCAAACAGGGACAATTGGACTTCCTCTTTTCCTAATTGAATACCCTTTATTTCCTTCTCCTGCCTAATTGCCCTGGCCAGAACTTCCAACACTATGTTGAATAGGAGTGGTGAGAGAGGGCATCCCTGTCTTGTGCCAGTTTTCAAAGGGAATGCTTCCAGTTTTTGCCCATTCAGTATGATATTGGCTGTGGGTTTGTCATAGATAGCTCTTATTATTTTGAGATACGTCCCATCAATACCTAATTTATTGAGAGTTTTTAGCATGAAGGGTTGTTGAATTTTGTCAAAGGCCTTTTCTGCATCTATTGAGATAATCATGTGTTTTTTGTCTTTGGTTCTGTTATATGCTAGATTATATTTATTAATTTGCGTATATTGAACAAGCCTTGCATCCCAGGGATGAAGCCCACTTGATCATGGTGGATAAGCTTTTTGATGTGCTGCTGGATTCGGTTTGCCAGTATTTTATTGAGGATTTTTGCATCAATGTTCATCAAGGATATTGGTCTAAAATTCTCTTTTTTGGTTGTGTCTCTGCCCAGCTTTGGTATCAGGATGACGCTGGCCTCATAAAATGAGTTAGGGAGGATTCCCTCTTTTTCTATTGATTGGAATAATTTCAGAAGGAATGGTACCAGTTCCTCCTTGTACCTCTGGTAGAATTTGGCTGTGAATCCATCTGGTCCTGGATTCTTTTTGGATCTAATTAAACTAAAGAGCTTCTGCACAGCAAAAGAAACTACTATCAGAGTGAACAGGCAACCTACAAAATGGGAGAAAATTTTCGCAACCTACTCATCTGACAAAGGGCTAATATCCAGAATCTACAATGAACTCAAACAAATTTACAAGAAAAAAAAAACAACCCCATCAAAAAGTAGGCAAAGGACATGAACAGACACTTCTCAAAAGAAGACATTTATGCAGCCAAAAAACACATGAAAAAATGCTCACCGTCACTGGCCATCAGAGAAATGCAAATCAAAACCACAGTGAGATACCATCTCACACCAGTTAGAATGGCAATCGTTAAAAAGTCAGGAAACAACAGGTGCTGGAGAGGATGTGGAGAAATAGGAACACTTTTACACTGTTGGTGGGACTGTAAACTAGTTCTACCATTGTGAAAGTCAGTGTGGCGATTCCTCAGGGATCTAGAACTAGAAATACCATTTGACCCAGCCATCCCATTACTGGGTATATACCCAAAGGACTATAAATCATGCTGCTATAAAGACACATGCACACGTATGTTTATTGAGGCACTATTCACAATAGCAAAGACTTGGGACCAACCCAAATGTCCAACAGTGATAGACTGGATTAAGAAAATGTGGCACATATACATCATGGAATACTATGCAGCCATAAAAAATGATGAGTTCATGTCCTTTGTAGGGACATGGATGAAATTGGAAATCATCATTCCCAGTAAACTATCACAAGAACAAAAAACCAAACACTGCATATTCTTACTCATGGGTGGGAATTGAACAATGAGAACACATGGACACAGGAAGGGGAACATCACACTCTGGGGACTGTTGTGGGATGAGGGGAGGGGGGAGGGATAGCATTAGGAGATATACCTAATGCTAGATGACGAGTTGATGGGTGCAGCACACCAGCATGGCACATGTATACATATGTAACTAACCTGCACATTGTGCACATATACCCTAAAACTTAAAGAATAATAATAAAATAAAATAAAAAAACACAACAACAACAACAAAAAAGAAAAGTGTGATAAAATCAGGTGTGCCTGTGTTTATTGAATGCAGTACATTGTGGATACGCTATGCTGTTGGGGGTCTGGATTTTGTTGTCTTCCTTTTTAGTGTCAAATATTGTTTATGCACACAATTAACTTACTAGTGGAGAAGTTTTATCTTGCCAAGAATCTTCTTAGGCTCTTTTAGGGCTGGTCTAGAGTAACCCTTATGCTGGGGATAGATTAGTCCTACTCCTAGGGTGTGGCATTCCTGAGATTGCGGCTGAATTCCCCTATTCTGGCTAGTTAGAACTCCAGCATTCCCAAGCAATGTGCAACTTCTGCTAGCACCCTGTGCATGTGAAGAACAGTATTCAGCTGAAACTGCAAAGGAGCCCTGTACAGATTTCTAGAGACCTTTCTTTGAATAGCTCCCTAATCTCCAGTAGCTTGTCCTTCAATACCCAGTAATCATCTTAGTATCTTTCAATTTCTCTCTCTGTTTTCTCCACCTGCCAAGATCACTGTGATCTATTTGGGCTCTGCACTCTCTGTCATGTGCAGAAAGTACCCCAAGCAGCTATCTGGGGTGAATTTGGAACTGACTTCATGCACTTTGTTTTGTTCCTGAAAGCAGTTCTTATATATATTAGACCAATTTTATAGTTGGTTTGTAGTAGGAGGATAAATGTGTTACCTGTTACTCTGTGATGGTCCTATTAGATAATTTTTGTTTTTCCACTTCTTTGACCCAAAACATCCCCCTTCCCTATAATTTTCAATCATTTCTGTTGGTGCTACCTACTGGAGCTTCACACCATGGTTGTTATTATACTACTTTGAACGTACTACTGCACTGGTACAAAGAATTCTGGTTGCATTCACTAACTCAAGGACTTTGATCCTGTAATAATCTCCTCTTTATCTTGACACATATTTTTTTCCTCTCTACTGGCTTATTCTCATAAGCATAAAGCAGGCTGTAAAGTATCCAGTCTTAAAAATAACTCCTGCCCTTGCCCCATGTCCATTTCCAACTTTGTCTCCATTTTACTGCCTCCTGTGATAGCAAAATTCCTAAAAATATAAAAATAGTTGTGTTTTCTGAGTTCCTGCACATTGACCTTCTTTCTTTTCTGAAGCTCCTCTAATCAAGCCCTCGCTGCAATGACACCAGGTCATAAACAATATCCATCAAGGTCATAAACAATATCCATCTTCCTAAACCAGTGACCAACTCTTGGTTTTCCTCTTTGTCTACTTTCAGCAGGATTCAATACTGTTTAATATTCTCTTTCTCGATTTATTTCTGATTTTGCTTCTAGAGTGCCACAGTCCACTGGATTTTCTCCTCCTTTACAGGCTGCTCCTTTTCCCTCTTCGTCTCTTCTGCTGATTCCTCCTTCTCTTATTCTGGGGCCTTAAATGCTGGAGTGCCCTAGTGACTGCTGGGACAGGTGCTTCTCCCATATCATTGACCATTATTCCCCTTGTCAATACCGTTCTTCCTCATTTCTTCTCTGCTTCTGCTAAAGACACTTTCATTCACCTTGTTATTAGGCAAAGCATGATTCCACTAAAGGTTCTTCTTTATCTCATTTGCAACATTCACTCCATAAGCGTGTTTTATTTGCTTTACCGCCAAAATAGATTGTGAATTCCACTGCTTCTCATGACCTTAACATTAACACCTTCATCCAAGGCATTTTTATCTTGTCTGAATGTCTGAAATAGCCTGTTAACTACTCTTCTTGCTTTCTAGCCCAGTCCATTCTTCAGACAGCTACTAGTGTGACAACTAAAAAGATCAATCAGGCCATAGTGCTGTGGTGGTTAAAGTCAACAGTGCCAACTCTTTAATCTAGAAGAAAATCCACACCTCAAAATGGCTGCACGTTCTAATTACTCAGGGGGCTGGAACTGAGACTTGGCTACATATTAGAATAAACCTGTGGATTTTACAAATTATTGATGCCTGGGTCCCACCTCCAAAGATGGTTATTTAATTGACAGGAGCTTCATCCTGGTCATCAGGACCTTTTTAGACCTCCCTATGCAATCTGAATGTACAACAAAGTTTGAGAACCACTAACTAGTGATTTTTGGGAAAAAAGAACAATTCCCCAGAGATCTGGAAGATGGATTTACCCCTAAAGATTATGATTTAATTGGTGTAGATTGGGACCAAAAAATGCACATCAGTGTTTTCTTAAGCCTCCCAGGAGATTCTACAGAACTGTCTGGATTGAGAACCACAGTCCCACATCACCTTGTCCCTGCCTGTTTCTCCAGTCACACTGACCTGTTTGTGAAGCACATTTTCTTCCTCTAGGCTGCATTATCTCACTGGTGATTTAATATTAATTTAACTAAAGCTTATTTAACATATTTGAAGAACAATCACATGGAGACATCAGTCATATCATGATCAGCTACATTATCCCAAATAGCTAGGCTCATTTTCAGCTCATCTGATTTTGCCTTGGTTAAAAACTTCTGGTTGCCTTTTCTGCAAGGGCAAGTTGTACAAAAAGCATCCCCGTACATTTTTATCTGACGTTTCAGATTCCTGGCCTGGATCCTTCAGAGCAGATTATATAGAAAGCAGGCTGATGTACTATTTTGCCCTTCACAAACCCAAGAGTTAACTCTGCTTATAAGAAAACGCTTGGGAAACAGATACTAGGTTGGCTCCCTTTTTTATTTATCTTTCAAAATTTGGGAAAAAATCAAGTATCCCAATTCTTCCACTCCAAAGTGCAAGGTGGAAATGAGAAAAATGTCATGAGGCTGCTAAGTTTGTGTCTAATTGAATATATATTTTCTAAATTATTCACCTGGAAATTTTTTTTTTCAGAAATACAAAGTTAGTTTCTTCCTATGACTTCTAAGTCTGTGTCACTTCCTTTTGCTGGCAGGTAGATAAAAAGTGCATTTCTTCCCAGCTGGCAAGGAAGAAGAGGTATCAAGGGGACAAGGAGTAAGGAATGAAGAAGGACATGAGAATCTCCTGCTCAAGAAAGAGCTATCTCCACTCTCTGGGAAATTACAGAAATCCTCCCCCTCCTAACAACCACTCTGGGACCACAATCTGGGGAATTTTAAAATGCAAATAATCATTGTTAATATAAATCTTTAACTTCAGACAGTTACTTTTGCAATGTGGATGAATATTGTAATGGTAGATTAATGTATAGTACTCTTGGAGAATCATAAACATCACAGAATGTCTGTGTTTGATATACATTAGAGAACACTAGCAGCTTATTTCATAGATGAAGAGTGTGAGCCTTAATGGGAATTTGGTGACTTGAATAGAAGTTCAAAATAAGACTGAAGCTTACAGTTTAGATGTAATGAGATTACTGCCAGTTTTCTACAAGTTAGCCTACCCTATTTTAATTTTTTTGAATAAGTACTACCATACTCTGCTTAATTTTAAAACGTTGCAATGGCGTCCCAAAATAATGATAGATTTAATGCTAAATAGAATAGATGGGCAAAGAAAACCACATTTCTAAAACTAAAACAAACATTATGAAAAGCTATTTCATGGCTCTTTAGAAAAACTTTGATACATAGCTTTGAGACATATTTTTTAAAAAACCATTTATTGAAATAAGAAATACTAAAAATATTATATGAATACAATAAAGCAAAAGCTCACGGACGTTAGTCCTCAAAACTCATTGGCTTAGCATACGGAAGCCTTATTTCATGAATTAAATCCTATGGTTCCCACCTTCTTAGCTATTAATTATTTAAAACATATTTTAGGTAAATAAAACCTTATCTTGGAGTTTAGGGGAATTCATGGTTGGGTTTAGAGTCGTATTTTTTTTTTTTTTTTTTTTTTTTTTTAGTGAGATAAAACTGAATTTCTAAGTTCCAGTTATTTTCGAAATATTTCAAGCCCCATCATCTTAAACCATTGTTAAATCAACTCTACAGATGCCACATGGCTCATGATCCTTTGCTCACCTCTGACAATCAACTGGCTTTGGTGCTCCACAGCGGCGGCCTCATTCCGGGCTATGCAGGTGTAATTCCCATTGTGCATGAGCGAGAGATTGGAAATCCTCAAGGAGCTCGTGAAGTCAATATTGTCAATGGTCACCCCAAGGCTCCCAGGGATTGGCCGGCCATCCTTCTGCCAGGTGATCGTGATGGGTAAGTCCCCTGAGACCACAACACAGGGGATGAAGACCCGCTGCCCAATGGAGAATCTTGGAAACTCAAAGGGTTGTATGAAAGGCGGAACTGCAAGAAAAAAGAAAGATAATAACGAACTGTGCTTATTCTACATTTGCTTTTCCTTTAACCCTGTATACGGCACTGAAAGGGTAGTACAGACGATCATAGATACAGCATAGAAATACAGGAACTGTAGCAAATTTGAAATTCTGCTTCTATTATTTGAATGTTCTCATCATTTTAAATAAAAACCATGGTTCAATTTGTACTTCAGCAAGTTAATTTTGTTCAACAAACTTTAATTTAAAAATTATTTTTGAATGAAAACATTTCAGACTATATCTGTAGTGTAAATAGTGTGAAAGAGGGATTTAGGTTTGGTTTTCCTTCAAAGCCTTTTAAAATGATGTATACAAGAGGAGGTTTCTTTCCTACTTTGCGACTATGACACTACAATTACTGTTCCCCTTCTAATTGTTTCCTGCCTTGTAAATAGGCATATTCTAAACCCACTGAAGAAGCAGAAATTCCAATTTTGGCTGGATGTGGTGGCTCACACCTGTAATCCCAGCACTTTGGGAGGCCAAGGCAGGAGGAACACTTGAGGCCAGGAGTTCAAGACTAGCCTGGGCAACATAACGGGACCCCCATATCTACAACATTTTTTTAAAAAATTAGCCAGGTGCGATGGTGTGCACCTCTGGTCCCAGCTACTGAGGAGGCCAAGGCGGGAGGATCCCTTGAGCCCAGGAGTTCGAGGCTGCAGTAAGCTACGAGGGCACCAGTGCACTCCAGCCTGGGTGACTCCAGCCTGTGTCTAAAAAACTAAAAAAAAAAAAAAAAGTAAAATAAATATTCCAATTTTATTGTTAAAGTTCTCTGTTATGTCCAACTAATAACAACCATTAATTATAAATTCTTATTTCATATTAGAATAACTACATCTTTACTTTGCATCTCTTAGTTTTGCACACTTTACGTGTGTAACTTTTAATTGTGAACTGGTCCGTGGCAGGTTATTTGACTTGCTGATGTATTGCTAAGGAGGTCGGGTTATAGCCTTCAGCCTGGCCTGCCATGGACACTGCAAGCAAACTCAGCCTGGAAAGCTCTTTCCTGATTCAGCTTTGCTGAGTGATGCCTGTTTTGTCCACCTTGCCTTAGGAACTCTCTTCCTCAGTGCCCTCCTAGATGATGTCATAGGGTATTAACATTCTGAAATAGTTAAAATGGAGTCAGATGAACCACATTTGAACTCTAACTGTTACTTGTTAGTTATGAGCAAAGTAATATGCTCTTTCATCAGCCTTACGGATTAGTTATTTATTGCTTTACTTTGCAGATGGGAAAAGTGATACTCAAAGATGTTACCTTGCCCTTTTGGTCTTAGAACTAGTTAACTATTCTCGGAGGGCTTAAATCATGTCAATATAACTAATATCAGAGCCTGTAATGTAAGCCTTTTTTGTGTTTTTGCATACATTCTTGGAAAGAAAAAGGTTTATTTGTATGCAGGGGCTTGGAAATGACTAAGAGTACAAACTAAGATGATTAATCATGTGATAATCTAATATAAACCAATTATTATATTACGAGTTTTTCCTAATGAAGTTATTAAAGATTTCTACAGTTTATTCAACAATTGTAAGTCCATTTCAACTATCAGCTTAAGGAAGAGGTAAGGGATCCGGCTGAGAAATTTGAATAGAAAACCATTCATTCATTTATTTGTTCATTCAATCAAGTCATGTTTATTGAGCACCTGGGATGTGTGTGGCAGCAGTGAACGTGCTGGGCACACAGCAATGAGCATAACCCATCAGCCTCTGCCAGTGGAGCTTCCATATATAGCCATAGGCCGCAGACAGCAAGGAAGTGCAGCCATGGCGCTTCTCTTATTTCGTATTATCACTATGACGGCTGTCTGCTTTCAAAAGCAGTTGGGAGCTAGAACTCAAAATTGCAAGTACAGCCAGAGGTCGAAGAAGTAGGTAGCTCAAGTTAGGTTTTACCAGGGAAATTAATTTTTTTAAATGGTCAAAGGTACCGACAAGCATACTCAATGTCAATCCTCCTGTGGATTCTCCATGTAAAGTTAGATCTTTGGGATTGAAAAGGGCTGATCTGATGCTAAGAGATAAAGGTCTCAGGATGAGATTCTATCCAGTGCTGGTGGAGAGAATCGGGTCAGACTGAGGTATGAACGTTCTCAGTTGGAATGTGCTGGAGAAAATGTCATGTTGTACCAAAGGTGCTTGTATTTCTTTAAATCTCTTGCCCCCAAGTGGCATAAATGCTCACTATATATGTAAATATTATTAATACTAAATTGCTATGCTTTATTAAAGAAAATAATTACATTTCCTCCCCTTTGATTTCCTGGACACAAAAACCTGGTTGTCAGCATACTCAGACAAACCTTGGCTTGGTGCTTACTGTCTGAATTACAGACAATTTTTCTAAGATAAGAACTTTGGAGCCAGGCTACTTTGGTTTAAGTTCAGCTATGCTACTTACTACAGTTACTTAACCCCTCTCAGGGTCTCAGTTTCCTTATTTATAAAATAGAGTGCTGCCTTGAGCTCTGAATGAGTTAACACAGTAATTCTCAAACTTAGTTGTGTATCTGAATCAGTTTCTTAGCATTTGTTCTATTTCACAAGCCTTTAAGATGAGGAAAAAACAGGTAAGTTGAAAGGTTACTGGGCTAATTTTCTCTATCAGTTACAACAGGGAGAAGGAATACGTGAGGATTTACTTTCTCCAAATCAAGAAAGAAAGGTAAGACATAGCATATTTTTTAATCTAGCTATTTAATAAGAAGGCCGGGTGTGGTGGCTCACGCCTGTAATCCCAACACTTTGGGAGGCCCAGGTGGGCAAATCACCAGAGGTCAGGAGTTCGTGAGCAGCCTGGCCAACATGGAAAAACCTTGTTTCTACTAAAAATAAAAAAAAAAAATTAGCCAGGCATGGTGGCGTGCACCTATAGTCCCAGCTACTAGGGAGGCTGAGGCAGGAGAATTGCTTGAACCCGGGAGGCTGAGGTTGCAGTGAGCCAAGGTCATGTCACTGCACTCCAGCATGGGAGACAGAGCGAAACTCCGTCTCAAAAAAAAAAAAGGAAAACATAGAGTGTAGGTTGTAAATAATTGTAAAGTATTAGAATGTCCCTTTAGAGCATAAGAGAGTTATAGAATACAGGAAATATATGCACATACAAATTTTCAAGAACAGAAGTAAGAGGTAGCTATAGAAGAATCAGCATTAAAACCAAAACGAAAACCAAAACCCTGTGTTTTCTATAATTCCAAAATATTTGCAATTCATCAGTGTATGGTATTTAAGGAATATTTTTATCATTACTTTAGTACAAAGCAACAGGGCTGAAAATCAAGAAGTACACTTCCAAAGCACTGAAAAACCAGTGTCAGAAAGCTAATGCACTAAATCTCATACACATCACTCCAAGGATAATCCCTTGCTTTGAACATCTTATTTTAAATCATTACAACACTGTCAGTTATCTGATATCTTGGCCTAAATCAGATTCTGGGAGTTCAGGCATATTGAAGAGGGCTTAGTAAGAAGCCACAATTGGCAAGCAAAAGGAGGAGGGTGAGAAACTAAAAGTAAATTATAAAGAACAGACACAAAAACGCAACACACACAGTAGTTGGATGACATTTTGTTTGGGAGCACATTGCCCTTAGTAGTCAGCATTTTTGTAATTAATACAAAATCGTAATACTTAATTAGCATTCTGAATTATAAGTCACGGTTAACATATTAAATAAAAAGATACATTTAAAATATTTTAAAACATATCTACCAAAAAAAAGCCTTTCCAAAATGGTTAAAATAAATATTAAAGAAAAGTTTAGTCATAAGGAAAAGCGTTTTCCCAGAAGAATGTCAAAATTAGGTTTGCTATGTGTTGCTTTGCTTGCCACATTATGTAAGGACACATTAGGTCAGTATGCACATTACATCATTGTTAATGTAAATTAAATCACAAGACCTATTTGTCAATCATGTCAATTCTTTCTTCACTGCTTAAGTTGCCTTGCTTGCATCAGCTGTGAGTTGCAAGTCTGCTGCATACAAATGCATAAAATTTTTAAAGCGTCTTAAGCCTTATATTTTATATTCATAAGACATAAGATCGATGGCACAAAGTAACTCCAGTGATTAGAAAACTCTTCTCATGATTTTGGGAAAGCTGAACCTCCTATTTGAGACACACTGATTACCTGATTCATGATATCACCTAAATAAGGTAAATTATCTGAATCTTGCTGACAGTAAAAGCTTGTATATCATAGGAGCAGAAATCCTGAATATGACACACACCGCTTTTGACATACCCTTTCTACAAGAAGTACGTAAATATCTGATAAAGGTCATTTATTACCAGGCTTGTGTATTTCACTCTACATAATGGCGGGGGTCCTTTTCCTAGGCAGCTCAGAGCCATTGAATACTGCCAAATGTCAATTTTGACTCTTACTCTATCTAAACCCTTAACAAGAATATTAGATCAGACTGATATATTTCTGTCTTGTCTCTTAAAAATTAATTGTATATTCTTCTTCATGGAGGGAAATGCTTTGATTTCTCCTAGAGAAGAGGCGTATAAGACTTTGATAAAATCATGGGTGGGGTGCTCGTCAATTCTGGGTGATTAGCAGTGTTATCTTGATCCAGTTTATTTAGCTCTGCGATTCTATCTCTTCATGTGTAACGAGGTGATAATGAAACACAGTTCATTATCAGCTTGCATTGAAATAGACAGCAAGTAGCTCTTCTGCGCAGCCACAGGGCTATTTACTGTCCAGTTCAGTGCAAGGCGTGACTCCGAAATGATGAGGCTGTGAGCAGGTGGGAGTTTCTAGTCCGGGGTATACCTTCAAGATCTCCTCACCCATAAGTCTGGTTATCTGGTCAATTCTGCTACTTAACAACATCGTTTAGCTAAATTTTAGATTACTGACCCAGTCTGATACAGTTCTCCACAATGTACATACAACACAAGTAAGCGGTTCCTCTACTCACTCTTGTTCAAAACTCTTGTATGGAATTTATCACATTGATGACTCAAGTGAGTACAGTGATTTATGGACGTGCCCATTTTCTTAAGTAGAGTGACCCAGGAGGGCAGGAGATCTATCAAGTTTATCTTTTTTATTTCCCACAACTAGTGGGATAAATAGTGTCCTGTTCTTTTTTTTTCTTTTCTTTCTTTTTCTTTTTTAAACGGAGTTTTCACTCTTGTTGCCTAGGCTGGAGTTCAGTGGCATGATCTCGCCTCACTGCAACCTCCACCTCCCGGGCTCAAGTGATTCTCCTGCCTCAGCCTCCCAAGTAGCTGGGATTACAGGCACACGCCACTAGGCTTGGCTAATTTTTTTTGTATTTTTAGTAGAGACGGGGTTTCACCATGTTGGCCAGGCTGGTCTCGAACTCCTGACCTCATGTGATCCACCTGCCTTGGCCTCCCAAAGTGCTGGGATTATAGGCGTGAGCCACCGAGCCTGGATGTCTTGTTCATTTTGATTGAATAATGTTTTTTAGAAAAAAACTTTCAGAGGTGATGATGAACATATGTTTACACTCTGCACTTTAGACAATCCTGAAGTCATTAAGAATGACTTAGTTTACTGAGAATGATGATTTCCAATTTCATCCATGTCCCTACAAAGGACATGAACTCATCATTTTTTATGGCTGTATAGTATTCCATGGTGTATATGTGCCACATTTTCTTAATCCAGTCTATCATTGTCGCAAGGACAAAAAACCAAACACCGCATGTTCTCACTCATAGATGGGAATTGAACAATGAGAACACATGGACACAGCAAGGGGAACATCACATTCTGGGTACTGTTGTGGGGTGGGGGGAGGGGGGACGGATAGCATTAGGAGATATACCTAATGCTAAATGACAAGTTAATGGGTGCAGCACACCAGCATGGCACATGTATACATGTGTAACTAACGTGTACATTGTGCACATGTACCCTAAAACTTAAAGTATAATTAAAAAAAAAAAAAAGAATGACTTAGAAAAGAGGAGCAGGCAGACACTTCCAGGACTTAATAATGACGACATGGCAGGGACAAGAGTGAAGCTCCTCTTCATAGTCTTATTAGCCTAGGGGCCGAGGACTTCTAACTACTGTGCCAACTCTCCCCTCTGCTGGCAGGGCCAGTTGGGGAGCTTGAGTCAATATCTGGCCTTGTTTATTTAGGTACGGTCCTCGCGCCAACTCTGAATTGCTATGTGAGTTTGTTTCCCTGAGATCGGTGACTTCCAACCAGCAGCAGCCAGAGATGCACCTAGCTTACCGTGACTTAGGCTGCTGGTCCCGTGACCTGCACCTGCTTTAGCAGGAAGGGCAGGAGGCCAAGATGCAGAGACATATGATGAGGGAGTGATAAGGATATTGCTGGAGCCGGTGGGTGCTAAAAGAAACCAGAGGCTGCGTGGGTCACATCAACTTAGATTCCATTAGTTTCCCTTCTTAGCCTCTCACTCCAAGCTCCCCGCGGGGTTCAATATGAGCTGATATTAACTGACATTGACCTAGGCGAAAAAGGCAAGAGTGAGCCAGTGGGGAATTCTTTGGCCCTGCCTTCTGGGTGGGAAGGACAGGGAAGGACAAGGCATTGTCCTTGCAGTGTGGTGGAGATGACTTTTAGGATCTATCTTTAAGGTTTCCTTAAAGAACTGTGTCTTGGGCATATTTGTAATAGCCCAAATCATACAAAACTTTAAAAAATGTTTCAAGTATCTGTTTTTCTCTAGACATAGATTTGAAATACCACATTTGAATTTCTGTGGATGAATGAAGTAGGAGTTTTGAGTATATTTTGATAAATTTACATCTTTTGAATTATTTAAGGTGTACTCAAATGAGAAGTATACCTCCTTTAGGGGAGGAGTTATAAGTAAAAACAGCAGACCAAAGTTTTCTCTGGCCACATTCTCCATTCTAAGAAAACATGTTCCCCATGGACAGAAAAAAATAGCTGGACCCAATCATCCATGTCTTCCTTAGTTTCAGAAAGTGTCAAGGCACTGAACCTGCTGTGACTTGGAGAAAACAAACAAGAAAGGCTAAATAATGTTCGTGTGTGCATGTGTGTGTGTGTGTATGTGTGTGTGACATTCTCTTTATCCATTCATCTACCAATGGACACTTAAGTTGTTTCCATGTCTTGGCTGTCGTGGATAGTGCTGCCATGAACGTGGGATCACAGGTACCCCCTTCACAGAGTGATTTCATTTCCTCTGGATATACACCCAGTAGTGGAATTACTGGATTATATAAATTTTTTTAGGAAACTTCCTATTGTTTCCTATCATGTCTACACTAATTTACATCCCCACCAACACTGTACGGGGTTCCATTTTCTCCACACAGCCTTGCCAACACTTGTTATCTTTTGACTTTTTGACCACAGCCATACTAACAACTAAATCATGCAGGCCAAATTTCACAATTCTCACTCAGAGTGGGCACCAAGAGATTAAAGGTGGTAAAAATACCCCATGGAATACTTTGCAGCCATAGAAAGGAATGAGATCATGTCCTTTGCAGGGACATGGATGGAGCTGGAAGCCATTATCTTCCACAAACTAATGCAGGAACAGAAAACCAAACACTGCATGTTCTCACTTATAAGCGGGAGTTGAACAATGAGAACTCATGGACACAGGGAGAGGAAGAAAGCATGTGAAAGCATGGGTAAGGGGAGGGAAAGCATCAGGAAAAATAGCTAATGCATGCTGGGCTTAATACCTAGGTGATGGGTTGAGAGGTGCAGCATACCACCATGGCACACATTTACCTATGTGACAAACTTGTACATCCTGCACATGTACCTTGGAACTTAAAATTAAATGAAATAAAATAGAAGAACATTATGTCCGCTATAGTTACTGATGTGATAAAAATCTTTCCTCATATTATATTGTAATTTTAAACAGTGGATTGAATTATTTTATTTCCTGGTATTATTTCATAATGCATATTGTTTTTCCTATATAGAATTATTCTTTATTTTACACAATAAAGATTCTAATATGGCCATTGCAGTGTTAGCTTTGTTCCATTATTAGAATTGTATCACACAATTTTTTTATAGTAAATATGATTTGAAATTATTTCTAAGTTAATTAAATGGGCCAGTAATATATTCTTTAAAATAATAAATTTTGTCACTGTGTTAGTCCATTTTCATGCTGTGGATAAAGACATATCCAAGACTGGGCAATTTACAAAAGAAAGAGTTTAATTGGACTTACAGGTCCACGTGGCTGGGGGAGCCTCACAATCATGGCAGAAAGCAAGGAGAAGCAAGTCCCACCTTACATGGATGGCATCAGGCAAAGAGAATGAGGAAGACGCAAAAGCGGAAATCCCTGATAAAACCATCAGATCTCATAAGACTTATTCACTACCACGAGAACAGTATGAGGAAACTGCCCCCATGATTCAATTATCTCCCACCAGATCCCTCCCACAACACGTGGGAATTATGGGAGTAAAATTCAAGATGAGATTTGGGTGGAGACACAGCCAAACCCTATCAGTCACCATCTCTGTTCATTTATGTGTATTTACTTTAAATGTCTAAAAGATAGATAAGTACCCTACAAGAGTTTATGAGAGTTCATAGATCCCATGGCAAAAGTTAATGAGGGTGGATATCACATTCATTTGAAGAATCATACTACACATTACAAAATTGAATTATGAGATTGAAAACCATGAATAAATAGTTCAACAATTCAGATGGAAAGGAATGTCTCTTACTAATCATACGCTAATGGAACCATTGTTCCTCAGTGTCCTGACCTGGCCTTGTTCTTCCTTCTCTCTCCCTGATGGTCTCAGCACCTCCTTTGCCCCAGCTGTCAGCTCAATGCTGTTGACTCCTAATCTAAATTTTCAAACAAAAACTCCTTCTCAAGATTCATGCCTGCTTGTTCAGTAGTATGTCAATATCTTCATCTTGATGTCTCAGAAGTATCTCAAATCCCAAACCAAACATAGCAAGTTTCCCCTTAATCTAAGCTTCTTCAATTCTCTGTTCTTAGTAGTGATAGCAAAATATTTTGGTTGCAAGAAGCTTCGAATAATAAAAGCGTTCCTAGTTGTGCATTTCTTTTTGTGTCCAGCTGCTGAGAGTGTGCTGCTATGTATTGTCTACTCCAATTCTCAACATGTCTTTTGTGTGGTTTCTCTTTTTCCAAACACAGTACTATCACCTTTTTAATTACAACTCTTTCAATTGTGTCCTAACTGGTCATTCTTTTTTTTTTTTTTTTCATCTTTCTGCACTGTGATATACCTTACCCACCTCAACCAGATTAATGTTTCTAAAACATTGCTGCGAGCATTTACCTCTGCTCCAACACCTTTAGGATTCAGCAGGATGTGCTAACTCTCCGAGGCCTGGTCCTCTCTGTGCAGATGCAGACCTTCGCTTACTGGGAGTATCCTTTGTGTCAGCCATAGGGGCTCTTACATGTGAGCAACTGCACCTGACCCACCTCTGTCCCCACACCCTGTCCGAGCCCCATTCTCACTCTGATCATCTTATAATGGCAAAACTACACTCAATTGTTTCTGCTTTTGGAAACCGTTTCAGGCGCTAGACCCTTTTGAGATTCAACTCAGCTTTTCTTGGACATTCTTTTTTGGCTCCTCAAGACTTCTCAGCCTACCCTATGCCCAGAATTAGATAAATGTCCACTTCCTCTGCTCCTAAAACACATACTGCATATTTCTCTGATGGTATTGTGTTGATGTCTGCATTTGTCTTCTTTGTCTCCCTGCTGTTCTCCTGCGCCAGGTGTCATGGCTGCTGTTTTGGACCTTCTGCTGCCCCTCGCCCAGGACATTTGCTGCTTCCTGTCGTGTGTTGCCATCATTTGTCTGTGGGTTCTCCCACAGACCCCAACACCTTGCTGGCAGTGACCATCCTATTATTACTTGATCTCATTAACAGCAGACGCACAAGTATTACCTGAATACATTTTTAAAAAACATCTTAGCACTCACAAAACTAAAGAGATTTTTTGAGTTGAAACTTGTTCTGATGACAAAGGTCCAATTGAGCTATGAACTACAACACAATACACTATGGTACACTGTAATATTTCTCATTTCTAATTTGAAATATTGGACTCATGTCATTATAGAAAGCGGGAGCAATTTTTTTTTTTTTGGAGACAGATTCTTGTTTCCCATCTTGTTGCCCAGGCTGGAGTGCAGTGGCATGATCTCGGCTCATGGCAACCTCCGCCTCCCAGGTTCAATCAATTCTCCTGCCTCAGACTCCCGAGTAGCTGGTACTACAGGTGCCCGCCATTACACCTGGCTAATTTTTGTATTTTTGGTAGAGACAGGGTTTCACCATGTTAGCCAGGCTGGTCTCAAACTCCTGACCTCAGTTGATTTACCCGCCTCGGCCTCCCAAAGTGCTGGGATTACAGGCGTGAGCCACCACGCCCGGCCAGTGGGCGCAAATGAATGAAAAAATGTGTTTAGGAAAAGGTGTTTAAGACCCACATGTATAGCCATTTGACATCTACGTAAGTGGGAGGAGTTGCACTGACCAGATTCCTTTCAAGAAAGGACATGTTACCACCAATTCATGGGGTGATGTCATCTGGAAGTTATTGGCCACCTCGGAGATTGTCTCAGCTGCAGAGGCCCACTTCACCCAAGGACAGGCTCTTTTTTGGAGTGTCCTCAATCTAGTGACTGATTGAGGAGCAATTCTGCCCAAACTCAGGACAACCCTGAAGGACTGTTCTTGCTCCAGAGCTCACTGTCATTGGCCTGCATCCCAGCTCACTCTTTCTTCGCCCAGTCCTTCTTCCTGTCCTTCCCTCCTCGGTTGTTGATCATAAGGCACTCCTTGATAAACACTCTTCACACTAGCATCCATCTCAGAGTCAGCTTCCCGAAAAACCCAACCACAATGGTTTGTTTCATCTACAGCAAAAATGCATGCACCATTAATAACAAAACCAGGTCTGTGTGTGACACACTCTCCATATACTTCAACCATCCATTCACATTACTTTAACTCATCTGGGACTGGGACTAGAAGAGAATTAGTGCTGAGTTCTCTTTCAAATATACCCCTCTATACATGATGAAAAGTATCTTGTTATTTTCCCTCAGAACAAGGAAAAGATAGAAGAAGAATAAAAAAAGAAGCAAGGGAAAACGTTTAAAAGGTGAATTTTAAAATTGTTGCTCACTAACTTAAAAAAAATGCTGTGTTTGTTTTGTTGTTTTTGCTCATTCAGCTGGCCCAAGTTTAGCTAGTGTTCTGAGCAAAAATTCAGTTTTTCTCTCTAATAATTGGAATATATCAGGAATAAGAGTAGCTAACTTTTCTACAATGATTTTAAACAAAGTAGTTCTTCTATAGGATGCTTATTTTAGACTGCTAGACTGTGAAAAGAGGTAAAGAGTCATAAATATAACAACGAAGTAAGGGGGCTGGGTGCAGTGGCTCACGCCTGTAATCCCAGCACTTTGGGAGGCTGAGGTGGGCGGATCATCTGAGGTCAGGAGTTTGAGGCCAGCCTGGCCAACATAGTGAAACCCCATCTCTGCTAAAAATACAAAAATTAGCTGGGCATGGTGGCTCACCCCTGTAATCCCAGTTACTTGGGAGGCTGAGGTAGAGAATTGCTTGAACCCAGGAAGCAGAGATTGCAGTGAGCCGATATTGTGCCATTACACTCCAGCCTGGGCAACAAGAGTGAAACTCTGTCTCAAAAAAAAAAAAAAAAAAAAAAAAAAAAGAAAAAAAAAAGAGAGAGAGAGAAAAGGAAATAAAAGGAAGGCAAATAACTTTTTTCCCAAAAATTGTTTAAAATTATCAAGTAAGTCCATGGGAGGAAAAAAATAATTAAAATGTTTTAGGAACAAGAAAAAGATATCCCAAGGCATAAAGTAGAATTATAATAAAGAGAAACACAAAAGATGCAAGTTGGATACAATAAAGGGAAAAAATAAACTACTTGAAATTTGGGGGCGTAAAAGAGTAAAACAAACTCTGAGAAGCATGGCAGTGTCTCCTTCCAATGCACTTCCAAAAAAAATGGATGCCCTGCAATATTGTCAACCAGATGCCTAAAGGGGAATGTGGTGGAAAGAACTGGATAATTTCTTGGGGCCATTTGAGTCTTCAATCATATGAAACATCTCTTGAAAGTTATTTTTATGGAGTGTATTGTAAAGCCATAATCATATTATGTTGAAATAGTTTCTTTAAAAGATTAAAACGACCAAGAACTTAAAAACTTATGATAATATCTATATGTAAACAATTAGAGTCACCATGGTCTGAGCAGGATGACAGGTTATGTTTCCCCTGGTTGAGAGCAATAATACCTTCATACAGAAGACTGTAATAAAACTGAGTTACTTTTCTGCATTTTTAATATGAAAAGAAAAGCCATTTGAATCATCAAGGCATCAAGAAAATGAAACATATCTCATGTTTTACTTATTTAGTTAGAGAAAAGTGTCATCTAGATGAGGTACAATTATTTTATTTTTGTTTATATGGACTTCTGATGGAAGCAAAGCCATGTGACCCCAACCAGAGGTGACGACAACCAGGCTTAATAACAAAAGTAAACAAGATTCATAAAATCACTGGTATTCATTTTAAAACTTGGCTTATTTTTCCAATTAGTTTTTTTACAAGGATTGTTAGTAATAGATTATTTGCTTGAGAAGTATTTTTCATGACGTTGGCTTAGAAAAGGTCATAGCTCTTTAGAAGCTTGGTTAATAATAACTGACTTGAAGAGGCTTTTTTTTAAGTAAAGTGCTGAAATATGTTACAGTGAGACAAGGGTATAAAAAGGTAGTCAATATATTTCACAGAACTAAGACTGCCTCTGACAGCACCATCATGGTATCTTGGTAGATGGAGAGGAGAAGAAAACATGGGTCATTTAATAAATATTGGGATAACTGACTCGATATAGATAGAAAATATATTGGACCCCAGCTTTACTATATCTGTGAAGCTCAGTGTGGGTTGAAGGCCTAAATGCAAACAGCAAAAATAGAGACATAGAACAAATACAGAAAAAAATAGGAATGCATCTTCATGAGCTCATAAATTTCTTAAACAAGGTCCAAATGAAGACAAAGGCAAAGTTAAGAGAGAAAAGACAGCCTTGGAAAAGATATTCACAATCATTTCTAAGTAATAAGAGATTCATATTTATACTAAAGAACTACAGCAAAGCAGGAAGAAGTAGCAGGAGTGATAGCAAATGCACAAAGCAATGCATAGATGAAATCCTCAGACATCTCCTGAGAGTATAAAAAGACATTCAAGCACAATAGTAATGAAAAGAAAACAAATTAAAACAAAGAGCTCCTTTACATCAATCAGCTTTGTCACAAATAGAAACACAGGTACCAGGATGCGGGGAACTGGGACCTCTAATGCATAGCTGGTGGTAAAGTAAACTGGTATAGGAATTTTGGAGAGTGGCTATGCAATTATTAGTGAAGTTAAATTCTATGACCTAACAATTCTACTACTGGCCCTCTAGTAATATTAATACTACACATGGACACATTTATAAGATACCCATGGTAGTATTTGTACAGAGTCAAAGGGCTGGGTGGGGGGCAAACTAAGCATTCACTTTTGTGCTGTTATTGTATATATTTACATGCATGTCTAAATAAGGATGCCAGAAAATTAATTTAAAATAAATATATTAAGTACACATAAGTCTGTGCCTATGAGACAGGGACAAACGATACCAGAATTGGTGGATGGTTGAAAAAAGGGGGGACAAGTTAAAATAAAACAAAATAAGGATCTTGCATGGACAGATGATAATGGTGTGGTGTCAGCCAAAAGTTGACAAAACAAAAACAAAATTCACCATTGGGATTTTTGTTCATGAGTCCCAAACCATGGCTCAACAGTGGGACATGGGCTGCAACTAGGCGTTCTTGTCTTCAGGACAGAGGTGGCACTCTCATTCCCCTCTTTTATTCATTAGAAAATGCCCAGAGGGCTATGTTTCATTGAGACAAAATAGACACATCAGTGTGTCCTTCAAAGGAAAGGAGCTGCTGAACTTCGTTGCATACAAAGTATTTAAACAAATGGGGACGCTAGAGATGGTTAGCCAGGAAGACAAAGCTTAGTCTTTTGCACGACTGGGAGCTTTATGTGGAGAAACGGGGAACTATTTAGTGTTGCTCTAGAGGGAATATTCGAACCAGAAAGAAGAGAAGAGCTAGAGAAGGCATATTTGTATGTATCTCTATTTGTATGTATGTCAGACAGAGGAAGAACTGTCTGACAATCACAGCCATGTAGAAACAGAAAGGGCTGAGAGCTTAGTGAACCACTGCACAGATCGTGCAGGAAGAGTCTAGAAAAATGTGGGGTACAGTCCAGGGGCATGTTGAATATCACATGGGAGGCTGGTCTAGATGAACTTCAAGCTGATTTATAGCCCTAAGATTCTAAGAGTCTATAATTGTATCATGCATCTATATATCTGTAACCACATATATATGTACTTATATATAATATACATATATAACTATATGTATATTTATATTTGTGTTTTATATTTATATATCTTTATATTTAAAATATAATGCATATAAATGTTATATAGGTGTATGAAGTACACAATTTTATTGAATTTATATATTTAAACAATTTACATGTGTTTTGAGTCAATGCATATAAAAGATCCTACCGCATGGTTCTGAATAATTGAGAGTTGTTATTTCTGACTTAAAATGTCATTATCACGGCATTATTTTTAGCACTGCCAAAGAGTTTTTCCCTGTGGTGTGTGCACAAACGTGTGTGTATTTGCAGATTAATTATGAATTAGACAGCAAAAGTGTTAGTAATTTGCTTGGCATTCTTTTCCCTTTCTTATCTCTACATAATTCTCTCCTTCTCTAAGTTTCCCATGTTCAGCAAGTGCAACAAGTATTATAAAACATAATTTATCTTGCAATTTTAACTAAATAAAAGAATTGTATTCTTATATGTTGATTTTGTATCCTGCAACTTTACTGAATTGGTTTATTACTTCTAATCCTTTTTGGTAGTGTCTTAGGGTTTTCTATATATATGGTCATGTCATTTGCAAACAAGTTAATTTCTTCCTTTCCAATTTGAATTATCTGAATGCCTTGTATTTCTTTCTCTTGCCTAATTGCTTTGGCTGAGACTTCCAGTGACATGTTGAATGGAAGTGGCAAGAGTGTGCATCTTTTTTTTTTTGTTCAGAATCTTAAGGAAAAGCTTCCAACTTGTCTCGAGTACAATGTTAGCTGTAGGTTTGTCATGTATGGCCTTTATTATGTTGAGGAACATTCCTTCTGTATCTAAATTGTTGAGAATATTTATCATGAAAGGATGTTAAATTTTGTCAAGTATTTTTCTACACCTATTGAAATAATCATATGATAAAGCTACAAGGCAAAAATCAGTAGTGTTTGTATACACTAATAGTGAACTATCTGAAAAAAATTAAAGAAAACAATCTCATTTACAATAGCTACAAAAACTAAAATACTTATGAATAAATTAACCAAGGAGGTGAAAGATCTCTACAGTGATAAGTATAAAACATTGGTGAAAGAAGTTGAGAAAGACAGAAATAAATGGAAACATAACTTGTGTTCATGGATGAGAAGAATTCATGTTGTTAAAATGCCCATCTTACCTGAAGTGACCTACAGAGTCAATGTACTTTCTACCAAAATACCAATGACATTTTTCACAGAAATAGAAAAAAAAATCCTAAAATTCCAATATAACCAAAAAAGAGCCAGAATAGCCAAAACAATCTTGAGGAAAAAGAACAAAGCTAGAGGCATCACACCACATGACTTCAAAATATACTACTGAGCTATAATAACCAAACAGCATTGTACTTCCATAAAATCATAGACCAATGGACCAGAATGGTAAATCCACACATTTACAGCAAACTGATTTTTAACAAAGGAGCCAAGAGCACACAATGGGGTCTTTTCAGTAAATGGTGTTGGGGAAACTAGATACCCACAAGCAGAAAAATGGAATTAGATCATTAACTTTAATTTATGATGTCTCTAATGCCATATACACAATTAAACTCAAACTGGATTTAAGACTTAAATGGAAGGGCCTAAACTATGACACTACTAGGAGAAAACATAGGGAAAAATCTCCTAACATTGCTCTGGGCAGTGACTTTTGGTTATTACCCCAAAAGCATGGACAACAAACGCAAAAATAGAACAATGGGATTACATCAAACTAAAAAAACTTCTGCACAGCAAAGGAATCAATCACCAGAGTGAATGAAGTGACAACCTATATATAGAAGGAAAGAATATATTTGCAAACCGTACATCTGATAAAAGGTTACTATCCAAAATATATAAAGGATTCAAACAATGCAATAGCAAGAAAACAACCTGATTTGAAAATAGGCAAATTGAATGAATATTAAAAAATGGGCAATGAACCTGAATAAACATTTCTCAAAAGAAGACATACATGGCTAACAGGTATATAAAAAATGCTCAACATCGCTAATTATCAGGGAAATGCAAACTAAAACCAAAATGAGGTTATCATCTCACACATGTTAGAATGGCTATTATAAAAAACATGAAAAAAACAAGCATCGGTGAACATGTGGAGAAAAGAGAAGCTTTGTACTGTATTGATAGGAATGCAAGTTATTATACTCACTATAGAAAATAGTATGGAGGTTCCTCAAAACATTAAAAATAGAACCACCATATTTTCTAGCAATCCCATTACTGGGTATACATGAAAAGGATATGAAATCAGTGTGTTGAAGAGATATCTACACTTCCATGTTCATTGTGGCATTGTTTACAATAGCCAAGATATGGATTCAAGTGGCTAAATGGTCACCAGCAGATGAATGGATTAAAAAATATATGGTATACATACACAATGGTTGCCAAAAAAAGGGACAAGTTAAAATAAAACAACTGTAATCCCTGCACTTTGGGAGGCCGAGGCAGGCAGATCACGAGGTCAAGAGATTGAGACCATCCTGGTCAATATGGCGAAGGCTTGTCTCCACTAAAAATACAAAAATTAGCTGGGCATAGTGGTGCACGCCTGTAGTCCCAGCTACTTGGGAGGCTGAGGCAGGAGAATCACTTGAACCCAGGAGGCAGAGGATGCAGTGAGCCGAGATCGCGCCACTGCACTCCAGCCTGGCCACAGAGTGAGACTCCGTCTCTAAATAAATAAATAAATAAATAAATAAATAAATAAATAAATAAATAATAAAAATAAAAAATAAAATAAGGACCTTCAGCCTTAAGACTATTCAACCTTAAGAAAGAGTGAGCTGTAGTCCTTTGTGACAATATGGATGAACCTGGAGAACATTATATTAAGTGAAATAAGCCAGGCACATAAAGGCAAATACCACATCATCTAACTCATATATGCAATCTAAAAAGGTTGATCTTATAGAAGTAGAAAGGAGAATGGTGGTTCCCAAGGGCTGGAGTTACTGGGGAGGTGTGTGTCAAAGGACACAAAATTTCAGGAGGAAAAGTCCAAGAGATCTATTGTACAACATGGTGACTGTAGCTAATAATTTATTGTATTCTTGAAAAATGTTTACAGTGAATGTAAAGTGTTCTTACCACAAACATGATAACTATGTGAGACAACCTATATGTTATTTGATCAGATTTAGTCATTCCACAATGGATATATATTTCAAAACATTATACTATACACAGGAAATACGTATCACTTTATTTAAAATGTAAATACATATTATTTTATTTACAATGTAAAAAATCATGTATATACATTTAAAATCAATATGTAATGTAATATATGCAATACATAACATATATTTATGCATATATTTATATATATCAAAATATATTTATTATATTATATGCATATATTTATATATAATAAATTATATATTTATTATATTATATGCATATATTTATATATAATAAATTATGCATATATTTATATATGTATTATATAATAAATATATATTATACATATATATATATATAGCATTCTTTCATAATGAAACCAATCTTACACATAGTCTTTTTTTCCCTCCAATTAGGGTAAAGTAATTTGAGATATCGCTTATAAAACACTTAATAAAATGCCATATTTTAAAGAAAGGTGTCTGCTTCGATTTCTAGAATAGAGGAATTTTAAGTCATTCCACCTCCAGGACAAACCTGTCTGAAGGAACCCATAGAAGCTGAGTCCTGCACTCAATTTTGATATCCTACCTCTCTTCTGCAGACACTTGAGAGCATAAACCCCCAGGGTAGCTGAGCCAATGCATCCATTTAAGTATATTGAAGCATGAGTGCTTTCTTGCGTCATTTAAAAAGGGAGGACAGTGAAAGTTCCCACTTCATTAGCTTTCTTTTCTCACATTAGGGTATTAAATTAAAAAGAGAGTATAAATTCTCATTTTAAATAATAAATTAACATAAAAGGATTATACATTTAATACGTTACCATTCTATTTTTCCCCAGGTCTATATTTCTCGTGTATTATTCATAATAGAAGCTCTGCAATTCCCAAGTCGTTGTTGAAAAATAAATATGAAAATATGTGGATGACTGCAGTGTATGGCCACACACAAAAGACCCCAGCAAACTGGAGCTTAAGTTAACCATTGCTCCACTTTAATGAGGAACTAAAATGGAAAAATAAACTCAAAATGCTGTCCTTTCCATAAACAATATTGCAAGTAACTCCAGTATCTAGAGAGATAGTAGGAGAAAGTGGAAGAAAGTGACAGATTAAGAATGAAAGACCTTTCCTTGCCAACAGAGTTGGGTTTGGAATTCAGTGGAAGCTGATAGTGCCAAGGTTGGAACAGCTAATGAGCAAATGTCTGAAAGCAGGAGTGGGGAAACTGCCAAGGCTGTTTCTGTGCACAAAGCTGTCCCTCCACCTAGGCGAGATGACATTTGTTCCCAGCCTTTGAAGAATGATGTCATTAGAAGACGGCATCCCCGGCCGCTCACCTCGAGTGGAAGGCGAGCAGACACACTCACAGCATTATTTTTAACTCAGCATTCATTTCCCCACTTGCACCAACAGCAATACAGCAAGACATTACGGTGACAGACGAGACACAGCACAGGACAAAAAGCTGCAGGGAAGCAGGATTTTAACGTCAAAATGTGCAGAACAGTGTCCCTGTTGGGCTACAGTACACAAAGTACCACCAACACAAGAGCTGAAAACCCTGGCAGTGACATCTAATTCTCCCTTCAATTTGAAGGAGGACATGGTAAAAAAATGCTGGTACATTAAAATGAGAAATCGCCACAAATATAGAAATGGAATGAAATATGTAAAAGCGAATGTTTCTGTTGTTCTCTGCATTCCTAGCATGGCCATTTCATCTCACTATTGGCAAACATTCACTTTTAAAAATCCTCATAAAATATGACTCTGAAAGCTTGGTGCTTCTTAGACATTTATTTACCTGTGATTTTAACTACCCTTCTCTATGAATTTTAGTTTGCTTTCCTGTCTATTTTTTTAAATCCCCATGGTCTGAAGCCAGAATGGTGATCCACAGGCACTTAAGACCAACCCCGCCATCCAAAGGCTTTCGCCAAGACACTCAGGTGCCACATCGCTCCTCTCAGCCTCTCCATCTCCCAAGCAAGAGCTTCTGGAGTCCTTTCTTGTTCTGACCTGCCCTCTTTCACCAAATCCATTCTCTCCTTTTCCTCTCTCCAATTTAACAAATGCTATCTCTCTTAAATTAGTCCCTCAATATCTTTTGCCCTACATTTTAACATGTTGTCTGTCTTGACTTTTTAAATAGCTTTATTCCTGGGTTCTTTGTATTCATTTCTCCCCACTCCTACCCTGGCTTCCCGCTGCAATACGAATTATTCTTCTGAGAGTCACCACGGGTTGTGTTGGAATCAAAACATCTGCGTTTGAGTCTTGAATGTATTACTGGGTGACTGTGCGCAGCCTCATCTCTCTTCTATTCTTTCCCTGATTATGCTTTATCTACGTTACAGAGTCACTGTATTAATTAAGGTGACACAGATGAAAGTGTTTTGTAAACTATAAAGTTTTATATAAATATAAATAAAAGGTGACATTTTTATCCAGCAGCCAATTAACTTTCCTGGCAGTGTTGATCCCCAGCAATTAGAACACGCAATTAAGCACCGTTCAAGTTCAATGTGGCACCTAAAATGGGAAAGACAAAGCTTGAAAATGTGTTAAATATAAAACTGCTTGTTAAGTTGAAATGAAGTGAAAGAAGGGACTTTGACTTTTACTTCTGCCTATATGTTTGAAGGCAGCAAACTTGCACTTCTGGATAGTTACATATATTTCAGAACTGCTTAAGCTTCAACCACCATCAATAATAAGCATATTATTTATATCAATCTTTGAAATAAAAAAAATTGCAGGCATATGCTCCAAAATAAGCAAAGGGTTATGACTATTGCCAGGAAAAGACATGATGAAAAAATAGTATTGTTTCCAAATATCATCTAAACACATATGCACACACTTTCCGCTATATCCAGTATTTAAAACGAACCTCCTGGGGACAAGATAACAATAATTTGGTTTCCCTGTTAGCAGCATTATTGCCGGGATCAAGTGGGCCACTTCCACTTCCCAAGGAAGCCAATTTTTAAGGCTTCAGGTTTGCTCTTCCAAAATTAGCTGGCTGAAATATTCACTGTGTGGTCTCCCAGGAAAAGTAGTGGAGCTGCATTTACATGAACAAAATAAGAAAGTCTCTTTCAATCCTAATCCACAGGGAAAGCCAAAATTCTAAGTCTTTTCCTAAAATTTAGCTAATTTCTTATCTCCCTCCCCTAATACTTGGTAACTGAAAATAGTAAAGGTTAATTTTTAAAAAGCCTTGATAAACTACAATCCTGACCATTGGAGTATAATTTACTTTATATATTAATATTTCATTTAAAAACATTTTACTGATCGATCGATTGATTGATTGAGACAGAGTCTTCCCTGTCACCCAGGATGGAGTGCAGTGGTGCTATCTTGGCTCACTGCAAACTCCGCCTCCTGGGTTCAAGCCATCCTCCCTCCTCAGCCACCTGAGTATCTAGGATTACAGGTGTGTGCCACCATGCCTGGCTAATTTTTGTATTTTTAGTAGAGACCAGGTTTTGCCACGTTGGCCAGGCTGATCTCAAACTCCTGGCCTCAAGTGATCCTCCTGCCTCGGTCTCCCAAAGTGCTGAGGTTAAAATATTTTAAAATGTAAACTTAAATGTTCAGAAGTCATTTTATTTAAGACCCTTCTAAGTTCTGAGTAAAGGCTAAGATTGCGAATGGTGTAAAACTGTTACTGTGTTTTGGAAGTAGTTCACCACAGTCTTGCACTCCTGGCCTCAAGCCATTCTTCTGCCTGAGTCTCCGGAGTAGCTGGAGCTACAGGTGCGTACCACATCACACCTAGGCCTCCCAAGTAGCTGGGATTACAGCAGTGAGCCTCTGCACCTGGCTGCTTAAGCAAAGGTAATTTGGGTTCTCGCACCTTGCAACCAATGGGGTCATAGTCAATACATGGATCTGTGCCAATCTGGGAAATCTAAAAATAGGTAAACTTACATTTCAAACAGTCCTTGTTTGAATTTTTGTCAGACTTTATTTTCAGATATTTGGTGAAGGGTTCTAATGTGAGCCTGACTGGGGGCTGGGGAAGCCTGTACATATGAAGTTAAAATCTGCGGTGTAGTGCACAAAGTCCCCTGAGGGTCCTGTTCAGGCCTTGGTGTTGAACATCATCTATTCACTGATGTCACCAGATCTGCAGCCTGGATTCCTGAACTCTACTCTCCCATATCTAATTTCCTACTGACAGCATCCACTTCTTTGTTTAGTGTGTATTTCAACCTCAACACATCGATAACTAGACTCCTAATCGCCTTCCTCAAACGGCTCCACTGCATCTTCTGCTGACTCAGTAGAAAGCAATGCCATTCTTCCTGATATTCAGGCCAGAAGCCTGACCTGATCCTTGATGTCTTTATTTTCCTCACACCTGTATCCAACCACTAGGAAAACCGACTGAATAGACCTTCGAAATAGATCCGGAGTCTGTCTTCTACCCCCAACCTCCTCTGCTCTCCCCCTGGTCCAAGCCACCATCATCTCTCACCTGGATTCACTTTCCAACAGGTCATTCTACTTGCCCCCTTTCCCCGAATAGACCATTCTCAGCACAGGAATCAGATGCGTCCTTCTTCTTTTTAGAGATGGGGTCTCACTATGTTGCCCAGGCTGGAGTGCAGTGTCTATTCACAGGTGCAAATATAGTGCACCACAACCACAACCTCAAACTACTAGACTGGAAGTATTCTCCTGTCTCAGCCTCTGGAGTATCTGGGACTACGGGCTCGTCCCACCTTGCCTGGCTAAAAGCATCCTTTTAAAACCTTAGTCTGGCCATGTGACTTTTCTGTTTAAAGTCATCCAATAAAGCCCCCATCTCACTCAGCAGAAAACCCCACGTCCTGAAAACCGAAGTCCTGATCTAGTAAGTCCCCCGTGAAAAGGTTCTGCTCCTTCTGACTCAGGGCCTTTTAGTGTTTTCTTGTTCACTTGGCTCCCACCACACCAGCCTCTCTGTTATTCCTCAAGCTTGCCAGGCAAACTCTAGACACCGTGGTTGTATCTCTTCCCTTTACCTAGGATGTCCCTTCCCCAGGTATCCATGAGCTGTCTTGAACCCCTTCACATCTTTGCTCAAAATCTCACTTTTTCCAGGCAGCTTTTCCCGACTATTCTGAAAAATTTGGCAAGCCCCAAATCCCAACAACTGCCATTTCTCTCCAGGCAATAAAATACCACATAAAATAATATTTTCCTTCTTTTGTTTGCAAGTACTTGCAAAGGAGCTGACAAGTTTTATACTATATGATAAGTATTCAGAAGAAAAGAAGCTCCTGAAGAAAAAATTATTCAATAGAATTATTTCCTAAAATCATAAATATATTGTTTATAAGAGACAATAAATTATTCTTTTGGCCATAAGCTAGTTTGAGTTGGTTTCTGTCACTTCAAAAGGATTAAGATGAATACATTCATTTATACTGATCTGGCAAATTTAAAGAATAAATGTTAATGATTCAAAGGGCTTTCGTTTAAATCTATGTCTCCTAAAAATTACATTAAAGTATTATACCTATTTATCCAATGGTCATACTTCTGGAAATTTTTCTCGAAAGAAATAATCTTAAAATCAGACAAAGGCCAATGCATAAAGAAGTTCATTTGATGCCTCATTTGTAATGGTCAAACATTAAAAATAAACTAAAATTTTAGCACTGTATTAGATGTTTTCAAAATGTAGCTCACAGACCTGTAGGGATCCCTGAGACAATTTTAGGTGATCTGTAAGAAGAAAATCGTTTTCATGACAATGCTGAGGTGCTGTTTGCCTTTCTCATGGTGTTGACATTTGCACTGTTGGAGCAAAAGCCATGGTGGGTGAGACTGCTGGGCGTTACCATGAATCCCAGCAGGGACACTAACAGGATGACTATTCATTGTACTGTTTACCGATGCATACTGTGAGTTGGTTTTTTAAAAATGCCAGATTCACTTACAGACACTTGACGAAGCAGGAAACATAACAGTTTTATTACATCTTTACCCTAAAGCTCACGTTATTTTTAATGTTCTATGTCCTGTGTAATAAAATGGGAAGAAGGCACAGTGTTTCCTCCACCTCCTGAGCAGCACGGCTATTTTCAAGCAGAGTATGTCTGTGCTTGCTTGAGTTGCAAATTCGACCAGCTGCTTTTCTTCATGGAATTCCATTTCTTTCTTAAAAGAATGGCTACCTAAAAACGATGGTTATGCGGTCTTTTCTATTTGTCAAACAATTTCTTACAGATAAATGAGCCCATCACTCCTACAATTACAATTGATGGTGTTTATTATAAATAATAAAATTGAATCTTTCAAGAAAGAATAGAATTTTAGAAAACTTGCATCCATCAGCATGAACTTGACAGTTTACTTGAAGACTTTCTGATGAGATCATGGTAATGTTAGTAGTTGTGATATTTTGATATTGTATAACAAATTGTATCAACATTTGGAAGATCTGTGTAACACAGTGAACCAATCATTTCCAAATGATCAACTTTTTATGTTACAAAATCATGTGTGGGTAAAACATTCCTTCCAAGGGTATGATAGACCAATGAATTTTAAGATGACAGAGTACAGAAAATGTGTTGATATGGCATCTGACTATTGCAATGAACCATTAAGATACTGCCATGTTTTAATTCTCTGCATAGTATGGAGTACCATTAGGTGTTTTCTGGTTTATTCACTTGTTTTATTTGTTTATTGTTTGTCTCTCCTGACTGAGAAGAGAGTCAATGAAGGAAAGGACCTTGCAGACCTTTTTCATTGTTGTATTCCTCAGTGTCTAGAGTAGTGCCTGGCATGAAGCAGATGTTCTGTAAATGAGGATTAAATAAATAAACACAACCACCAAATGAACCTTTATGCAGCCTGGTTTACCAAGAATATCTAGTGATTTGAGGAAATTCTCAAGACATATGGTTATTAAAAACCGATTTATAATTATGTGCAGGCATATCTAATATACAATGCACAATACATATTCTATAATATATAATGTAATGCAATATATATGCCCCGTAATAATAGTATACACATATTATTATTTCCATGTGTGTGTGTCTGTATGCGTTCTCACAAAAGTAAAACTCACAGGGTTGGTGGGAAAAGAAGCTTGGGGAAGACCACAGGAAACCTATGCAACTTTGTAACAAGGGCAACTAAAAGCCACTTATTGGTTCCTGGAGAGAGAACTTGGACACCTCAGACAGGCAGCTCAATGTGGCTAGAAGCAACACCCACAGGTTTCGGAAATAGTTTTATAACATATTAGTTCTATTCCTAGGACCCACCTCAGGTAGATTCCTTACATAATTAAAACAATTTTATTTCATATTCAGCTCAGGAAACTGACTTGTAGAATAGAAGAAATGAGTCTTTCTGAGGCTCTGCCACTAAAAGTCTGCGTATCCTTGGATGAGTCTGATCACCTTATTGTTTTTTTCTGGTAAGGAGATTGTAGTCAATTCAAATTGCAGGATCTCTAAAGATCATCCTGACAGGTAGATTCCATGACAGTCCATGTCATGATGCAAAGAATAATTTAATGAGGAAAACGTTCTGTGGCATCCTTTAAACATATAATTTCTATGTTGTTGCTTTGACCTGCTCATCTACAGAAGATAAGACGTTTGTTTGAAATCCTCATCCAATACAGAAAATCCCTTCCAGTGAAGTTCTAAGAGACCTTGCTTTTAGGAGGTTTTAGGAAAAGAAGGTTATTTATTTAAAAATTATCTGAGAGATGACTAGATAATGAAGCTAATGATGTGCTCCTTTTTTTTCTGTTGTATTGTTAACAACACATGCCCTCTGGAAAACCAAGCCAAAATTCCACCTGGAGAGAAAATCAGATCAACTAAAGTTCCTGTGAAGATTCAGTCAGTAGTAAAGAGGACATCTCATGTTCCCTGTCATTCTTCAGCCTGTACAATTATCCTGCTCTAAATAAGCAGATCTTGGATTACCCGACTTCAAATCATTGGTCTGGGAAGTAGTCGGGCTATGGAATGAGTTGTGTGGGAACCAGGAGAACAGGGCTTACCTTTCACGGTCACGTGGACGCTCTGGCTGGTGGAGAGTTGTGGTTGAACCAACACGTTGCACGTGTACTCCCCCTCGTCCACTTCCTTTTGCACATCTGAAAGTTTAAGAGTTCCATTGTTCTCAAATGCCACTTGGCGGTGGTTGAAAGGAAGCAGGTTAGAGTTCTTGTACCATTTAATGGAGTAATACGGATAGCCAATCACACGACAGTGAATGTATGTGTCCCGTCCTGCTATTGCTGTGATGTTTTTCATTGGTCGAATGCTTGCAGGCCCTGGAGAGACACAAAGAAACTCTTGAAAATAATTTAAGGGTACATCTCATGTAGGGAAATGGGTACACTTTTCCTTGAGTTAAAAATGTAGATTATATTCATGTAAGCACATCTTTTTCAGTTAAACAAATATTTTTGCATGTGGCATTTTCTACAACAAAGGTTTTTCTTTCCTTTTCTTAAATTCAAATGTATAACTGTGAAACACTTTATCTGCTACTTCTATGAAAATGTTTTGAATTAAAAATTACAAGATAAAAGGCAATTTAATTAATAGAAAGTAACTAGTCTATACTGGACAATCACGCACTTTTGGTGAACACACTGGCAGCAATTGATCAATTGTTTAACTCTCTCTGTAAAATCTAGGACGACAATGGAGGTTACATCACGTTGCAGCATGAATGTAAGTTTAATACCATGTACATGAAGGTTTACCATGAATGTGGAAGAACCGAAGAGAAGGAGAAGGGAAAGGGCATGCAGAGCATAAACCAGGAAAGGAAACATCAGGTGAACAGATCTAGAGTAAAAAAGAACAAGCTGACTACAGAAACCAAAATGCCATTTCCAACATTAACCCAGTCAGTGCCATTCCTGAGTAGGAAGGAGAGGGTAGGAAATGGGAAGCAACAGTTAATCCGCTCTGGCATTCCAAGACCCAGCTCGGTGCATGCAGAAATCTTCTTCTCCACTATAATGAGTTATGTGTGTTTTTTTGAGGAGCTGATTTGACAAGCACCTCTTACGTTTATTCGAGCCTGGTACAGGACGACTCCCGCCGAGTTGTTGGCAGTGCAGCGGTAGACTCCCCCGTCCCGGACCTGGGAGCTGGAGATGTTCAGGTAGCTGACCACGTTCCCCTCCGACGTGATCATCTGGCTGATGCGGTGACTGCCACCCTTGAGAATCGGGTCATCGTCCAGGGTCCACGTGATCGTGGGCAAAGGTGTTCCCTTCACGTTGCACATAAGGGAAACCGGCTCTGCTGGACTCACCACCTTTTCACTAAAGGCAGAAATAATTTTGGGAGTTCCATCTGCAGGAAAACAAATTATGGAAGAAAGTGGCACATACAAATAATTAAACAACTTCCAAGTATATGTCTTTCATGTCTAGGGGGTAAATGTCGTAGTTGTTAAACATTACCAAAAAGGTCTGGTTTTCCTGATAAAGCAAAACGTTAATCAGAACAAGAGTTCACTGTTTTCAAAACAGGTAAGCACAGTGTTAGCAAGCTTTCATCAACTGTTTCTATATTTCCTGATTGACTTAAGAGGAATGGTAATACAACTCAGATGTTCAGGTTAAACAATGACAGCTCCTAAGAAGTCCTTAATTTAAAACTGGTGTTTCCTCACACAAAGTTATAAACAGACGGAAAATCCACACCCGCTCACTCCCACAAACAGTCACTTTATCTGTTAGGTTGGTGCAAAAGTGATTGCAAAAAGTAATGGCAAAAACAGCAATTACTTTTGCACCAACCTAATACTTCCTCAAGTTATTTGGGGTTTTCTCACTAGGGAATTCTTTACAGGAATAAAGGAAACTACTGAGAGATTGATGACCTCATCTTCATCATTTTCTCATAAGAAATCCTCTTTTAATAACTTTAATTACAAATAGTAATTGCATGCAAACTTCCATGAAGTCTCTGAGAATGGGTAGAAGCTAAATAAAGTTTGTATTAAATGCCGTGTATTAAAAACCTCTAAAGATATCTTAAGTAGGGTACTTAAGCATGTTTTAAATCTCTCTAAAAGTATCTTAAGTAGGCTGGCCATATAATTTAACATCCAACCTGGGACACTTTTGAGGCTGAAACAGAAAGGACTAATAATTATGCCAAGAGAACAGGCATGACCCAGAACTATCGCAGGCAAACTAGGATCTTAATCTTAGAGAAGTCTCCATAGAAATTTTCAGTATGTTTACATAGATCAAATTTTCATATTCCATTATTTTTCTATCATCCATATGGTTTTTTCTCTTATATAGTAATAGTTACAAATGCATGTTTCTTTTATATATGTTTTTCCATTTATAAAAAGAAATACATGCATATTAAAGGAAATGTATGAAAATCAGAAGAAAAGTTACCAATAGGTCAGCCAGCCTCAGGCATACAAATCAACACTGTGACACATTTTTTCTAGGCATAAGTGGGTCATTTTGACATAATTGCAATCACATGCCACAGGATTTCTGAGTCTGGTAAGAGACCTTGCTGGAGGGGACATCTTTTGTTTTTTAAAAGAATTTTTGTGTTCAATTAAAGGGTTGTCCCATAATGAAAGATAAGAATGAGTAGATTTTTTTTAGTTTTTGATTTTATTATAAAAGTAATGAATCTCCATTGTTGAATATCTTTTTTGTTGAAAATTGGAAAGTATTATAAACAAAAAGAAAGGAGGCAAGCAAAATTAGGATAGCTTGCAATTCCATCAGGGAAAGGTGACAGTTAATGGTTAATAGTACCAGACACCTTTGAGGAAAGTGCCACTCATTCCCCCAGAACCTTGGGGCCTAGTTCTTGGTCAGGGAGGCCAGTTATGTAGGGTCTTCATGGTGATGGGGCTGTGCTGCAGCTCTTCCCTCCACCCCCTACTCCTTTCCAAATTCCTGAATCTCACTTCTTCATTCCAGCTCATGTTTCAGGTGGCTGGAGAAGTCCCTGGAGTTTGTTTCCTCCAGGCTATGCTCATAAGTAGCATATTGCAGTGTCCTTGGGTTGTAAGCATTTTGTCTCTTACTATCAGAGATGAAAAAGACAACTTTAAAATATTAAAATGAAAAATTGATGCTTTTGTCTTTAACGCACTGCAGACGTTGCCTCATCACATCCTGTGTTTAATTTTACAGAGAAGTTAGATGTCATCATGATTGCTATTCATTGTCCATGATCAGTCATTAATACTTAGGAGTACTGGAGTTATTTCACGTGTCCTTTATAATTCCATGGTTTTTGTAAAATGTGTTTAGCTGTAGATTTCTTTTCACTGGTTTTTACATTAAGCTCTGAAAACTCAAGTGTTTAGAAAAATGTTCTTCAGTTATACTTCTCTTTTTGTAGGTAAATTTTACATACAGTGAAATATACAGATCTTAAGTGTACAGCTTAGTTTTGCTAAATATATACACACCAGAGTAACCACAAAAACGATCAAGATATAAAACATTTCCATTACCAAAATTCCTTAAGTGCTCCTTTCAATAAATCCACATCCAACAGAGATCACTGCTCTGATTCCTCTTAGGATGTGCTGGTTTTGCCTGTGCTTGAGCTTAGAAGAAACATAATAATAGAGTATGCACGCTTTATATGTGCATATATATCATCATAATCAGAGTACACTTAGAATATAATTAGAAGATGTAACTTTGGAACAGTACTATTATCTAACTCACTGTCCACAGCAAAATTCTGTCCATTGACCGCTAATATCCCTCGTCACTGTTTTTTTTCCAGAGCAGTCCGTATCACCCATTATTTATGTTTCATGTCATTTCAGCCTCTTTTCATCTGGAACATTCTTCAGCCTCTTTTGTGTTTCTTGACTTTTACATTTTTGAAGAGTAATTTTGTAGTCAGTTGCTGAAATTGGGTTTGTCTCATATTTCCTCATGACTAAACGCAGGTTGTATATTTTTCCCAGAAATACCGTGGAAGGCACGTGTTTTATGTGCCTATTGGCCATCCGTGTGTTTCCTTTAGTGGGTGTCTGCTCAAATCTTTGGCCATTGTTATATTAGACTGTTTGCCTTTTTGTTTTTGATTTGTTGTGGAATACAACAATTGAAATACAAGGAAATATATATATAGTATCTATGTCAGATATCTTATAATGATCTGATACATTTGTAAGATTCCTATAGAGATTATATATAATATCTGTCAACATATATATGACACATATATTTGTGTGTGTATAAAATATTTTATCCCAGTCTGTGGTTGCCTTTTTCTTTTCTTAATAATGTATTTGTGTTGACATTTAATGCTTTCTGTGTCCTAAGAAATCGTCACCTATTCGCAAATCATGAAGAATTATTCTGTTTTCTTTTGGAGACTGTGTTGCTTTATACTTTATATTCAATTCTATACGGATAGCAACTTAATTTTGTGTGGATATGAAGTGTGATGTAGGGATTAATACTCATTTTTTTGCCATACATTTATTGAGTTGTTTCAGTGTTAATTTGTTGAAAAGGTACATATAGTATGTGTATATGTGTGTGTGTGTGTGTATATATATATATATATATATATTTTTTTTTTTTTTTTGAGACAGTGTCTCTCTCCCTCTGTTGTCCTTGGTGTGGCACAATCTCCCAAGTAGCTGGGACTGCAGGTGCACACCACGCCTTTTTTTTTTTTTTTTTTTTTTGTAGAGACAAAGTTTTGCCATGTTTCCCAGGCTGGCCTCAAACTCCTGGGCTAAGGGCCTCAGCCTCCCAAAGGGCTAGGATTACAGGCACAAGCCACCATGCCTCAGTTTTGCTTGAAATCACATTAATCGTTTTAGAGAGAATTGTTAACTTAGGAATATTTAGTTTTCTAATCCTTGAATATGGTATATCTTTTCAATTTTTTAGGTTATTTCAATTTTATATTAGCAGAGTTTTGTATTTTTGTATGTTGAAATCTTTCACGTTTGTTTAAAATATATTCCTATCTTATGTTTTATGTTATTGTAAATGAAAGTTTCAAAATATTAGTTTCCAATTGTTTGTTCTGAGTATATAGAAATAAAATTGCATTTTGTGTATCATTCTTATATCCAATGACTTTTTAAACTCTCTTTTAGAAATTGCTTTATTGTTTTCTTGGCATATTCTTTGTAAACAACAATGCCTGTAATTAAGACAGCTGAAATTTTTCCTTTCCAAACTCCATCCATTTTATTTCTACTCAAGCCTAACTAGGGCTGCTAGTATAATGTTGAATGGAAGTGGTGGATGTGGGCATCCTTGATTTGGTCTCAATCTTAAATGAAAAACATTTAGTGTTTAACCAGGAAGTATGATTTTAGCTGTAGATTGTTCAGGATGCCACTCATTAGGTCAAGGAAGCTCTCTAGAGTCTCAGTTTGCTAGAAATTCTTTATGCTGAATGGATGCAAGTTTCATCAAATGATTTTTTCTGTATATATTGAGATAATCAATTGGATTTGCTCCCTTATTCTATTAACATAGTGACTTACACGGATTAGATTTTTAATGTTCTTCCAATCTTGCATTATAAGATAAGCTCCAATTGATTTACACACACACACACACAATCTATATGTATATCAATGTGTGTGTATATGTTTTAAATTATCTCTGCTAAAAGTTAAGATTGCAGTACTTTATGTGAAATGTAAGAACCCTGCAACAAATAATTCTGCCCTTTGTGTTATTACATCTATTATATTTACTCTATAATAAAGTGTTATTTTATTTTACTTTATTTTATTTATTATTATTTTATTTCATTTTATTTTATTTTTTATTTTATTATTTTATTTCATTTTATTTATTTTATTTTATTTTATTTTTAGAGATGGAGTCTCACTCTGTCACCCAGGCTGGAGTGCAGTAGCAGGATCTCGGCTCACTGCAACCTCCACCTCCTGGGTTCAAGCTGTTCTCCTGCCTCTGCCTGTAGCTGGGATTACAGGCACATGCCACCACACCTGGCTAGTTTTTGTATTTTTAGCAGAGACAGGATTTTGCCATGTTGGCCAGGCTGGTCTCAAACTCCTGACCTCGAGTGAGCCGCCTGTCTCGGCTTCCTAAAATGCTGGGATTACAGGCGTGAGCGACAGCACATGGCCAAGTGTGGTAATTTTATAATGTTATAATCATCAATTGTTTAAAGAAATTAAAAAAGAAAACACAATTTTGCTAAATATTTACTAATATATTTACCATTTCTCATGGTATTTGTTCTTATAGATATGTCTCCATTTTATGTTCCATTTCTGTTCCATGTTATCTATATCCTGTAGATATAAATGTCCATTCTCTATATCCGGCATGACTTCATTTATCATTTATTAATGTGCAGGGCTGCTGACATTATATTCTTTCACCTCTTTATTACTGAAAATATCTTTATTTTTCCTTAATTTTTAAAGCCTGTTGTTGTTGGGTTTTTTGCTACAGAAGTCTGCGTTGGCAGGGCTGTGTCTTTGTTTTTCGTTTTCTTTTCAACATTTTAAAGATGTTGCTCCATTGTCTCCTGTCCTCCAAAATATCCGATGAATCATCTACCATTTGTTATTGATGTCCTCATTATGTAATATTTTTCCTCCCTCAGATTTTTAAGTTTTTCTCTTTATCTTCGGTTTTCAGCAGCTTAACTCTGATGTACTGACATAGAATTTTCTTTGTGTTTATTTTTGGAGTTTGCTGAGTTTCTTAGATCTGCAACCTTACTTTTATACCAAAGTCGATAAAACTAAGGTCATTATCTCTGAATACTTTTTTCTTCTGCATTCCGTATCTCCTATTTTTCTGGGCCTCTAGTCATATGTGTGTGTCACGTTATCTGATGATGTCCTACTTGTCACTGAAGCTCTAATCATTTTCTTTGCAGTCTTCTTTCTCTCCATGCTTCAGATTGAATAATTTTCTAAGATTTATCTTCAAGTTCACTGATACTTTCTTCTTCCTTCTCTAATCTTGTATTAAACAAATATGGTGATTTTTTTTCATTTCTACAGACTGTTTTCTACAGTTTCAATTTCTCTGTTGGTCTTTCCCATACGTTCACTCTTTCAGTCCATATTTTCCTGTAAGTTATTGAACATATTTTAAATAGCATCTGTAAAGTCCTTGTTTGCCAGTTCTAACATCTGGGTCCTCTCATGATTTGTTTCTATCGTTTGCTTTGTCTTTTGTCCTTTGGGTGCAGAGTCCTGTTTTTTGTATGTCTCATTTTTATTGCACATTTGTATTCTCACTCCCCATTTTTGGAGTTCAGATGTGTCCTCAGTGGAAGAGGACACTCCCCAACTTGATTTTGGTGTCTCTCAAATGTCTATATATACTTTTGCTTTTCCCAAAGTTTCTTGTTTTTATCATCTTGGGAGTTAGGCTGATATATGCTATTTTACCATTCCCAGAACTGGAAACTTTTATTATTCTTTTTTAAAATCATTCCATTTTTCAGGTATTATGGTTTTATCCTGAACTTATAATTATTAAATTCCATTTTATAGCCTCATAGGAAATATTCTCAGATTCTCCATTGTATCTATCCTCAGTCCTAGTTCACAGTATTGCAAATTTTTATAATTTTACTTTAATCCATCGCTATTTCAGTGAGAATAATGGGAGTGTTTTTGTTTTCCAGAGGAAATTAGCCAGACACTCTTTTAAAGCAGGTACTAGATATGTATTTGTAATTCCATTTCTGCTTTCTTTGCTACATTAGCACTGTCATCTCTCAGAAGAGAGAAAAAAAAAAGTGAAGCTTCTTGTCCTGAATGGAAGCTGACATGCGACAAATAAATCTGCGAGTGTGCTGGCGGTGCGCCTCGGCCCCCTTTTTAGTTCAAGTGACAGGCTCTTTTGGAGATGAAAGCAGACATTATTTTCCCAGGGAGACCTGAGTGTCTTTGAAATCTTTCTTGCTGTCACTCTGATAACCTGAACTCTTCTGACATCGTTATGGATCATCAATATGGTCTTTAGGTTTTCTTAGTTGCACCAAATGGTTGCCGGGGTAACTGGGCCTAGACAGGTAATTTCTCCTTTTTCTACAAAGAATCTAAAAATAGTGACTATGTAAGGACTAGAGTGCATCATCATTAGCAAACTGGTTCTGCACAAATTGATTACTTTCTGCACTTAATTATTATACGGAACACAGTGTCAGGCATTTAATATGAATACCATGCCTTCAGCTAATTTCACCTCTGCTTTAAAAATCTCACTGTCTGCAATGAAACGATTGAATCAAAATAGGAATCTCATTGCTAAACCTGCTACTTCTTAAAAAATTAGCTAAGGTTAAAAAAGAATGACAGAAATATGGTCTTATAATCAAGATATATTTAAACTTACTTTCACATATTAGTGTGTTTTCTTTGTACTCCCTTTAGGCTATATCAAAATCATTTTATTATTTTAATCAATTGATATCAGATGAATTTTAAATTATATATGGACATAATTTCCAACAAGACACACAAATACATAGATAGAAGCTAGTTCAATCAGGTAGTGATAAATATATGTTGCCTGTGATAGCTTCTTTCTCTGGCTGACTGATAAGCTTTAAGATTTAGTATGCAGTAACCAGTTAAAAAAAAGCAAATCGTATCACATATCCAAAACCTGTTATTATACCACAAAATAATTCCTCACAAATTTCATTTACTTAAATCTGAGAACATTTGGATGGAACTAGGGACAACTGCACCAAACAGATGCCATATTTTCATTCTACCAACCACTGTACTGACATTTTGCTCTGCATTTTCAATCTGAAGTTGTACTTCTCCACTGGAGGCTATTGCCCCCACCCCACCCAGCAAACACCTGGCAATGTCTGGAGACATTTTTGGTTGTAACAACTTGGAGGAAGGTGCTCCTAGCATACATCTAGTGGAAAGGGGCCAGAGATGCTGCCAAAGATCCTATAACACATAAAAAAGTTTCCCAAGATGCCTGTAATCCCAGCACTTTGGGGGGCCGAGGCGGGCAGATCACCTGGTCAGAAATTGGAGACCAGCCTGACCAACATGGAGAAACCCCATCTCTACTAAAAATACAAAATTAGCCAGGTGTGGTGGTGCATGCCTGTAATCCCAGCTACTCGGGAGGCTGAGGCAGGAGAATTGCTTGAACCCGGGAGGCAGAGGTTGTGATGAGCTGAGACTGTGCCACTGCACTCCAGCCTGGGCAGCAAGTGTGAAACTCCATCTCAAAAAAAAAAAAAAAAAAATTCCCCAAGCAAGGCATTCTTGAAAGACCCTGGTCTAGAGATGAATAATCAACAAAACTGTTAAGTGTCAAGTTTCTTCTAAGATTTAAACCCTGGCAGATAACTTCTAATGCACAAGTGGGCAACATTTATGTTACTTTACATTACTTCTAATATGAAACAATTTTATTTTCGTCAGAACTTTCTCTCCCATTTGCCTGATTTAGCTTGAAAAATTAGGGTAGAGTACTAGCTGGTGAGACAGAGAGCCTAGAACTGAGCGATCAGCACTGCTTCACCCTGTCTTCTTCTTTTCTGAGTGCTCTGGGTTTGGGTTCTTTTTCAGCCATACCCTGAAACGAGGCCCACTGACCTTCAAGGACCACCTGCACATAGTCTTGAGCGGACAGCTTGTCCTTGCGCACAAAGCACTGGTATGCGCCCCCGTCACTTTTGACCATGTGATCCATTATAAGGTTTTCGTGGTTGATCCCTGTGATCCTCACATTTTTTCCAGGGTTGAGGATTTCACCATTGCGGTACCAGGAGAGTTCCTGGTCCTCAGTTCCTGTCACGCTGCAGGACAAGGAAACTTGGCTACCCACGCTGCTTTTAACCTTCCTGGGACTGATGGTGGCTTTCAGTGGCTCTGGAGGTTTTAGTAAGAGAGAGAGAAAAAAGATAAAAACATCACTAGATAGCATTTCGACAACAGGCTGGACTTTCAACAAAGCAAGTGCATCACGCAATCATACTCCACACAGTTCCCATCAGCCACATTATTGCAATCATACTCCACACAGTTCCCATCAGCCACATTATTGCAATCATACTCCACACAGTTCCCATCAGCCACATTATTGCAATCATACTCCACACAGTTCCTATCAGCCACATTATTGCAATCGTACCCCACACAGTTCCTATCAGCCACATTATTGCAATCATACCCCATACGGTTCCTATCAGCCACATTATTGCAATCATACCCCAGAGAGTTCCTATCAGCCACATTATTGCAATCATACCCCATACATTTTGTATCAGCCACATTATTGCAATCATACCCCAGAGAGTTCCTATTAGCCACATTATTGCAATCATACCCTAGAGAGTTCCTATCAGCCACATTATTGCAATCATACCCCATACGGTTCCTATCAGCCACATTATTGCAATCATACCCACACAGTTCCTATCAGCCACATTATTGCAGTCATATCCCATAAAGTTCCTATCAGCCACATTATTGCAATCATACTCCTAACAGTTCTTATCAGCCACATTATTGCAATCAAACTCCACACAGCTCCTATCAACCACATTATTGCAATCATACTCCACACAGTTCCTATCAGCCACATTTTTGCTATCATACTGCATGCAGTTCGTATCAGCCACATTATTTCACAGAGGAGCATTTTGTTTGGGAACATCCTCTTCGCTATTTTTTATTTCTGGCTTTATTTCTCTTTGCAACAAATGCAATAATGTTGGTCAAACTGCCTTCTCAGGAGTCTCTGTGAGGATGTTGATATAAATCCACTGACAATAAGAGATACAGGCCAGGCATGGTGGCTCACACCTGTAATCCCAGCACTTTGTGAGGCCAAAGTGGGAGGATCACGAGGTCAGGAGATGGAGACCATCCTGGCTAACACAGTGAAACCCCATCTCTACTAAAAATACAATTAGCCGGGCGTGGTGGCGGGCTCCTGTAGTCCCATGTACTTGGGAGGCTGAGGGAGGAGAATGGTGTGAACCTGGGAAGAGGAGCTTGCAGTGAGCTGAGATGGCGCCACTGCACTCTAGCTTGGGGGACAGAGTGAGACTCCATCTCAAAAAAAAAAAAAAAAAAAGAAATGCAACATGCTGGCTACCAATAGTGACCTAAGTATTGATCATATAAATCCTAATTTGCCTTGTCCCAAGGTGGCACTGGTGGGTTTGCCCTGGGCCATTCTCACACACATGTATGACATATGTGGTTTACCCAGGGCCAATAACACACAATTGTGAGGAAAAAAAAAACAAAAACAGGTTGGTATTAGAATTTGTGACCACGAAACAGAGTTTTTCTTTAAAATGGGGCTGAGTGATTTAGACAGGGAAGAAACTCTCATCCTCGCCTTGCTATGTTTTCAATTCAACAACCTTAATCCAATGTAGAAAACATTTACTGAGCATCTGTCATATGCCAAGGATGAGGTTAAACTCACAGGCAAGAAAAATGGAATAATATTTGTGGTGCAGCTAGCTTGTGCTATAAAATTATCGACTATCTTTCATACATCATTTAAGTCAGTCTTCTCCTAATCCTGTAATTTTTGTGTTATCTCTATTTTACAAAACAGAAAATAGTTATTGAGAGCGCTTAAATAACTCAGCCAAATCCAATCAACAGGTAAATGGCAAATCAAAACAAAACAAAACAAAATTTTTGGTGAAAGACCTACAGTTACAGATTTTTAAAGGTCAGAAAGTGCTGAGCAGAGAAAATCTGATGAAAATCCTGTCTAGTCATATTACAAATTATGGAAAACGAAAAATAAAGAGAAATTCTTTAAAGCAGACAGCAAAAATGGCAAATGACATACAGAGAAACAAAGATCTGAATGACCTCTGATTGTTTAGCAGAAGCAAATGGAGGCCAGAAGACATATAAATATATCTTTTAAATTAACAAACATCTCTTGTAGATGGCAGATGGCTAAGATTTGCTTTTTAATCCATTCTGGTAATCTTCTCCTATTATTATTATTATTATTTATTTCACTTTAAGTTCTGGGATACATGCGCTGAACCTACAGGTTTGTTTACACCTTATACGAAAATTAACTCAAGATGGATTAAAGACTTAAATGTAAAACCTAAAACCATAGAAACGCTAGAAGAAAACCTAGTCAATACCATTCAGGACATATGCATGGACAAAGACTTCATGACTAAAACACCAAAAGCAATTGCAACAAAAGCCAAAATTGACAAATGGGATCTAATTAAACTAATAAGCTTCTACTTACTCAGCAAAAGAAACTATCAGAATGAACAGGCAACCTACAGAATGGGAGAAAATTTTTGCAATCTATCCATCTGACTAAGGTCTAATATCCAGAGTCTACAAGGAACTTAAACAAATTTACAAGGAAAAAAACAAACAACCCCATCAAAAAGTGGGTGAAAAAAAAGCTTTTTTTTACCCCAGTTGTTCCTAACTTTTCATCTCACCACACTTTGTTTTCAAGGAGCTCAGTCTTCTAGGTTGATAAGACAAAGGCAATAAATGGCTGTAATAACCAACCAGAGTGATGGAGGGGCCATTAGAGACATAGCACATGTGGAGGAGGGTGGATGGGAAGAGCAGGAAATCCACAGATATCAAGGGTGCATAGAACTGAGATCAGTCAGAATGGAAAGAGGGAATCACAGAGATTGGGAACCACATGAATTAAGGCAGGGAGCAGGGGCATGTCTGAGAATTTCTGATTCATTTTGGATGCAACAGAGAGTCCCTGAGATTTTGGAATTAAACAAAGATAACTAAAGAAGGCATTCAAAAGTGTTTAGCAAATAAGTCATACTTTTTTTTTTTTTTTTTTTTTTTTTTTTAGAATTGGGGCCTTGCTCTGTCACCTAGGCTGGAGTGCAGTGGCACAATCATACAGAGGAGTTTCTGTAGCCTGAAACTCCTCTCCCTTTCTGCCTCAGCCTCCTGGGTAGCTGGGACTACAGACACAAGCCATCACACCCAGCACAAACATACTTTTAATGGAATCACTAGGTCATAGGTCTTTTGACAAATTAGGGTGAGGAAAACCCGTCATTGAAGACATTACACATGTCTAGTGTAGGTACAATTAAGATCCAATCTAGGACAGGACAGAGGTTGAGAACAGAGCTGAGTAACTGTGAGATTCAGTTTGTATGACTTGGCAGGACATGGCAGGACTTGGCAGGATGTAGAAAGGAAAGGCTTAAAGGGCACCCAACATTTCATGTTTGCATCTGAGGGATGAGAAGGAGGAAGATGTTGATAATAATAACAAGAGCCATTTGGAAGGAAGAGGTGGTGGAGAGTTCAGTTTGGTATCCGACCCTGTTGTTTTGAAGTGCCAACTAAATTTCTGAAAGAAAGCTGGTTGACACACTTGTCTGACATTCAGGAAGGACGCCAAGGCTGTAAGTACAGATTCAGAGCTTATTTTCAGGGGCAAGGAATTCGAAGCTCTACAAATGAAACAGAGCCTAAGGAAAAGGGAAGAGCTTGACAAGAAGACAGTTCTGAATTTGGAGCCCAAGAGAATGCCTTCCAATAGAGAAGAGAGATAGGAACGAAGAAGCTGTTTTCTTCTGCAGTTAGAAGAAGCAGTCAGAAGGGAGGCAGAGAATATTCCAGAAGCATTGGAGAATCACCTAGATGTGGAAGAAGGGAACAATGATAAAAATAAGCACATTAAGAATAAAGGCTTTTAAAATATAGGTAGTGATAAACGCCTTTAGAGAGAAAGCAGTAACATACTCTGAGTTGAGAAGGAGACAGGAGAATGGGGAACAACACATCTTTGTGGATGGAGGCTAAGAGAGTTGGGAAGTGTTAGATAACCAAGTATTGGGAAATAATCTTCCATGTGGAGGAAGCAACATAAGTAATGTGACTTGCAATCAGGAAAGGAATAGGTTTGTGCAGGGATTAGGAAGAAGTTAGATTTAGCAGGAATAGGTTTTTATTAACCCATTTATGCCTGAGGTTGCAATTTTTTTTGAATTTTTGCAATCAGACCTTGGTGATGACCTTGCACAGTAGGATGTAAATAACTCCCACATGCTTAGTGTTCCAATAATGGAACACTAGTCATAAGTGGGTTTTAATGCAAAACAATGGGAAATACAACCAGACAGATTTGCTTGAGATGCCTTCAGTACTATCCTAAGATATAAACTTTATTCAATGGAGAACAGGGAGCTAGGAGAGGTCTTTAAACACAGAAGAGACTTTGAGCCCGTGGGAATAATTCTTACTGGCTGTCCAATGCTGCATTATTTTATCCACATGATTCTTCAGCTATAGAAGTGTGACTGTGGATTTTATCATCCATTTCTTTCTAATCCCAGACTAAACATATTCAAATATTTGCAGGATTCAGGCTGGACAGCCTGTTCCAGATAGAGAGTCATTTGGATATTTAATATAAATATATTCTCTTAGGCTGGTGTTGCGCTAAGGCAGTCTACACTCAGGTTGACACTGAAGAGAAAGTTCCATAAACAGGGTTAGGGCTGGGTGGGGAGGAGGAAGTAAGAAAACACTTCTATTGTCACTGTGAGATTCTTGTGGTTAAATTTGTTCAATTTAGTTCATCAAATAAAAATATATTTTCAAAAAAGGAGCATTATATTGGCAACTAAGACCTCCTCTCTGACCAATGCTCTGCCTCCCTTTTCTGGCCATGTGATCTTGGGTAATTCACTTTAATTTGGTTTCTGCAAGAGCAAAATTGAGGGTGGTTGAGTAGATTAGATTGTGACCCTGCGATCACATCCCTCCTTCCTCCAAATCTGCCTTCAGTATCCTTCTGAACACATTCCTCAAGGCAGCCAAGGCAATCAATAGAAGATCAAATAAATCCATTATATTTGGAGTAGATGATCTATAATACTAGGCACAAGTCTAATATTTGGGTATGTTTGAGCCCCGTACTTTGGGTGATAATAGCCTCATTTAGAAATTTAATGGAGAAATGGTCTGGAAACAGACAAAGGACAACTGCTTTGATTGGCTACCATCACTTGTGCTGAAAGAACAATCCTACCCTCTCTCTCTGTTCATTTTTAGAGAGACTGGTTGTTGTGAATTCATCAGCTAGGAAGTGTTATCTTGAAATCATATCTTGGAAATGTAATAGTCTGTGGCCTAATGGAAATCACAGAGGTTTGGGGATCAGAAAGATTTCAAATCAAATCCGACAGCCAAGACTCTCCAGTTGTGTAACCTTGGGGAATTCATCTGAGCATTAATTTTCACATCTGTAAAATGAGGTTTCTGTTGATCTCAGCTGGACTGTTTTGGGAGTTAATGGAAAGCTACAGAGAAAACATGGAGATTTGCTTATAACAGGAGCTCCATCGATGGAAGCCAACACCACCTTTGCAAGTTACCGTCCAACTTACGTTTCACGTACAGGCGGCCTATCACCTTAGCAGTTCCGTATCTGTTGGACACTTCACAAACATAGCTGCCTGAGTCCGAGGGGCGAATGTTCTCAATGAGCAGCCCCGTCACGGTCTTCTGGAACCTCCCTGAAAGTTCCAGGGGCATGTTGTCCTTCAGCCAGCGGTAATCTGGCTCAGGGTGCCCGAGCGCTTTGCAAGGCAGCTCCACACGCTGCCCAGCCATGGCTTTGCGATGGTCAAACCCATCCAGTATGGATGGGGCTGAGTTCGCTGGGTCTGTAGAAGAAATAAAAACTCTTAGAGGCAGGAATGAGGAGTTGAAGTGGTCATTTAGAATTGTAGGACTTCATGTATAACTTAAATACGGTGCATCATACCAACTATTGATACAGATCTTTAAGATTTTATAAGTGAACAGAAAAAGAAGTGCCCTATTCATACAATTTATTTTCTGCTCAGAATTTACAAAAGGTTGAACACTGGTCAGAGCTTCTGTTGGTCATTCCTCAGTAAATGAATAAAAGATCCAGAATGAGCAGGCTTCAACAAGAGCTGTCAGCTCAGGCCAAAAATCAGATTGTCTTTTCATAACTGGGAATGTCAGAATTCTCTTTAAAAGATCCTTAATGGGTACAAATATGCAATTTGAGATAAGAAATAAGACCTAGTGGTAGACAGATCAGTGGAATGACTATGGTTTGCAATTATGTATTGTATATTTCAAAATAGCTAAAACAGAAGAATTGAAATAATTATAGCTTAAAGAAAAGCCAAACATATAATGTGATGGATATCCCAAGTACACTGATTTGATTTTAACAAATTATATGAATACATTAAATTATCACATGTACCCCAAACTATATATCTATTATGCATCAATAAAATATCATAAAATTAATAAAATAAATATTTTTTAAGTTAGTGGCTCACTCTGTAGCTCAGGCTGGAGTGCAGTGGTGCAATGATTGCTCACCACAGTCTCAAACTCCTGGGCTCAAGTGATCCTCCTGCCTGGGCCTCCCAACATGCTGGGATTACAGGCATGCACCACCACACCCAGCCTAAATAAATTTAAACAGAAAAAAAGAGCAACACTAGGCCGGGCATGGTGGCTCAGGCCTGTAATCCCAGCACTTTGGGAGGCCAAGGCAGGCAGATCACGAGGTTAGGAGATCGAGACCATCCCGGCTAACACGGTGAAACCCCGTCTCTACTAAAAATACAAAAAATTAGCTGGGTGTGGTGGCGGGCGCCTGTAGTCCCAGCTACTCGGGAGGCTGAGGCAGGAGAATGGCATGAACCTGGGAGGCAGAGCTTGCAGTGAGCCGAGATAGCGCCACTGCAGTCCGGCCTGGGTGAAAGAGAGAAACTCTGTCTCAAAAAAAAAAAAAAAAAAAAAAAAAGAGCAACATAAGCAGAAATAGCTGTTTAACTTTAGTAAAATTTATTGCACAAAAGAGTTTTACACATAGCTTTTGAATTTTAAAACATTTTATTTATTCATTTCACAAATATGTTTTGATCCCTCAGTGTAGACCAGCACAGAGTTAGGGACTAAAGGGAGAGTGGTGGATGAGACAGGTGTCTTCCTGGAGCTCATGTTCTGTTGGGCGGGTGGTGTTGGGGAGCAAGCAACACATTAGCAAGCAAATAAAGATAATTTAGTTTGTAATAAGTGTAGTTAAAGAAAGAAAAAGAGGGCATAACAGAGAGTGAAGTCCACGTGCTATGGGTGTGGAGGCAGCCAGGAGGACTCAAGATATGGTCCTCAGGGACAGACTCTCTGAGAAGATGGTATTTGAGATAAGGTGAATGAGCACTACCGACAGCATGTGGCGTAGCAAGACAATGGATTAAAAAGCAGCAGCTTGCAAATGATCACTTATGACAGGGCCTTGTATAATTTTCCTGTTCTGTGACATCATCTTGAACCAGGTGAGGAAATTGATAAAATATTCTCAAGAACTGGGTCTGTGGAAACCACGCAGCTCAATGTCCTTCAAGTTTGTTTGAATGGAGTGATGTTCCCAAGGTCATAATCTTTGCATGACTATGAAGAATATAAAATACAGCACCTGATTGGATGCTAAACGTAAAACTCAGTGTTCTCACCCTGCTCTCTCTTCTAATTCAACCTGTTTAGAACTTGCATGAAACAATACCCTTGCATTCCACATGGATATTACAGAAACGTTATAGACTCCTGCTACCTGAAATTTTCTTGTCTTTGCCTCAGTGAGAAAAATGCCATGACTCTTTTGATCTACCTGCAATAAATCTGATGGCCAAGGAATGGATATTCACTGTCCTATCAAATGAGAGCCATCTGGAACTTTGTAATTTTGACGAACATCTCTATTCCCTGCTTCTCTGAGTTTGACTTTTTTAGATTTCACATGTATGTGAGAAAAGACAGTGTTTGTCTTTCTGTGCGTGGCTTACTTCACTAAGCACAATGCCCTTCAGGTTCATCCATGTCATTGCAAATGGGAAGATTTGCTTCCTTTTTTAAGGCTGAATAATATTCCTTTGTGTATATAGGAATGATATTCCTATGCATGTGTGTATATGTATATCAACACTTAAGTTTTTTTCATATTCTGGCTGTTGCGAATGATTCTGCAATAAACATGGGAGTGCAGATATGTAATTTCATTTCCTTTGGATATATACCCAGAGTGGGATTGCTAGATCATATGGTAGGTAAAAGGGTACAAAGCTTCAGTTATGCCAGATGAATAGATTCTAGAGGTTTACTATGCAGCACAGTGACTACAGTTAATAACACTATCTTACATACTTGAAATTTGCAAAGACAGTTGATCTTAAACATTGTCATCACATACACACACATACATACATACACACACAAATGTTAACTATGTGAGGCAATAGATATGTTATTTTGCTTGATAGTGATATATATATATATATATATGCACATTGTACATCACATTGTATACCTTAAATATATACAATTTTCATTTTTCAATACCTCAATTAACCTGGAGGAAAAATAAACTCTAGCCAAGGAGATGTAACAGGCGAAAATGTGTGGATTTGTAGGAAATTCTGCTTAAAGGCGACTTAGCTGGGAGGGGTGTTTTTATGCATTTTTCCTTTGCTTCTTTACATCACCTGGAAGGTGGATATAAAGGTAGGAGCTGCAGCAATCACTTTGGACTTTGAAATCATATTGAGAATGGAACTGCACGTGAGGATAATGGATCAGAAAGATAAAAGCCTGGTCCCTTGTGAAACTGAAGCTGGCAAACCAGCTTCTGGACTTATATACAAGAGAGTAAATTTCTGTTTTAATAAACAATAACATCAAAAAATCATTTATTAGTAGGAAGACTTCTTTAAGAGGCTGTGATTCCGTAGTCAGCCACTGAGGGCAGTCAGCAGGCACTGTTGAAAATAGAACAAAAACATTTAGCTGAAATGTCTTGGCTTTCTATTTCTTTTGTGATCATCAGAGATAAAACTTCATTATGAACTTGCTGCTCTTTTTACTTCACTGGTGTCTTATGACAGTGATATAATGAGGGAACCTAAATACTCTTTTAAAGAATACTTGATGAGCTTCCAGGACTCCTCTAATTCTTCATTAACTGAAGAATTCTATATTCCAGAATTACAGTCATTCATATGCATGACTATAGGGCTCCAGAAGGCAAGAGAGATATAAAAGTTTCACAATACCCAGGTACAGAGCCTGTGCCAGCAAAAACTTCATTGCTTCATTTACCTGCTTCTAAAGGAAATTACAAACGGACTTTGAAAAGTATTGGTTTGAAGATCAAGTTATGTTCCCATAGACTGAATAATTAAGTGGAGACAGGCCTAACCAATGATGTCTCACTGATCTCTGGCATCTTCTAGCATGAACCAAGAATCCAGAAAAATGGTTAGCTGTCTGCATCCATGTTACTGGAAGTATCATCACCTGCACACCCAATGGGTTCAGTGAACTAGAAGACACAAAGTTGTGCCTAAAGCCAGCTCCAGAAATGGTCCTGGACATCCTTAACCACATGGGATTTTTTAATTCCTAGTACACTAACTTGCAGACCATATAAACACCATTGCAATATTGTTTAGTAAGTAGAAATCACATCCAAGATAATATGTATTACTTGGGGTAAGCTTCTCTATTATTCTGAACTCTGTCTTCATTTAATTAAGAAATGTGAGAATTGGACACAGGAAGGGGAACATCACACACCAGGGCCTGTTGTGGGGTGCGGGGAGGGGGGAGAGATAGCATTAGGAGATATACCTAATGTTAAATAACGAGTTAATGGGTGCAGCACAACAACATGGCACATGTATATATATGTAACGAACCTGCACGTTGTGCACATGTACCCTAAAACTTAAAGTATAATAAAAAAAAACAAAAACAAAAAATGTGAGAATATAATGATAGCTCTCGTTCTTCAGTAATACAGATTTTAGTTACACTAGAGTGGAATATTGAAGATATTAGAAAGTACTATGAAAAAATAGCTGCAAAATCTGTCATTTTACTTAGAGTAGGAAGTAGAAGTAGAGTTGGAGAAGGTGGCACAAAGATGTCACCCCTTTGGCAGGGGTGGCTGACAATAAACACCACAGTGTGCACCTCTGACTTTCTTTGCAGAATAATCCCACAATCTCTGAAAATGAAATGCACCAACTTCTAATGCTATTCATAAAAAATCAACTCTCAATGACTGCACTTAAAAAGTTTTATTCTAACTGAAACTTGGCAGAAATTTCTCAAATATGCTTAAGATAGTGCTATGTAATTCTAATGACATTTTTAAAAAATGGCTGAGACAACTGGATATCCACATGGAAAATAATTTAGAACCTTGCCTCACACTACCTACAAAAATTAACTCAAAATGGATTATGGCCTAAATATAACAGCTAAAACTATAAAAACTTTTAGAAGAAAACATAGGGAAAATATCTTCATGACCTTGAAGAGTTCTTAGGCATAACACTAAGAAAACAAGCAAAAACAGAAAAAATCAACATAATAAACTTCTTCAAAATTAAGAACTGGCCCAGTGCGGTGACTCACGCCTGTAATCCCAGCACTCTGGGAGGCCGAGGCAGGCAGATCACATGAGGTGAAGAGTTCAAGACGAGCCTGGCCAACATGGTGGAACCCCGTCTCTACTAAAAATACAAAAATTAGCCAGGTGTGGTGGCATGAGCCTGTAATCCCAGCTACAGGCAGAGGCAGGATAATAGCTTGAACCCGGGAAGCGGAGGTTGCAGTGAGCCAAGATCATGCCACTGCATTCCAGCCTGGGCAACAAAGCAAGACTCCATCTCGAAAAAAAAAAAAAAAAATTAAGAACTGTAGCATTTTCAAAGGCACCATTTAGAAAGTGAAAAAAAATTGAAAATCATATTTCTAATAAAGAACTCAAATCCAAAAAATATTAAAAATGCTTATATCTCTATAATGAAAAGAAACAACCCAATCAAAATGGGCAAAATAGTTGACTATTTTACATCACCAAAGAAGATACACAAATACCTAATCAGTACACAAAAAGATGCTCAATATTACTAGGCATTAGGGTAATATGAATTAAAATCACAGTAAGACATGACTTCACACCCATTAGGATGACTGCAATAAAATCACAAACAATGCTGGTGAAGATATGGGGACCTGGAATCTTCATACATCGTTGGTGGAAGGTAATATATACTTACATATGCACACATATACATCTCACGTAAAAATGGCTTGCTGGAGTGCCAGCCTTCACATCCACATCACAGCAAAAATGCTTAAGAATGCCCCCTCAGTGAAGTCACTTTTAAGCAGAATTTCCTACAAACCCACACATTTTTCTCCTCTTACATCACATTGGCTAGAGTTTATTTTTTCCCCAGGTGTATTGTGGTATACTTGCCAAATAAAAGCAGCCAAAACAAGTTGGCATTTTCTTAAAGTGTTTAAACTTCAATTTGCCATAAGGCCCCAAGTTCTAGGTATCTACCCTAAATGAATGAAAACATGTTCACTCAAAGACTTAGGTACAAATGTCCATAGCAGGATTATTCATAATCAAAAAGTGGAAACAACCCAAATATTCATAATTTAGTGAATTGATAACCAAATGCAGTATTTACAGATGAGCAAATGCTCTCCAGCAACAAGAGAGAATGAATGACTAATACATGTAACAACATGGGTGCTGCATGAAAGAAGGCAGACACAAAATCCATATATCAATTTATGTGAAATATCCAGAAAATGCAACTCTACAGAGACAGACCATAGATTAGTGGTTGTCTGGGACTGGGGATGGACATTGAAATTGGCTTCAAACGGGTAGGAGGAATCTTTTGGGTGGTGAAAATATTCTAAAATTAAATTGGCGTAATTGTGGCACGACTCCATGCATTTACTAAAATTATTGAATTGAATAAACCGGATGGAGTTTATATTAAAGTAAACTACCTCTCAACAAAACTGTTTTACGAAACCTGAATGAGGTATTTATTTTTTTATTTCAACTTTTATTTTAGATATAGGCGGTATATGTGCAGATTTGTTACATGGGAATATTACGTGATGCTGAGGTTTGGAGTAGAGATCCTGTTCCTCAGGTAGTGAGCATGGTACTTCATAGGTAGTCTTTTTTTTTTTTTTTTTTTTTTTTTTGAGACAGAGTCTCGCTCAGTTGCCCACGCTAGAGTGCAGTGGCGTGATCTTAGCTCACTGCAAGCTCTGCCTCCCGGGGTTCACACCATTCTCCTGCCTTAGCCTCCCGAGTAGCTGGGACTACAGGCGCCTACCACCACGCCCGGCTAATTTTTTTTGTATTTTTACTAGAGGCGGGGTTTCACCGTGTTAGCCAGGATGGTCTCTATCTCCTGACCTTGTGATCCGCCCATCTAGGCCTCCCAAAGTGCTGGGATTACAGGTGTGAGCCACTGTGCCTGGCCCTTGATAGGTAGCTTTTTAACCTAAACTCTCTGCCTTCCACAGTCTAGTGTCCACAGTGTCTATTGTTCCTGTATTTGTGTCCATGTGTGGTCAATATTTAGCTCTTACTTATAAGTGAGAACATGAGGTACTTGGTTTTCTGTTCCTATGTTAATTTACTAAGAATTATGGCCTCCAGCTCCATCCACATTGCTGCAAAGAATGAGATTTCATTCTTTTTTATGGCTTTCCAGTATACCATGGTGTATATGTACCACATTTTATTTATCCAATCTACCATTGATGGACACCTGGGCTGATTTCATGTCTTTGCTATTGTGAATAGCCCAGCGATGAACATACAAGTGCATATGTCTTTTTGGAAGAATGATTTATTTTCTTTTGGATATATTACTCAGTAATGGGATTGCTGGGTCAAATGGTAGCTCTATTTTAAGTTCTTTGAGAAATCTCCAGTCTGCTTTCCACAATGGCAGGACTAAGTTACTTTACCACCAGTAGTGTATAAGTGTTCCCTTTTCTCTGCACCCTCACAGCATCTGATGTTTTATATTTTAAGTGCATGATTGAAGCAATGCTTGAGACAGGCTCTTGTGGGGATATTTGGTCATATATCAAATCTGAATAACCGAACGGCATTGTCTTTCATTTTCATCCCCTTCAAATTTTTTTTTGTCTCAAAGTCTTCAAACTTTTATATATATATATATATTACAAAAATTATTTTTACCCCAAACATTTGAAAACGTACAGAAAAGTAGACAAAAATAATATGACGCATCCCATATATTCATCATATTAATGGCTCTGGCACCAAACCTTTTCTATTTTTCGTCATGTTTATTTCTTGATAGTTTTACTTTGTTTTTGGTGGTAAAGTATATGCAACAAAAGGGAAACTATAGGCTGGGTGCAGCGGCTCACGCCTGTAATCCCAGCACTTTGGGAGGCCGAGGCAGGGGGATCACAAGGTCAGGAGATCGAGCCCATCCTGGCCAACATGGTGAAACCCTGTCTCTACTAAAACACAAAAAATTAGCTGGGTGTGGTGGTGCATGCCTGTAGTCCCAGCTACTCAGGAGGCTGAGGCAGGGGAATCACTTGAACCCGGGAGGCAGAGATCGAAGTGAGCTGAGATTGTACCACTGCACTCCAGTGTGGCAACAGAGTGAGACTCCATCTCAAAAACAAACAAACAAACAAACAAACAACAACAAAAAACAAAAAAGGGAAGCTATGTCATTTTATCATTACATGACTAGCATGTTTCCCTAATAAAAATACGGTTTTGTTACATAACCACAGTCAGTATTACATAATATCAAGTATTATACACTCCCAATTCATTTTTCCTCATCAGCTCAAAAGTGGCTAGCTTTTAAACAATTGAATTAATTAAATCAAGATCCTTCTCTTGCTCACATGCAGTTGTTACATCTCTTGAGTGTTTCTTAATGCAGAGCTAGCCCTCCTCCTTTCTCCCATGTATTTGACTTGGCTTTTTAAAGAAACCAGGTATGATGTTCCCCCTCCTGTGTCCATGTGTTCTCATTGTTCAATTCCCATCTATGAGTGAGAACATGCGGTGTTTGGTTTTTTGTCCTTGCGATAGTTTACTGAGAATGATGATTTCCAATTTCATCCATGTCCCTACAAAGGACATGAACTCATCATTTTTTATGGCTGCATAGTATTCCATGGTGTATATGTGCCACGTTTTCTTAATCCAGTCTATCATTGTTGGACATTTGGGTTGGTTCCAAGTCTTTGCTATTGTGAATAGTGCCGCAATAAACATACGTGTGCATGTGTCTTTATAGCAGCATATGTACCCTAAAACTTAAAGTATAATAATAATAAAAAAAAAGAAACCAGGTAGTTACCATGCTGAATTTGCTTGTCCATGTCATCATTTAACTTGTTCCGTTATTGCCATAGGCATTTTTCTTATGAACTGGAATTTATTTCAGTGGGTTGGTTAGATAAGTGTTCAACCTCTCTCTCTTTGAGAGGGGTGCTGTGCACTTCACATTGCTTCCACAAAATGTATGGTTTTCCCGTTCTTAGTGACACTCAATTGTTCAGTGAGGTCAGATGTTAAAATTTATCTGAGCTATTTTGCTAAGGTTGAAAATGGAATTTTCTAATTGTGTCATTTCGTTCGCATTCAGTAGATATAATTATTCTGCAGAATGAACTTTCCCTTCTGAACTAAGGTTATTTGGTTATCTTAAAATACAGCAGCTATAGGAAAGACAATACATTTAGTGGTTGTTGTCTTTAATCATCTGTTATCAGAATGAAGAGTTAGTGCCCTGGTTTCTACTATGCAGACCAATAAGATTCTTCTTTCTTTCTTTATATGAAATATATATGCAGGTGTGCATATGTAAGTATATATGTACATATGTGTATATATCTATATATACACACACATGTATGTATAAAATTAAAATGAACTCAAAGGTTTTCAAAATATTTAATGGTTATCAATCATGTGCAAGCATCACTGCTGATACTCAATTCATCCCCTTTGGCTGACGAGAGCCGCTTTATGTTGATTCCTATGTCATTTTGACAAGACCCCATTCATGTTTCAGACTCACCTCAGACATTTCCTGCCTCAGACCTTCAATCAGCCACTCCTCCAAGAAGCCATGGTCCCTTTTAGTAGTGAATTATATTTAAAAGAATCTACAATCTAGATGTTAGAGGGGCTTGTTGCTATTGTTTGCTCATCACTTCTGGGACTTCTCAGTGGAAAGACTGAAAATTCATACTTTTTTTTTGAAGTGTGTACCAATAGTTTTTTGTGTTCTTTTTTTTTTTTTTTTTTGAGATGGAAGTTCACTCTTGTCACCAGGCTGGAGTGCAATGGTGCCATCTTGGCTCACTGCAACCTCTGCCTCCTGAGTTCAAGCAATTCTCCTGCCTCAGCCTCCTGAGTAGCTGGGATTACAGGCACCCACCACTATACCTGGGTAATTTTTGTATTTTTAGTAGAGATGGGGTTTCATCATGTTAGCCAGGCTGGTCTTGAACTCCTGACCTCAAGTGGTCTGCCTGCCTCGGTCTCCCAAAGTGCTGAGATTACAGGTGTGAGCCACCACGCATACCACAAATACCAATAGTTTCTATTGGAATTTGACATTTCAAGGATTTTATGCATTTTTTAAAATTTAGGGAAAGGACTTCATGTCTAAAACACCAAAAGCAATGCCAACAAAAGCCAAAATTGACAAATGGGATCTAATTAAACTAAAGATCTTCTGCACAGCAAAAGAAACTACCATCAGAGTGAACAGGCAACCTACAGAATAGGAGAAAATTTTTGCAATCTACTCATCTGACAAAGGGCTAATATCCAGAATCTACAATGAACTCAAACAAATTTACAAGAAAAACAAACAACACCATCAACAAGTGGGCAAAGGATATGAACAGACACTTCTCAAAAGAAGACATTTATGCAGCCAAAAGACACATGAAAAAATGCTCATCATCACTGGCCATTAGAGAAATGCAAATCAAAACCACAATGAGATACCATCTTACACCAGTTAGAATGGTGATCATTAAAAAGTCAGGAAACAACAGGTGCTGGAGAGGATGTGGAGAAATAGGAACACTTTTACACTGTTGGTGGGACTGTAAACTAGTTCAAACATTGTGAAAGTCAGTGTGGCGATTCCTCAGGGATCGAGAACTAGAAATACCATTTGACCCAGCCATCCCATTACTGGGTATATACCCAAAGTAATATAAATCATGCTGCTATAAAGACACATGCACACGTATGTTTATTGAGGCATTATTCACAATAGCAAAGACTTGGAACCAACCCAAATGCCCAACAATGATAGACTGGATTAAGAAAAAGTGGCACATATACACCATGGAATACTATGCAGCCATAAAAAATGATGAGTTCATGTCCTTTGTAGGGACATAGATGAAGCTGGAAACCATCATTCTCAGCAAACTGTCGCAAGGACAAAAAACCAAACACCGCATGTTCTCACTCATAGGTGGGAATTGAACAATGAGAACACATGGACACAGGAAGGGGAACATCACACACCGGGGCCTGTTGTGGGATGGGGGGAGGGGGGAGGGATAGCACTGGGAGATATACCTAATGTTAAATGACGAGTTAATGGGTGCAGCACACCAACATGGCACATATATACATATGTAACATACCTGTACGTTATGCACGTGTACCCTAAAACTTAAAGTACAATTAAAAAAAAGTGTATATATATATATATATACACACACAGTAGTATATATACATATATATATATACACACACTAGTATATATACATATATATATATATATATACACACATACATATATATACACACTAAGGCACATCTGTTCTCTTAGAGCTTAGGATAAAAAGTACATATGTAAAGTATTTAGAAATAATTATTTCAGTTGTATAAATGCCTTACATTTTTGTTATATTTCAAGAATTTCTATAAATTTTCAAGAATTATAAAAGAATTTCATACTTTTATTTTTCTCTTATACTGAAAATAAAAATAAAAATAACATAAACATAATCACTTTTCACTTATCCCACTATATATGCTACTATAAATAAAAATGAGTATCTATAATATATAATATATAAACAAATATATTTAATGTGATGATTAATATTGAGTGTCAACTTAATTGGATTGAAGGATGCAAAGTATTGTTCCTGGGTGTGTCTGTGAGGGTGTCACCAAAGGAGATTAACATTTGAGTCAGTGAACTGGGAGAGGCAGACCCACCCTCAATCTGGGTGGGCACCATTAATCAACTGCCAGTATGGCTAGGATAAAAGCAGGCAGAGGAACATGGAAAGACTAGACTGGCTTAGTCCTCCAGCCTACATCTTTCTCCCGTGCTGGATGCTTCCTGCCCTTGAGCATCAGACTCCAAGTTCTTCAACTTTTAGACGCTTGGACCTTCGACCACAGACTGAAGGGTGCACTGTTGGCTTCCCTACTTTGAAGGTTTTGGGAATTAGACTGACTTTCTTTCTCCTCAGCTTGCAGACGGCCTATTGTGGGACTTTACCTTGTGATCACGTGAGTCATTACTCCTTAATAAACTCTACTTTATATATACATCTATCCTATTAATTCTGTCCCCCTAAAGAACCCTAATACATATATAGAGACTAGACTCCAATTTTTACCTTCTAGACACTACTAACCTTTCAGAAGAGTTGCTCATCTTCTCGGAGTTTCAGCAATCTCCTCTAAAACTGTCCCTACTGAAAAGGCAGTCCTCAATACCAAACTCACTTCTTGTGGCTGTTTTCCTCTGGAATTTGGTCCTGTAAGTTTTCACTCTAGCTCCTAACAGCCATGAGCAGATGTTTTTTACACATTTAACAAGTCTTTCTAGTTATCCTCAGAGAAAGAATGACTTGTCCAAATAACTAGCCCTAGCACAGAAATCAAGACCATTTTAAAAAATATTAGGTCAGTTTGTCTATTTTACTGACTTTTTTTTTAAAGAAAAAACTTGTTTATTACATTTACTGTTCTTTTGGTCTATTTTCTATTTCATTAGTCTGTTTATATTCTCCCTTAGAAGTAACTTGAACTTATTTTCTGGCTGTCTAAATGATATTTTTCTTTATCTTTACAGCTCAAAAATTTTATTAGACTATGTTGCATGTTGACCATTCTGGGTCCATTTTTCCAGGTAGGGTTGTGCCATTTTAATATGTAGTCATTATGCATTCTTTTTAATGACAGGAGACTTTTTTTGAATTAGTGTTTTATTATTAATACTTATTCTCATCAATTGCTTGGCTTTCTTTTTAAGAGAATTTAGTTATACATGTGTTTCATCATCTTTGTCAGACATCTATACATTTTTAACTCTATTTGTCTTATTCCTTAATATTTTTGATTTCCCATATTATGCTTTCTGTTGTGTTTATCCTCTGATGTGTTCCCTGTCATTTCATTTTAATTTTAGAACTCTTCATTTTTCTAACTTTTTCCAAAATATGCCACTTTTTGTTTCACAGATTTGTGTTGTTTCATCATTTTATTTCTGATTTATACTGCTCTTTCAAAGCTTTAATCATTTCAAACAAAAAAATATAGTTTTCATATGATTTGTCAGTATTTTTTGTAGTTACTTATAATCAAAACTTTTTTAAAAATTTTCATTCTTTTTCTTGTGATAAAGTTGTGTTGGGTTAAATCTTTTTCCTTTTTGTTTCATTTTACAATAAGATAGAGATTCTTAGTTAATTAGGAGAAGGTTCCTGCAGGAGAGGATGAAATGAGTATATTTTTCCAGTCTTCTCCCTTGATATTACCTTCAAGGACTCGACATTTAGCCCATCTCTCAGAGCTATATGGGATTGAACTGTATGGGCTTCCACTTCTGGCCATGTGTTTCCTAGAACACTGTTTTTTACATTCTAAGGCTGTGCGTGTTGTATTTTCTTTTGCAGTATTTCATAGGATGGAATTCTCTAGGGCCTCCCCTGGTTCCCGAGCCTTCTCTGTTACTCTTTGTATTCTACTCTGGCTCAATTTGATTTCTAAATTGAGCCGTTCCCCTGAGAGTGAGTCTCTGTTCTTCTGAAAGGAGTACTTGCTGAGTACTTCCACTATCTTCAAGGACATAGACCATCACTGGCCTGTGCAAACATTACCAGCCACTCTAATGGCCTTGTGACTCATCTCCAACCTAGACCTCATGCAGTTCTATCCCAGTGTTGTGAGGACTCTAAGACACAAAGAATTCTCCTCTGCTTTTGGAGATGGGGACCCGTTGGTTATTTGCAGTTTTCTGACACTACCATAAACCCAACAGGCTGACCCCTTCTACTGCCTTCCACCTCTGCTGCTGGTCCTGTTGTTGCCAGTAATCCAGTTGTGTTGAAGGTGCCATCCATGTACTTTTTTCTTTGTCATCCTATTTTATCTGTGTTGGTTTCAGGAGGAGTTTGGGGTCAAACACCAACATGTTTCCACCATGACCCAAACTCCAGATGTACATTTTTCAGTATATTTAAATCTAATTTAAAATGAAATTAATTTCTCTTTTCCTTCAAAGCTTGACATGTTAGAAATGCATTCTGTATTCAGTGTCTACAGTCTCATCTTTTAGCATTAACAAATTTCTTCCTCAACTGCTTTATTAAAATTTCAATGACAAAAAATATTGAGTTATTTTCCACATATGGTAGACTCTCATATGAGCCTTTTTGTGGCATGTGACTCTGTGGACCCCTCCCTTCTCCTGGCATCTATCACCTCCCTGTCTTCATCTATACTGTTAGTCCTGAATGCTCAGTCTTATTCCTTGGCTACTTTTCGGCAGGTGGCTTAGTGTATGATATTCCCTGGCTGGATTATACATTGTTGCTCTCACTTTTCCAATGCTCACTAGGCAATCCTAGGACTCCCATGGTGACAAAATGCTTGTGACTACTTCTGTCCATTTTTGAAACATTAGTGAATCACTCCAAAACAAAAAATGAACAAACATCGTGGGATTAAGGAAAGTAAACTTGCCTTTCCAACCCTGAGAGATACATTTAAAAATCAACACTTGATGATTCAGCATGAAGATAAAAAAGGTCACCTGAAACAGAAAGACGGGCTCTTAGATCATCACCACTTATGTCATCATTTGGAGGGAGAAATGCTTATTTACTAATTTTGCGAATCCCAAATTAATTTTATATCAGGATCCCCCTCCTACCTCGAATCCTTCCCCTTTCTTTTCTGAACATGCCATTAGAAAATTTCTCTTTAACACAAAGAGGACGTTTTCTAGGATTTTCTGAATAAGCAGAATATTGTGCTCTCCTTAAAGCTATCATGGACTAAGATGATAGTTATTATTCATTTTCTAATTCATTTTTCCCCCAAAAGACATGATAACTATAAAAGCAAGGGAGAAAATAGCAATTGACTTGTAAAAGAACAGATAAAGAAACAAAAATACTTGCAAGTTCAAAGGAAAACTAATTTAATTCTGACTTGTATTTGTGCTGGACCTTGAAAGACTATTGGCTATTTTGAAGATGTAAGTGATGAAGAGAAAAATCCCAACAGTACATTATCAAGGACAAAAAGTGGGTGCTCAGGCAGTGATGTTTTAAATTATTCCAATGTTCAACAAGTTCCCTTCACTTCTTCCCATAAAGCATTATTACAAATAAGGTACTTCTCAAATATTGATAGCAAGCAACCTTTGGTCACTTCCATCTCACTATTACAACCTTATAGGATATTTACCACAGGGGGGCAATTTTATATTCTTCAGCTACAAAGGCAAAGGTTGGGTATTTTGTATTTGGTTTTATAATCAAATCAAATGCAATTTGACTGCATTTGAGATGGATATTTGGGATGGAGATGGATCTTTCACTCCTAATGTGCTCCCTGAAATGCTAACGCATCATTATGTGAATGTGTCAATTACTGGTTTGACAAATGTGAAATCTGTATTTCTATGAAATTGTACTCATATTCATTTAAAAGAGTTTTAAAATTCCTAAAATATTTTGGAAAAGGAATTGAAGGCTCCATTTTAGTGGCAACACTCCACAATTTTGATTGAGTCGTCTCAGGACACTAACAAAGAAATAGCAGACATAGCAGACAGAGTCTTGATAAGTTTTTACCTGATACAAAAAGTCTGGCGCTGTTGCTCTGCCTCGTCTCTCCGGTGTATCGATGCCGCGTGATGCAGCGGTAGTTATACAATCCATCTTCATTCTGTACATCTTTAATATACAAGGCTCCCGTGGATGTGATGAGAAATCTAGATCCTGAAATAGAGGAAAACAGTGGCTTGGTTAAAAGACAATGAAAGCAACCCAACCACACAGACAAAGTCCTTAAACAGTTTTTTTTTTCCCCCACCTGAAGAAACTTAATGAAAAGGCTAAAAATGGGTGCGTGCGTCTGCGTGTGTGTGTGTGTGTGTGTGTGTGTGTGTGTGTGTCAATTAAGGGTCCAAGCTGTTTTAATTTTTTGACTAGCCTACATTAAGGGTTTTTAGTCCTTATGCTATACAATAAATATATACTTAGCAAATCTAACCTCATAAACTTTTTTTTAGATCATGCATTTATCTTACAGCAACGAAGTTGTCATATAATTGGTATATACCGAACACAGAAGATTTTCTTGGATCATTACATTTCCCTTAGAATGTGACAAATTAAGGGAATATTAACTTTTTGTTGCACATCTCTAGCTTATGAAAGTATAAACTTTTGCCTCAGTTTAAAATGTTTCAATAAAAGCACAAAAATATTAGACTACAAAGCAATAAAATATTCTACAAACTTCCCCTAAAAAGGCTGTCTTATTTCCTCACATTAATAACCAATATTTATCACTATATTCTATGACACATATCAATTCTTCCCAGATTCAGTGTTTTAGAATACTCTGTTATTTCTTAATCACTAATTTTTAAAGGGACTGTTCAAATCACTAACAATAACAATTTTCACCTCAAGAAAAAAAATTCATGATCAGTCATTCCCCATTATGTCAGCACAAAACAATGTCCTATCTGTAACCTCTAATTTTTACCGGTAAAGCTTCAGTTGAACAGAAAGGGCCAACATTGAGATCAAATATCAGTGTTAGTTTAAGAGGGCAAAAATGTTTTTTTCCCTTTGAAAATGTAACTTTTAAAGATATTTTTCGCTGTTCAATTTTAATTGGCTGATAAAACAAGTTGGAGCATAAAGGTAAAATGTAAATGATCATCGTAAGTGGATTCTATAATTTCCCTAAGATAATAAAATTTCTGGTCTTTTACTTTAAAAAAAAAAAAAAAGTAGAGCTGAGAGTGCCTCATTGCACCTTCCCGGTGGGTAACTCAGTACACCTCCTGCCACCGTTAGACTCTTCTATGGGCTATTTCTGCATGTGATGTGATTCCACTAGAAAGAATGTGATTTTTATCTTTGAAAAAAGACTAAAATGCCAAATAATCAACTTTTATTGCTTATTTTTCTCAGGTTCAGTTGAAACATCCTTTAGTTTATTTCAGTCAGAATTTCCAGGAGTCTTAGCTTCATTGCTTTTGAGCTTTACATATTTAAATTGTAAAGATAATTTCTTGGTCATTTTCTGCAGTAACTACACATCATGCATAGGTCAGTTTCTCAGATAAATTAAAAATGGTTTATGGTTTTTTTTTTTGAGATAAGGTCTGGCTGTATTATCCAGGCTGTGGTGCAGTGGTATCATCTCAGCTCACTGCAGCCATCACCTCCTGAGCTCAAGCAATCCTTCCACCTCAGCCTCCCGAATAGCTGGAACTATGGGAGTGGGCCATCACACCTGGCTAATTTTTGTATTTTTTTATAGAGACGAGATCTCACCATGTTGCCCAGGCTGGTCTTGAACTCATGAGCTCAAGTGATCCACCCGTCTTGGCCTCCCAAAGTGCCAGGGAGTGTAATCCCTCCCAAAGTGGGATTACAGGCATGAGCCACCATGCCCAGCCTAAAAATGATTTATGAATTATCATGAGTTAGGAGTAATTCCAAAGAACACAGATGTGAAAAAGATCATAAAATAACAGAGCAAATACTGACCTTGTATAAGCTTTTCAAAGGAGCGCAAATTAATTATTAAAGGTAGTATAAAATATCTTTAAAGTAATATCTATATTAACTTTCCAAACAATTCCAGTTAGACATTTAGTTTAAAATATGCCATAAATAATGCTAGCTATTAGAGAAGCTGAAAAATCTCCTAATGCTGTATATTCCAGATAATTTTGCTTTATTATTCCCCAAAATGAAAGCAACTAAAAATACCTTTTACCACTTGTCATGTGTCATCACACACCAGCCTTTCTTATGATACACATTGTGTATAATGGAAACATTATTTCTCTTTCAATATATTTTGCATACTTACATAATGCTTTAATAATCAGTTCCTTTAAAGTACAGTTTGATAGACAGAAAGGAAAGTCAAAAAAAAAAAAAGATGATGTATGTAATTCCTGTCACCTTCTTAGCGTGGAGTATTTTCATTAGAATTGATAGGCCATGAGTGGTGGCAAAATACAAGTGGGAAGGATTTTGTGTGCCATTTTCCAGAAAGGTTGAGAAATGCACACAGATAGCAGCAGCCTGCATTATTACTGATTCCAGAGAGGGCTCTATTCTCTAGGAACATTTTGTTCTTGTAATATCTAACATTTTTTTCGTTTACCCACTTACGTTAAATAAGGCTTTAGGGCGTATCATTTCAGAAGAACTTGAACCTTTGATTGTCTTAAGCATTTTTTGAGATGTTTACAGGAATGAAGGAGTTGACATTAACTGAGTTTCTGTGCGTAAACCCATTTAAGCCTAGCGTTTCATTATTGGAACGCTAAGCATGTGGCAATTATTTATTTCCTGCTGCTCAAGGTCATTGCCAAGGTCTGATTGCAAAAATTTAAAAAATTGCAACCTCAGGCATAAATGGGTTAATTTGACCTCCTTTGTCTAGTCCTTCATTTCTCAATTTATCTCATCTTGAAATTGATCAACATTTTAAAACATAAAATAAGGTTGAAAAGTAGGATCTTTTAATTATGAGAGGAACAGGTAAGTCCAGGGTCCTTGGGTACAGTCTCAACTCAGGAGTCCTGTGGAACTATCAAGGGACAACAAGGACACAGCTAAGTCATTAGAGCACCAAATATGTCAGCCCTGTGGTAACAAGGAATCATTTTAACTGCTCCCTAACTTGCCACTGTACCCCACTTGCTACCTTATGCCACCAAAGGTTTCCATGTCATATGGATTAAATGGTTTGTTCATGTCCTTCAATGGGATTAATGGATGTGCTTCTGTTAAAATAGGCAAATGTTTAAATACAATTTATTGGCAGCAAAAAGTGCAAACACACAATTCTGTCTCATTCTGTCTCCCTTTGTGTGTCTTTCTGTTTTATTTTCCTTGGAATACTATTAGCATTTTAACCGGACACAGTTCTAAAACATAGTTCATACTTTTTGTCATGTTAGACACACTGCAATTTAGAGCCTACTGAACAGGGAATGATTTTTGGATTTTGAGTCATCATTTTGGACATCGATTATTGAGCCATGCTGCTCAGTTACCAGAGGGATGTCTCAGAAGCTATGTGGCATCTCAAGATGCATGGAATGGTCCCAGACTGCCAGATGTTCAAGTCTCTGAGCTTGTCTTTATTAGCTTTTCTGCTTCCTCCTTTACTATCCAGCTGTTATATGTTACTTCCCTTTGTTATCAGTATCTTTGTCAACACACAGTGTGATGCATTCAGTATGCTGAGAGTTAGAAAACAGACATATCAAGGCTTTTAGGACTTTGTATAAACTAAGAGTAAATAGGTTATGAGCAAGTAACATAGTGGTTTTCCAACATCAGTTAACATGAGCTTACATGTTAGTGCCACTAAAATAAATCCAGCGCTTGGTGTCAGTTCAGTCAGCCTGGTTAAGATTAGCATAGGGGCCAGTGGGATATTTCTATGTAGGGACACAAAACTACCAAAGAAAATGGGGCATTAGCCCAGTAGGAAAATGTTGCAGAAACCCTCAGATTTGGAGTTCTACAGCCACGTTCTTCCCATTGTCACGGAGCTGAGCCGCAAAAAACACTCATAGAGCAGTGGGTTCTGAAACTCAGGCACAACACCATTTTGGGTTTTCTTCAAAGGCAGATATTAAAATAGCAGCAGTTCTAGAAATCTATTTTGCTGAACTATGGGTTGTTAATGCTGAAAGTCAGATCTTTAAGATCTGAGCCGCAGAAAGCAGGCATGCATGATCTCCAGAAAGAGGCACATCAGAGTTGATTCTAGAAACCAGCAGGTGTTATAGGTGGTCAGGAAACAGAGCCAAGTGATGCACCCATTCGTTGGACCAGCACTGTCCTAGGCTCCAGAAATGCAAAAAGGAGAGAGACAGCCCCTATCTCTAGGGAGCTTATAATCTAAACAGATTTGAGCCTTTGGGTTTAGGAACATCCCAAGAAGTTGAGGAAAAAGGATAGAAGGGAAGAACCTGGAGAGCAATCAAGGAAGTGGCATTGTCCTTGTCTCCCTGGGATGAAGGGGCTACTGATACCCAGGGAGGAAAACTGGTATTTATCCCCATACCTGCTTTTATCCTTGTGTGTTATTCTAATACAAATACTTAATTTTATATGTTAAAGTCCTCATCATTAATGTGCTTGTTCAATCTTCTCAGCTAACTTTTTCTTGTTCTTATGAAGAATCAAATTAAAAGATTTTCCCTGGTTTGAGGTGCAATAAGCTCATCCACTTTGAGAGATTTCTCAGTGTGGAAGAAAAAACCTGGGCTTTGGAAGCCAGTGGATCTGAACTACAAAACGGTCCTTGTCCCTTTCCAGCTGTGTGGCCTCAGTCTAGTCATTTAACTCTAAACTTTGCTTTCTTCATCTAGAAAAAAGAGAGATGATGAGTAATCTCTTTGTTCTGCTGTTGAAGATCAAATTAAAATGCATTTATGTCATCTAGCAGATAGTCATGCATCTACTGCACAGCAGAGTGACTAAGCTGAATAATAATGTATTCTATATTTCAAAATAGCTCAGAGAGTAAATTTCAAATCACAAAAAAAGGGATAAGTGAGGTGGTAGATATGTTCATCATCTTGATGTAATCATTTCACATCGTGTATACACATAGGTGTGTATATATAGACACATACAAAATCAACACATTGTACCCAATAAATGTATATAACTTTTCAATTGAAAAAAATATTAATAAATAAAAAATTAAATTGGTATCTATCCTAGTAAATGCCATGTTTGTTATTCTGCTGTTCTGGACAATCCACAGGTGTATAAAATGTAGCCTTTGTGAGCCAGACAGGGAAGATCCCACTGACATAAACATAGCAGGGCCCCCTTTCAATTGCTTGTTTGCTTACTTATGAAAGGCAACCGCATATATTAAAGAAAGCATCTGAGTGGTAATGATGTAGATGAATTTTACATCATAATTCTGCCATTTGGAGCTATTTCACCACAGGCAAAATATTTACTAAACCTCTGAGCCAATGTCACATGACAGAGCATTGGTAAACATAGAAAGATATACTGAGTCCATGGAGTATTTTTGTATACCCCAGTGAAAGGCTTGGGGAAAGGAGGATCACAGACATCTGCTATGAACTGAATGTTTGCATCTGCACAAAATTTATATGATGAATTCTTAATCCCCAATATGACAGTATTTGGAAATAAAGCTTTTGGGAAGTAATTAGGTATAGGTGTGATTATAAGGGTGGGACCAGACCTCACTTTCTCTTTCCGCCCTGTGGGATCGCAGTGAGAAGGCGGCTGTCTGCAATCCAGGAAGGGAGCCCCCATCAGGCACCAAATCTGCCAATACCTTGATCTTGGACTTCCCAGCCTCCAGAACAGTGAGAGATAAATTTTTGTGGTTTAAGCCTCCCAGTCCATGCTATTTTGTGATAGTAGCCCAAGCTGACCAAGATATTATCTTCAGAAGTCTTTTCCACAGTAGAAATGGATATTCACAGAAACTCAGGGACTTTCCCCAAAATCATTATCATGTTACTTGAACAATTCTCCCTGGCATATCTGTTAGTATCTGAGTATAAAAAAAATATCCTGAAGTTCTCAAAATTAATCATTTCTTGTCCATCATATTTTATCTAACAGGAAGGCCCTCTGCTTCTACCTCCAAAATATATCCTGAATCCATCCACTTTCCTCCCTCAACACTGTACCACACACATCTAAGGATTGTAGCTTTCAAACTCTCTGTGTCCACTTCTGCTTCCCTACAATTTAATCTCTATTCAACATGCATGAGCATTTAGCAATATACATCATTTAGTGCCTTGATGGAATCCCACTAGACCTAACCACTTATGATGGTCTATGATAGTTTGGGCTTTGGCCATATCTCCAAAAGCTTCCACTCCACTCTCTCCTTCTTCCACCATACCCAGGCCATGCTGTACTTCTTTTAATTGCTCTGACTGGAGGCTCTGAGCCCAGATCTCTCCCTGGATGGGTCCTTCTTGTCATCCTGGCCTCAGTTTTTAAGTCAAATTTCCAGCAAAGTCACATGATCATGGTCATTCATGATGAGAGACTTGGTTTTATTATACCTGTATGTGACGTTATCTTGTACATGTGCATGAGATTGGTTTAACATTTCCCTCCTTCATCTAGAATAGCAAGAACTCATTTTGTCTTGTTCAACATTTCATCTCCATTACATAGAACAGTACTTGGCTATGACATCCTAAAATATTTGTTGAATGCATGCATGGGTGGATGAAACAGTCTATTATTGCTTGTATTCAAAACATCCTTTCCTAGGTCTCAGTAAAAAGAAAGCTAAAGTACCTTTTTTTAGATTTCGGCACATTTCCTCATGTAGACTGCATAAAAAGAGTTTGTTCTCCTCCAGAGATGAATATATTCTTATATGAAAATGAGCATATTTTAAGATTGTGATGAATTATTCTTTCATTATGCTCCCTGGCTTTTTACTGTGTGGTTAAGCTGTTAGATCTTCAGTAAAGGCAATACTATTTGGGGGAAGATTTTAAAAGCATATGTCATTTTTCACTTAGAGAAATATATCTTAGAGCTCTTGTTGTTGTGTTTTTCCTATTGCAGTCTATATGAATTGAGTTAATAGCAATTGAAAGAAGAGATGGCTCTGCTAATAAGATGTTAAATGGTAGCACAAGCACGATGAAGCTTTTCTCAGCTGCGCCTGCCGTCGCCAATTGATGGCCACACTGTGTCATGAAACTCAGCTTTCTTCAAAGCCGTTTCAATAACAGTTTCTGAAATATTAGAGGAACATAAGAATTAAATCTAAGTTCTAAGTATATAGCATTAGAAACCACATGATCCTCTTAGCATTAACTAAAATAGAAGTGGAAATAGAAGATATATATATATCTATATCATATATATCTTATATAGATATCTATATATCTTATATAGATATCTATATATCTTATATAGATATCTATATATCTTATATAGATATCTATATATCTTATATCGATATCTATATATCTTATATAGATATCGATATATCTTATATCGATATCTATATATCTTATATCGATATCTATATATCTTATATCGATATCTATATATCTTATATAGATATCGATATCTATATATCTTATATAGATATCGATATCTATATATCTTATATAGATATCTATATATCATATATATCATATATATCTTATATAGATATCTATATATCATATATATGATATATATAAAGGATTACATGCAGGCATGAACGAGCTACAGATATTTCCTGAGCAATTGAGTTGCCAGATAAAAATATGCACATGTTGAAAGCTGCATATAAGAGAAAAGAAGAGCCCCCTAAAGAGAAGACATCTAACCTGACGTTATGAGCTGAATTTCCCCCTTCCTCAAAAATTTATGTTAATGTCCTAACCTGCAGTACCTCGGGATGTGACTTTATTTGGAAATAGGGTCAGTCACTGCAGATGTAATATCTTAAGATGAACTCATACTTGGATAGTGTGTGCCCCTAATCCAATGTGACCGGTGTGTCCTTATAAAAAGGGAAAATTTAGATAGAGACATGGATATTAACATGAATCCTAATCAGAGCCAACAGGTTCTAGGTGGAGGCTACCACTGCTTTCGGCATTATTTATGTTATGACACATTTAGTTCTTACAATGACCCCAAGAGGAAGATACTGTTATTCCCATTTTTCAGATGAGAAAATTGAGAAACAGAGAAGTTCAGGGACTTGCCCCAGTTTATACAACTAGAAGTATCTGTGCCAGGATGGTGCCCTGGCTTGCTGGCTCATGCCCTCACGCAAATCGCTCCCCTGGGTTTGGGCCATGGCACAAGTGTGAGACGGCAAGGCATGGGCAAGCGGAGGTACAACCAGAGTGGGGCAGAAGCCATGAGCACAGAAAGAAATTTAACCTAAAGGTTCAACAGAGCTGGGGTGAGGAGAAGAAGATGCCAGGTATTGATTCTGAGGGACCTATGGGGTTGGGGTGGCCTTGGTAGAACAAAGGAGTTGGGGTAGGGGAGATTCTGTTTCAGAAAAGATAAGAGCTCAGCTGTGAGCATGCTGAGTCAGTTAAAATCAAAAAAGTCAAGCTGCAGACAGGGCGTTGGAGACCAAACTATGCTTGTTGAGGAGAAGCCCTTCATGAGAACTGAAGTTTAGTAACTCCCCAGGAAGGGGAGTGAAGGAAGGCGAGTGAAGGAAGAAGGCCAAGAAAAGACCCAGGAAAGGAGTGAGAGGAGGCATGGAGGACACAAGCCAGTGTGGCGCTAAGAAAGCCAGGGGAGGAGAGGACTTCTAAAGGATGCTGCAAAGGGCCTCAGCTCCCTGCCTTCCTATTGCCATAGCCTTGAGTACATATACAACCTGTACAAAGGGGCAATATTGCCTTTTTGGGAAAATCATGATATTAAATAAGAACATCCATGTAAGAACCTGACAGAGAAAAGCACTTTAGAGTAGCTCTAATCTGTAATAAAATATGATAAAATATTCTTGCTGAACCAATAAAAATATTAAGTGTCTAAGAGCTAGAAATGCACAAAATTGAGTTAAAGAACACTCCACGTCATTACCAAATGACATAATAGAAGCCCTGGATAAATGAAGAGGCATATCCAAATCTAGGATTAGTCAACTTAATATTGCAAAAATGTCACCTTTTCACAAGTGAAATGAATTACGTTTTAATTAATTGCTGAACAAAATTTACTTAGAACTTGAACAAATCAATGTAAATTAAAATGAGAGATTCTTTTCATACAGGAGATTAGAACAAAAAATAAAATGTTTGAAAATAAGTGGTCTTGACAAAAGGTATGGGAAATAAAAACCTCTATAGGTGGGCATGTAAATTGGTGAAGCCTTTTGATTTTTGAAGGGCAACTTGCCAGTATATTTCAAGTGTGAGACTTGCATACTTTTCAATCCCTCTTGCAACGTCAAAGATTATCCTATGGAAAAACTCAGAAGTGCACACTTTGACGTTCACCCCCAAATGCACGGATGCATAATTTAACAATGAAAACTTATTTTTTTTTTTTTTTTTTTTTTTTTTTTTTTTTTTTTTTTTTTTTTTTTTTTTTTGAGACGGAGTCTCGCTCTGTCGCCCAGGCTGGAGTGCAGTGGCGCGATCTCGGCTCACTGCAAGCTCCGCCTCCCAGGTTCACGCCATTCTCCTGCCTCAGCCTCCCGAGTAGCTGGGACTACAGGCGCCCGCTACCACGCCCGGCTAATTTTTTTTGTATTTTTAGTAGAGACGGGGTTTCACCGTGTTAGCCAGGATGGTCTCGATCTCCTGACCTCGTGATCCGCCCGCCTCGGCCTCCCAAAGTGCTGGGATTACAGGCGTGAGCCACCGCGCCCGGCCAACAATGAAAACTTATACATAAACCTGAATGCCAATCAAGGGATAAATAAGTAAATAAATTAGGGTACATCTATACTCTGCAGTTACATAAAAGACAGTAAGGTATATGTACACATACCCTGCAGAAAAATCTCCACTACATAGTCTAAAGTGGTTACATAACAATCTGTAATGTTATGTACCAAAGGCAGTGGTATATGAATAAATTTGTGTATGCAAATGAACAGAGAGGCCTGGATCAGCAGATATCTGCCCAAATGTTAACTGTGGTTGCCTCTGAAATCATGAGTGGATTAGAGGAAGGGGAGGAGAAATTATGTTTCATTTCCCACTGTCACGTATTTGAGTATCTTAAAAGAAGACTCTATTAATGTGCTTCTTGGGTAGTTAAAATGTATTTTGGAAAAAGATGTCAGTGGGTGGTGAGCATATGGACACAGTAGACGTAAACCAAACCCATGTAACACACAACATAGAAGGAGATAAATTTAGGATGATGTTGCTGTCGGGAGTAGATGCGTCAAAGAGGGCTTTTATTATGCTTGCTTTTCAAGCTGGTCGCTACCTGGACTTGCCTAAAAGCAGAAGGGGAGACTTTCAATATTCACCCTGGTCTTTGTATTCCCTCCCCTCCAAATACCTCACACAAAAGTTGAATCTGCCATGTAGCTGATCTCTGTCTCTTCCTGAACTTCTGTGATAATTCCCCATTTCACACATAATTGCATCAGTCCAGTTGATTTGGGTGTCAGAGCTGCCTCCTCAAAATGGCAGTTGCCTCTCTGAAGACAAAGGGATCCTCTTGTTTGCCCCACTTACCTGCTGCCCCCAAAGGTTTGCACAGTGCTAAATTAAGTGACTGTTTAGAAGATATACATACTTCGAGTTTTTTTCTAAAAATAGGATCAGTAAAATAAGGGATCATATTGAGGGGGCAGAGCTCTCACCATATCATTTTATTTAACCTTCTTTGGAGCCTATTATGTTTATGAGAGTATCATCAAGATATCCAAGAAATAATGAAGCCCCAGCGTGGATCTTGAGCCGCCTGGAAGAAATCATTTGGCTAGAAATAACACCATCACATGGGGCATGAGGAATAAGCTTACAATTCTGCTGGATCCAGTATGTAAGGAGAGATTTGGTGTACATATTTTAAATTCTCTCAAAGCAATTTCACTAAGACATTTCTTTTATGTAAATAAAATTCTCTCAGTGAAATTCTCCTGCAGTTAAATGAGGCTCAATTATACACTACTAATTTAAGCCTGCATACTGCATTCCAACTGTATACCTAATTACCCTATTTAGTTTGTTAATGATCAGATCTTTGTGCAGATATTCAAGTCTGTCACTAATCTTTGCTCTAGTTAGATTTCTAGTTGTTTAAAATAATGAATCCTTAGAAAGAATATAATTGTATAATTCCTTTACTTTTAAATGAATCACTTCAAGAATTTTTTATTAAAGAACCAAAGAAGCTCGTAAAACTTATAAATTGTATTTATTTATTTATACGATGAACAAGATGGTTTTGGCCACTGACATTTGAAAGCAAATATTTCAGTTGGGAACACAGACAAAAAGAGTACATTGACAAAGAAAATAAATCCACTCTCATAAATGCATTTACATGAATTGAGAAACAGAAGTTGACTCTAGTAAAGAGAAGAGCTGTTTAGATGGTGGGGGTTTGGAGTGGGGTGTGTATGTAAGGATTTCTGAGGACGTGCACTTCAGCAGAGCCACAGAAGGTAGGAAGATAAGAAGGGATTATTCATGGATAAGTAGAGCTAAGAACAAGGTTAAAGGAAAAGTATGTTTGAGGCGGGAAAAACTGTGGCATATCCAAGGAACTGACACAGGATATGGTTTGAAAATAGAACTGAGGCCGGGCGCGGTGGCTCGCGCCTGTAATCCCAGCACTTTGGGAGGCCGAGGCGGGCGGATCACAAGGTCAGGAGATCGAGACCATCCTGGCTAACACGGTGAAACCCCGTCTCTACTAAAAATGCAAAAAATTAGCCGGGCGTGGTGGCGGGCGCCTGTAGTCCCAGCTGCTCGGGAGGCTGAGGCAGGAGAATGGCGGGAACCCGGGAGGCGGAGCCTGCAGTGAGCCGAGATCGTGCCACTGCACTCCAGCCTGGGCGACAGAGCGAGACTCCGTCTCAAAAAAAAAAAAAAAAAAAAAAGAAAATAGAACTGATAGGACATAGAACTCGCCTGAATGCCAGGATGAGGCAAAGGCGATGAGGACCAAGGTGGCTGCTAGGTCTTGGTGAAGAGCCCTGAACAGGTGAAGAGTCCTCCTGCCAGGAATAAGAACCACGGGGTGTGGCACTGGCTGTCCATGGCTGACTTATTTTGGACTTTGGGGAATTGAAAGTAGCCCTTTATAGAGATATGGAAAGGGGAAGGAAGAGAATGCTATTGGATGTGCTCGTTGTATCAGGCGGACTCATGTTTAGAAGAGGTACATCAGCATTATTTACTGTCCCACAAGATTTCTGCATTTTGGGGCTGGAAGGGAATGTGTATTTCAGGTTGACTGTCTGTTCCAGTTGTGGGTGCACAATACAGTGCTGATTAAAAAGCAACACATACAAAAAGGAAAAAATAAGTGAAGGAAGGTCAGAGCACGGCACTTCAACCCACAGTGACTATGCTTACCTGGTCTGTGTTAGCAACCCAAAAGGAATTTAAGACACTGGGCTTATTGGCAAAACACATTGAAAATTAACTGTAAAGTTTGTCTACCTGATACAGATGGCATAGGATTATGGGAAAGAATCTGGAAAAATAGGAACCACCATAAAGAATGAAACTAACACTATGTTGTGGCCACTTAATATTATGGGATAATGGTTTTTCACACTTTGGGTTCACCTACTAATAGGTTGTGAAATCAGTTTCATGGATTGCAGCTTTACTTTTTAAAAAAATGAAATAAAAGAGCATAGAATGTATCAGTGTGTATCAAATAGTGGTGATAAATATTCTGCAGCTTGTTTCAGTACACCTGTGCATACATAAAGTTATGTGTGTGTTTGTATATTTATGTGTGTATTTATGTGTATGCATTACTGAGTTCTAAGATAAAATGTCTTTATTCTATGTATCTCTTACTGTGAGTCAGAGCAAAAAATGTTTGAAGAGCCTTTTTCAACATCTTAGTGATGGAATTGTTACTTTTCTGACTAGGCTTCCGTTTCAAAGCAAGGCTAATCGTCTTTTAGCATCAGCTGGTATACCTTGGATTCTTAAAGTTCTCTCTTTAAATATTTCTGCATTTTAAATTAAAGATTCCTGCTTTAGCAAGTCCCCTAGTTCTTATTCCTGGTAGGGGGACTCTTCACCTGTTCAGGGCTCCTCACCAAGACCTAGCAGCCGCCTTGGTCCTCATCTCCTTTGCCTCATCCTGACATTCAGGCCAATTCTATGTCCTATCAGTTCTATTTTCAAAGTATATCTTGTATCATTTCCTTGGACATGACACATTTTTTCCCACCTCAAACACATGCTTTGAGACCAGCAAGTCTATAAGGCCATAGGCTTGGTTGCATTTATAATGGGAATAGCAGAGAAAGCAGTTTATTTTTTTAAAACTGCAACATCATTTGAAGGTCTTGGATTACATTTGTTTCCCAATGACACGTGATGATGTCAAAGGAAACTATAATGAGTTTACTGAGCTATCCATACAAATGTACATGCAAATATGTATACTTACAAGAACACGCAAGGGTAGAAACCATGTCAGATGCGGTCCCTCGTGTCACTCCCACTCCACTGCCTTTTGGTTTCAAATAGTCTGACCCCATGAGAATCTTTGAGACTGTCTTTCATGTCACAGAGCCTTGCACTGTGAGAGTAACTCAATTCCCTAAATGACTTCCCCAGATCTAGCTTATCACAAACTCCATTGCCTTGCAATAACCTTTGTAACAAAATGGTATTAATAAAATCATGTAGCAACTGCCCATCATATGCAGACCTAGTAATGGAATCCAAGTTACCTAAAAGGCTAATTCCTAATGAGAAGGAAAGGAAACATACCATAAAGTAAAAGTGCAAACAATTGCAAAACAGAGGCAAACAGTGTCAGTTGGATATACGTAAGCGCTGATGTAAAGAGAGATTGGAAATGATATATCTGGCTGGGCAGGTCACTCATGCCTGTAATCCCAGCACTTTGGGAGGCTGAGGCAGGCAGATCACCTAAGGCCAGGAATTCGACACCAGCCTGGCCAACGTGGCAAAACCCGTCTCTACTAAAAATACAAAAATTAGCCGGGCGTGGTGGTGTGCGCCTGGAATCCCAGCTACCCAGGAGGCTGAGGCAGGAGAAATGCTGGAACCCGGGAGGCAGAGGCTGCAGTGAGCTGAGATCATGCCACTACTGCACTCCAGCCTGGGTGACACAGCAAGACTCCCTCTAAAAAAAGAAAAAAAGAAAAGAAAAGAAAAGAAAATGATATATCCATGATGAATTAAAATGGAGTGGAACCCACTGATGGTATGCAGCTGATAAGACGCTATAGAGAAATGATATCCGGACACATGGTGAGACTTTTTCTCCTCTGTAAATCTCAATTCTTGTGATTCTTTCAAAGGGAAAGCCACAGAAGGTACCAGTTATCCACTCACTGACTTAGGTGCCTCCACTAGAATTCTCAGCACGTTTTTGCAGAAGTAAGTTATCTTCACTATTGCTCTAACACTTCTTAGTCTCCTTTTTCTTTCTTTTCTTTTTTTTTAGACAAAGGAAAAGTAAACCGCTGGTTTAGAGTCTTTGGAAGGCAATTGTATCTGACTAGAATTTAATATTATTGTTTTTCTTTCATTGTATTGCATTTATCTGTATGGCTAGTTAAACTGATTTTCCATTTAAAAGTAGTAATGCATTTTTTTATAATTACATTGTTTTAAGTAAACAAGAATTATTCAAAGGACAAAAACACTAGCACAGATGGCATTCAATGATTGCAGATATCATAAAGATAGTTCATGAATGACAAAGATTTGAGAAGTACTGTGTTCACGATGCTTCCTGGAAGAGGTGGGTTATACAGTGTTTCTTAGAGAAAGGGATAGGGGTCTACTGCTAGGAGGGAAAGATGAAGCTACTTAGGGGGACTAGGAAACACGCAGTTGGCCTGCCCTCTGCTTGGAGATCACAGCCAAGGAAACACAGGAGAGGCACCCCCTGGAGGAGCTCCGTGGGCTGCAGGGCTGACGTGGCCCAGGTAAGTGGGAGTTCAGGGAGGCCCACAGGTTGGTGCTAGGATAGTGGCAGATGATTTTCATTGTCAGACTGTGAGACAAAAGGTAGACATAAGGGAGGCAGAGGTGAAATCGGGATGGTTAAAACAGAGAATGCTGAGAGCAGAGCAAGGCAGTTGCTAAAGCTGTTACTAAAACTGGACAGCAGAAGGCCTGGCGTGGTGGCTCACAGCTGTAATCCCAGCACTTTGGGAGGCCTAGGTGGGTGGATCATCAGAGGTCAGGAGTTAGAGACTAGCCTGACCAACATGGTGAAACCCCATCTCTACTAAAAATACAAAGTTAGCCAGGCATGGTGGCCCATGCCTGTAATCCCAGCTACTCGGGAGGCTGAGGCAGGAGAATTGCTTGAATTTGGGAGGTGGAGGTTGCGGTGAGCTGAGATCGCACCATTGCTCTCCAGCCTGGGCAACAAGAGCGAAACCCCATCTCAAAACCACAACAACAACAACAGGACAACAGAGATGGACGACGGATCGGGAAAGCCAACCAGACAGCGTGAGGCCAGGACGGAAAGAGGCACAGGGAGCTCTGCTCAGTGTCGCTACAGGGGATCTCTCAGGCTCACAACGGGCCACTCCTCTAGGGAAGTTCTGGTCTCATCATGATCCTTGTTTGGTCTCACTCCCCATGTCCTTCTCTGTCCCTCCTCCAACTGCCATTTATTTATTTAACTGAAAAAGTACCAATCACCCACATAGGCATGACATACTCATCCATGTACCCATTTCTTAAAATTGATCATTGTTAACATTTGGTGTAATTTGCTTTATTTATTTTTAATGAAATAAATAAAACTTTACAGAAAATGCTTTATTTTTCTCTTTGTTCCCTCCCCATCCTATATTTTTCTCCTAAAAAACCCTATTATCAGAAATATTAGTGTGTATTCCCAGTTTCGACTTTTTATTTTATTACACACACACTCCCACACATAGCTGTGACAATGAACTTCACATAGTATGGTTCTGTATTTTCTCTTTGTTTTTCAAACTTACATAAGTATTTTACTATTTCTCATGGAAAAACTCACTTTTCCCATCCAACGTTATGTTTCCTTAAGATCTCTCTATGTTGATATAAAGAAATCTAGCTCATTCTTTTTAATGAAAATAAAGTATATTTTATGAATGTAACTCATGCTAACCATGGCAATAAAAGCTCCATCAAGCATGCATTTAGTTCTGTATTTTGTTCAATGCTGTATTCCCAGTCCCTAGAACACATACAGAGTAGTGGTTCATTAAATGTTTGTCAAATGAATGAATCAATGAATCCACTCATTTCACTGCTGACAAGCAGTAAAACTGACGTCAATTTTGCACAAACTTTTACAAGATTCCTCGGCACCCACATAAGAGACGTACTAATACGTCTACCTAGAAATATATGTATTGCATTGACAGAATTTGTGTTTTTGGTTTTGTGGGATTCTCTGAAATGCTATGTGACTTCTTAAGGGCTTGGCACATGCTGTAGGCTGTTAATGTGGCTGAGGGGTTTGGCTCTCACATGACCACTGCAGACAGGCTGTGTGCCACCTGCTCACTTTGTAAGCTTCTCGTCCCCCTCTGACAGCTCTTTGCAATGCTTTGTCTTTTCTTCAAAACTTTATATATATTTTTTTAAGAAGAAAAATCTGATAAGCCTTTGTCAGAAAAAAGTGGGTGAATTCTTCCAAGTAATAAAATAATGCAAAGTATAAAATAAAGAGGATAAACCGATTCACAGCTAGGAATACAAGGTATCTTTGGCCAATGGGATTTTGCCTTCGTGCTTTCAAGCACAGTCACTTTCTGTGCAAGGTTGTAAGTGTTCACCATGAGCTTTAGGTGGATCTAGCCCTGTAACAACAAATCACTAGTACCGCTGGATCAAGATTAGTGTACATTTGTGTTTAAGCAATATCATGGTCCATTAATTACGTGCACTGCAATTTAATGGCCTTGCAGATCTTAACACTGTGCTTTTATTTCATTTTTGCCTAGGCCCGCCTCACCGCTAAATATAAATGGAATGAAGCACTTGAAAACAAAAAGTATAAAAATGTGTATATTTTTCATTGCAAAGCAATTCTTAATGGATTTTGTAAACTTTGCAAAATTAAAAGGAAAATACTGTCAGGACACTAAGCTTCTTCCCAGGTTTTCAGATTCCGAAGCTTTAGTTGAGGGCAGTTGAAGAACCTACAAGGCTGTTCCGGAGACCTTTGTGAATGTGAATGAACGCCCTTTGCTTCAAAGGCACCTGCCTGGTGCTGAGGAATCGGCCTTGGAGCCGCCGCCCACGCCGGGCCGCTGCGGGAGAACACTCGGTGCCCCCTGCTGGTCAGACCGAGGCCCCGCAGCGTGGCACAGAGAGCTCCACGGCACGCGTGGTGTGGGAACTGCAGGCTGAAAAACGCTCCCAGAAATGAAATAGTGAGTGCCCGTGGATCTGGCACCACCTTAACACTTCCTCGTTAATAACACATGATTTTTGCTTTATTAACCTATAAGCACTTCCTATGTTTACACTTCTTGGGTTTTGATAGAAACTCGTGATCAGCAAAATTCTTTCAATGAAAATTTGTCAAATTACTTCTCCACTTAAAAGTGGAAACAGTGACGTTTTTCTTGAACTCCACGTTTATTTATATTATTTTTTAATTTCATTTTTGCTTTACAACCATCTAATGAATTTTCTTTAGATAAAATTCCCTCTAGGATTTTAAGATAAAATTCCCTCTAGGATTAAGTTTTGGTCATTTCTCTCATGAAATGTATGTCAGATTACATTATTTGGAACCTTATTTTTCCATTTTTTTTTCAGGTAGTTTAATATAGTCAGTGAATCAGCAGTGAGTTGTAGCAACTTCCATTTCTGACTATGTAAAAAACTAATTATTTTGAAAACTCTCCAGGTATAAGAAACTTAGACAAGCTGCATAAATCTAACATTGACTTAAATGAACAGCAGGTTTCTCAGGTAAGGAAAGCCCTCTGGGCTCTATAAAGGAAGAGGGGGGGTGAATACCTAACAGCAAAGATCTTGTTGATACTACCTATAATTTCCCTGTGACATTTGCACATTTAGGGGGAAAAAACATAGTTTTAACAGCAATGAGGAAATGGAAGGCTGTTAGTCCTACACAAGTCCTACACAAGAGAAGTCTGCAGAAAAGTACAACTTCACTAAAAGATTGGACCTCCAAAAAAAAAAAAACAGCCTTTGCAAATACCCTTGCCTTCCTAGCCTAAGCTTTGTGTAGGGATTATGTCTAACCATAGTACTGGCCTTGCTCTGGTTTGGGATTTGTAGTCTCACTGTCTCCAGGGTCCAGTAGACCTCACTCTAGAAAATAACATATAGTGACTTCGCTTCTAAGGACATCTGGCAGAAGCAAAGACAAATAAATCTTCCCTGGAGGAAGGAGCACTGAGAAATGTTTACAGATGAAGCTTGACTCCTCCCTTCCAATCTTGAGCTTCCAGTACCAAACCTCTAACACATTAGAGAACAATTTATCATAAAAAGGAGTCAGAAGAAGCAATAGAGGCCTCAGACAATGAAATAACTCGACAATGTTTACACAATAAGTATTTTAAATGTTGCAAAACTATAGAATTGAATTAAAAATAGGATAAGTGAATAAGAGTATATCATAAAAGATACAAATATTAGATAAACAATAAAATATTTGCAGAATGGGCAGAAATAAAACACATAACCCTTGACATAAATATTTATATTAGACACAGTTGGGAAAAATTAGTGAACAAGAAAATAAATCTACAGAAATTACTCAGAATATTTCCTAGAGAGAAAAAGAAACATATGGAAGAAAGAAAGATACATATGAAAGAAAGGTTAAGAGACTTGAAGGAGAGATAGAGGAAATCCACAGTTCAAGGAGAGGGTAGAAAAAAATGGCAGAAAAGCAATATTTGGGAAAACAATTTGGAAATTTCCCAGTATTGATAAGAACCGACAGTTTGCCAATAGCAGGCTTGCGCCTGGAACTAAAGGATGTGCTTCCAGAAAAGAAATTGTACTCAATAATGAGATGCAAAAAGAAGGGTGGAGAAAGAACGAGGTATGCGTGAGTAACCCTAAACAAATAATGACTGTATAAAGTGATAATAATGGCAAATATGATTGATATAAAAAGTTAGATGCCTCTAGAACACTGGAAGACAATTGCATTTCAGATGGGAGGGAGATCACAGCAGATGGTATCATGAAGTCCTGTGTTTCTCGGTATGAGGTAGGTCAGCGTGCTGTATTTGTGGGTGAAGAAAAGCAATCTCTTTAGTGCTTTTGACACTTTTCCACAAATTCCATTTCACCCACATCTTAACCTGGCAGGCATCTCTTTACTGTTTGAGAAACCAGACCTTGCTCTTTACAGTTTCCATAAGGCTGTCATGGTCATTACTCTATTTAATCTTCATAGGAAAATCACGGGAGTTAAGGCCATTTTAAACCCCCCCTCCTCCACTGATAAACCAGCTGTGTTCTTTGAAAATATTTGATACAACTCTAAGCACTGCAAACTTCACATTCTGGAAAGTGTGTTCAATCCTACTAAAACCTATTACAATCCATTCAAATGCACATACCCTATTGGAGTAGGGTGGTATAAATTCACCACTCTGGGTAAGCAAATCTTGCTTTTTAATTTCATTCCCTGTATTTTCTCCCCACATTTTCCCACTTAGTAATTGTTTATAAATTCCAGGTAGAACATGCTCATTTCATGTTGGCTTTTCTTAGCAATTCTTACAGTAAATGTAGTGTACAGTGTAACTACCCTGTGCCATTTAGAAATGGGTGGGATACAATATGGTAAGTTTACTCTTTCCCTCAATGTAATTCAACATGTATTTAATAAAAGTAGGATATTCCTGCATAAAAGATGAATAGAAATCCCCCGTGTTTTAAGATAATTTGCTCTCTTCTTGAGAGTACAAAAGGGTTTTCTCCAATGTACATTTTGCTCATTTTTATATCTTCTGATAAATTATTCTCATGTCATGCTGAGAAAACTTCACTTGTCATTTGAGCAAGGAAATCAAAAGTCATTATAAATGTCTAGCATTGAAACCATCTTTCTTTCATTTCCTGACATTAAATTTTAATTAGAGAATATTCTTTTAAATAGCCAATATTTTATGAAGAGAAATAACAAAAAAGAGGACCGTTAAAAAACAGCTAATGTTCTAAAAAAGACATCTGATTAGTGGGCACCACTTCTTTCTGGCACATTCCAAAGATATCCACTGTATTTGGCCAGTACCACAATAGATTATAGAAAATCTATGCTGAATTACCATAATAGGATTTTTATCATTAATACTGTCCAGGTATATTGATTAAATTATTTGTTAAATTCTCCAAATCATTTTAACCATATGAACCAAGTTGACAAAGAGCTTACCATCTAAAACATAAAGTACATCAGAATCTGGATTTATCTGACTCAGGTTAATGAAAAGAGTGATAAACCACACCCTAAACTCTTGTCTTTGAAAGAAGATATAGCCTGTTACCATCGCAGAATGGACAAGTACTCTCGAGAAATCTTCATGTACACTGGCCGACTTGTTTGCCTGCATTGCTTCCTACCCAATGGCCATGCCACGTGTTCATGCATCAAGGAAGAGAAAACTTAAGAACACAGATTTGGGAAGGATGCAAAAGTGAGAGAACAGGTGTGGACGTGAGGACACGGGGAATAAATGAGAAAGAATGTATCCTAAGAGGACGTATTGTGTGGTCAGAGCTACAAGTCTGGGTGTTTCTTCTCATCAGGCATCATTGAGAATAAGCCTCCTTGGTCACCTGCTCATCCTGTGTCTATCCATTCCCCCACCACCCCACCCTGTCCCTTTCAAATCTCCTGGAGGGGGAGCTGCACGCATGGACAGGGTGGGGCAAGGGAGAGGCTGGAGCTGTCTCAGCTTCGTTTTGCTTAATCAAGCCTCCTTTGACTATGCTTGCCCAGTTGCATGTGCAGTGGTATTCAGACCTGCTCAGCAGGTGGATGAGTCTGATCTTAGTATTCAATCAAAAACTACATTTTTGTTCTTTTGACTCTTCTTCACTGCACAGGGGTAAAAAGTGTGGAGTCTATCAGTCAGCTGTTAGACAGCAACCATTTTAGATGGATCCGTAATAGCCAATCAAGAGATGACAATCTCCCTTTAAAAACTGACAGGTACAAAAATAAGACCTGAATAATTCATGGAGAGAAGGTGGATAGCCTTGGGTTAGCTGATTGCTGATGCACCCTATTCCGTGCTGTGCTCTTGGCTTCACCTTCTGATGTGGCATCCACATTATTTTCCCAGGGCTGCTGCAACAAAGTACTGCAAACCGGGTGGTTTAAATGATAGCAGGGTATTCTTTTCCATTTCTGGAGGCCAGCAGTATTATTGGCAGGTCCGTACCTACTCCAATGCCTCAAGGGAAGATCTTCCCTTCTCTCTCCCAGCTTCTGGTAGGCCTCAATGACCCTGGATTATGGCAGCGTAATTCCAATCTCCACCTCTATCTTCACATGGCCATGTTCTCTCTGTGTTTAAGTTTTCCCTCTTCTTACAAAAACACCAGTCATGTTGGATTAAGGGCCCATCCTACTCCAATACAACTTCATCTTAACTACTTATATCTTCAATGACCCTATTTCCAAATAAGGTCACATTCTGAGCCACTGGCGCATTAGAGCTTCAATATCATTTGAGGGGACACAATTGAATCTATTATAACATCTCAAAGCAGCTCATTCCTTGCCTACCTCAGGTAGCAACAAGCTTAAAATAAAAGAAAGAAAACTGTATCTATGGTTCTTTGCAAGTGTAGGGAGTGGAGGGAGACCTTCTCACTATGGAAAAATATTTCAAGGTATATAACATTTCATATTGGATGATGCAGACCGCATGAAATCATTGTGCTCCTTAAACAATCCCTGAAGGTCCAACCATACCAGCAAATGCTGCAATATAAATAATATTCACAAAGACAGGTGAGAGCTATTGCCTTACCAGGGGCTGGACTCATGGCTGTTAGAATGAGCAGCAATGAGTATTCTATTCACTCACTTTGGCTTTAAATAAGAAGCCAATTTTACGCTTAAAAATCGCTGAGTGCATAAACACAAACATATAGAAATCTGGAGGGAGGCTAAATTTTACACAGTCTACCCACCTGCTGTTTGAAATAAGAGTGCTATAGTTAATGTAAATTACGTGCAAAGAATGCAGATTGAGAAGATTAGAGAACCATCAACTTAGTTTGATCAAATGATACAATGTGCTTGAAAGTAATTTAATACAACCATAGAGCATTTCAATGTTTCTTTCTTTGGAAGGGGACTTTTTAAAATTTTATCAGTTTCATACTATGATTTATCCTTCTCTCCAGGGTTGTTCATACTGTGGAGTTTTTCTACAGGTTAGCGTAAGCTTGAGCAGTGTCAGTGACAGGATGTCTCCCCACTGGTGCATGATGATTTCTCCTACAGTGTCCCACATAGCATCAGGTATGTTCACTCAATACATACTTGCTCACTGCAAATATTTAGAGAAGTGTATTACCACATTGCTGTTATCGGAAATTTCTCGTTGCAAAAATTAGAAGATTGCTAACTACAAAAATCTCATTTTGAGTATGGTATGTTGACACAATTTGCACAGACTAGGCATTAGAATGTGACTCTGGGTCATCTCACACGCCAGGAAGTTTGGCTAGCCCCTTCTTTCTTCCCAGAGAGAAAGCACCTCTCCAAGGGGGAAGCAGATGTGAAAAAGAGCATGGAGTTCGGGCTGTGGGAACCACGCCGGTGAAATACCCACCTGAGGCTGAGTCTTCATAAGGTAGTTGCCTTGACCAGTCTTTTCAAAAGTCATTTCTTATTTCCTTCATTATCTCCATGGTTATTCTACATATCCTCGTCTGGCATCCAACACACATCTTAAATCTCATATTCAAATATTGGGTAAATGAGAGGAATTCCTTTATTTTAATCCTCAGTACTTCCTGAACATGCAAACCTATTAGTACTATAAAAATTAATGCCTATAAGTGATATTTATGTACAGGTATTAAGAATAATAATCATGTATTATTCTAGTGTGGGTTAAAGATAAACAGTGTTTGATAAATATTTGGAAAAATCTAAGAGCAATAAAACAAGCCTCAAATAGTCAGATCAGAGGTTCATCTATAGGCCACACTCTTCCTAAAATGATATGTATTTTTTAAATAGTTATAGGATGAGAGTGGATTAGAAAATGGTACTCCTGTAAAGCATATATTTTCAACGATTTCCTAAGAAACTAACCAACACGACGTAGAAAGTAATAATCACATGAATTTATTGTAAGTATCCTTCGAGGTCAGAAAGAAGGGTAGAACACAAGTTCTTGTAACACTGGAATTGGAATTCCAGGATGGGGAATGTGTTATGTATCTCAGACGCAGAAGGGAAAGAAGCCACCACGTACAGAACGGTGAAGCCTCTGGGTCTACTCCCAAACACGAGCATTTCCCCCAGGTCCTGCCAAGCTCTGCAAGATGCTATTGAAGAGATGCTTCCCATAAAGGACCAAAGAGCAGTAGTACAGTGAATATAACCTCAGAAGCAATGTCCACAACTCAGTGAAATTTTTCAAAGCATGACACAGCTTGGCCAGAGCTCCTTAGGAAGCCACAAGGTCAACTGTTAATCATGAAAAAAATTTTAACACATTCAAAAGATATAATAAAATTTACAATTCAACCCCCAAATCAAGTACTAAAAAGATCAATGAGCTGATACACATGTACAGAATTATTAGTGCATGTTAGATATCAGGCAAATTTTGCTTCCTTGACATCAAGTGTAAGCCCATATTTAATGCACGCAGCTCCAAAGGCTGGTTCCCTAATATCGGCTCCAAATTGAGACCACAAAGTCTTCTTGGATGAAAGATTTAGAATGCCCTCAAATCTAAAGAGTGCAGACTTAAAGGTATACTGCCAAAGAAAGGTAATGATTTCTCAGTCTCTCCCACTTCAAAGCCATACCCAAAGGCTCTGGCACCTTCCCCTTCATCATCCAGGAATCTCCAGATCCACGTGCATGACCTCTGATGCGGAGCAGCACTCAATCCATAACAGCTCCACGAACAGGGAATACATGGATGAGTCTTCATTAAGATTTAAACATGAAAAGACATGTTCCCAGCCCTTTTGTGAGCTTGTGCTTTGGAGGAGAAAATACAACGAAAATTCTAGAAAGCCACTTTACTAAATGTATATGTTTTTATAGGCATATTTTTTTAAAATCAAGGTAATAGGAAATCCATATTATCATTTTATAAAACTTTAACTTACATTTTTTTCTGACTACAAGTATAGGCACAGTGTGAAAAATCTGAAAAATAAAAACTAGAAAGAATAAAATATAAATCCCACATAATTCCATTACCAAGGATGAACAGCTGAACACCAGAGCTGACCATTATTAACATGTTTGCATATATCCGTCTATGCTTTTTTCTACATATATATAGTATTTAGATAATTGAGATTAAACTGTTATTTAAATAGCTTTCCATTCAGCTTATTTTATTTGATCCTTTTATGAGATTCATGTGCTCAATGAATATTGTATGAATGTTGCTAAATTATGAGTGGCTACCTGTCATTTGAATGCTTTAATACATCATTTTAATACTGTGTAATAATCCATTGGATGGGTATATAATAATTGGATTAGCCTATCTGTTCTTGAGTGTTTCTAATATTTCACCATTATAATTAAAATAAGTTTCCAAATAGATATTTTTCTGCATTTCTAATTATTTCTTTAATACAGTTCTCTCAAGGAAAGTTTCTGTGGTCAAATCTATACTTTTTCTTAAAGAAAGACATCAAACTGATAAATTCATGGAATAGTCAAGGCAGTTGTTGGGTGGTTTAATGCAATGACAATCTTGTGGGGGTCTAAATACAGCAGTGAATTCACACTTATCTACTTCACCTAGAATATGAAGATGAGGCGAGATAAAGATAAGAACAATGATCTTTATTGCTTACTACAGTCCAGGCATTTTTCATATTACTTCATTTAATTCCCCTAACCCTTTTTATTAGTTGAATGAGAGGTCTGAGTTTCAGCAAGATTGCATAGGTTGAGGACCAAGGTCATACAATCTAGGCTTGCCTGACTCCCAATGCCACATTCTTTCTTCCACATCAGACCAGATGGCTTTTATACAGTCAGGATGAAAAATAATAGAATATGAACCTGCACTCAACAGGCTGTCAGAGTCTCTCAAGTCTCCATACATACACAATGCATCTGACTGCGTTTTAACCGCTTCCAGAGCCCTGGCAGCTATGTCTGGGAATGCAGCTTTTTGCTTCCCTGAGTCTTCAACCAAGGCAGGTAAACCAGAAAGAAGTGGAAATGCAATATTGAGCCACACAAACCCTGCACAGAAGTATTTACAGAAGAGTGAGAAAATTCTTCCTAGCAGGGCCAAGCTATCTTTTCCCTAGAGGGAGCCTTGATCTTGGGCTGAGGTTTTGGATAATGGATGAATATCACCTGGAAGACAGGGGAGAGGGAGATTTTCAACACTGAGAACTGTAGAACCGAAGGCATACCAGTTCAGACTTGGATCCTTTGTGTGTAATTGGGGAGTACTAAGAGAGATTAGGATAGAAATACAGACAGTCTTAGATGGCAGAGGGGTTTAAAACTTTAATCCCAGGATCTTTACTGTATGTTAAATATTTCCCAAGGGAACTCTAAGGAAAATTTATAAGGAAGTAAAGGTAGAATTAGGTAATTTTTACATGGTTAATTTGAGTGGTCAAACAATGTCGTTTGATACAAATATACTGTGTTCAGTCAGTGTAATTGACGAAAAACATTGGCAAGATTGTTATGAAAATTCTAACTTCAATAAGAAATGATAGCATTGTATTTTAACTTCTTCCTCCCTTTCCTCTCTTGGCTGGTTCCAAAAATAATTTGATGTGGTGCAGTATTTTTAACTTGAGAAGAGACTATTAGGGGGCATTCTTTATTTTATTTTATTTTTATTTTAATGAAAGAAAATGAAAGTCAAATTTAAAGACAAGAAATTTCTGCCTTCAAAGGTCAGGTCTATTTTTACTTTCCTTCTGTATTTTTTTTTTTCTTTTAGATCAAAAATTTGAGTCTCTTTGGTATCCAGCTGTAAAATGACGCATGTTTTTTTTCCTACCTGGAGACTGTAACATTTTCCTATATTTTAGGCTAAAAGGGTTGAGAGCAATTTGTAAATTCATTCTTTTAGGAATACTAAAATTAGTTACAATTGACTTATGAATATAATTTGGAGATTTGGGTGTAGATTCCATAGTTGCCTTCGCAAGGAATGTATCTTTGATTTCTTTTTTTTTCTTAAATCACAAAACTTAAAAAAAAATCAGAAATACTGAGACCTTGCTATTGGTTTTGTTTTCTCTTTATATTCATGAACACAAAGAAAATGGGCATTAAAGCAATTTTATAAAAAAGAATCACTTTCCATGGACAAAGTCTATTAAAGATTTTTTAGTGTTCACAGTTCATTTTAAATTTATTTTCTATTTGGCCCTGGAGTCCTCTCAGGGAATGGATTGGGGAGAAAGACATTGGCATTCACACAGTGACAGTGTGACCTGATCATTTATTTGCCAAGCCTTATTAAAGCCCCTGAAATCACTCCCTGCCACGGCCCTCACAGCCCATCAGCCATCAGTTCGGAATGTCAAATCTGATTACAGTGTTCTCCTGCAGCCTCTTCCAAGCCTTCAGCAACAGAAAGCTGACTTTATGCCTGTGCCTACGGAAGCGGGTCCCATGGAGGCTCCAACTCAGGGCAGCTCATTTTGCTTCTGAACCGCCGACAGGGTTCCTAAATCGAGATGACATTTACCATTTTATATTTTAATTCACTAGAGAGATTTTGTTTACTTCCTCTTCCTTGCTACTATGTCTCACCAAAAGATAAATTCAAATTCCAAAATAGTATATTTAGTTCACAAAAATATGCTAAAATAATGTTTAAATGCCATGCAATTGCACAAGAAAACTTCACTGATTGTCAACCATAACGGGTACCAGAGAAAAGGGATTCTTCACCATCACGCCAACTTCTGAGAAAATCCTAACTTTAGGAATTAGCCAAATTCAGTTAGATTGGATTTAGGGCTCGTTAATATCTACTGTAATGGGAACGGTTTCCCAACACAAGGAGGCTGTTGGTTTGTTGTGGAAGTTTCAGCTCAGTAATGGAGGGTGAGCAGGTGAAGAATATTTCAGATGGGGGGCAACTCACAGTACACACGTGCAGTGTTCCTGAGCTGGGTGCCCACCAGGAACGGAACACTTAACTGGAAATGGTTGTGGCCACTGGTCTGTGAGGAAAATACTGGAGAATGCAGGCCCCTAAAACACTGCTACCACTACTACTACCGTTATTACCCCTACTACTGCCACTGCTGCTACTACTACTACTACTACTACCACCACTCCTACCACAACTACTACCACTACCACCATCTACCACAGCTACTACAACTGATGCTGGCCCAACTGTCCTATAGAATTAATGTTTATAGTTTCTTTTGAATAAACATAGAAATTGACCCTCCCAGTCTTACAACTTGACAAAATTACATTTGTCTTATCTAAGTCCTTTTCTTAGGAAACTAACCATGAGGGCCTCCCAGATAACATCAAAGAACTGAAACTTCCCAGATCACCACATCTAGACAGTGAGGTACCAGACCCTCACCTATCATGATTGCCTAACTGACCACCTGCTTCCTATTGACAAACTCCTTTTCCTTACCCTTCCCTAATTCCTGTTTTCCCACACATGGTTACATTGCTTTCATCCTATAAAAACCCCAATTTTAATCAATCTGAGAGATGGATTTGAGACTGATCTTCTATCTCCTTGGCTGCAGCACCAGAATAGTCTTCTTCACTGGCAATAATCATTGTCTCAGTGATATAGTTTGAATCTGTGTCCCTGCCAAATCTCATGTTGAGATGTGATCCCGTGTTGGAGGTGGGGCCTGGTGGGAGGTGATTGGATCATGAGGGTCACTCCCTCATGAAGGGCTTCGGCCATCTCCTTGGTGACGAGTGTGCTCTTGCTCTGAGTTCACACGAGATCTTGTCATTTAAAAGTGTGTGGCAACTCCCTCTCACTCTCTCCCTTGCTCCTGCTTTCACCGTGTGACATGCCTGTTCCCCCTTTGCCTTCCACCATGATGAGAAGCTTCCTGAGGCCTCCCAGAAGCTGAGCAGATGCCCAATGCCATGCTTCCCGTACAGCCTACAGAACTGTGAGCCAATTAAACCTCTTTTCTTTCTAAATTACCCAGTCTCAGGTATTTCTTTATAGCAATTCAAGAACAGCCTAAAACACTCAGTGATTGGCATTCATGTGGCGAGCAGTAGGACCTAGACTGAACCCCTAGTGTTTTGGCAACACTACCAATACTACTGTTACCACTGCTGCTACCACTATTACTATTGGCGGTACTACTACTACCACTATTACCACTACTGCTACTATCACTAATACTACCACCACTACTATGCTACTACTATTACCAATACTGCTACCACCCCTACTATCATCACTACTACCACTAATACTACCACCACCACTACTACCACTACCAGTACTTCTACTGCCACTACTTTTACTATTATTGCTATACCATTATTACCACCACCATTACTACTGCAACAATTACCACCACCACCACTACTGCCACTAGTTCTACCACTACTCTAAGAGCACCCGGAGCATTACTCCTTGTCAACTTACACTTTTGAGAGTAAGCTTGTAGTTTAGGAGGCTGTGCTGCACACAGTACCTCATTAAGGATGTTTGGATTCTGCTGGCTATTGCTGAAAAAACTTACCTAAATTCCCTGGTCCTGGGCCTGTCTACAAACTACGGAATCTTCATGCTCTGGGCACTTATACACTCTTAGGGGACATGTCACTTTGATTCAGACATTTTAAGAAGTGACCCAATGTTAATGGTTCCTCAGTTATTCTGAGCATCCTGAAGTTCAAGGTCCCCTTAAACATGACCTTGTCCCAGATCCTAACCTACAGCCCGGATCCCTTTTGCAGTTGACTCCAAATGGTTCCCAACAGACCTTGCAGTTTTCTCCCCTGTGCTCACTCACACCATTCATTTCCTCTTCCTAAAATGTCAAAATACCCCCAATTCCCTATCCCATGTTTAAAATAATAAATAACTTGCTTGCTGTCACACAGATACAAAATGATTGGAGCTGGACTTAAAATTAGCCTCTAGGGCTCTACAGTCCCAACACCCTTGCTCTGTCTGCTCCGCTAACTTTGGAATTATGCATACACACTGAAATCTCCACTGTGAAATTAGAAGTTTCTTTCCTTTCTTTTTTCTTTCTTTTTTTTTTTTTTTTGAGATGGAGTCTCACTCTGCCGCCAGGCTGGAGTGCAGTGGCATGATCTCAGTTCACTGCAACCTCCACCTCCTGGGTTCAAGCGATTCTACTGCCTCAACCTCCCAAGTAGCTGGGACTACAGGTGTGTGCCACCACACCCAGCTAATTTTTGTATTTTTAGTAGGGACGGGATCTGCCCACCTCTGCCTCCCAAAATGCTGGGATTACAGGTGTCAGCCACCGCACCCAGCCTAGGAGTTTCTTTCTAAGAAGAGGCAATATTGTTTTCTTTGTATCTCCCATGTAAGTACTTGTTGCTTGAGGAATGAATGATTCAGCCAAATTGGGGTCCAGACCAGGTGCAGTCACTTACACATGTAATCCCAGCATTTTAGTAGGCTAAGGCAGGCAAGTAGCTTGAGCCTACAAGTTTGAGACCAGCCTGAGCAACATAGCCAGACCTTGACTCTACAAAAATAGAAAACTTAGCTGGGTGTGATGGCACATGCCTGTGGTCTCAGCTACTTGGGAGGCTGAGGCAGGAAGACTGCTTGAAACTGGGAGGTCAAGGCTGCAGAGAGCTATGACTGTGCCACTGCACTTCAGCCTGGGTGACAGAGGAAGACCCTGTCTCACAAAACAAAACAAAACAAAACAAAACAAAACAAAACAAAACATAGGAGTCCAAAGATTCCATCTACAAATAGCTATTTCACATTGATTTTGAGAGTATGGGTGGAAAAGGGTTTCTATATTGGAAGCTGAGTCACTTCTAGTTCCTAAATATCTTTAGAGTTCTTTAGGAAATCCACCTACTTAAACTGGAGAGCCTGGATTGTCAATTCCTGTGTGCATGCTATCTGATTTTATAAAAGTCTTTATATTTCGCTGTGTTTCAGAAAGATATTTGAGATAATATCCATCAAAATTCAGAATTCTAAACGTATCTTCTCTGCATGTGCCTAGATTGGACCAACTTCCTAAATCTCTGAGGTCAAGCATCATATTAATTTAGTTACTGCCTAGCAATGTGCTCAGCAAAAAATGCTGCCACGGTTTCTGTTAGAAGCTGCTTATTCATTCATTCATTCATTTTTATTTAACAAGAATTTATATAAACTTAGTAGTGACAAGTATGCCTTAAGTGCATTATAAACGTTGACTCACATAAACCTCACACTGCCCTTAAGAGGTACGTAAAATAATTATATCCATTCCTTTTTGTTTTTTGTCTGATGTAGCAAGTAAAACAAAGTAACAAAGCAATGTTGCTGCTTTTTTCTCCTGTCCCTGGATTTCCCAGTTCCAGGGAACATATTTCTAAATTTTACCCATATGTGGAATGGATTCTTCAACAGGATTTTTAACAGAATCCTAGAGGAAAAACAGCCACAGGGAATCTGTGTTTGAAGCAGGTGTCATGGTCAGCATTCCCCAGACTCAACCTTTCTCCCTGTTCCGGGAGCACCTTCCTCCCGTGCAGCAGGTCTCAGGGCCCCTTTACACTTTTCCAAATTATTGGAGACCATAAAGAGGTTTCATTATGTGATTTGTAGCTATTTATATTTAGTGTGGTAGAAATCTTAAAAGATTTTAAAATATGTATTTATTTTAAAAATGAAATAGTAACCCCATTACATTATTTAAAAATATTTTAATGAAAACATTGTATTTTCCAAAACAAAAAAATAGCTAGAAGAGTAATATTGTTTATATTTTCATAAATCTTTTTAACGTCTACCCTAATAGAATGCTCAATTCTCATATCTGCATCTGCATTCAGGCTTTACAGAGATATGTAGATGGAAAATAAAGGAGTGTTTTAATAGTCTTTGTAAGTAATTGTGAATATTCTACTGAGGTAAGTTTTTTTTCTTTCTTTCTTTTTAGACAGGGTCTGGGTTTCTTGCCTAGGCTGGAAGGCAGTGGCATGAGCACCCAGCTAATTTAAAAACTTTTGTTGTAGAGACAAGGTCTTGCTATGTTGCTTAGGCTGGTTTTGAACTCCTAGCCTCAAGCAATCCTTCTGCCTTGGCCTCCCAAAGCTTTGGGATTACAGGCATGAGCCGCTGTGCCTGGCCTTCTGGGGTAATTTCTTAAAGGTTAGTTGGAATGGTATTTTCATACTCTGTTATGTTAAAATTGATTGCCCTATCTTGAGCTTTAAATGGATCTATTACTAATGCATGACTTTTGTAACATCATGCATTAGTCATTTATAGTTCACTGAGTTATGCAGATCTTTCAAATGTTGACAGGTTTCAATATATAACACTAAAAAATCATATTTGTTAATATAATCACTGATCTCATCACAAAAGTTCTTTAAATATTGGGAGGCTGTCAAGTACATAATGGTGGATACAGTTTTTCCACAATTTGAATTTTTGTTTGAAAAATTTTACCATTGAATCAAATACTGTTGGTTATTTTCCTTGAAGTAACAGGATCACCTTGGTTCATACTTTGAGAAAATAACTGTCATCTGTAGTCCAAATTACCATAGTTTTCTGTCCCTTGTTCCGCTAAGTAAAAGTAACAGTAACAGGAAAAGTAACTTTTTTAAAGTTCTATTAAGAAAAGGATTATTTCAGCTTGCAGCTCAACCACTCAAATGCTTTTCCTCAAAATAACCACACTTTATGGGAATACATTTCCTGTTTCCTCACAGAGGCTATTAAAAAGTCATATACTCAAGGGTTGAGATAAAATAAAACTAATAATTATATGGCTGCATAAAGGATATTCTCAATAAAATTGGATTTTTTTTTCTGTTAGTGTGTAGCAGTGAAGAATATAGTACACTATTTACACAAAACAAGTATAATTGGATCCCGCAGCCTTGACACCTGCTGAGACACCAGCAATTTTATCCACCATTGCAGATGTCAAAACAACAAAGAAAGTGAATGATATCTCAATATTATCTTGAAAGTAGTTTTGACCTTGCAAATCCCTAAAGGGTCTTGGAGACCATCAAGCGTGCAGGGACCACTCCTTGAGGACTGTTGCACTTTGGCATTGTGATTTAAAATGTGCTGCAGATGGGATAATCATATGTTACAAAGGATATAAGGAGAGTAGACAGGGATGGTATTCTTACAGCCATGTTCCCACCAGGGTCAAGAGAACAGCACAAAGCCCAGCCCAAGCCAGGGCCTTCCAAAGGGGCCCCATGTTCCCCTCTGGAGGCTGCTGACCTGGAGACCTGCCATGGGCCCGTCTTGCCAGCTCTCCTTCCTCTTTCTCCAGAAGTCGGCCCAGCCTTGCTAGCTATATTTTACACCCAACTGAGCAGAGCAACACTGGACAATAATCAAATGTTTCCCCCTTTTAAGTTCCCCGTGTGGTTGACAGGGAACATTTATGATTTCTAAATGGTCAAGTAAAATTTATTCTTATTATTCTTATTCCTTTTTTTTTTTTTTTTTTTTTTTTTTTTGAGACAGAGTCTCGCTCTGTCGCCCGGGCTGGAGTACAGTGGTGCCACCTCGGCTCACTGCAAGCTCCGCCTCCTGGGTTCACGTCATTCTCCTGCCTCAGCCTCCCGAGTAGCTGGGACTACAGACTACAGGCGCCCGCCACCACGCCCGGCTAATTTTTTTTTGTATTTTTAGTAGAGACGGGGTTTCACTGTGTTAGCCAGGATGGTCTCAGTCTCCTGACCTCGTGATCTGCCCGTCTCAGCCTCCCAAAGTGGTGGGATTACAGGCTCGAGCCACCACGCCCGGCTAAAATATATTATTTTTAAGACAAATGGTATTAGATTCCTAAGAAGAAGCTAAGCTAAGAGTTTTTACCTCTCAGATCATTAGAACAAGTATCTGCCTAGGGAAAAAGTAAAGTTCTAGAGATCTTAAATGTGAAATTATTTCTAAATGGAGAAATAATGATTTTTTCCACGGGGAGTAAACTATCTATATATTTCCAAGTGATACTGCTTTTCTTTACCTAAAGTTAGGCAGACTGTGGCTCCTTGTAGATAAACAGGATTAAAAAAAATGGCACTTAACTCAAAATTGACATTGTCTTTTTTATTTGTTTTTTTTTTTTTAATTTATTGAGAGGAAGATTTAACAACAATTTCTTGAAGGAAAAATTCAATTGATTCTGAGATACATTTTAATTTTAGGTTTAGGAAGTCAGGTTCTCATTATACTAACCATTTTTTGACCTTTCAAAATACAAAGTTTTAAGGCTTAATTTTAATGACATATCAAAACTCAGAGTAAGGCAATAGCTATCAATAAATTATTTCTTTGTATTACTTAAGAGAGACAAGTACAGGAAAAAATGAATTAACACAATTGAGAAAATTTGGAAGCAAGATTATACCCCCCCACCCCATAATTCATAGTAATTCCCTATTCTGGCTCATTTAACTATTTCCCAATATCCTTCACTAGACACTGAAAGCAGGCACTTCCAATAACATGCCAACCTTGTATCATTTCTATCAAGCACCAAAGCTGACATCATGTGTGCTTAACACGCTCAATGATGTGGAATGATTAGAAAGGACATAATTATTAAAAGCATCACTATATATTTCCAGTGATCCCTTGAAATATTAAAAAGGAAAAGGTATCAATGAACTAGCATACTTTAATGGAGAATGTACATTTTAAAAGAACAATTTTTTAATGTCCAGGTGATTAGTAAATCTTTTTTTTTTTTTTTGAGACAAGGTCTCACTCTGTCACCCAGGCTGGAGTGCAGTGATGCAATCTCAGCTCATTGCAACCTCTGCCTCCTGGGCTCAAGTGATCCTCCCACCTCAGTATCCCATGTAGCTGGGACTACAGAGTAAATCTATTTTACAAAGAATAAATTAAAGACAATGCCCAGTGGAATTTTCTTTGGAAACCTTAAAATCAGACTTGTGGTTTAACAAACTATGCCTTATACAGCCGATTTCTTACATGGGTGGTTTGGCAGGCTAATCATTGTCATCAACACACATGCTTACATACATGTATGCAAGCATGCATGTGCACACACACACACACACACACACACACACACACAATACACATGCCCTTCTCTCTGTAGAGCCATAAATTTCACCATGAGGCTACCAATGACAAAATCACAAAAGAAGATAGTTGAGCCTAAAATGTGATAGAAGGCCCTAGACTTGAATGGCTGATGAGGACATTATGCTCATTAATAAAGCTTGAGTATTGAATGTGCCTGTGACAAGCATACAGCAGTTAAGTTTTAAGTGTTCAGAACATTTGATGAAGAAAATATCTTAGAAAATAATATGAAAATCAGGCATGTCTGTTTCCAAATCATTCATCATCATCATGATCACCATCATGGCTACAACTTACTGAACTACCTGTTCAGCATTGTGCCAAGAAACTGACATAGATTATCTATGTTAATTCCCTTTTTAACATAAATGAGAAAGCCCTGAGATGGACTGCTGTGTCCCTTGCTGACTCTCTTATTTCTCTCTTATTTCAGACCTATAGCTTACACTTTTCCTGTCTTCTGTGAACACAAGTTCATGATACTGCATTTAACAATTGCCTCAATAAAGGTTAACTTCAAAGGGATTCATCTATGGTACAAACAAAATGCTGCTACGAGGCACTTTACATTTGCAAAATGTTCTGGAAATGTACATAAATAGCAAAGTGAAACAGTTAAGATACTGTTTCAGATTCTGTGAACCAAGAGGCGGTTGGAGATCTCTTAGATCAAAGATTTTAGAGGAATTTTGGACAATTTTGCAAGTGATTTCCTAAGATCCAGTCTCTTGACTAGTTATAAACAATTGTGTGTTCACTGGGCCTCTTGAGGGCAGAAGAGCAAACATTAAGCACAAGGCTAAAAGGGTTTCCTTGGAAACCTGGTGTTTCTTTAATACAGCACAAGTCCCTTAACACGTCACAGATTTTCCAGGCTCCTCCTGTGTGTCTCTGAAAAACCTGCTCTTTGAATTGCACTTAAATAAACACAGGGAATAATTCCACTTTTAGATATCCTCTCCGGAAAGTTCTATCATTGCCAACACTCCATTTAACACATAGGGCTTGTCATACACCAGGCTCCAGGCCAGGGGTTGGATATAGAATAGTGAGTGGAGGAAGGCGTGGTCCCTCCTTGACTGGAGCTCACTGTGCTGTCATCCTCTAGGAAAGTCTCCTCAGTTTGCACTCCTGGCACTGTTTGCTTCAAATTCATTTCCATTTTGATTCAATGGATGGATCATCTTTCCTAAAATGACTGATATTCATGAGGTCAGCAGGCACACCCAGTAACAGACCTAGGCAATAGATTCTAGGATCTCAGAGACATATGAAATAATTTAGTGTGGTTACAGCAAGGCTTTTAATTTGCTTCAGTACAAAATATGTATTATTCAAGTTGAGCTATTTTGGTTTTTCAACTGGGCAGCTGGCTCCCGTATAACAGAAGCCATGAAGTATGGGAGATGCAAAGGTGAATGGGACATAGCCCATGGCCCCCAGGAACTGAGAATCTAGTGGCGTATATTGTCTAGTAAAAATAATAATTTTCATACTGAGTGATGCTTATGTTCTGAAAGCACTGAGCAGAGGTAGACCCTGGGAAAATGTAACAGGGTCTTTCATGCATTAAACTGGGATCAGAGCAGCCATCTTACCATATTATCCCTCTGAGACCTTGTGTATATAATATCTATGCATGCACTTAGGAGTTGAGCAATTTATCAAGACCTAGCATTATATCCACTGGTGCAATTTTGGGGGTAAGCATTAGTGATATATGCTAAAAGTGGTCCCCAGTAGAAAAGCCACATGGCATTGGTCTGGGCAAATAATTTTTGTGTATTTGACCCGAAAAGCACAGGCAATAAAGGGAACATAGTGAAATGGATGATATCAAACTAAAAAGCTTCTGCACAGCAAAGGAAATAACCAACAGCATGAAGAGACAACCTACAAAATGAAAGGAAATATTTGCAAATCATATATCTGATAATATCCAAAATACATAAGAGACTCAATACAATAACAAGAAAGCAAATAATCTAATTAAAAAATGGGGACTGGACTTGAATACTTGTTTTATAAAAGATGATATATAGCCGGGCACAGTGGCTCATGCCTGTAATCCCAGCATTTTGAAAGGCCAAGGCAGGTGGATCACTTGAGGTCAGGAGTTCAAGACCAGCCTGGCTAACACAGCGAAACCCCGTCTCTACTAAAAATACAAAATTTAGCTGGGTGTGGTGGCGTGCACCTGTAATCCCAGTTACTCAAGAGGGCAAGGCATGAGAATCGCTTGATCCTGGGAGGGAGCAGTTGCAGCGAGCCGAGATTGCACCACTGCACTCCAGCCTGTGCAACAGAGTGAGACTCTGTCTCAACAACAACAAAGAAAGATGATATATAAATGGCCAAGGGGTATATGATAAAATGCTCAACATTGCTGATCATCAGGGAAGTGCAATTTAAAACCGCAATAACGTATCACCTCATACCTGTTATAATGACTATTTTCAATAAGATGAAAGAAAACAAGAGTTGGTGAGAATGTAGAGAAAAGGGAACCCCTATGAACTGTTGGTGGAGAACATAAGCTAGGACAGTCACTATGGAAAATGGTATGGAAGCTCCTCAAAAAACTAAAAATAGAACTACCATATGATCCAGCAGTCCCACTAGTTGGTATTTATCCAAAGGAAATGATATCAATATTTGAAGAGACAGCTACACTCCCATATTCACTGCAGCATTATTCACAATAGCCAAGATACAGAATCAACCTGTGTCCACCAAAGCATTAATGAATAAAGAAAATATGTATAAACCATGAAATACAACTCAGCCTTAAAAAAGCAATGAAATCGTGCCATTTGAAACAACATGGATAAACCTGAAGGACATTACGCTAAGTGAAACAAGCCAGGCACGGAAAGACAAATACCACATGATCTCACTCATATGTAAAACGTTTTTGTTTGTTTGTTTGTTTTTGAGACAGGGTCTGGCTATGTCACCCAGGCTGGAGTGCAGTGGCACAATCTCGGCTCACTGCAACCTCCACCTCTCAGGTTCAAGTGATTCTCCCACCTCAGCCTCCCAGGTAGATGAGACTATAGGTGTGTGCCACCATACATGCTAATTTTTGTGTTTTTTGTTCTTCTTCTTGTTGTTGTTAAATTTTAGTAGAGACAGGGTTTCACCGTGTTGGCCAGGCTGGTCTGGAACTCCTGACCTCGAGTGATCCACCTGCCTCGACCTCCCAGAATTCTGGGATTACATATGTGAGCCACCGCACCCAGCCTCATAGGTAGAATCTAAAAACTTGAACTCATAAAAGCAGAGAGTAGAATGGTGGTTACCTGGGGCTGACAGGTGGAGGGATTGGAGAGATACGAGCTAAAGAATATAAACTTTCAGTTAAACAGGTGGAATAAATTCAAGAAATATATTGTACAACATAGCAACTATAGTTAATAGCAATGTATTGTATACCTGAAAATCATTATAAGCATAGGTTTTAAATGTTCACACCACAAAAAATGAGTCTGCAGTAATATATATTTTAATTAGCTTTATCTAATTTAGCTCAGTTAGAATAAATTGTGTACATTTCCACATTGTATATATATTTCAGAACAGCATGTTGTGCAACATAAGTATATACAATTTTTATGTGTCCACTAAAACTAAATTTTAAAAAGAGAAGGTCTCCAATAAATCAGTCCTCTCCATGTCAACAACCCATTTGTGAGACAACTTTGCCTTAACTCCCAGATTCAAGGGTAGGGACTCTTCCTGCCCCTTAAATCTGGGATGGCTTTGTGACTTGCTTTGACCAATAGAAAGCAATGCAGGTAATGTCCTGGGAGATTCAAGGTGACCCTTTGGAGGTCTTTCAAGCTTCTAATTTTGCTCAGGTGGAACCCAGCAGACATAAGAAGGAATCCAAACTTCCTAATATAAAGAGGGAGGTCACATGGAGGGGAGACCCTGGAGGATGAGACACTCCATATAAAGACAAGGGTCATGTGGAAGAGTAGCGAGGCTCCAGAGGTCTGCAAGCCCACTCATTTGGGCTGTCTCAGCTGAGGTTCTAGACAGGTGGGAGGCCACTTTTGATTCTTCAGACCCAGTCCAGGTGACAGCATGTGAAGCAGGGACAAGCTGCCCTCCAGAACCCTGCTCTGCTTCCTGTCCCAAAAACTTATTAATATAAGCTGTACAATGATGTTTATCTTGAGTAATAACTTTCTGGGTGATTTGTTATGCATCTCTTAATAACTGGTTATAACCCTTCTGGGTGTGAACCAGATCCAGAGGAATATCTTGATGGTTCCTTATCTTTCAAGGAGCCCATCAAAGGAACTTAGCTCTTTATAAGGCTCGCTGGCTACCTGGTGGGTTTACACAGCACTACAGAACTGTGTTCACTGTGTTTTAACAACAGAAGATATTACCCATCTTTGCCTGAAAATAGGTTTGTGTTGCTACAAGGAGGCACAGAATTATCTAAGCCCTGGGTCATCTCGGTGCCCAACATGAAAACAAAGAATATATTAAATAAAGAATGAAGTACACTAAGCCTAAATAATTCAGGGTTAGCATTGACAATTTTCATTGATGACGTGGATGATGAGAAAGAAAGAATGGTTACTAAGTTGGAAGGTCTGTGATAGGGTGGGGGGACAGGACACTGAAAAGCTGGAATTTAAGGTAACTTATTAAAATAGATTATCATTAGAATGGGAAACCATACATTCTGGAAATGTTGAGCTTTAAGGGCTTGAAAGGCTATTGACAAACAATGTGAAGGGACATGCTGGTTATGAGACATTTGCTGGAAATTGCCCTACGAGATCATCTGGGCATCACATTCAGTTTGGGGAACACATTTAGTGAGGAGCATTGACAACCTGAAAATTGAATATCTTTTATTTCTGACACAGCAACAGACATTCATCAGTCGTAAGTTGGCATTGGTTCTTGTAGGTTTCTTCTATCCTAAGATTTAGTTACATCATTTATGGATATTCAGTAGGCTTTGTTTTTGTCTGTTGATGTGCCCTCCATTTTCCTTCCCCGAGCCCACTCATTCCTACAGGAGGGATGATGCAGTACCCCTGTCTGACACACAGCTGGAGTGACGTGTTCACTCACATGTGCAGTGCAGTCACTGTGTGCCCCATGATGCCAGTCATAATTTTAAATGACATAACTAGAGTTCGTAGGCTAGTGTGATTCCGATAAATGAGACATTTATTCTCTAATAGGTAGCAATCTCCAAATAGTCCATTTTTAGTATGTTATGAATGGAACTAGAATATTATCATCTGACCTATCCAGGTGTTTAGGTAATGTGTGGTTATCTTTTTCTCTGAGAAATCACTAAATATTTATTTGGATAACAATTATAGTTCAATATTAATGCTTACAAAGAAAGAAAACCATTAAGCCTAAAGAATAATTTAAATACCTAAGGGTGTATTTTCAAAACTGCTCCCAAATACATAGTCATAAAAACTGTACAGTAAATACTGGCAATACCTTTAGCTTCTGAGTATTGAGAGCTATGGCATTAAAAAGTTCCATTAGAATGTAATTTGTATTTTTAAATGTTACATTACACTATAATCACTTCCACATTCAGCCTTGATTAAGAAAGTCCCTATTTTCCCTTTTATCTTATGCAACTTGAGTCATGGTCAAAATATATGAAATAGTGATTTATAAATTTGGAAAACATGCAGGGAAGCCTGAAATAAGGAAAGCGAACAAAGTGAAATCTCTGCTTTTCCAGAGATGACCCAACCAGCCTGATGGTCTCTTCTCTGAGTTGAGAGCACAGTTTCAACGCTGAAGAGGCCACAGAGCTAGAATGTAGGAAAAAGTACTAGAGGAATCCTAGTGAGAGGTGGACAGATCCTGAGTTTTACAGAGGGCCCACCCCTGTCTTTTATTGAGTTATTCTGATAATGCATGTGGGAAGATTAGCCAAGGCTACGGCAAGAACAAGAATCACTGGAGCTCATACAGAGGTGGGAATAGTTTGTATCCCTGCAAGTCAGTGAAAGTATGTCTGAATATTTGAGAAATCAAGTAGAAACCACAGAATTGTATTAATATTACCTTAGTAAGGGAGCCAATCAGTTCTAGACTGGAACCATGCAAACAAGAACTGTGCAAACAAGGCTTAAAGCAAGGCTTGATGGAATCATATTGAGGCCAAGTAACTCAACTGCATCCCAGTAAACTGTCCAACAATATTGAAAGAAAACTAAAAAATCCAGCACCCAAAACATAAAATTCAAAATGGCTGACATCCACTAAACAATTACAAAACATGTCTAAAGCAGAAATATGTATATATTATATAAAGCAAAATTATATATATGGAGAAAAATAAATCCATTTTAACAGTCCAAAAAATAAAGAAATGAAACAGATGATAAAATTAACAGGCAAGGAAATTAAAACACGGATCATAAATATGTGCCATTTTCAAGAAGGCAGAAAAAGGATAGTATAAATGGAAATAGAATATAAAAATTAAACCCAAGTAAGACTTTAGAAGATAAGAAATTTAATATCTGAAATGAAAAATTATCATTGGTTGGGATTAATAGGAAGTTGGGCAATGCAGAAGAAATCATCTGTGAACTCATAAACAACAATAGAAACTACACAAAATGAAATACGGATAGAAAAAGAACCAGATAAAAATGAACAAAGCATCAATGACTTGAAGTGTAATATCAAGCAGTATAGAATATGTGCAATTAGAGACTTAGGGGAGGCAGAGTTAGGACTCCTATCAGAGGAAAGAAGAGATAGAACAGAAAAAATATTTGAAGGGAGTATTGAAATAAATAGTTCCAAAGTTGATGAAACTATAAAGCCACAGATGCAATAAGTACCGTTAATATTAAGCCAAGGACATATGAAGAAAACAACACCGAGATGCATCATTATCAAACTGCTGAAAGCCAGTCATGAAGAAAAAAATATCTAAAGGGGCCAGGGTTAAATTACGAACAAATGAAGACAAGAAAGACAAGATTTTGCCATGCAAACCAGAGACAATGGGGTGACACTTGTAAAGTTTTCAAAGAAAAACTGTTGATATAGAATTCTCTATACAGTACAAAAAAAAAAAATTCAAAAAAGTAAGTAAAGTTGAGTCTTGCTAAAACTAACCAAAGTAGAAAGAAGTCATTGCCCACAGACCTGCACTAAACTGCTCACAGGAGCCTTTCTGGCAGAAAGAAAAGAACATCAGAAAAAATTCAACCGATGTAAACAAGTGAGGAGCATGAGAGTCAGAAAATATGTGGTTAAATGTAACACCTTTTATTATCAGTTTTAAAATATCTTTAAAAGATAATTAACCATTTAAAAGATAATTAACCATATTTTGTGAAGTTTACATCATATGTAGAAATAAAATACACACAAAAATAGTAGCAAGTCTAGCAGGGGAGTATTGGAAATACACTGTAATAAGATTCAACAATATATGTGACCAGACTCAATATTACTTGAAGATAGACAGTAATTATATACACACACACACACACACACACACACACACACACACACACACACACACTGAATTGTAGGGGAAAACAAACAAGCAAACAATAACAACAAAAGAGGGGCAGAATAAGCCACGAATGGAGACAAAATAATGTTTTATACAATTAATACAATGAAATATGGACTTAATCCAAAAGAAGGCAAGAAAGGGGGAAAGATAGAACAAAGGATAGATAGGATAAGCAGAAAACAAATAGCAAGACTGAAACCCAACATTGTCAATAATCACACTGAATTTTGATACTGCAAGTATTTCAACTAAAAAGCAAATATTATCAGATTGTATAAAATGCAAGACCTAATCATATGCTGTGTAAAAGAAACATACTTTAAGTTAAGTCATAGAAAGGTTAAAGCAAAAAGATATAAAAAATAAGGCAAACAAAAAATCTCACATAAACACTACTCAACATAAGTTATAATAGCTAAAACCATTGATGTGAAATAGATATCAAAGTGATAAACAGAAAGACTGAAGAAGTGAAAATGAGAGAAGACACACATTACCAATATAAGTAATGAAATACGAGATGCCACTGAAGATCTTCCAGATATTAGAATAATAAGAGAATAATATGGGCAATTCTACACATACAAATTAAACACCTTAGACTAGTTTCTCATAAAACCACAAACTACCAATACTCACTAATATGGTTTGGCTCTGTGTCCCCACCCAAATCTCATCTTGTAGCTCCCATAATTCCCATGTGTTGTGGGAAGGACCTGGTGGGAGTTGTTTGGGTTATGGAGTTGGGTCTTTCGCTTTCCTGTTCTTGTGGTAGTGAATAAGTCTCACAAGATCTGATGGTTTGATAAGGGGAAACCCGTTTCATTTGGCATTCATTCTCTCTTTGCCTGCTGCCATCCATCTAAGATGTGACTTGCTCTTCCTTGCCTCTGCCATGATTTTGAGGCTCCCCCAGCCATGTGGAACTGTAGGTCCAGTTAAACCTCTTGCTTTTGTAAATTGCCCAGTCTTGGGTATGTCTTTATCAGCGGCATGAAAATGGACGAATACCGTAAATTGGTACAGTCCAGTGGGGTGCTGATGAAAAGATACCTGAAAATGTGGAAGTGACTTTGCAACTGGGTAACAAGAAGAGGCTGGGAACAGTTTGGAGGGCTCAGAAGAAGACAGGAAAATATGGGAAAGTTTGGAACTCCCTAGAGCCTAGTTGAATGGCTTTAACAAAAATGCTGATAATTATATGGACAATGAAACCCAGGCTGAGGTGGTCTCAGATGGAGATGAGGAACTTGTTGGGAACTGGAGCAAAGGTGACTCTTGTTATGTTTTAACAAAGAGACTGATGGCATTTTGCCCCTGCCCTAGAGATCTGTGGAACTTTGAACTTGACAGATATGATTTAGGGTATCTGGTGGAAGGAATTTCTAAGCAGCAAAGCATTCAAGATGTGACTAGGGTGCTGTTAAAGGCATTCAGTTTTAAAAGGGGAACAGAGCATTAAGGTTGGGAAAATTTGTAACATCACCATGCGATGGAAAAGAAAATATATTCTGAGGAAAAATCCAGTTTGCTGCAGAAATTTGAATAAGTAACTAGGAGCCAAATGTTAATCCCCAAGACAATGGGGAAAATGTCTCCAGGGCATGTCAGAGACCTCTGTAGCCCCTCCCATCACAGACCTGAAGGAAAAAGTGGTTTCATGGGCCAAGCCCAAGGTCTCTGTGTGCAGCCTAGGGCCTTGGGGCCCTGCATCTCAGCTGCTCCAGCTGTGGCTGAAAGGGACCAACATAGAGCTCAGGCTGTGGCTTCAGAGGGTACAAGCCTCAAGTCTTGGCAGCTTCCACATGGTGTTGACCCTGCGAGTGCACAGAAGTCAAGAATTGAGATTTGGGAACCTCCACCTAGATTTTAAAACATGTATGGAAATGCCTGGATGCCCAGGCAGAAGTTTGCTGCAGGGGCAGGGCCCTCATGGAGAACCTCTGCTACGGCAGTGCAGAAGGGAAATGTGGGGTCAGAGTCCCCACACAGAGTACCTACTGGGGCACCACCTAGTAGAGCCAAAAGAAGGGGGCCACTGTCCTCCAGACCCCAGAAAGGTAGATCCACTGACAACTTGCATCATGCATCTGGAAAAGCTGCAGACACTCAACACCAGCCCATGAATGGAGCCAGGAGGGAGGCTATACCCTGCAAAGCCACAGAGGCAGAGCTGCCCAGACCATGGGAACCCACCTCTTGCATCAGCATGACCCAGATGCAAGACATGGAGTCAAAGGAGATCATTTTGGAGCTTTAAGATTTGACTGCCCTACTGGATTTGGGACTTACATGGGGCCTGTAGCCCCTTTGTTTTTGCCAATTTCTCCTATTTCTCTTGATTCAATGCAATCCCAATCATCATCCCAGCAGGATATTGACAAACTAATTATAAAGTCTGCAAGGAAATTCCAAAGATACAGGATGACTGAAACAACTTTGAATAAGAACAAAGTGAAAGGATTTAGACTACTTGGTTTTAAGACTCATTATAGAGTTACCTAATCAAGACAGTATATTATTCACACAAAGATAAACATAGGGACCTAAGGAGCTGATTAGATTCTGAAAACAGACCCACACAGATAGAGTTAATTGGTTTTCAACAAATGTGCACAGGTAATTCAATGGAGAAAGAAAAAATTCAAAAAGTAGTGCTGGAATATGTGAACATACATAGGGGAAAAAAAACTAAGAAATCTGTATGGCCAAAATGGACCTCAATTATTGCTTCAAACCATATACAGAACTTAACTTGAAGTAGCTCATAGACCTAAATGTAAGAGCTGAAACTGTAATATTTCTGGAAGAAAACATTTAAGAAAACGGAAGTGACCTTAGGCTAAGCAAAGATGTTTTATATGGGACAAAAATAATTTGAGCTATAAAAGAAAAAATATTTATAAAACAAGTTACATCACAGCTGAAAACCATTGCTCTTCCAAAAATACGTTTAAGAAAATAAAAAGTCCAACTGCAGATTAAGAGAAAATATTTACAAAACATATATATGATAAGGGACCGGTATCTAGCACATATAAGAGTTCTTAGAACTCGACTATAAGAAAACAAAAGTCTTCTTTGCCATTTACAATGTGCAAAATATTTGAACAGATACTTAGTGAAAGGAGATATATGAACAGTCAATTAGCATATTTTAAATGTTTAATATCATTTTCAGGGAAATGTAAAGTAAAACCACAATGAGATACCAACGCATACCTCCTAGAATAGCTAAAATTAAAACGTACTGTGAAGAACTGAGACAACTAAACTTTTCAACTATTACTTGTGGGAATGCAAAATATTAATGAATAATTTACACTTTTTCCATGAGGTACATTTTGATATTGCTTAGTCCCTATTTTTCTCTTTCTTTTTCTTTAATGTTGGCCTTACAATATTAAATGTATTTCAGATCCTAACAATGAGTGCAACCTGCAGTGTGAAATACATTGATCCAGTTAGCTATATAGGTATGTCTCAAAAATCACAGATTATTATTATCAAAGTGCAGAGAATATCTCGAGTGAGTCATTACCTGCCGACATGAACCTGCCTAAGGCAACAAAGTGTTCTGATAAAGCACAAGGTAAGTCATCAGGTCTAAAAGCTAAAAAGATAATTTATCAAGACATGGGACAAAGGAAGGAAGAGCTATTTATTCATCTCAGCTTTATTCAGCATATAGATATTCACAAGTAACCAAGAGACAATTTTCTTACCCTCAATAAAATATATCCAAAGTTACATATAGCAGGATTTATAATATATGCCTACAACATTTTCCAGGATCAAAGCTACAGAAAGAAGGTGTGATTCCATGGAAACAAAGGAAGAAAAAGCCTGAGAAAAAAAGACCTGGAATTTGATTTGGACGTTTTTCACATGTTAGGTACTCAATAGAATGTATTTCTTGATATCAAATTAAAGATTATCATCAAACGAGCCTGATTTTTTCTAACAAAGCTCTGTATTTATATTTAAATGTAGGATACATGATTTTATATAGTTATAAAAAAAGAAAAGACAGATGGAATTTAACTGGCTCAATTTCTAGGACAAAATAGCAGTGCAACATGGCGGAATATAAAAGGGCACTGTCATCTACAGTCTCTTTAACAGAGCGTGCCAAAAGTTGGTGGCACCACTGTTAGACTGTTCAAACAACAAACAGAGCTAATATACTGAGTTATAGATGTATTTCAAAGAGAAATGAATATGAGGTAGACAAACTAATGAATGACCCAGGTCTGGATGGTCACTGTGCAAGATGCTGAGGAGTGAGACCAAATGTTTTCAAGGAGCACAGTTGCTTAGGAGACATTGTGATAATACTGGAAGAGAAATCTAGAATCCTGAAAGGACAAAAGAACTGGCCTAGGCCTGGACAGGGAAGTTGCCCTGGCCCTGGAGAAATCTGATCTGCAGAACTGCACAAATGCCTCTATCCCTCTAAGGGAGATCTCACACCCTGGCAAGGTAATTGCTGTGAGGCACCATTTGCACAGGCTCCCCAGGGGGCCGGTGGGACCCTCTTCGAGGGTCTTCTCATCCTTATACACTGCTTCCCCTCTCTAAACTCTCCCAACCCCTGCCGCAATCCCTATACACACCTTCCCCCAACTCTCAGGACGGCACCATCATGTCATGCATCGCTGTCATCATTATCCATTTTTATTAATGACACATAGGTTTTATAGCTCAGATTTTCTATTTTTAGGCAGAAAAAAAGGTTGGGAACTACAGGCACACAGGATTACTTCAAACTTCCAAAATAGGCAAAAGAGGTTATTTGCAATCTAGACTTCATCAGTTTTTCTGTGCAAATATATTTTTTTCAATAAAATGACCTGCACACTTGGACATGATGTGAAAAGTCCTGCCTTGGCTGGACATGAGGGGATCCCCTTTTTCTGGATTGGACACATTTGATTTAACGCTCTGCTTCATACCTGTCCTTCAAGGCTCTGCTCCTGCCCACTCCTCTATTTCTTTGTGGCATTTTTCTGACAGCCCATCCTGCATTGGTTTCTCCCCTTTCTGAACTCCGTTACCCTTATTTGTACTGATCGCTTGACCCACTGTGCTCACACACAGATTATGTCTTCATCTGTCTGCGTGTTTTATCAATAAAGGAAGGAAAAGCCTCGTAATTATTTGTAGAAATACCCTTGGTTGCACTCTGTGCCTGGTAAGTTTTTGGTGCTTAATGGATGCTTGTTGAAGTTATCTAATAAAGAAAATGGACATTCCTCTTGCCATCTCTTGTGTAAATGTTGTCATTTTGCCAAAATAAGCAGACAAAGAGTTTGGAGACAAGAATAGTCACTGTATTTCAAGACAAAGCAAGAGCAAAATGAAAAATGACAGGTTTGTAGTTTCAGCAATTTGGGGAAAAAAGTGAGCTATTTGCAAAAAAAAATTGTAGGGATTGATATAAACTTCAATTGAGTTGATAGAATTATTAAACTAAAAGAAAATAAGGATCCTATAATAAAAACTTTAATAAAATTTCATGAATGATATGTCTAGGAGAGGTATTATACTACTCTCTAGTGGTTGGATTATAGAGCAAGATGATTTCAGAATTAATTTAGGATTTTTTTAGAAAGATAAAAACAGAAATGTAAATAAAATTTAAAATCTCATTCTTTCATGAACATTTCATGCCCCCCAAAAATGCTTTATAATTTCAAAATTCAAGAACATCTCATGTAACTAGCTATCATTACAGGTGAAAATCAAGGGACTCTGGAACGTGCAATGCTCCTTCAAATTTTGTCATCTGAAAAGGTGACATTGGTCTGATTTGGTTGAGGCATCTGACTATATCTGTAACTCTGACGTCCATATTTGCATTTCCAATATGACAACTCCCAACTGAATAGGAAATTTCCTAAAATTTTCCTTTAATAGCATTGTAAAGTTGTTAAGGTTGCGTGAACATCTATTTTTATCTCATTTATTTTCATTTTTTATTGCCAATATATAATATTTCATACAGATTTAATTTTATTATTATTATACTTAAAGTTTTAGGGTACATGTGCACAATGTGCAGGTTTGTTACATATGTATACATGTGCCATGTTGGTGTGCTGCACCCATTAACTCGTCATTTACAGATTTAATTCTTTTTGAGCAGAAACCATTTTTCAAGACAATAAAGGTGAAGAAATAAGGTAATCTTTAAATAATCATTATAAAGATCTTGCAAATTGATGGTAAATTTCTGAGTACAATAGAAAATACATTAGAATCAATTTCAGAAACATGAACACAAGTTAATTGTTGTGTCTAATGTGTAATATTGCATTTGATATTTGATGAAGAAAAATAGATATACAGAGCCATGTATATGTCCATATTAGACAGTAAATAACTCATATTTTATCTTATTGCTATAGTATGGAATTTAGCTATAATAACCACCCAGATATTTCCGGTCTGGTTCTAGATATATAAAGCAATTTAATTCAGTTTAACTTAGCAAATTATAATCGTTGTGCTTAGTTAATATTAATCACAAGAAAAATTAAAAAATCCCTTTCACATAAGTACATCACTTGACATAATAGACATGAAGAAAGGATCACAATAACAAAATACAAAAAAAAAGTTGTTTATACAAATTATCTCATTTATTTCTAAGAAAAATGCCTGTCCACTATCATGATCCTCATGTATAAACGGGGAAGGTGAGGCTCCAAATTATGAAGCCCCTTGCCCTCAGTAACTTTAAGGCAGCCTCAAACCTAGACCTAGTGCGTGGATACACCTGCCCTTTCTTCTATGCAAAAGTTCCTCAACAAAAGGCAGATTGGAGAACTTCCTTGGAAGTAACCATTGAAGTACGATAGGGGATTAGAGGGGTGTAAAGAACCTTCATGAACATGAAGCCAGAGTATCAGTTGTGTTCGGCAGGAGATTTCAATGCCATCCATTGAAAGCATTGAGATTCAGTGTTATCCATTGTGTTTGGCAGGAGATTTCAATGCTCAGATTCTGGAAAACTGTCTGGGTGGGAAGACAGGAAAGTAAGGCTGGCCAGAGGAAAGGATTCAGTGAACGTCCTCTAAACTTTGACATGGTATCTGAGCAAAAAATCTTCTAAGAGTTTAAGTTTTGACCAACCAATAAGTTTTAATTGAAATTCAAGTTAAAGATGTGGATGCTGAAAAAAACTATGATATCTGTAAATCCAATTCATATAGTTCTGCAGCTGGGAACGGGAGAATTTTGTAATATTCCAAGGAGGGTGTTTAGGTTATGTGAGGTGAAGATTATGGCCACAAGAACATGGGTTTTACTGGCAATCAAAGCAAGCCTTCTTTTGCTCAGGATTGCCGGTACTGAAGGGCAAAAGTAAGATTGTTTAGCAAACAGTAAAAATTAGTGTTTTAGAAAACATCTAATTAATTATCACAACATAAACCAAAAAGGAATTTTGTATGTGAAACTAGAACAATCTGCTAAAATGAGGGGATAGGCTAGGATGTGAATAAACTGGATAGATATGAAAAAACATGATAAATGAATTAAGGACTGAAAACAGTAGAATAATGCATAAAATTGAATTAGTGGGGTAAAATACAAATACAAACTATAAATGTTTCACAAAAATTTAGAGAAAAAAAACCCCTGATAGAACAATTTAAAAACCTATGAACTGGACATGAATATTCAACCTATTTTTTTCCAAAAATTCCAGGAATTCAGGACACAGAAAAGGAAATAATTAAAGAAAAAAATATATATCTATTTTGAGATGGAGTCTCGCTTTGTCACCCAGGCTGGAGTGCAGTGGTGCGATCTCGGCCCACTGCAAACTCTGCCTCCCGGGTTCACGCCATTCTCCTGCTTCAGCCTCCAGAGTAGCTGGGACTACAGGTGCCCGCCACCATACCCGGCTAGCTTTTTTTTTTTTTTTTGTAGTTTTAGTAGAGATGGGGTTTCACTGTGTTAGCCAGGATGGTCTCCATCTCCTGACCTCATAATCCGCCTGCCTCAGCCTCCCAAAGTGCTGGGATTACAGGCGTGAGCCACCACACCCAGCCCAGAAAATATTTTTTAAATGTATTCAAGAGTTCATAAAATCCTGTGTTTTCAGATAGAAAAATTCATGAAGTATCCGAAATATTATTTAAAAGAGAAATAATTCTGAAACATATATCAAAGAATTTTGAAATATAGGGGTAAAGAAAGTTTTCTAACTGTGCAGGCTGGTAAAACAGGTAATTTATACATGAAAACACTGGGTTTCATCATCCAAGGTCAATGGAACAGAATATGCACCTCTCTGAGCAAACTTCTATACCCAGCCATCTTATCTTTCATATATGAGGGCAAAGAAAGAGATTCACCCAGATTCAAGGTCTCACCAGCTATACCACTCACATATAATTTCTGGGAAAAATTACTCAGATACATCTTCTAGCCTATCAAAAGAACTCAAGAATGTATTGCATAACTTAATCTCAGCTAAACATAAATTATGTCAAAAGATATGATATGGTCATGAAACCTAAAATCAATTCTATCATTGTCAGCATCATCATCACCATGTATAAAGTCTCACATTATTGTTATTGGAACAAGGAACTGACTAGAAAGAATAAAAAATTAAAATTATATAAAATTACCCACTTTATACCCAAGAAACCCATAGATACTTTTTTATTCTTGGCTTTTACACCTATAAAAAAGTTTGGATAAGTATATATAAAATTTAAGAGTAATCATTAGAACAAATACTGAAGGAATGCTTTTGAGTCATTAGAGAAAAAGTGGTTATGAAAATGACATATTAAGGGACTGATAATATAATAAAACAAAAAAATTAGGCACAAAGCAAAATACAGTAACAGGATACCAATTGTGATAGCTTTGTAGCTCAAGAAAACTCATATTTTCAAGAATATTGAATAATTTGATGAGATAATCACAATGTAACACTGGTAAAATAAGCCCGGTGAGAAATTATATATAAACAATGCCAATTTTCATTTTTAAAGTAAGTCTATAGATATATGTGAAAGACTAAAAGGAAACAGTTTGACATGAATCTGCGCTTGAGTGTATGACTCAAGATCTATGACTTGGGTTCTGGATTTCGTTTATCTTTTCTTTATCCGTATCAAAAGCCTCTACATTTGCTAAAATCAGAATGCCTGGTATTTATAATTCAGAAAATCAGCTTTTGTTTTCAAAAGGTGGAAGCCACTGAAATCCTGAGGAAAACTGAGGGAATCAAGTCAAACTTTATGGAGCAAGCAGGAAGGTCAGGATTCAGGAGAGTTGGTTTGAACCAAGTATCTATGGTGTTATGGGTTGAATTCTGTTTCCCCAAAATTTGTATGTTCATGTCCTACCACCAGTATCTCAGAATGTGAACTTATTTGAGAATACTGTCCTTGCAGATGAAATTAGCTGAATGAGGTCATTAGAGTGAGCACTAATCCAATATGCCTGGTATCTTTATACAAAGGGGGAATTTGGACACAAACGGACATACAAGAATGCCATGTGACCCTGAAGGCAGATATCAGATGATGTTTCTACAAGCCAACAAAATGCCAAAGATTACCAGCAAACGACCAGAAGCTACGATCAAGGAATGGAACAGATTCTCTCTCAGAGTCCTCAGAAGGAAGAACCCTGCTGATACCTTGATCTCAGACTTCCAGCCTCCAAAACTGGGAGATGATGCATTTCTTTCGCTGTAAGCCACTCACTGTGTGTGCTTTGTGATGGCAGACCCAGCATACTAAACTAATATTAAACTAATATAGAAGCTTAATAAGGAGAGTGCCTGGGAGCAACAGCCTCAGGCATAGTCTTAAAAGTGTCACCTTCTCACCTATATTTACCATAATATGTTAACCTGACAATTGTTTCAGCCATGAAGAAAGACAGAGGAATTGATGTGTGTTCAAGACTTGAGAGCCATGGAGAGGAGCTGGTATCACCACTGCCTGCAGCTCAGGCCCATCACTGCATCCTTCACTCCACCATTCCTCACCTGGATTCACCTCACCCCTGACGTTAGAACCTGAACACGCCTCCGAAACTGGTGAGACAGAGGAGAGAAACTAAGCATACAGTACCTGTCCTGTCTTGTCAAAGGGAAGCCTGACCTTCGGTAAGCATAGTCATAGGCAAGGGGAACCCAGCCTGCTCAGAAAGTGCTGCATGAGTTCATTCTGCAAACTTCAGGGCACTTCTTAGCATGCTCCTTTTTGAAGAATTACATTTGTGCTTGTGGGATTGGTGTGGGACACTAGGCTAGAAAAATTTGGATATCAAATACATGTGCTCTCATAGGAGCTGCCAGCGCTGTGTGTTTTGAGGTGTATGTTGAAAAATAACCCTGTCCCAGAGCCTTTCTTTTACTGCCTCTCACAGTCTTTGAATTTCCGCCATCAAGGGGCATATCTTTGGCTCTCAGGAGAGATAAACAACAGTATTATCAATCACCATTTTAGCAGAATTAACACCTGAGAGGCGGAAACCAAAATGGACAAAGGAAACAAAAAGTACTTGGATTTTAAGACAAATATCTCCATGACTTTCTCTCTGACAGTGTTGAAACAAATAGCTCCTTGGGAGAGGACATTTCTTTTCCCAGGTGCCCTGCAGGGGAGGGTGCTTAGAAGAGGTCTACAGAGCCAACCTTGAGAAATGTCCTATAGGGCTGTGGTTTCCCTGCCTAAGACAAACTGAGAATGAGGAGGCTCTGAGCATGTAATGCATATGGAGGAGACAGAAAAGGCTCTTTTAAACTGAATGCCTCATTGACACAACTGCTATCTTTCTATAAACTTAGACAAGGGATGGCAATTATGAGCATATCCACTGATGCATGTCCTGCTCATGCCCATGGCAGACATTGCTAATCAATTACTACACTCTTTTCTAGTGAGCACAGATAAGACTTCAGAATCCTTCTCAGTTCTGCATTCCAGGCAGTCACTACCAGTCAGATGGAACTGACATTCAAAATGTAATTTATTTCCAGTCTTGGCCTTCGAGGGCATATACCCTAAAAGTCTAAAAGGTTCGTTGACATATTTGGATATTTTAATTTTATGTGCCTGGATAGAAAGCTTTGTTTTAAAAGTTGGTGGCCGAGCACAGTGGCTCACTCCTATAACCCCAGCACTGTGGGAGGCGGAGGTGAGCAGATCACTTGAGGTCAGGAGTTTGAGACCAAATTGGCCAACATAGTGAAACTCCATCTCTACTAAAAAAAAATATATATATACAAAAATTAGCCGGTCATGGTGGTGCATGCCTATAATTCCAGCTACTCAGGAGGCTGAGGCAGGAGAATTGCTTGAATTCAGGAGGCGGAGGTTGCAGTGAGCCAAGATCGCGCCACTGCCCTCCAGCCTGGGTGATAGAGTGAGACTCCGTCTCAATAACAACAACAAAAAAGTTGACATGTAAAGTCTATTTTTTAAAAAATGTATATGTTGTTTTTCTGGATTTTCAATAACAACTTGCAAAAACCACATTTTTAAACTTCCTCCATATGAGGCAGCCACAAAACCAAAATCTCTTTGCTGCAGGTTTTTCCAAGAAGTAAAGGTCTTGCAGAAAATCATACATTCAAATATTCCATCAATGTAATAGGTAATCAACCTCAATAAAATGTTCGTCTATCCACATAGAATACTATTGCCTAATAAGGTCTTTTACTAAGTAATTATAACGACACAATTTTATCAGTAAAGGTTAAGTATCTTTATCTGAGCAGAATCCAATGAAATTAGTCCTGATGTAATAAGTACCATTTGTCACTATTAGAGCTAGAGGGGTTGACAGGCTTGGATGTCTCCCTGGCAACCCGAGTGTTCCATTTCTTTTTTCTGTAACCTTAGACACTAACAAGGCATAAAAGTCCAGAGGGCATAGAAGGTATCGCCTGGGTAATTTATGTACCCTCTTCTGACTTTGCCAGGCAGTGGCATATGCGAGCATCTAGAAGCATTTTAACAGCAAATATATTCATTCCCAAAATTTTGAGTCACGATGAATATTTTGAACAGAAGTATTGTATTAATGTAGGTAGGTTTTCATTAACAAGGACAGTTACTAATTTTTAACTGACTCATTATCCACAACGAGAGAGAGAGAGATTGAGAACATGTATGTAAACGGTGTTACAACTTCCTAAACACACTGCGCATGCTCACCTCCCAAGGGGAAGGAGGGCACTGCGCATGCGGGAAGCTCGTCCTAAGCGAAGAGTCATGGGAAAGGGGTGCAAGACACCTGAAGTGGGCCAGCCTACAAAGTCCTAGGATCAAGGTTAAAGATTGCACTTGTCCTTCAAGTTGCCTGCTTCAGTCTCTTCCAAGTGTACTTCCCTTTCTTTCCTGTTCTAAAGCTGTCTAAAATAAACTTCCACTCCTGCTCTGAAACTTGCCTCAGTCTCTTTTTGTGCCTTATACCCCTTGGTCGAATTCTTTCCTCTGAGGAGGCAAGAATTGGTGTTGCTATAGAGCCATATGGATTCGCTGCCGGTAACTCAGATACCATCCACCAGTAACACATGTGGGCCATGATCAGTGATGTAACAAAATTAATTATGAATGGCATTTCATAGATGTTCCTGCTATCAGTCTTAATGGGCAGAAATCCAAGAGCGGAGGCTGTGAGGGGTGTGGGGAAGAGGGAGATGCTGGATAAACATTTAGAGAAATATTACAAACAAAATTTTATATTTCCTCACTTTCCTATTATCCTTTCTCTTTTTATATATAGCTAATATCGGTTTTCCACTTTAATAAATAAGCTAATATAAAAATATGATTTCTAAAAACAGGAAGGTAAAATTTGAATTGTCCTATTTTTAAATTTTGCAAACATCAATACCAAGATTTGGAACACTGTTAATTTGCAGATAGCCTAGCAGCATGACGTACCTTTTAAAACAGATTTCTTTTATTTTCTAATTTAGAAGTCATGGGATAAATTGCGTCCCCCCAAAATTCATGGCAGACCCCTAACCTGCAGTATCTCAAAACATGGCTTTACTTGGAAATAAGGTCTTTATAGTGATAATCAAATTTAAATGAGGCCATTAGGATGGGTGCCAGTTCAATATAAGTGGTGTCCTTATAGAATGGAGAAATATGGAGACAGACACTGACACCCATAGAGGGAACATGAGGTAAAAACACTGGAAGAAGCCAGCCGTGTGACTGGCGTGATGTCTATAATACAAACCAACAAGAGCAAGGCTTGCCAGCCAGCGCCAGGTGCCGCAGGAGGTGAGCAAGGACCTCTCCAGAACTGTCAGGGAGAACATGGCCCTGCAGACACCTGAATTTTGGAGGTGTAAGCTCCAGAACTGTGAGAGAATCAGCTTCTATTGTGGTCATATGTTATGGAATCCCCAGGAAGCTCACACAATTTACTTCAGATTAAAGATAAAAAATCTATTTCCAGAATATAATCAAAGGTTCAACAACGATATGCCTGAGGACATGACATTCTGGGAATAGATTATATTCTGGAAATAGCTTTCTTATCTTTAATCTAAATAAGCTGTGTGAGTTTCCTGGGGGTTTCCACAAAAAATTATCACAACAGGCCAGTCGCACATGTAATCCCAGCACTTTGGGAGGACAAGGTGGGCAGATCACTTAAGTTCAGGAGTTTGAGACCAGCTTGGCCAACATGGTGAATCTCCTCATCTCTATTAAAAATACAAAAAAATTAGCTGGGCATGGGGATGGGTGCCTGTAATCCCAGCTATTCTGGAGGCTGAGGCACAAGGATTGCTTGAACCTGGGGGGTGGAGGTTGCAGAGAGCCAAGATTGCACCACTGCACTCTCTGTGACAAGAGTGAAACTCCATCTCAAAAAACAAACAAAAATTATCACAACAGAAGTTTAATCTCTTACAGTTATTGAGGCTACAACTCCAAAACAGAACCAAGGTTTGGGTTACATAAAGGAATGCTGGGATCAAAAAAGATAATGATGTAGCTGAGATTAAAATTCTCTTCCCGGCCAGGCATGGTGGCTCATGCCTGTAATCCCAGCACTTTGGGATGCCAAGGTGGGTGGATCACCTGAGGTCAGGAGTTCAAGACCAGCCTGGCCAACATGGTGAAACCCCGTCTCTACTAAAAATAACAAAAATTATGAGTGAGAACATGCGGTGTTTGGTTGACGAGTTAACGGGTGCAGCACACCAACCTGGCGCATGTATACATATGTAACAAACCTGCACGTTGTGTACATGTACCTTAGAACTTAAAGTATAATAATAAATAGATAAATAAGAATTTTTTTACCCCCCCCTAAAAAAAAAAACATACAAAAATTAGCTGGGCGTGGTGGCGGGTGCCTGTAATCCCAGTTGTTCAGGAGGCTGATACAGGAGAATCGCTTGAACTCCAGCCTGAGCAACAAAGAGCGAAACTCGGTGTCCAAAAAAAAAAAAAAAAAAAAACTCTTCCTTGTTCATTTCATAAACTTAAAAACAAAAATACAGCTTTTTTTCTGTTTTAGTATAATTCTAAAGAATATATTTACTTCCAATCTTATAGTTTCTAATCCACCTTCAGCATGTATATACACACACACATGCATGTGTATCCATAAACATATATAAACATACACATGTTAACTATATATGTTATATATGTGAACATGAATAAACTATGTATATATGGATATCTATCTATATATAATATCCTTTTGTAGGGGGCAGAATAAAGGACAATGAAGCTAAACTTTTCAGTAAATTTCACTTTGCTTGCTGGTCAATCAAGAGCTTCTCCAAATCTCATGTTTGATTGTTAAATTTGCACCTGTGAACACACATGGATTGGGGTCAGAGGGTGTGGCTGGCCCCATACTACTCCATTGGTAGCACTGGAAGAAAAGACCGACTCTGGACTGTATCCAGCAAAGCCAGGCACAATTGTCAGGGGCTTGTGCCCTGGGGCTAGCTAAGCAGGAGGCAGACTTCCTAAACTAGCCTGACTGCTGTCACAGTTAACAGAAGCTGCATAGATGGGTCTGCCTACAATGGTCACAAATGTTGTCACTTTACAAGATCCATGGACAGTTTGTTGGAAAACCTGTGCTGCTTCCTTTTCTCTCCATTTGTCCTTTCATTGGCCATTCAGTAATTTGGCGAGGTGGTCTATGGGCATTTTCACGAGTGGACGTTGCCTGCTGTGGGAACAGTTCACGGCATCTATGTGTCTATACTACTATGCATCTGTGACTACTTTCAGAAATAGGAAATTTGTCATCTCGTTATACATTCTAAATTGTTAAAGGTTCATAATGTAAATGGCAATATTAAAGTTGTCAAAGGCCACATTTCACTATTTATTTTGTTTTTAGATGTCAATGTCATAAAAGATAAGTGTTCTAGAGAGTACTATGACATGAGAGATGAAGAAAAGTACAAGATACTTTCCCAGAGGCATAACTCAAAGGGCTGGAGCCTAGGAAAGAGGCCCAGCAAGCTTTGTTGTGTGCTTCCTAGGAGCACCAGCTAGTGACCACAGCAAACATGACAATGGGAATGGTGTCATTTGGGCTGGGGGGTTGGAGCAGCACACACAGGACAATGTCCACAGTCATTCTCCTCAGTCAAGCCCAAACCGTCATCTTGGCTCACATTTGCTCTTTCTTCATTGGTACTTGGCTAACACTTTGAAAAAAAAATCTAGTGTGCAAGGGTACTATCCCTATTTGTGGGAATACTTATTACAGGGGGTATAATAAGCAGCTCCCTAGGTGTCAGCCCCGGGACCTGATGCTGTCAGCCGTCTGAGATACCAGAAGCTTGAGTGTTCTGATTCCAGGCTCACCAAGCAACCTTCTGGCCACAGCACTCTCTGCAATGAGCCTTGAAGACAGCGAGCAGGGCATACAGGAGAGGGGCCTAGGTGGCCCAGCTGACTGCTGCTCTGGTCATGGACCTGTCTGTCCCAGCTGACCAGACCACTGTCATTGGAATGGGGCTGTCTGTCCTAGCTGATCACTGTCCTGGGCATGAACCCGTGTGTCCCAGCTGATCACTGTCCTGGGCATGAACCCGTGTATCCCAGCTGACCATGGCCCTCGGCATGAACCCATGTGTCCCAGCTGACCATGGCCCTGGGCATGGGCCATTCATATACTGACAAACTCAATTGTTCAATAGGTTAATGGGAGCTTTGTTACCATGAACCAGAATTACCAAACCCCCTCCAATCTGGGTCAGTATCAGGATCGTTTTTCAGAGTCTAGAAGGCTAAGGTCAGACCTCAAGTAGAAGAGATTTGCCAAACACAATGCCCACCTGCAGTCAACATTCAGAATCCCTGGCCTTCCCTCTGTGAATGAAACCTCAGCTCCCTTATTGCTACCCACTTTGCAGCACTTTATGCAAAATCTCTACAGCACAGTAAACACAGGGAAAGAGTTAGGGAGAGGATAAGCTGCCCCATTGGCTTTGTCATTGGAAGAATGCTGCAGATTCTCATCCTGATGCATCAAACCAAACCAGACACAAGCTAGGGAGGCTATGCTCACGGCTGCCTGCCGCATGTGGCCTGGTGCTGCTATGTCTTCCTGTGAGCTTTGATTGAAGATGTCATCCAGTTGAGGTCAGTTAAGTATTGTGTTCTGGATGAATATCAGCACTGAGGCAGAAAGCCCCATTTTTTTAAAGGGAATTTCCCAAATGATACTGATTAATCAGCTGAATTTTGATCCTAAATTCTTCCAGACCTTGACCCATTATACTTTGTGCTACACTGTATCATCTTCGCTCTGGGAGAGCTCCATCTTTCTTGTCTGTCCTCACAGTCCAGGTCCAGTCTGATCTACTATGAAGGGGAATCTGCCTTTAAGTTTCTGAAATTTAGGCTTGGCATGTTCAACACCAAAGCTCATCTGTCTTAACCCTAATATTTTACCTGAGATTTACTTACTCTTCATTCTCCCAACAAAGGCGCTGGCCTCAACTGTGTGACCATGAGGGCAAATACTTTGTGTGTGTGTGTGTGTGTGTGTGTGTGTGTGTGTGTGTGTGTGTGTGTGTGTGTGATGGAGTTTTGCTCTTGGTGTCCAGGCTGGAGGGCAATGGTGCAATCTCGTCTCACTGCAACCTCTGCCTCCCGGGTCCAAGCAATTCTCCTGCCTCAGCCTCCAGAGTAACTGGGATTACAGGCATGCACCACCATGCCCAGCTAATGTTGTGTTTTCAGTAGAGATGGGGTTTCTCCATGTTGGTCAGGCTGGTCTCGAACTCCCAACCTCAGGTAATCCACCCGCCTCAGCCTCCAAAAGTGCTGGGATTACAGGTGTGAGCCACCACACACTGCTGCAAATACTATTTTATTATCAATTGTTGAACTGCAGTTATGAGTCTTTTATAGAGTCTAAGACAAGCAAAAACTAAACGAGAAGGCAGAACTATCTCCAAACAGGATATGCAAATTTACTAATTCCCTCTAGAGCAAATATCCATATTTAGTGTCGTGGGGCTGTGTGTTTCAGCTGGCCGCTGCCCTGGGCATAGGCATGTTGTGTCCCAGCTGACCACTGACATGATATCGTTCTACTTCCTTTATCATACAGCGACCTAATACACACACACACACACACACACACCATTTCATGTGACTCCTTTCATTTAGGAATATAAAATATAATGAAAGTTGCATTAGTGTATGAAAACTTTGCATTTTAGGTACTTTTTCAAGCATCACTGTAACCCCTTGCAGCATGGCACTTTTGACAGCCCCCACATGGCTACTGAGTACATACTGTATAGGAGGCTCTGAGCTTGCTAGGCAAGGGAGATGAACTGGCAACAAGACATAATCTTTGCTCTCCCATGGTGCTTAAAGTTGTATCCAAATTTTCAATGTTATTATATGGCACCAACAAAATATAATAATGTTTTTCATTGCAAACACAACTGCAGATTTCCAATTTTTTGCAAAATGTCTTTTGCAAAATATAATTTTAAATGTTACATTTATGGACTTTAGAGAGGCAGTATTGTATCAAGTTTTTTGTGCTTTTTTTTTTTTGGAGACAGAGTTTCACTCTTGTTGCCCAGGCTGGAGTACAGTGGCGTGATCTCGGCTCACTGCAACCTCTGTCTCCCGAGTTCAAGCAATTCTCCTGCCTCAGCCTCCCGAGTAGCTGGGGTTATAGGCATGCACCACCACGCCTGGCTAATTTTTTGTATTTTTAGTAGAGATGGAGTTTCTCCATGTTGGTCAGGCTGGTCTCAAACTCCTGACCTCAGGTGATCCACCTGCCTCAGCCTCCCAACGTGCTGGGATTACAGGCATGAGCCACCAAGCCCAGCCTGCATCAAGTTTTAAAGTGTGAACTGTGGACCCAGATAGCCTGGGCTCCCAGCTCAGGGCTGCCACTTGTAGTTTGGAAAGTTGTTAAACGCCCTTGTACTTCAGGTCCTTATAATGTCAGTAGAGAATTAAATGAGTTAATACAAACAAACAGCACCTGGCTTACTGCCTGGCACACAGTAAGTACTCATTAAGTGCTGGCTATTATTAAGTACTCCAGAATATGTTACTTATTTTACTTATTTGATAAACACTTTCTGGATTTTTTCTATGCTGGGCGCTATTCCAGATGGTGAGATGCAAAATATAATAAGACATGACCTCTTTCCTTAATGCAATTTTGGGTCATAGGAATTAAAGTTACTAATATCTCCTTAAAAATGACCAAGAAAAGAGCCTTCAGAGCAACTCTATTAAAAGTCATTAAGACCTTGTGTAAAATACAAATGAACAAAAAATAATTTTTCCTAATATCCAGTAATCTGAAGAGTACCCTCACACACATAGAGGGGGCTGGTCGCTGCTTGTCACCTCTTGCTAAAATCCAGCACTCTGCACATTGCATTTGATGGAGAATTAATCTTCATACCTTCACTCACAGCCTAGCTCAGTGCTATTTTAGGTACAGTTTTAGCAACACAATGTTTTCTACAAGTTGATGTAGAGACAGCTGTGATGGTTAATACTGAGTGTCAACTTGATTGGATTGAAGGATACAAAGTATTGATCCTGGGTGTGTCTGTGAGGGTGTTGACAAAGGAGATTAACATTTGAGGCAGTGGGCTGCGGAAGGCAGACCCACCCTTAATTTGTTGGGCACAATCTAATCAGCTGCCAGCAAATATTAAGCAGGCAGAAAAACATGAAAACAAGGACTGGCCTAGCCTCTCAGCTTACATCTTTCTCCCTGGCTGGATGCTTCCTGCTCTCGAACATTAGACTCCAAGCTCTTCAGTTTTGGGACTCGAACTGGCTCTCCTTGCTCCTCAGCTTGCAGACAGCCTCTTGTGAGATCCTATGATTGTGTAAGTTAATACGTAATAAACTCCCCTATATATATACACACATATCTATCCTATTAGTTCTGTCCTCTAGAGAACCCCAATTAATACAACAGTGAAGAGTGGTTTTCAGGGCCCTGGCTCTACCGCTGGACTCCTGTCTATCTTCCTCCTGTGTAGCTTTACTGCCGGCTTCGCCTCTTTGGGCCTCATTGTCACAATCTGTAAACAGAGGTTTTGGGAAAGTCAAATGAGATACCGTGTGCGACGCACTTGAGGCAGAACACACAGCACGTGCTTCACACATCTTTACCGGCATTCTTCTTCTCTAGCTGTACAACTAGAAGGTGGTAAGGGTGGAGGCAGCAGTGAGAGAGAAGCCGCTACTGAGACAGCTGGAGAGGGAGAAAAACAACTGCAAAATCTTACAAATGAAAACCAGCAATTCGAAAAGCAAAGCAGTCTGAGAATATGGAGCATCTCTATGTTATACAGAATCTCTGCGAAGATAAATAGAACAAAAATAGTTATCCTGCCACATCTTCATTATCTCTCATTTAAAAGGGCTGATGTTATGCAAAGATTTTCAGAAAAACTTCCATCTAAACTAATTGAAATCTCATGTAATGGGGTGTACAACTGGCCCCTGAACAACCCAAGTTTCTGCAGTTTCACTGATACACAAATTTTCTTCTGCCTCTGCCCCTCCTGAGATGAATCCTTCTCCCCCTTCCTCCTCCTCAGCCTATTCAATATGAAGACAATGAGGACAAAGACCTTTATGACACCTCAGCCTACTCAATGTGAAAACAAGGACAAAGACCTTTATGATGATCCACTTCCACCTAATGAACTACTCAATGTGAAGACGATGAGGACAAAGACCTTTATGACTCCTCAGCCTACTCAATGTGAAGACGATGAAGACGGAGACCTTTATGACTCCTCAGCCTACTCAATGTGAAGATGATGAAGACGAAGACCTTTATGATGATCCACTTCCACCTAATGAATAGTAAGCATATTTTTTTATTCCTTATGATTTTCTGAATAATGTGTTCATTTCTCAAGATTATTGTAAGAGGACAGTATCTAAAATATATAATGCAAAAAATATGTCAATCAACTGTTTATCAGTAAGGCTTCCAGTCAGCAGTAGGCTACTATATTGAAGTTTTGGGGAGTAAAATGTTATATGCAGATTTCTGGCTGCCTGAGCAGTCAGTACCCCAACTGCTGCATTTTTCTAGAGTCAACCGTACTAGTTTCTTGTGGCTATTGTAATGGATTGCCACCAACTTAGTGGCTTAAAGCAATAGAAACTGATTCTCTTATAAATGTATTCTTCTGGCCAGGTGTGGTGGCTTATGCCTGTAGTCCCAGCACTTTGGGAGGCCAAGGCGGGCAGGTCACCTGAGGTCAGGAGTTTGAGACTAGCCTGGCCAACATAGTGAAACCCCGGCTCTATTAAAAAATACAAAAAAATTCGCTAGGCATGGTGGTGGGTGCCTGTAATTTCAGCTACTTGGGAGGCTGAGGCAGGAGAATTGCTTGAACCCAGGAGGTTGCAGTGAGCCGAGATCGTGCCATTGCACTTCAGTCCGGGCAACAGCATGAGACTCTGCCTCAAAAATAATAATAAAAAATAAATATATAAATAAATAAATAAATATCTTCTTCTTCTGATAGTCAAAAGGCTAAAATCAAGGTGTTGGCAAGGCTGTTTTTTCCAGAGGCTTCAGTGGAGAATCTGTTCCTTGCCTCTTCCACCTTCCAGAGGCTGCGGTGTTTCTCAGCTCCTGGCCATCACTCAGATCTCCACTTCCTTCCTCACACCACCACCTCCCACTTCGGCCCTCCAGCCTCTGTCTTATGAGGACCCTTGGGGTTACCTTTAGATGCCACTCAAACACTCTAGGATATCCTCCCCACTTCCAAAGATCCTCAATTTAATCACATCTATAAAGTCCTTTTTCCCACGTAAAGTAACATTCACAGGTTCCTAGTGCTTCGGATTCAACATCTTTGGTGAATGGGGCATTATTCAGCCTATCATATAGGACACAGCTAATTATCTTGCCCTAAAATAGATGCCCCTTTTCATCAACGAAGCCAGAAGATGAGCTATGAATAGATATAGTAAAGGAAAAAAGTAGTCAGTGCCCTTCATTTTGACATGCATCAACTTACTAAATCTCAAAGCAATTATATGGCTTAGGTGAGATAATCTCTGTCATACAGGTGAGGAAACTGAGGCCCAGAGGGTGAAGTCATGTGCCCAGGTTCCACGGTAGCTGAGCTGGGTTTGCACCTGGGGAAGTCTGAGCCTGAAACCTACTCTCTTAACCAGGTTGACCCATCGCTTCTCGTTTGTTCTTCTTTCCCAGCTGTGAAAGCCAACATTTCTGTTGTAACCATTTTCTATCTGTTTCAAATTATAAGCAATTTACAGATACAAAAAAAATCAGTCACATTTCTTCTTCATTCATTAATATACCTGTCAAAATGAGCCGGGCATGGTAGCTCACGCCTGTAATCCCAGCACTTTGAGAGGCTGAGGTGGGTGAATCACGAGGTCAGAAGATAGAGACCATCCTGGCCAACACGGTGAAACCCTGTCTCTACTAAAAATACAAAAAATTAGCCGGGCATGGTAGGTAGTCCCAGCTACGCGGGAGGCTGAGGCAGAAGAATTGCTTGAACTCGGGAGGTGGAGACTGCAGTGAGCTGAGATCATGCCACTGCACTCAGCTTGGGTGACAGAGTAAGACTCCGTCTAAAAAAAAAAAAAAAAAAAAAGAGCACCTGCAGCAGGCAGGCACCAGCTGCACGGGACCAACACAGAAAGCATAACATCTGCCTGTTCATATGGGCTCCTTCTGCTTTGACTGGCCCCATCTCCAACCCCTGCACGGGACTGCATTTTTCTTTGAAGATGATTTTCCTATAATTCAATTATTAAGGAATGAAAACAAAAGCTTGGAGAGAGTTGGATTTGTTCACACTGTTGGCGGATGGCAGAGGTAGGATTTATTTTTTTCTATCTCTCTTCCAGTTTAGGGAAATGGCTAGCAAGAGACTGCACAATGTCACCTGAAGTGGATGACATCACTTGAAATAGGTGACATCATCTGAGGTGGATGTCACCTGAGGTAGATGATATCACCTGAAGTGGATGATGTCACCTGAGGTAGATGATGTCACCTGAGTTGGATGAGGTCACCTGAGTTGGATGAGGTCACCTGAGGTGATGACATCATCTGAGGTAGAAGATATCACCTGAGCTGGTTAATGTCACCTGAGGTAGATGATGTTACATGAGGTAGGTGATTTCACCTGAAGTGGACGATGTCATCTGAAGTGGATAATATCACCTGCGTTGGGCGATGTCACCTGAGGCAGCTGGAGTCCACACCACATGGTTTCACCTGGGAAGGGCCAGTGACTTCCAAGGGGCATCTAGACCGCCTTTCTTCTTCCAAACTGGGTATTTCATTCTGGCCCTCGCATGGCTGCCTGTCCTAATGCAGTTCCACAACTTTCCTTACCAGCCTTGTCATCACCATTTTCCTTTTAATCATGTTTACACACACATGATCACGTGGTGGCAGAGCACACTTATTCTCAAACATTAATGCCACACAAAGTCCACCAGGACAGGATACGTTTAACCCTTTCAGCTTGTACAGCCAGAGCAGGTGTGAACACACAACATGGAGGCAGAGAGCAGTGTGCTCATGCCAACACGGAGACGCCAACAACGGCGTCAAACATCAGCAAATGAGAAATCACACATCACCTTTCCAGTGTCTTAGAGTTAAACAAAACCCTTTCTTGAAAAACAGATTATTTGAATTTAGGCTTAGAATCAAATGGCTGAACTCAAACTCTATCTGGACGCTGGCAAGACCATGCACACTACAGGATGGTAGCCACTGTAGGATGGTAGCTCAGCCTGGGGGCTGGGGACACAGGCTGCAGTAATTGCTTCTCATAATGGTGCATTATGCTAGGAAAACAAGGTGAGCAATTTTCCTAATCAGGCCATCAGGTGGAAATAATTAAACAAAATAATGCAGCAGCACCTCAATTATAATTGCAAAAAGCAGTCCTGATATGCCCTGTGTATAATGAAGGAAAATAATTTTTGAATTTGTGTAATTATTTGTTATTCTCAATAAACCTATATTGATCATTATCAATACAACATGTGTCACAAAAAAACACCCGATTAGACACTAAATCCAGATATTGGGGAGAATGTACAATCACTGATATCTACAAGACCCATTTCAGCTATGAATGATTATTTCCTCACAGCCTTGAGAGGTAGCCACAATTAGCCTTGTTTGTTGAGTGGGACAAGTAGGAAACGAAGAAAGAACATGGCCCTAGGATGACCTTTTGAGACAGGCCATCCTATCCTGAAAGACCTACATTGTCCCCAACAAGTGCTCTAGAAAGTTTTCCAATAATGGAATCGATCAGTGATAGACAAATGGTAGGGAGCGGACAAGATCTCTCCTTAGGCAGGAGGTGGCAGAGATTACCCCGGAATCACCCTTTTCCAGTTCTGAAGTCTGGTGGCTGCGGTGTGAGGTGGCGTGGCACACCAGTGGCCTTGCCCCGCAGCTGCCAAGCGGAATCCTCTTGGCTTAAAGGAAAATCCTGTGAGCCCGCAGCTGCTCAAAGTGCAGCCTTGTTGCTAGATGATTTATTAAATCCTTGCATTCTTTCAACTTCTCTAATGTTTGTTTAATTTAGTTGGTATTATGCAGCAAACAAAACAACAAATTTTATAGTTTTACATTTCAGATTTAAGCCTGGGATCCATTCTGAGTGAATTTTTGTATAATCTTTATGTCAAACCCTGGTGACACAAGTTTACCTTTATAACAAACCTGAACATGTACCCCTGAACCTAAAAATGAAAGTTTAAAAATTAATAAATAATACAAATTTAAAAACTGTATCTACCAAAAAAAAAAAAAAGCTATGAGATTTAGGTGAAGGTTCATTTCTTTGCCTATGCATATCCAATTGCTCTTGTACTGTTTTATGGAAACAAGACTATCATCCCTCCTTTGAATTGCTTTTGTACCTTTGTCAAAAATCAGCTGAGCATATTTGTGTGGGTCTATTTCTGGGTTCTCTATTCAGTTTCACTGATCTCTATGCCTATCCCTTTACCTATACAGACAGTTCCTGTCCGATGGTTTGACTTAGGATTTTTGCACTTTACACTGGTGCAAAAGTGATACCCATTCAATAGAAACCATACTTTGAATTTTGATCTTTTCCCAGGCTAGCGATATGTGATATGATACCCTCTCATGATGCTGAGCAGCAGCAGGGTGCCACAGCTCCCAGTCAGCCATGGAATCAAGAAAAACAACCATGAGACATTCAACACATTTTACAAGACGGACTTGTTAGATGATTTTGCCCAACTGTAGGCTAATGTGGGCATTCTGAGTGTTTGAGGTAGGCTAAGTATGATGTTCAATATGTTAGGCATATTAAATGCATTTTCAGCTTAAGATATTTTCAATTTAGGATGAGTTTATCAGGACATAACCCCATCATAAGTCAGGGAGCATCTGTACTGTGGAATATTTTTAACATACTTTTGTGCCAATTAAATTAAAGTGTCTCTGTATCAATTGTAGTGATGTATTTCTTCATCTAAAAATAGTTTTATAATTCAGAAATTACACAAAGATTAATATGGAAAAATTTCCCCCTGAGATGGTTAGTTTACACAAATTACACTTGAACAGTATTTTCGGGTTTAAGTTGCCCCATCATAGTCCTCTGGGGGAAGAACCTAGAACTTCTCAAAACAAGGCTGAGCTGAATTCTCTCTGAACAGGAATTCAGCAGCTCTGGTTCATGCTGGCATCTAGTGGTGTGTGCACATACATTTAGATTAGGAAATCTGGTGCATATTTTTAACAATTAAGATAGATTCTTAACTCTCCACTGAGTTTGTCTCTTATTGACCCAGATGACAGAAAACAGACAACAGGGGTCTCACCTGAGACTTGTTTGGCAGAACACCAGTTCTGTGGGATATGATGAGGGGTGTCAGGAACAGCTACAAAGCTTGAAGGACTCGCCAAGTGAAACTAGGCCGCCCTCGTTAAAAAATGGTTAAGAATTTCAAGACGAAAACAGCAGCGCATTAAGTCAAGCACTGGGTCCTTCTAAGAGCACAGTCTTTTGGGATGATAGAGTTCCTGCATGCATGAAGCCAGCTTGGAAGCCTGTTTCTTGCTGAAACAATCAATTTATAGAATTTAGATTTTATTACCTCAGTACCCTCCAGGGTGTTTAATAAGTTATTGTAAATTTTGGGTTTCTGGGAAGGGCATATACTGTTTTCCAAAAGGATTTGGTTCTGCATGTGAGTTATGGCCTCTTTTTGGGAAATAGTGTGTTACACTTACTGCAGATATGCCACATACCTATAATCAGATGTGGTGGCTGAAAACACAGGAAGTAGATTACATTTGGCTGAAAAGGTAGGAATTCACTTTCAGGATTCCTGAAAAGGATCAAAATCAGGAATGTGAAATTAAATGATTATTTTGATGGATGACCTACAGGCGGCTTTCTTCAGAAGGGGTGTAGACAGGCTCTGTGACATGTTCACTGTTTGGGTCACATTCAGGACCATTTTCAAGCAAGGGGAGACTTGCTGTGGGAATTGCCACTCTAAGAATCACAAGGGGGATTCAAGAAACTAAGCTCGGGGCTCCACCAAGGTGTCCACAGAGTCACAGAGGCAATACTACTACTAATAATAGTAATAACAATAGCCAAGCTTCACCAAGCACCAACCATGGGAGAAGTATGAAGATTCCCATGAGCAATTACATAATCTTAGTGAAAACCCTGTGAGACCAGCTTTATGATTATCTCTATTTTGCAAGGGAGGCATTGAGGAACAGAGAGGTTAAATAACTTACTCAAGTTCACAGACCTTAAAAGAAGAGCCAGCCAGGGGTGGTGGCTCACACCTGTAATCCCTGCACTTTGGGAGGCCAAGACAGGCAGATCACTCGAGGTTGGGAGTTCGAGACCAGCCTGGCCCACATGGTGAGACCCCGTCACTACTAAAAATACAAAAATTAGCCAGGCGTGGTGGTGGGCACCTGTAATCCCAGCTACTCGGGAGGCTGAGGCAGAGAATTACTGGAACCTGGGAGGCAGAGGTTGCAGTGAGCCGAGATCCTGCCACTGCACTCCAACCTGGGCAAAAAGAGTGAAACTTAGTCTCAAAAAAACAAAAGAAAAAAAGAAGAAGAGCCAGAACTGGGGCACTGGCAGTCAGGCCCTTGAGGCCAAGCTCTCAGATTTGGCTTGCAGCAATGTTCATCTCATAGCCTCACAGGTCTCAGTCTGACCCTATGTCCTACCCTGTATTGACCTTGAAGCTGCCTTCTTGCTCGCCACCAGGTGTATGCTGACACCAACACCTGATTAAAATGAAGTTTCTGGCAGTAGCAGCAGACCCAGGACCAGGAGTCTGGGGACACAGCATCGAGTCTGTATTCTGCCATAGACTGTGTGACCTTGAGGATGCCACTTGTCATTGAGCTTAAAATGAAGGAGATGAGATAATTTTTGAGACCCTTTTCAACCCTAAGATCTGGTATCCTAATTTAATGATCACACTCAATAAAATAGAGCTTGTGATATTGTCCAAAGTAAAACAATTCTAGAATATAAACTCCATAGATGCAACGATCATGTGTTATGTTAATCTTGGTATCTTGGAGGTCTAGAACAGTTCCTGATATACAGTAGGCTTTCAAACAATGATTGGGTTGATGAATGAATGAATGAGTGGTAAGTGAAGGAGTTAAATAAATGAGAAAGTGCAATAATCCGACATAAAGCAAATGAACATTATACACTTTTGTAAGCCTCACAAACCATGGCACCAAATTGAATCTTGCAATCATAGCACGGCCTTGGCCAACCTCAAGGTCCAAGGTCTCATCAACATTTAGTTGTTGGACCTATCATTGCTGGTAATAGGCACACAGTGTCTCTGAGTAAAAGCTACCATGTTGGCCCGAGAAAAAGCTTTCTTTTGATGCTAACAACATAAGGAATGAGGACTGATTGAGATAATTTATTTTTGCTCTCCAAAATGAGGGTGTCTTCTGGCACCTTTTGAAAAACAGCAGACCTTTCATCTCTCACGAGGCACTGTAACATACATGCTGAGAGCTTGGTTCCTGGAGTTGGATTCACAGATTTCACCCCTACACACTCTAGGGGATGCCAAGCACACTGCCAATATCGACATCTTAGATTTATAAATTTTACAATTTTTTTTTTCTGGAAGGTAGCCATAGAGTGGCATGTTCTTAAAAAACCAGTATATTTCAATAATTTTTCAGCAGATGAAAGTGAGGTATCATAAAGTAGAAGTACCCTTTTCTATTGCACCATTGTCATAGGTGCAAGCAACATCCCTGTTTACCACCCATTAGCTGTGCATATTTAGGCAAATTGCTGAACCTCTCTGGGTCCTAGCTTACTCATTTCCAAAATGGGAATATTAATATTACCTCCTGTATCATGGAGCTGTTGTGAGGATTAAGGGAGAAACTAGACACAAAACAGCTATGATAGGTCTTGCAAATAGTACTCAATAAATTAGTTAATATTAGTTCCACAACATATACACAGGCAAAACAGAATCAGAACTTAAATCACTTTTAAAAGATCCCTGTGCAAAAATGTTATTCCAGTGCAGATCAGGCCTGGATCCCACTGTTCAGTTATTAATACAGTGGAACTGGAGTGAAGTCAGAAAGTCAAGTTAAAGGTAGAACAGATTTAAGTGAAACATAGTTCTATAAAGGTAGGACTAGCAACACTTCAGATGTTTGAACAGAAAGAATTCAGCACTGAGTACTTAGGAAGCATGTATTCGGAACCTCAGACAGAAGTGGCTGAGATCTGAGTCCCATGCACACATTGGAGCTGCCTAGCCATGCTAAAGCCCAATGCTTCCTTCTGTATTAGTCTGCTTTTACAATGCTGATAAAGACATACTCAAGACTGGGAAGAAAAAGAGATTTAATTTACTCACAGTTCCACGTGGCTGGGGAGCCCTCACAGTTATGATGGCAGGCAAGGAGGAGCAAGTCATGTCTTACATGGATGGCAGCAGGCAAAGAGAGCTTGTGCAGGGAAACACCCCCTTACAAAACCATCAGATCTCATGAGACTTATTCACTATCACAAGATCACGAGAACAGCATGGAAAAGACCTGCCCCCATAATTAAATTACCTCCCACCAGGTCCCTCCCACAACACATGGGAATTCAAGATGAAATTTGGGTGTGAATATAGCCAAACCATATCACCTTCTGGACCCCTTCCCAATGCTCTGTGCCTCAGTCCAAATCAGGGAGGATCAATGTCCTCAACAATTTACAGTATTTACAAAAAAGTATTTTGTGACTGTAAAGCAACCTGGGTCTTCTGAATGAGTTGTAGGAACATGTATCTGCACATTAATGATGTCAGTGGCCATGGTGAGATAGCATTTGGGTGATCAGCATCCATGATGCTAGCCCTTTGAACATCTGACTCATTGTTCAACCTAGTGGCAGTTCTCCAGAGAGACACATGGAAGGAGACAGTATAGAAGAAGGGTAATCACAAATGTTAAAGGCTCCAAAGTCCAAAGGCTCAGGCCTGAGTCTTGGCTGTGTGTGACACTGAGCAACACAGCCTCAGGGCTACCCCATATGGCAGGACCTATACCACATGAGGTTGCTGAGTGGATGGAATGAGTTGACATGTGGAAACTGAACAGCACTTACAGACACGGAAAGAGACAGTATAGAAGAAGGGTAATCACAAATGTTAAAGACTCCGAAGTCCAAAGGCCCAGGTCTGAGTCTTGGCTGTGTGTGACATGAGTCTTGGCTGTGTGTGACACTGAGCAACGTAGCCTCAGGGCTACCCCATATGACAGGACCTATACCACATGAGGTTGCTGAGTGGATGGAATGAGTTGACATGTGGAAACTGAACAGCACTTACAGACACGGAAAGAGACAGTATAGAAGAAGGGTAATCACAAATGTTAAAGACTCCGAAGTCCAAAGGCCCAGGTCTGAGTCTTGGCTGTGTGTGACATGAGTCTTGGCTGTGTGTGACACTGAGCAACGTAGCCTCAGGGCTACCCCATATGACAGGACCTATACCACATGAGGTTGCTGAGTGGATGGAATGAGTTGACATATGTAAATTGAACAGCACTTACAGTGTGTATTAGCTAGTCCTATTATTAATACAGTTATCATCAATGTTATTAGAATGGACCACCTGGAGCTTTGAGGACACTCTCTTAATGGACTTCAGGCAAGTTTGGGGTCTGCACTGGATGCAGGCTATGGGACCTATTCAGCCCTTCTTTCCCCCAACCCCAAGCTTACTCAGTTGGATCTTCAGTTTCTACTAGTCTGTGGACAAGAAATGGTAAACCCTGAGGCAAACACATAGAATATGAAGGAAAAGGGAGTGTCTGTCTCTGAGTGCCAAGTAGACCAGATCTAGACCCTAGAGCCCAGGTTCCAAGAAGGAGGAAGTGCCAGGATCATCTTTCTTGAGAGCCGACCAAGGAAGACATGACCCAAGAAGACAGAGCCTTGTTGTTTATTTAGCCCCCTGAAATTCACCCCTCAACCCCATCCTGTAGTCTTCTTGTAAGTCTTTCCCTTGGTCTAGCTCCCTGGAGGCCGAATAAGCATAGAGCGTTGACCATGTGTGAGTTGTCATGTGCCTCTAACAAGCAGGATTATTCATTGTGACTTAGTTATCCAAGATATAGATATTTACCATCATTCTCTTCAGTTTTGTTTTGGTACCAAAGACAATAGATGCTAAATATTCCACAATATGAGAAGGATTAACAAGGCAGATCCCTCACCATAAATTTATGAAACCATTCACCCTTCAAATTGGCTACCTCTCTCCTACTTCTTCTAAGCATCCTTTTGCCAAAATCATCAATGAACTTCTGGTTCCAAACATAGATCATTTCCTTCTCTTGTCTAAAAGATACTCAAACTTTAGGATAAAATTTAAACCCTTGACCTGCCCTACCAAGCCCTGGATGAACCCCAGACTTATTTCTCTGGTTCCTTCTTAGCTCACTGGGCTTCTGTGCATGCATCTTTTCCCATCTACTCGCTGACCAATGCCCTCTGCTCAGGATCCTTGTGCCATGGGACCCCATGATGGAATCATTTCTGAGTTTGTTGGCAACTCATCTCCATTTCCTCCTCATGCTTCTATTCTTCCACTGCTCTTTTTCATTGCACACTGTTTATTTTGCTTTCAGAATATTTCTTACTATTTGTAAGAAATCCACTTGTTTGTTTACTTAACTAATGTTTATCTTCTCTTCTAGATTATAGATCCAGAGGGTAGAGGTTATGAAGACAACCAAACAATTACAACTTCATCCAAGGGGGTATATTGAAAGAAACCGAGCATATTTGCTGAAAGAATGAGTTTCCCTAAAAATGTTTCTTAGTACAGAAAGTAATTCATCATATATTGTTGAATCAAAGAGTACATTATAAAATGTTAGGCACTGCACAATCCTGTTTAAGTTTATATATGTAAAATATCTGTGTATATAACTTATATATACATTTACATGCATATGTGTAGAGAGAAGTCTGGATGTTGAGGTCAAAATGGTCACAGTATCCATCTTAGCATGGTGACATCAGAGTGATTTTATTTTTTAAAATTTACTAGTTTTTTAAATTTAAATATTTTTAAATTTAATTTTTTTATATTTAAAAGGTATCTGCTACCTTTTAATAATAAACATGTACTACCAATGTATTCAATAATTTATAAAAAGAATATGATACAAATTAAGACCCCTAATTTTTTTTTTGTTTTTTTTTTTTTTTTTGGTGAGATTGGGTCTCGCTCTGTCACCCAGGCCGGAGTGCAGTGGCACGATCTCGGCTCACTGCAACCTCTGCCTCCCAGGTTCAAGAAGTTCTTCTGCCTCAGCCTCCTGAATAGCTGGGAGCACACCATCACGCTCGGCAAATTTTTGTATTTTCAGTAAAGACGGGGTTTCACCATATTGGCCGGGCTGGTCCCGAACTCCTGACCTCATGATCTGCCCGCCTCGGCCTCCCAAAGTGCTGGGATTACAGACGTGAGCCACCATGCCTGGCCGAGTTAATTTTTTATTAATGTTTAGACTCTCCAACTGGAACATGCCCCCTTAATGAAGGAAATAATACAGGATACATCTGTGAACCTTGTCTCTCTTCCCCGGTACATGTGTTCATGTGTATGCATGTGTGGATGGACATGAAACAAAAGCATACAAAATAGCAGAGGAGAGAGTATAACTGTTCTTGTTATAAAGTATTAGATGATAAGTTCCCGAGATGCAGAAATCACCACTACAGATTTCTTAGTTATTTCCTTTGTTATGTTTGCTCTCACACCTGTGGATCATATCGTGTTGATAAAAATCTATATTAGTGACAGGAAGGCTATGTGGATCTTCTGAGTATTGGCTAATTTATGTAATTCGCTTAATCAATTTCTTTTACCAGCATGAAATGCTAACTCATTCCAAAATAGAAATCTTAAACAAGGTTTTAATTAACATTTGTATTGCTATGGGCATGTATCTGCATAATGTACCCTACTTGGTAGATCCATTTATGCTGCAGTAGAGTGTCAATAAAGACGTTGAAATCCTTCTTTATTTCGGTAGTATTTTGTATCTCACAAAACTGTAACATCTCTTAATTAAAGAGAATGTTCATATGGCTTCATTGTGAGTTAAAGAGTTGAAGCTGCAGATGGATTACAGGATTCCATTCATGGTGGTCTGTGTTCCCGTCTGTGTTCCTGCTGGGGAAGCCAGGTTTCCACAGTCCTACTCCTCATGACTAGGTTATTTCATGATCAAAATAAAATCTAGGTTTATATCATCACTTGTTATGTCCAATATGAGTTCAACATTATTTTTAAATAGTAAATTCACATTAGTAATCTATGAGTTTTCATTTGGTCAATATAATTTCACTGGTGAAATTTTTAAAAAAGTAAAGGAAAGGTAATGTCCTCATAACAAACACTAGCAGATGTAAGATGGGTCCTATTTTCTCTGCTTTACATCATTCCTACAGTTGTAGTGATTACAAGTGACATGAAATGAAATATTTTAAAGTTTTAATTATTCTACCAGATTTACAGCAGCTCTACATCATATTTGTATTCCTATCCACTTTACAAAGTTGACAAACAGGCATTTATGTCAAGCTTTCTGGCTGTGAACTTAGTATTTTCACCAATAATTTAGAAGAAAGTAAGTGAAGAAAAACACTTAAATAACCTAATCTTGTGCAAAATGGGGATTTCCTTAAGACAAGGAATAAGGTGCAATAATAGAGGAAAAACTGCTGCTTTTACTTTTCTTTCCCTCCTTGTCTTTCCAGCATTAATAGGGGCTACTTTCCTTTCTCAACTTTGAAATATTCTAAAACATGTTCAAGAGAGGATTCATAACTAAAACTGGAGACTCAGGATACTAGATTGTGGCCAATCTATCATTTTTCCCACTGTTTGCCATTCCCTGAGGGTATGAGGTGTACACTTGTCAGGGCTGTTGACTTTGGAGTCCGACATGTAACTGGCAGCCAAGGTCGTGATAGCAGAATGTCTGGAACAGAGGTTTTAAATGTTTTTGTGTGGCTTGGCTTGTCTCTGACACTGCTGTGATCTGCCTGAGAAGAGAAAACCCCACATACTTACTAGCATAAGGGAGAGGAGAATCAAGTAGGGCCAATCTGGACCAATCTGGTACCTGGAGGCAAGTCCAACCTAAACCGGTTGAGCATAGCCAATATCCAGCCACCTGGAGCACCCATGAGCAAGAGAGAGAGATGCTTTTAGATTCAGGGGCTATTTGTTACACTGCATTATTGCAGTAATGGCTGACTAATACATATTCTATTTTTAAAAACTGGGGCATAGCATAAAATATTTACAAAATGAATAAGAACTGATACAATTATCTGGGCCTGATCCTCTTATCTGGTAGATGAGAACACTGAGGCCCATGATGTTGTAACTTGCTCCAAAGTAGAGAAGGGAATAGGATCAAGGTCTTCTGATGCTCAGTGACTGTTCACACTGAACAATGGCAGATTACATATGATGGTGGGATTTGTAATGTACCCTGGATGATGCTGTCTACCTCCATTCCCTACATGTGCCTCACTCACTGTCCATCCCACATTCTTCCTTCCTGCTTCAAAGCTTCTCTATCACTGACCTACGCTTGCCCTACATTGTCTATGTTTTCTGTTTAGTCCATTTGGGCTGCTATAACAAAATATGGTTCTGGAGCCTGGGGAATCTAAGAATAAGGCCCCAGGAGATTCTGTGTCTGGTGAGGGCATATTCTGTGCTTCCAGGATGGTACTTTCTCTCTGTATCCTCACATGGTGGAAGAGACAAGGCAGCCCCTTCAACATCTGTTATGAGAGCACTAATCCCATTCATGAGAGTGGAGTTCTCATGTCTTAATCACTTCCCAAAAGGCTCTACCTCTTAATATTATCACATTGGGTATTAGGTTCCAACATATGAATTCTGGGGTGACACCAGCATTCAGATCACAGCACCTCAGAAGCTTTAATTGCGTGCTGGCCTCTGGGCTGTTAGGTGACTCAGTTCACTCTGGGATAATGCAACATTGGTTCTGTTCTGTTGGAGACTGGTGACTTAAGTGAGTCGTCTCTTTAAATCACATTCTGTTTCCATGTGTTTGTTTTGTTATCCCAAATCACTTTCCAAATCTCAGATTGGCAGGAAATCCTAATTAAACCCTTTGGGGTATCTCAGCTATGAAGCCTGTAGTTGATCACGTGTTATCATTAGTCAGCTAATTTCATATGCCTCCCTTGCCCATCATCACTTTCAGGTAAATAAGGGAGAACATAAAATGAAACATCTGGCACACAAGGTCATAGATAAAATCTACTACCCTCAGAATGGCCTCTGAAAATCCAGTTAGGATTTAGAATTAAGGTTGGTTCTTTCCAGATGCCAGTTAACTGAACCCTTGCTCTGAAGAATCCTCATCTCCTTCAGAAAACCTTCACTACATAGTAACTATGGAAATTTGCAACTAAGACTATATAAAACATGCTTGATGTTTTTTGAAAGAGAAGCATATTCTTGTTTTCTCTAATGACTTGGATTTTACAGTTCACACTGAATGCAAATAATAAGACTCTATTACCTTCAATGCAAGGATCTTCAATTAGTCTAGGAAACTGGTTTCTGTATTAGAAAAATATGTGCATATCTGTTAAGATGAACACATGGCTTAATGAGGGATCAACTTGCCTGTATATTAGAGTTTCAGTAAAATGCTCTTGGTTTTGGAAACAAAGGTTTAAGAGGATACGTTAGCTTTATATTCTTACGTGGGAACTTATTACCTGACAGACATCAAGAAGTGATGTCAAGAATACCTAAAAGCTATTTAAGTTTAAATAGTAATTTAGGTTTATTAAAACCATATTAGTTATTTAGGTCTAATACCACTGTTTACAGTGTTCCTGAAAGATTATTACATAGTCCAAATAATGGATACTGATGGTCATTGCATGCTGAAATGACCTGCTGGCTTGTCTGCTTGACTTTGTCATCAATCAAGGCAACTGTGGACTCTGCTAAGGCCATGTCATGTAATCCAATGGAAAGGTCCAGTCCTATGGCCACTGGGCACAAGGAATGTCAGCCCATCTTGGATGTTGTCAGTGGAAATCTTTACTGCATACAGTGCTTTGCTGGTCAGACCCCACTCAGTATCCTTCCAGTTTATCTTCCGTTAAGCACCCAGGGCCCCCTCTGCAAAAAAGTGAAGGATCAACTGCATTAAGGAAGAGCGATTCCCAGTCAGTGTTTCTGTCAATATTAAAACCAGCAAAAAAGCAAATGTGTTTAGTGTGTGGTTTACAATGGCCAGAACAGGCTCTGGCCAAGTCTCAAAGTGAATTTCATTTAAGAATCACTCTCAGCAACTCAGGTTTATGGCTCTCCCCTCAAAGGAAATAATTCTACTGACTACCATTAAATAAACATATCTGTTTTCAACTTAAAGTAGAGCAACCACATGTTCCCTAAGAAATCTAGAAGTCTTTTATTGGAAATAGTACTTAAGAATGAAAATATAAATCCCTATGACTTTCAAAGTCCTGTTGGGGAAATACTAATGACAGGGCCAGCCCCAAATGCAGCAAAGATGACAAGGTACACTCACAAATAGAGACAGGATTGAGTGATGCTGAAGACCCCAATGTCTCCTCTACTGATGAGGTAGCCTGTCTGCCAAGGTGCCCTCCCGCTTGGTCACCTCCTTGTGTTCCTGTGCTGTGCTTATTCTGTCATGCTCTGGCAGAGATGGTGTGGGATGCAGATGAGATCCCTTCCCTAGCAGCACAGGGGTCACTGTAGGGAACCCACCAATGAACATTTCTTCCTCAGGGTGGAGGATTTACTAATCAGGCTAAGGTTGGGCATGTAGGTGAATGAAACTCGACTCCTTACAGTCTCATACCCAAGCATGGGCTGCATCATGGAAGGTGGAGATTGCTGCATTACCATCACAAAACCTAACACTGACAATTTCCTTCTAAAAGTCCCATGACTCATTTTGGTTGTAAAAGGTCTAGGATAAGTAAAGACCACGAACAAACTAAAATGTACTTATTGTATTTTTCACAAACCTCTGAAATATTTATTCTTTTCTGGGTACCATTACTGTTCGTGTGCTTTATGGTTTGACAACAATGAACCACCTCTATCCAAGGCTATAGTGTGTAAGAGTAACCTATGATCACAAAACATTACTCAAATTAGGAAAAAAAGTATTTCAGACATTCCAGACCCAATGGAAAGACTGATTCTAATTTACACAGCGAAATGCTATGGCAAACTTTCCTTTTCTTGGTTTTTCTAATAAAAAAACACATTCATCATGCAACATAACTCCTTACTGTGGTTATGGCAACTCTGAATACAATACATTTGTACTTTCAGCAACAATAATCATTTTGAAAGAATAAGCACATTTCTGTTGGTGGTGAATGACATTAATTTTTTTCTCCTAAATCAGACAGCTTATCTGTGGTAGGTGTTCCACAAAATATAGCAGCATAACGAGGAGGAGCGTGATGCTTATATCGATCAACTTCAAACCTACTTGGAATTTTTAAGTTCTATTTTTATGTGATTGCTCTATTCTTCAAGACCAATTTACTTTGCTAAAGGGCATTTTTGATCAATTAGATATTTATTTCTACAGTTGTTATAATATTAGCCTAATAAAATTAAGCATTTCTTGTACATGTTGAATAAAATTCAATATAAAGGCTAACTTCCCTCAATAGGTCAACATGGAAATCAACTGTGTTTTATAGTCTGTTTATTGTGTGTGATGATTTTGTGTGTGTCAACTTGACTGGCTAAGGGATGCCCAGATAGCTGGTGAAACATTAATTCTGGATGTGTCTGTGAAGCGAGGATGTTTTTGGAAGAAATCAGCATTTAAATCAGTAGGCTGAGTAAACAAGATGGCCCTCAGCAACGTAGGCACACACCATCCAATCCAATGAAGGCCCAAATAGAACAAAAACATAGAGGAAGGGTGAGTTCATTCTCTCTTCTTGAGCTAGAACATCTGTCTCCTCCTGCAATGGACATCGCAGCTCCTGGTTCTCTGACATTTGGACTCTAGGACTTACACTAGTGGCCCCCCAGTTCTCAAGCACTGGAACTTGGACTGGGAATTATACCACTGGGTCCCCTGGTTCTCAAATCTTGAGACTCAGGCTGACTCGCACCACCAGCTTTCCTGGTTCAGCTTGTAGGGAAATGATCATGGGACTGCTTGACCTTCCTAATAAATAATAATCAATCTATTTATCTATAATAAATCAATAATAAATCAATAATATTTATCATAATAAATCAATCTATTTATCTATCTACTTTATCTAATCTTCTACTGGCTCTCTGATTTCTCTGGAGTACTTTAATGTATGCTGCAAACAAAATCTATTTCTTTTGTTTTTAGGAGTATATTCTCACAAAATCAATTCAAAAATATAATTATGAGAGTTTTGTCTCTGGATGGAGGGTGAAAAGGCTAAATCTTGTTCATATTTATTTTGTTTTCTTGTTGCTGCTATAACAAACTGCCACAAACTTAGTGGTTTAAAACAACACACATTTATTTATATCTTATACTTTTGGTGGTTAGGAGTTGAACTTGAGTCTCACTGAACTAAATGAAGGTGGGCAGGACTGCATTTATACAGAAGCCTCTGAAGAGAAAATTATTATTATTATTCCTTTTCCAGCTTTCAGAGGCTGCCGAAATTTCTTGGCTTGTGGCCCTTTTCCCCATCTTCAAGTTCAGCACCATAGACTCTCTCCGGCCATCTTCTGTAGTCACGCCTCCCTCTGACTATGTCTGAAAAAGGTCTTCTGCCTTTAAGGATGCATATGATTAGTTTGGGCCCACCTGGATAATAGAGGATAAACTCTCTACCTCAAGGTCATTTAACTGCAGCTGCACCCTTACTTCCCTTTTCCCATGGAATGTAACATAACACAAGTTTTGGGAATTAGGATGTTAGGCATCTTTGGTGGGGGAGCATCATTCTATCACAATATTTTTATATACATGACTATTTCTCAAGTATATTCCTCACCTGTAAGAGCTGTACATCCCACAATGTGAAATTGTAAATGCATGACACTAATCCGTATCCTTGTATTCTCAGAAATGAAAGATGAAAAGAAAACATCCAGTTATTACATTCACTTTTTAGAAATCAAAATAAACTTGTACCTCCCACAGATGTTGATGTGTGACCAAAAAAGTGATTTCAGGAGTCATCTATGATGTATTGTCTAATGCTATATTCTAAACAGTAATCAAGCAGTTATTTTAAAAGCTAGTTCTGCTGCATCATATGACTTATGCCTGTGTTCTTCTGGTGGCAGTTTTTGTTGAAGATAAAAGCATGAAAACATTGAGCCAAGGTAATCAGAAGAGCTAACATCTATATATCTTTTTTACTTCTAAACTTCTTCAGTTTCTTTGATGAAACAGTCTTAAATTTCTTAATAAAGATTAGGCATACTGTACCTCATAGGAATTTTCACAATTACATTAATATATTTGATTTAAGCCTATTTTTAATTAATTCTATACATTATAATAGTTGATGGCCAAATCCACAATACATAAGCCAATTAAAATATTTCTTCAAAGGCAGAAATAAAATTTAATATGTTACATTTGATTTTTTGTGTTTCTTTTAAGAAAGTTCTGCCTTGGGATACACAGGAGAAAAACTCAATGAAATGTTCAGTGACATTTCTCCATACACATCAACATAAATGTCAATATGCAGTGAAAAGTCTTAGAAAGCTATACAGGAAATGGTTAACAAGTTACTCTGGTACTCATTTAAAAAAAAATTTTCTTCACACCATGGCACAATAGCACCTTTATAAACCAAACCAAACAACGTAACATAAAATAATACATCTGAAGATTCCTGCTTGCTTTGATACTGGGAAAACCAGCAGAACAAATCACTTTTAGTTTGCTGAAGAGGCCGTCAAGTACAGATTTTTAAAATGTTCTAGTCCTGGCTGACACTTGAAAATAGATCCCACATGTTTTTGATGTACCACTGTTTGCCTTCAAATTCTGGCCACAATCTTATTAATTCATTCACAACTACATGAAACTCAGCACTTTGCTTTCAGTAATGAAAAAAAATGTTATTTACCCAGAAACACAAGCTTGATGGCCTTGGAAAAAAATATTTACAGGGATAAAGCCCTTGATTTAGGATTCATGGACAATGACTTCAGAACATTTGATGAATTGCCCATATTCACAGCCTACAACATAGGTTTTAATTCAGAAATAAAATTTGCTTGCAAATGTTTGAGATTTTTATCTTTCATAGGCATGAAGTTTATCTAAGCCATCAGGGCTCACAGGGTCTATGTTACATATGATTGTTATTGAATATACTGAGACTTTATCAAAGGTAAGTTTTGTTGTTGTTGCTGCTTTTTAATGACAGACATTACTATATCTCTGAAAAGAAATGTATAGGAAGCTTCTTACTAAGGAACGCATATGTAAAATTTCCAGTAACGATTGAACAGTACTATTTGTTTCTTTTTTGCATCTTAGGATTTCAATCTTATTTTATAAACGTGTGAATCTCTGCAGGTCACCTACCCTCCTGCTCAAGATATGTTCTGTTGGTGGGCATTCTGGCCAGTTGGCTGGACCATTCCAGGATGGATGAAAATCTGTATGCCTTGTCCTTCAAGGGCAGGCCTACAAATAAGCATGCACGTCAGTGGAGTTGGGGGCAGGAAGGCCAAAGATTTCCGAGATGCTTTGCAAGTCATCTCTGGGCATTCAGCCCCATCATCCAGAGGCTCTGCCCCACTGGAATTTGGATCGCCTGTTGATGGCTGAGGTTAAGTTGTTCAGACTCCAAAGGGCCACAATGTAAGAGAAGGCCAGTCTCCAGCATTTATAAAAAAGAACAGGAGGTATTTTAATGAAAGGAGAGCACTTACTATTATGGCCCAGCTCCCCATGGCACTTTCTACTGGCTTAGACATCCCTTCTTTTTGAATGAAACATAAATCTTTATAAAAAGATTAGTGGGGCTGCTTTAATGGTTATGAAAGGTAACAGACTTGGGGTAGTAAAGAAATTTCCACATCAAACACATGAGATAATTGAGTGTTTCTTGGTTTTGTATCCATGTGATGTATTCATAAGAATCCTACACAATTAGGTGTGTGGGGCTCGTATCATGTCATATTAAGTCTGCACCAGGTATATATAGCTGTCAGAATAAATTCCATTAAAATTGCTTTCTCAGTTGCATCAAACATCCATGTGCCAAAGCACAACAATGATAGTAATTTAGCCGCAACTGTTTCCAGAACACATGGTGGACTGCCTAGAAGTGTACAAATAAATCAAATCACTAGGGTTCGAATTTCAGGGTGGCTGGAGGATGTGTGCACGCCAGAAACTATTTGGATTATTAACATCAATGCAATACCCAAGTGTTCCATTATTGGAACACTAAACATGTGGGAGTTATTTATATCCTACTGCTCAAGGTCATCATCAAAGTCTGATTTTTCACTGACGCAAAAATTCAAAAAAATTGCAACCTCCAGCATAAATGGGTTTAAGGAGGTATTCCCAGTTCACTGTGGATACTGGTTATGACAGAAGGGTCCCTCAACAGTCAGCGCTACTGCTGAAAGATTCCAATTGATTACCTCCCTGGGACTATGAAGTACCGATAGGCCCCTCAACCAGGAGAATTTCAAAAATAATTTTTCCTACCCATTATACACAAAATCAAGATGATTAAATGTGGAGAAAAATACATCCAATGAAAAATACAGAACACTGTATAGATACACAGACTATATGTACTATATATAGATACAGAGCACTATATAATATCTATAATAGTATATACATACTATGTATACACTATATTACACACACACACACACACACACACACACACAGGTATCCTGGAGGTATCCTGGAAAATACTCTGTAAATGCATCAATCTAACTTGTGAAATAAAAAACTGAGTATTCAAATCTGATTTCTGAACAATTACACCTTTTACAAGCTGGTTCAGGAAACGTGTGCATCGGGACATAAAGAGGTTTATGATATTTAGTGAAGTTAAGAAGTTAAAGAGTGATATCGTATGCAATTCTTGTTTTGCTCGTAAACATTTTTCAATTGAAAGTTTAGTTTCAACAGTTACTCTAATAACTTATTAGCATTATACAAAGTATAAAATATATTACCTGCCAAATAGTATCAAGCAAACTTCTATATTCTATTTCATAAAGCATACAATACAGCACTCATGCTCTAGCAAGCAGGATGCTACTAGGTTATGTGATATCAACGTCTGTGAGAGTTCCCTACCAATAGAAAAAAAGAAACTCAAAATGTTAGGATTTAGTTGCTTTTTTTTTAGTGCATGATGCAAACCATTCTCTACCAAGGCTCATAGAGCCTTGGTAATAGCTGCAAAGAAGATGTGATCTAGGATTTGTGCCAAGTGTTATATTCTATACAGGAAAATAGGGAAATCTGTAAAATTCTGGCTTGGGCTGAAATCAGTAGTTTATGCTTCAGTTGTTGAATTAGACATAATTAGGTAATTCCATATTAAGTTCAGAATGGCATTTAAAATGAGTTTGGATATTTCCAGTCTTTCTTTGCCTGCTGCTAGACAGAAACATGGCTGCCTCTCTGGTTCCTGAATTTTAAAGACTTTGTGTGTGTGTGTGTGTGTGTGTGTGTGTGTGTGTGTGTGTGTGTGTGTGTGAGATATATGTGTATATCTACACATACATGCAAACACACATAAGTAATATCACACACTTATGTGAATTACTGCATAAAATCAAGCTTAATGTATAACCTTTTTATCTGCTTTCTGACTTTATAGGATTAATATGTGATAAGCGTACTCCCTTATCTCTTTCAGAATGTATTCTTTCTTGAGAAGATAAGGATGGAGAGATCTACTGAAAAAGCAATGCACAGTCCTGTCATATTGTCCTAGCATGACATAAAATTCCATGGTATGTCACACTAGGAAAGGTCACACTGACAAGCTGACAGCTGCAATCCTGACAGATTCTGCACTATGACAGGCAAATGACTTTATGTCCTCAATGCACAAAACGCCTGCAACAACAAAATGCATGTTTTCCTTTGCATTTGCAAAACATCCCAGAAAGCTTCAATTACCCTCAACGATTTTCCAGCTATCCTTGGGGACCACTGCCCATGTCCTGATCCAACACCTTAGGATGACAATTCCACCATCCATCTGAGCATTGCTTAGTACTAATGCCAATAAATATTTGCTGCTGTTGACAAGAGATAAACAAAAGTAGAACATCAAAGTGCTACAACTCTTCTTTTAAGAACAGATAATATTCAATTAAGAAACATTTATATTGAAATGCTTGAAGCACTGAGGTTATATAAAGTACAAACAGTCCCTGCCCTCCTGTAAAAGTATTCTAACTGAAAAGCTCAGGAGATGAACTAATTAGTCACTAACAAGACTAAAAGGAAGTAAGAGCCTTGGCCCTTGAATCAGCAAAGGCATCCATTGTGTGTAAGTACATCGAAGCAGGGGATATGTCCTTGGCTGGGCCTATGCCTGGCACATGAAACTATTCTACTCTCCAACAGGGCCCTAACATGGGAACAAGGTTCACGAGTACACCCCAAATACCTGCCTAGGTAGGATAAAGAAAAACACATCCTAATGAGCAAACTTACGGACTGAAACAGAAAGATATATATAAGCCAATTAGACAGTCTGTCACCATGGCAAAGTCTGCTCATGATGAATCAGGGCAATTTTCTCTTTTTTCTAATCTATATCAAATGTCTAAACTCTCACCATGTTCAGGGGACTGTTCAGGTTTCATTCCCAGTTATGAAAGGCAGTATAATGAAACAATGAAGGTGTCAGAAACTCAGCCTAGTCACGTGTTCGTATGTGGCTTTAGCCATAACATGTGCTCTGAGTTTCTTTTGTTCTTCTGTGAAATGAAGATTACAATGCCCAAATTGAAGGATTGTCAAAAGGATGAAATGAAACCATATCTGTGAAAGTTTTCTGTGAAGACCACTCTGAAACACTCAATTTTCAATTACCCAATTTTCCCACTTTAAAAAATGTATGACTAAAGCAGAAAAAGCAATATAACAATGTAAAGGCACTATATAGAACAGAAAGGAATCCTTCTAGAATGAAGAGGAAGGATGGGCAAAGAGTTCACACGGGGAAGTGTTTAATAGCTGCAGAGTTTATACAATTCATCTTTGAAAAAAACTAAGTGATTTCCGTACATGCAAATCACCTTCCCAAATCAAGGGAAATCAAATGAAAATGTAGAAGTCGCCACAAGAAGGTCTCTGCAGTATCTCAGGCAGAAGCATTCTTCTCAAAGTAGGGTAAATATACAGAGAGGAAACACTACCAATGGCTTAATCACAGACTTTGGTGATGACTTTGGTGATGGGTACCTCTCCTTTCGAGTGTGTGGCACCATAAAATAGTAGGAGAGGCAGGGCCAGATAAATTCTATCTCGACGTCCACAAGAATGGGTGAGGCAGAGGTCCTCAGAATCACAAACTGCGCACAACCTGCTGACCTTGGTAGGCTGGAGAGAAGTGAAGTGGAACAACTCACACAGAAATGTAACCTGATATCAGAAGGTACTTCCCTGTAAATGGGGGATGACTCCTACTAATCTAGTTATGCTTTCCCCGCTCCAAATAAACCTTTTGCAAGTACCTGATCTAGGAAGACTTCCACCAAAAAGCGAGACATAGATCAAGAAGCTCCCAGCATGGGATTGATATCAATGTAATGTAAGACCAGGTTCAGAGAAGCACTGGAAAAACAAGTGGAACATAATGCTCCACCAGAAAAAGTAGTTATTGAGCCGACGAATCATTTGAACGAAATGTATGGTCATGAATGAAAAGAACTGAATGAAGCAATCAAATAGCTCAGAGCAGAGGTAAAAGATGAAGTTCAGACGAGAGAAAGATGGAATATAAGCTATCAGAATACTTGAAAGAAAAAAAGGGAATTAAAAAATAAAAAAACTGATTGCCATATTGTAATCAACCCAAAGAAACTAGACACTGTCCAGAAGAGGAAGAATTGCATTAGAAACATAAACCAAGCCAGGCACGGTGGCTCACACCTGTAATCCCAGCACTTTGGGAGGATGAGGCTGGTGAATCACTTGAGGTCAGGAGTTCAAGACCAGCCTGGCCAACATAGCGAAACCCCGTCTCTACTGTAAATATACAAACATTAGCTGGGCATGGTGGCATGCACCTGTGATCCCAGCTACTGGGGAGGCTGAGGCAGGAGTATCGGTTGAATCCAGGAGGTGGAGGTTGCAGTGAGCTGAAATCACCCCACTGCATTCCAGCTTGGGCAACAAAGTGAGGCTCTCTCTCAAAAAACAAACAAAACAAAACAAAAAAACGACATGGATGATAGATAAATAGATTGATGGATTGATAGATGATAGATAGATGATAAATAGATAGATAGGAAAAAATATTCAAGGGAGAGAGACAGGGAAGAAGACAAGGAGATTCAAAATCTGCATAACTGGTGTGCTCGGGGAAGAGCAGCACATAAATGAGCTAAAAAGTATTAATATACCTAATGCTAAATGACGAGTTAATGGGTGCAGCACACCAACATGGCACATGTATACATATGTAACAAACCTGCACATTGTGCACATGTACCCTAAAACTTAAAGTATAATAATAATAAAAGAAAAGAAAAAGAAAAAAGTATTAAATATAATTTTTTTAAATAATAGAGAAGTATCATTGCAAGAAGGCTTGAATATGCAGATGAAAATGATCACAATGCCCTAAGAATAGTTGATATTAAAAATTTAGCAAGAACTGTATCTAAATTAGTATTTCATTAATTGGACTTTTGTAGATAAATTATAATTAGAAAAAAAATTTTTTAGAGTTCACTTAAAAAAAAGTAAATTAAAATTACACCAATCTCAGATTTTCTCACAGTAACAGTCTACTTATGAAACTATTGGGATAACATCTATGAAATTCTCAAGAAAACAAAATGTTATACCCAGGCAGAATAACATTTAATTATATGATTACAGGTCACATTTTCAAATGGGAAAATAGGCAGGAATTGCAGGGGCTGTAAAATCTTCCTGACAATCAGAAAAAAAATTAGCTAATGAGAAAATGAGGAAAGACCACTAATATTGAACTCTAGCTAACGATATGTATGCTAACGTGTTCAAAGGTAAAGTCGATTGCTATCTGAAAATTATTGTGAAGTGCAATACACTTCACAATAATACAAAAATTATTGTGAATACACAATACAAAAATTATTGTGAATACAATGGAATGATGAGTGTCACTAAATGGATAGCTAATAGGTAAAGCAAATATTGCATATATTGATTGTACAATCCAGGTAATGGTTAATGGGTGCTCACAATACAATTATTTTCATATTTCTATATATTTATGACTTTTCATAATAAAATGATGAAAAATCACAAAACCATAGCAAAGTATTGTCTCTCCACATTTATTCTATTTAACTATAGTATTAGGAGTAAAATATCTGTGGAAATTACTGTACAGAAATCAATTGTAAATCATGGCAATTTAGAATTACTGTAACAAAAGTCCATAGGACAAAGAAGATGAGAGATAAGGGATAGAGGGATGCCTATACAGGAATCAAATAGATTCTTTAATGGTGATAAATCAATTAATCAAGATATAAATACTGGAAAAACCAATAAAAATATAACCAAGTTAATTTGGGGAGTGGCATACTTAGAATACTTTATAATTTCATCTCTGGCCATAGTGGGAAGTTGACACTGTATTTGGAAAAAGAAGAAGGCTGGCTGCGCATGGTAGCTCACACCTGTAACCTCAGCACTTCGGAAAGCCAAGGCGGGAGGATTGCTTGAGCCTAGGAGTTCGAGACCAGCCTGGGCAGTATGGTGAAACTCCATCTCTACCAAAATATACAAAGTTAGTCAGGTGTGGTGGCACATGCCTGTGGTCCCAGCTACTCAGGAGGCTGAAGCGGGAGGATTGCTTGAGCCCGGGAGTTTGAGGCTGTAGTGAGCCACAGTTGCACCACGGCACCCCAGCCTGGGGGACAGAGAAAGACCCTGTCTCAAAAAAAATAATAAAATAAAACAAACAAACAAACAAACAAACAAAAAAACCTGTATTATATCAATTTGTAATTACAGAGTTAGCCATTATAAAAACTAAAAACATCCCACATTTTCATATTATGAAAAGAAATATTGCACACACTTACACAGAAAAAGAGGGGAAAATGCAAAATAAAGATATAAAGAGAAAGAATAACGTAAAATATGATATTTACAATGTGAATGTGCTACATATGCCTCCCTTTGGACCACAAACTTAACTATACATTGTTGTGGTAAGTTTTAAAGTATTTACAAATATCAAATATTAATAATGTGGAAAGGCAAATCAGGCAAATTGGAAAGGAAAGCCATGGCCATGTTCTGAGTAGCAGACACAGTTAAAACAGGGTAGAAAGCATTCCTGTGACAAAGCATGGCCCTTTATGATGAGTAAGCATATACTCAGCAATAAACATGTAAGAGGTATGAATATGTGCACACGATGAAAATATTACATCAAATTTAATAAAGTGAAACCTACAAGAATTTTTTAAATAGGCAGAAGTATGTCAATAGTGAGGGACTTCAATTCACATCTCTCAGTCCATGACTGACCCAGTATACAACGAAAGAAAAATAATGAAGATTTAAACAACATAGTTATATCTATTTGTACTTTACCTAATTCTATAACCTAAGGACAGATAATTGACCTTCCTTCCCAGCAACTGAGGAAAAAAATGCCAATCTTGAAGACATGCTAGGTCACAAAGAGAAGTTCATTAAATATTTCCCCACAAAGTTATAACTTATCAGGATTTATGACCAAGAATTCACTCTTGAATTACAAAGGAAACAAAACCAGAGATCGAAGAACATTTACAAAAGTTGTATATGAAGTAGAACCTAGGTAATATGTTAAAAGCAATGCTCAGGAGACATTTTAAGTCTCGTACACATACATATGTAAATAATAAGAAAGGATGAAAATAAATGACATAAGCATCCAACTGAAAGAACTAGAAAAAAGCCAATAAAATATGCATGAGGAAAGCAAAAGGAACAAGTTAATAAAAACGTAAATACAAGAATGAATGCATTTGAAAACAGAATCATGTTAGACCTATTAAGTAAATGTAAAGTTTTAAGATAAAAAATTAGATTGTTGATTAAACATCAAAAGCAAAAATAATGAAGATTTAAACAACATAGTTAGATCTATTTGTACTTTACCTAATTCTGTAACCTAAGGACAGATAATTCATATTCCTTCCCGGCAATCAAGGAAAAAATTGCCAATCTTGAAGACATGTTAGGTCACAAAGAGAAGTTCATTAAATATTTCCCCACAAAGTTAGAACTTATCAGGATTTATGACCAAGAATTCACTCTTGAATCACAAAGGAAACCAAAACGGTGACTGGAGAACATATACAAAAGTTATATATGAGAGTAGAACCTAGGTAAAATGTTAAAAGCAATGCTCAGGAGACATTTTAAGTCTTGTACACATACGTATATAAATAACAAGAAAGGATGAAAATAAATGACATAAGCATCCAACTAAAAGAACTAGAAAAAAAATCAATAAAATACGAACAAAAAAGCAAAAGGAACAAGTTAATAAAATCATAAACACAAGAATCAATGCATTCGAAAACAGAATGATGTTAGAGCTATTAAATAAATCAAAAGTTTTGAAATAAAAATTAGATTGTTGATTAAACTAAGCAAGAAAAGAAGAACAAAACAAAATTAGAAATGAGAACAGGGAATGAATCAGATAGTGATGAAATTAAATGCTAGAACATACCATTCGATAAGAGAAGGAAATTAAAACTGTGCATATTAAAAAAGAAAGGAAATTACCATTGTTTGCACAAAATATAACTGTATAAATAAAAAGTTCATGAGAACCAATGGAAAAACTCTTAGACATGGTAAAGATAATTCAGTGAAGTGACTGAGTAAAAAGTAAAAAGTAAATAGGTTGCCTAAGTATGTACAAAGAAGCATGCTTTCAGATCCAAGATCCATGCACAATAGAAACAAAAAGCATAAGTATAAAAAATGTGTACAAACCATATGAACAGCACGTTGAAATGCTTCTTTACTACACAAAATGACCATTGAGTAAGCGGAATGCAGACTCTACTTAAGATGGGAACACAATATCCTAAAGAAAGCAATGCATGAATTAATCTATATATTTCAAACAACTCTAGCAAAATATGAAAGATATTTTTTTCTCCAGCAAAGTAATCCAGTTTTAAAGTAAACATGCAAAAACAACCAGATTTTAAAGAAAACCTGCCCCCCACCCAAAAAAAAAGAATAAATAAGGTAGCAATCGGTAGGAAAAACAGAATCAAGTATGGATAAATGGTGTTGAGGCAACTGGAACTTGTGGAAAAAACTAAAATTGCATTCCTATCGAATTCATCAAATAAAAACAAGTTCCACGAGATCATGTCCTTTGCTGGGACACAGATGGAACTGGAAGCCATTATCCTCAGCAAACTAACACAGGAGCAGAAAACCAAACACCGCATTTTCTCACTTATAAGTGGGAGCTGAACAATGAGAACACATGGACACAAGGAGGGGAACAACACACACTGGGGACTGTTGGTGGCATTGGGGAAAGGAGAGCATCAGGATAAATAGCTAATGCATGCTGGGCTTAATACCTAGGTAATGGGTTGATAGGTGCAGCAAACCACCATGGCACATATTTACCTATGTAACAAACCTGCACATCCTGCACAGGTACCCCAGAACTTAAAATAGAATATCATTAAATGTTTTAAAAAGTTGGAAGAAAAAAATAAAAATAAAAAATAAAAACAAGTTCCAGAGATACAAATGACAAACATAAAATAATGTTATTATTAGACAAAAATATGGGAAATTTTGTTTTCTGTAGCCTAAGATAGCAAAGATCTGAGTATGATACAAAATTATGATTCCATAAACAACTTAGAAACTTAACCACATAAAAAATAATTATTTACAGCAAAAGCAAAAAGTAAACAAAGTAGGAAAATGTTTTGTAATTTAGACCACAGAAAATAGATCTTTCCTTAAACTGTGAGTAAATCCTATTAATTATCCATTAAAGAAAAAAATCAACCACCCAAAAACATGATGGATGAGGGACATAAATGGGTAGTTAATTGAAAAGGAAATATGATTGCTAAGAAATGTGTGAAAAGATGCTGGTTTTCTTCAAAAGAGAGATGCAAATAAAAAACATGAAATGTTATTCTCAACTGTCAGAACGGCAGAAATAATAATGCTGGGTGACATGAATCAGCCAAAGAGATATGGAAATACACATTCTCATAGTACTGATGGAAATGAAAATGGATAAAATATATACAGAGACAAATTTGGCAACATCTATCACACGTTTAAAGTGTATATAACCTTTGATTCAGAAGACTCACTTCTAGGAATTTATACAACAGATATACGGTGCATATGCAAGCTTATTGATTTATACGACTATCAGTTACAGCCCTGTTCATAGTTGCAAAAGAATTGAACACAAAATATTCATCAATAAAGGCTAGCTAAGTAAATGAAGTATATTCATAAAATAGGAACAATGCAGCTGTTTAAAAGAAAGAAAAAACATGAATGAAGTATTATTCACATAGGCATAATACTTTACCACTTCTGCAAATAAATTATATATTTGCATATGCTTATACATGCATAGAGTAGCTCTGAAAGGATACCCGAGAAACTGGTGTTTGCCTATGAAATGAGGAACTGTGTGACTATAGGCAGAAACTCTTAATACAATTGCAAAAGATGAACATTATAACAATAATAATAACATTTTCTAAAATCCCTTTTCCAGGACCTGGCACACATACATATGATTCATTACCCACAGTAGGTAGCCCTGCCACAAATACTGTGAGGTAGATACTTTATTTCCCTGGGTTCCAGCAGTTTAGAGAAGTTAAATGACCTGCTCCAGGTAACCCAGCTCTAAGAGGCAGAGCTGGTTTCACACTCAAGCATTCCAGCTCTGGGGTCTGGGGGGAGGCAGGTGTGACAGGTAGAATAATGTCCCAATCCCCCCACAAATACGTTTGCATCCCAATCCGCAGAACCTGTGAATGTGTAAGGTTTCATGGCAAAGGGGAGTTAAGGTTGCTCCTCAGCTGACTTTAATGTAGGGAGATTAGCCTGGATTATCCACGTGGGTCCAAGGTAATCATGAGTTCTTAAAAGTGGAAGCAAGCATCAGAGCCGGCGATGCAATGTGAAAAAGACTTGAATGGCCATTGCTGGCTTTGCAGAGAGAAGGGACTAATGGATTGTGAGTCAAGAGCTGCAAGTTGTCTCAAAAAGCTGGGAAACTCAAGCAGAACTGCTCTAGAGCCCCCAGAAAGGGACCTAGCTCTGCCAACACCTTAATTTTAGACCACTGAGAGCATTTAACGCTCTGGACTTCTGACATCCACAATAGTATGACAATAACTTTGTCTTAAGCCACTTAGGTGTGTGCTAATTTGTTAAAGCAGCAGCAGCAGGAAATGAATATGGCAGAAAAGAATAGAAAAATGACCACAGGAAGATAAGGAGGCAGTAGGGAGCAGATGGGATTTTTAACCCACGTCTTTCCTCTTGGAACTCCTTCCTGCAAGTTCAGATAAGAAAATTTCATGCAGGGAATATAGGAGATCCCAGCCATACCACCCACAAACAGGAACCCAAGAGTACTTCTATTAGAGCCTGGTACAGAGGCTCTCATGATGTGGCACCAAGACCAGTAGCAGAAGTGTCACCTGAGAATGGGTTAGCAAATCAAATTCTTGGACCCATCTTCTGGCAGCTGGAATAAAAATCTTAGAGCCATGGCTAACACTCTGGTTTGACAAGTCCTCCAAGTAAGCCTGATGTGATGCATGCCTGAGAACCGCTGGCTTAATGTAGCTCTTGGTTTAGACTGAGCAAGGCATCCAAAATGTTACTGCACATTGGAATCACGTGGAGATCTTTAAAAAATTTTCACATCTTTGTTGCACCCAAGACCCATGGAATTAGAATGCTTAGGCAGGGGAGGTGGCAATAAAGATCCCCAAGTGAACCATATGCATGACAGTTTGAAAGCACTGGTTTAGAGCAATAGTTCTCAATCTTGATACATTGAAACCACTCAGGGCCAATTAAAATGTATAGATACCTGGGTTCCATCCCTAGGTGATCTAATTGATTGGTTTACAGCCTGAGTGTCAGGAATCTTAATCCCTAGATGATTCTAATGCAACCCTAAGGTGAAAGCTAGAGCAGAATTCCCACTTGTAGCACCTGATCAGAGTTAGGTGCCACATGGTAAATGTGGGGGCCAGGAGAAGAGTCATTTCCCAACCCCCAGTCATTTCTGAAAAGTCAACTGATATTCAACTTTGCAAAATAGAAATGTTAATCTTATTTTTATTCCATATAGTTCAAAGTATTTTCAAGAGTTGATTTATTGTATCACTGCAATTGTTGCTACTATTTCCTCTTTGACATACTTTCTGCTATAAGGAGTGCTAGGTTGAACCATCTGAAATTGCTTGATTGGTCCACATTTGACATATAAAACAGCAATTTCATATTATTCAGCCTAATAACGAGCATTGTAATATACTTCCTTAGGATACTAAAATGATGGCATTGAGAAGCTCATTATTATTGCACACCTACTAGATAATGGCTTGCAAGCAAGGAGTTATCTGGGAATTTCTAAAATGCACTTTAAAAATAAACCCCAAATGCCTAGTTTAAATCACATGTGGTGAGCTGGACATAGCTGAACATCCAATAACAACTATGCCCAGTGCCCTGATATTCTTCTGTCCATCTCAATCAGCATCAGAAATGCAAGCCTCACTGCTCATACCGAGACCACCCGGTATTGCACTGAATGTCTGCTCATTTGTCCAATCACCCCTTCTTCCATCAGTTCTTCCAGTGTGTTCTCTGAAATTCCCCTCCAATATCAGCAGCATAGGCTCTGATCATCCCCACTTTCCCCAGGTCTTAACTGAAACTTGGGCATCCTCTGTAGACCCAATCTCACCCCATCCTTTGCAACATAGGCTGCTGCTCTTCCTGACCTTCATCAGGACCAGATAAAGAGAAGGTCCATCCTTGGTCCCCATGCTGGCTTTCAAATCACAGATTGGCACCACCCATCCATGTGCAGGTCCAGACCCCTGCTCCTTAGAGGCTGGTTCCAGAAGGCTGCACCATCATTAACATCTGCTTCCAGCCTCTTTGGCATCCTTCTTGTTCCCTGAGCTCCATCATTTGTCTTCTCATCCCTAGACACCCATCCCGCAACTGTTGGCCTTACCTCATACTTCACTAGAAAGCACCTCTGAAGGTGAGCACCTCCTTTTCTGAAATTCCTCTCTTTTCTTGGCTTCTAGGACAATCCCCCTCTAACCTCTCACCTGATAAAATGCCCACTGCTGGTTCTGCTTTGCCATCTCATCCTTCCCCTCCAAACATCAACTAGAGATTCTCCAGCTGTTTCCTGAACCATCTGCACACTCTTTCCTGAGGTAACCATATCCATTTTCATGATTTTACCATCCACATATGAATTTCTCCCACATTTCTATCTCCCAAGTCTCTCTTTTGAACTCTGCAGCCTGACTGCTTCCTTCACACCTCTACAGAGGTTCTCTGAATGCCTTGGAGGCTCCGGGACTGTTCTGGGAACATCAATAAAAGTAAATCAGTAAATCGCTGCCCACATGGACCTTCCTTTCAATGCAGGAGCAGGGAGCAGGTGGAGCAGGGAGATTGACAAGAAACAATAAACAAGATAAATAAACTAGGTAGCATGTTAGAAAGTGATGAGTACAATGGGGAAAAATAGAGAACAGGCTCAGAGGAAGGTAGAAACTGTTCACAGTCACTTAAATGTAAGGTTCCCAAAGCTGAGCCTCAGTTCATGACTCCCTCACTTTAGAACCCCCATACACACAAAGGCATTGCTTTTCATTCTATCTACAAGCACTGTCCAAGCAAAAACAAAACAGGAGTCATTGCGACTCTTCAGTTTTCCTCACTTGCAACATCAGGGTACTCCTGTCCAGCCCACTTTTAAAATATATCCGACTTCTACCCACTTTCCTCCATCTTTGAAAGAGCCACCCTGTTCAGTCCCAAGTGCACCTGGATTCTCTGCATCTGTTCCTGTTCCGTCACTAATTCATTCTCCCCAGAACCATCTTTTTTTTTTTTTTTTGAAGCAGAGTCTCGCTCTGTTGCCAGGCTGGAGCACGGTGGTGCAATCTCAGCTCACTGCAACCTCTGCCTCCCAGATCCATGCAATTCTCTGTCCTCAGCCTCCCGAGTAGCTGGGACTACAGGCACACATCACCATGCCCAGCTAATTTTTGTATTTTTAGTAGAGATGAGGTTTCACCACGTTGGCTAGGATGGTATCGATCTCTTTATCTCATGATCCGCCTGCCTTGGCCTCCCGAAGTGCTGGGATTACAGGTGTGAGCCACCGCATCTGGCCCAGAACCATCTTTGAACCATGTAAATAAAATTGTTTTCGTCTGTTTAAAATGCTTAAAAGTGGCTCGTCTTTGCACTAAAATAAGATCCCAATTCCCTTCATGTACATATAAGATCTTGCAAGATCTGGCATCAGTGTGTCTCTTCAACATCCTTTCTCATCAATCTATCCTTCTACTACTTGGCTTGGGATGTGTTGTCCTTTTGCTGCACGAAACACATGAAATGCTTCTTGGCCTCCTTTGCACCTGCTTTTCTCTCTCCCCACAATGCTGTTATTCCAGTTATCATGAGCGGCTCTTTCTCTTCTTTCAGGTCTGAGCTTAAACGTCTCCCAAAAGCTCTGTTTGAACATTTGATATAGAACTGCATGTGAAAAGGTACCTTCAATGATGAGTAAACTGAGGCACCCAAGTGGGTTAAATCACCTGTTCAAATGGATCCAGATCAACTACAGAAGCTCTGTTCCATTAAAAATAATGAGACGAGCCATTCATCTCATTTCCTTTAGAGCACGCATGTCCCACCCGTGGCGTGCAGGCCACCCGCGGCCCAGGACGGCTTTGAATGTGGCCCAACACTAATGTGTAAACTTTCTTAAAACATGAGACATTTTTGCAATTTATTTTAGTTCATCAGCTATCATTAGGGTATTTTATGAGTGGCCCAAGACAATTCTTCTTCCAATGTTCCCCAGGGAAGCCAAAAGACTGGACACCCCTGTTCTAGAGAATAAAATTATATTCTCTCTCCAAATGCCATTACAGCTTACTCTTGAAATACTTGAGAAAGCAACAATGACCCCTTGTTCTGACAACTTGTTTGATTATAAACACGTTTGGTAAAAAAAAAAAAAATATTTTCAGCAAGGTTGTCAAATCTGCAGATCTGTTTGTTTTTGAAGGCATAGAAATAAGAGTAGCATATCCTTGCTGTTTTGGGTGACGGAATCATGCCTGCAAAAATCTCAAAAAGACTGTGAAACATGCAGATGTGGTCACAAGGAGTGCAATAAAAATGGAACTGTTGTTCAGAAAGAAACGCCAGCATCCCACAGACATATGTGTGGTCCCATCTGTGATTCTAAATTCATTGCTTATGAACAACTAAGGAGTTGCTGGAGATCAGAAGCCATCTCTGCTTTTATCCCTTCAGAAGTAAGGCGGCATGCAGCTGGATACATCTACCCCTCCTAGAACTTGAGACAAATGACATTCACTCCTGTCTAGACCCAAGACCTCTCATGCCAATATCACTTTTCATTCCTGAAACTCTGATTTAAAGAGACAGGCTCTGAGGCCATCAACAGTTCCTACCTGATGGTTGATTGTTGATCCACGTAGCCCCAGGGTTACAGCACTGGAAGAGACCATGTACTTTAGACCCAAGCTTGAGAGCCTGAGTCCCCTCCATGGCAATTCTAACAAGTGTGTTTCCATCTCCCTGCTTGAGTACTCACAGTGATGGGCAACTCACTGCTTATCAAGGCAGTCCATTTTTAAAAATAGTTTTTAATAATAATTTATTTCTTAAATGGACTTGAAACTGTTTGTTTGTTTTGTTTTGTTTTTTCAGCTTCCGTTTCTCCCTGCACTGTCCAGGTAAGGAATGTGATCCTATGACAAAGAATCCCTTCTGACCTCTGAAGACAGCTAACACACCTCTTTTCTTTTTTCCTCCAATTTAAATGCCTTCACTTCATTGAGGGTAACATGTTATAAATTTCTATGGGACCACCTCAAAGGGCTTTTGCATTGCTGAGAGTGGACAAGGTTCCAATGATACTGTGGCTTCTCCCGGACAAATACATGCATTTGATTTTTGCCAGTTTCCAAAAACACTTACAAGAACTGAGTTGAACCTGGCTATCACTTTTCAAATTTACATTGTTTTCCTAATGCAATTACATTTTTTTCTTGTTTATTTCACTTTGTTCATCTGTTGATTATTTTTAAATGCCTATACTTTCAAGAAGTTTAAAATAACTAGATCTTGAGAACCTAGAACATAAGCCAAAGATGTATGTCTGTAGCTAAAGATATTTTGGCCACCAGAGGGCTCCCAGATTTTGATCATTATTACTCTACCTGTATTTAAACAATCAAGACAATTAAGTGGACTTATAGAAACAACAAATTTAAATATAAGCTGTTTCTGACACAAAGATAGGTCACAAATTTTTAGAAACAATTTTATTTGCCTTTGCCTCTTAATTCCAGCACATTAACTTCTTAAACACTGTGCATATACACAATGATTTAATCCCCACAATCTTCTTAAACACACACACGCACACAAAGATTTAATCTACAAAATAATTAGTCTTGATCTCTGTAAACACATTTAAATGTTTTATGACTTACTTGTCTATATCTGCAGAAGTTTTCAAATGACTATTTTGTGTGGAAAGAATAAGTGTTCTGTTTTCAGGAATATGTAGCTTTCTAAAAGTACGTATTTAGAAGTATGAATGATGGCATAAAATTGACTTGTATATAAAATTGATTAAAAAATAACGCTTAATGTCAGGAAGTGTAAGAGAAGAATCAACACTTTTATACATACTTTCCAGAAATGAAACTTAATAATTTGATATGTCTTTGAGGGTAATTTGTTAAAATATGGAATATTGTAAAATGTACACGAATTTATAGTAAGCAGTAACTTATCTAAGAATTGATTAAAAAATACACAAATATTGGGATTTTATAAGCAATTTTAAAAATAGTAAAAGTAAAGGAATAAGGACTAAAATGTCATCAATTATGTGAGGGGAAAATAAATCGTGGGACCCCAAAATCACTAAGCCCAAGGGAAAAGTCAAGCTGGGAACTATATCAGGCAAGCTTGCCTCCCATTTTATTCCAAAATAAGATAGCTACAAAGATTAACCAAAAAAAAAAAAAAAAAAAAACTACATAGCTCCCTCACAATTTGCCCACTAGGAAATTCCTTGCGGGCCCCAAGATCTTTACCCTAAAATAGTTCTGTTGCATTTCACCCTGACGAGATAAATTGATAGCTTATCTTCACAGGTGCGGGACGAAGGACAGAACTCAGTCATTCCTCTGCCCATCTGAGACAAATGCACATCTGATTTGCTTCCTCTGCCCTATGTTTATTTTATCTTATGTAAAAATAAAGATTCACTGAAATTTAAAATTCTCTTTCTCTTTCCCCAATATCTGCCCTTTCTCCTTTAAATCCCCAAACCCTCAAAATCATCTTTGGAGGAAGGCACAGACCTGTGTCCTGGGTGCACCTCCTCAATCGATTGAGACCTGTCTGAGATACTTTTTGGTTTGTAATAAGAAACTAGTTAATTTCATAGCAGAGACAGAGAGAGGAGGAAGAGAAGGAGCGAGAAGAGAAAGGAAGAGAAATACACTATTTCAGAGACTTATAATATTTCAGGGTTACTATGAAATGTCCATGAACTCAAGCTCAACAATCTGAAGTCAGGGAGTAAATGGAAAAACAGCAAATATTGCACACAGGATTGGGGAGGGGGAGGCCTCAAAGGTTTTGGGGTTTGGAGTGGGGCAAGGGCTGAACAAGGAGGGGTTTCCTGAAATTCTGCGTCCTCGTGCCCCGCCTGCACATTCAGCTGCACATTATGCTGCTTCCAGAAGCATCTCGATAGCCTAAGGGGTTTATTCTCTGGCTAAACTGAAACAGATTATTGGGTATTTAAGATGGAAGTGTAGATATTTTCTGAAAGTTAGTATAAAGAAAAGAACCAAAAGTCGAAAATTTCTGAACTGTCAAAAAGGAGGAGATTTGTACAACAAAATAATAAAGATTTAAAAAAAAATTACCTCCATCCAGGAGGTCTGTTTGAACAGTAGAAATTCCAGCGGGAGAGAAAGGTGGAAAGAGTAGGAATGGTATCATCCATAAAGAAATACAGGGAAATCACCCTACATTGAGGGGCAGGAGTGTTTGCATTCCAAGATGCCACTCAGTGCCCAGCACACTACAGCCACACACACCTTCATAAAGTTACGGGACTTCAGGAATAAAGAGAATGGCCTCAACACTGCCCACCCAAAAGGAAGAAAGTGAACTTACACCCGAAGGTCAGCAATCAGAACTATAACAACCCCTACCCTGGCAGCTAAAAGACAATGGAGAAATCATTCCCTTTGCAATTTTTAAAATTTCTAAGATAAAAATTACTTCCAAACTTATATTCTTTTTGCAAACATAAGTTCTTAAAAATGTTCTTCTCATGCATCCTTTCTCAGAAATGATGGATGGTATGTCCCGCTGAAAGGAGGGAGAAAAAAAGACATGGGAAAGCACAGGATTTAGGAAATAGGAAATCCAGCATAGGGGAGACATGAGAAGAATACTTAAGGTGGCAGCCCCTTCAGATTGGAGGCTGGTAGAGGGGCTCCTGGAGCTGTCTCTGCTGGAAAAACAAAATAGAATAAATTCCCTGACAAAGTTGAACATGTGGAAAATCATTTTGTGCTTTGAAGTGTGGAAATGTTAGATGTTTAAAGCAAAAAGGAAAAATGTAATCATAGCACACAACTTGGCTTGACACTTAATATTTACATGATTATAATAGATTTAACTAAAATGTAAGACATACTGGGAGGATGGGAATATGGGCAAAGTGACCTAAATTTCTGAACCATCACAATATGAAGTCAATAAATACATGAATAAGATTGAAAAAAATTAAATACCAGAAATTTAGTTAAAAAATAATGAGAGTGATTTCTTCGTGGGAGGAAAACGGGGAATGCATTCTCAGTTTTTTGTTGTTATAATTTCTTTATAACCATATGACATTAAAATTATTTGCATGTAGTGTTTGACTAAAAAATTTAACAATGAGGCATATGTAGTCCATGGAAAAGTGCTGTAATAGGTTCAGTGGAAAAAACGGTTTTAGAATAATGTAATCCCATATATTTTCACTGCAAAATGAAAGGAGAAATCTATTCCAACATGTTTAAAATGTTAATCTCTGGGGCATAGAATTACAGGGGCCTCTTTTATCTTAATAATCATTTCTGTCTTCTGAGTATAGCACATCAATTTTTAACCTCAATAAACCACAATGACGTAAGTCATGTTATAATTAATATAAAATAATCAAATTGGTATGTTTTATTTCAAGTTTGGATGCAAAAGAAAAAAATTGTGTAACTTAATACACAAAGCTTTTCAGCCAATGAGGATTCAGTAACTACGACTAAAACCAAGAGTGCTGTGAGCTCATTAATGTTACGTGTCTGCCTTGCAGGAAAAAGCTATGGAAACACAATATTAAAGAACCTTGGATCCTAAACTGTATGCCACGGAAACGTGGCAGGCTTACAATAACGTCCTGCCAAAGCCACCTGTGCCATTTGGTGCCTCCCTCATTGGAGCAAGGTTTGCTTCTGCGAGGCTGTCCAAGAGTCCAAGAGCTTTCTGCCCTCTCTTCTCCAGCGCCTTCAACTGAACAGCATTTTGAGCCCAACACGAAGCTTACTCTTAGTCATGCACCTGAAGTGTTTTGTTTATTAGGTTTTTGAGACAAAGTCTTCTCTGTCACCCAGGCTGAAGTGCAAAGTGGCATGATTGTTGGCTCACTGCAGCCTTGACCTCCCCAGCTCAAGAGATCCTCCCACCTCGGCCTCCCAAGAAGCTGGAACTACAGGTTTGCACCACCATGTATGGCTAATCTTTGTATTTTTTGTAGAGAGAGGGTTTCCCCATGGTGCCTAGGCTGGTCTTGAACTCCTGGACTAAAGGGATCCTCCTGCCTGGATCTCCCAAAGTGATGGGATTACAAGTGTGAGCCACCTCACCTGGGCATTTATTAAAAATTACTATTATTATGGCTAACAAAGAACTTGCAATATTGATTCAGTAGTCTTAGAATGCCACATGTAGAAGACAAATTACAAATTATTTTTGTCTAGCAATTTTCTTTTCATTACAGACATTTTCACGGTTTTCCTCCCTAGACCCTAGCTGTCATATTCCATTTTCTCTAGCCATTTCTTTACTGGTATTTTTCTCCCTTTAATGTGTCAGAGCGGATAAAAACATAAGTGGTAAAGATTCAGAAACGGTAGCTTTCTTTCTCTAAGGTTTAGCATAACCAACATGAACTTCAAGCAGTTAGCTGCAAATTATCTCATCAACTCGAGCACTTTACTTCTAAAGTTCTGACCAATCCTGCAGAAAAAGTCATCTGTTTGTGTGTCAGAGAAATATGCTTATGTCAACTCTAAGAAACCACATTAGGGAAGGAAGCAGGGGGAAGTGAACTTCACTAGGTAGAGGCCTTTGGGGCCACTCCTTCCTTCCACAACTATGGGGCTCTATGCCTCCAGCCACCACAGCTAGGCAGTGGTAGGGCAGGTTCTAGATCTTAGGTGCAGCAATTTTAACCCAGTGCTTTTAAAACAACATCAGTAACTGATTATGCATGAGACAGTACTAGGGTTACAGTCTGCTCCGAGGGCTTGGCCAAGATTTAATAATGTAATCCTCCACAACAACCTGATCAGCTGGCTATGATTTTTTTCTTATTTTATTGCTGGAGAAACTGAGGCAACAGAGTGTAAACCACCTGCCCAAGGACACGCAGCTGGAAAGTTCTGGAGCCAGCACTGGCTCCCAAGTAGCCTGGTTTCACACTCCTACGCAGCTATTACACAAGCTCTGACTTAGGAGTGATCTGCTCTACCATTTTATCAGTGGGGACAGCAAACAGGAGCAGAGATTTTATTTTACTTTACTTAATTTTTATTTTTATTTTATTATACTTTAAGTTCTAGGGTACATGTGCACAATGTGCAGGTTTGTTACATATGTATACATGTGCCATGTTGGTGTGCTGCACCCGTTAACTCGTCATTTACATTAGGTATATCTCCTAATGCTATTCCTCCCCGTTCTCCCCATCCCACAACAGGCCCCGGTGTGTGATGTTCCCCTTCCTGTGTGCAAGTGTTCTCATTGTTCAATTCCCACCTATGAGTGAGAACATGCGGTGTTTGGTTTTTTGTCCAAAACAGAGATATAGACCAATGGCACAGAAAGGAGCAGAGATTTTCTAAACACCATGTTACTTGCCCAGTGACAGAGCTGTCCAGAGCTCAGCCTCCCAACCCTCCTCTCTTTGTGGCAGTTTTAGTTCATTACATCACTTAAATGTCAATGGAATGAGAATGTGTCTGTGCATAAATACGGTGAATGTGGACACTTCATTCTTCAGTGCTTAGACTCAGAACAGATGATGTCACATTTTAAAATACGTGTTCTGAAGAAGATGGGTGTACATTACCTTCATACTGAATCAAATTTTAAATTCACTAATAACTATTGAAAGCAATCCAGAAGCAAACCCGTAAAACTAAAGAAAACTTTTAGGAAATAATCATATTTTAATCTATCATATATAAATTCTAATTTTCCTAATTGTTAAAATTTTAATGGAGGTACACATGCATCTTGTTGTATTGGATATACTGTTTCCCAAATGGGAAAAATCATAGTAAAACTTCATTTTGAAATAATGTTATTTTGGATTTGTAATGACCAAAATCATTAGGAGCTTAGAGCTTTAAGGTGATATTGCAGATAGTTCAAAATTAAATGGATGGACAGTCGATTTGGTTTGTTTCACTTGTGTGTCTGTTTTGGAGGAGTGGTTTTTTTAAATGGTTTGTGTGTTTAAATGTAAAGTTTTTTTAAAAAGACCTCATACTCATTTCTCAGAGCAATTATCTGAGGTGTGTCACATTCCATCCCCTTCTAGAATAACAATTCTCCCAATATGCATGTGTGATGCAGAAACCAGGTGCCAGTTAATGCACATCACTGTGTGGAGAGAAACGAGAAGAGAAAGGGTGTTTGGCCATGCTGATGGTGCAAACACAGCTGTGCACTTCATATTTTTGTTGCTAAGGTCATATGGGTCAGCCCTCTCAGTGGGCTACAAACCCATTTCCCTGGCAAAGCGGACGGTCCATACGGGGCACGGATTTATTTGAGGAGAAGTATCCATGTTGTTCTGGGGGAATAAAGGGGCTGTTCACCAACCAGGCAGAGACCTTCCTAAAAAGCAGCCATGGCAACTCAGTTTACCTGCAAGCAAGAATTGCCAGCTACGGCTAGGTAACGGCTCTTAACTTTTTAAAAACTAAAGGAGAGCAGAATGAATTAGAAAAGCAGAATGTGCTGCAGGCACAAAGAGTGGCACCAAGAGTGGCACATTCATTTTGGACCTAGAGGTGGTTAAGGTTATACTGCATGTACAATTTGAATAGACAAAGGCAAGTACTGGAATTAATTACAAAGCTTATTGGGAATCCACCAGTGACATAGGCAGTAACTAAATCAAGAGGGGGCTGAGAAGCCATCTGACAATAACGGCCAACCTAATGGCTGCCATGCTTTCCAACATGATAGACTGCGGATGCCGACCCCTTAGATAATAGCCTGGTGTTAACACCAGCGCAAATATGACCAAAACTGAGGGCTCTGAAATTGGGCAGCGGTCACCTATCAGGTAGATCATACAGGTTCTATGTGTTACAGAATGTGCATATACAACTATTGTCAGATTTTGTTATGGGCTGCATGATGTCCCTCCAAAATTCATGTTGAAGTCCCAACCCCCAGTACCTCGGGATAAGGTATTTGGACATAGGGCCTACAAAGGGGTGATTAAGGTAAAGTGAGGTCATCAAGATGAGCCCTAATCCAGTATGACTGGTGTCATTGGAAGAGGTGGAAGTGAGAACACAGACACACACGGAGGACAACCACGTTAGGACACAGAGAGGAGGTGCCATCTACAGTGTTGGAAGGAACCACCCTGCTGATAGCTTCGTCTTGGACTTAGAGCCTCCAAAACTATGAGAAAACAAATGACTGCTGTTCAAACCCCTGCTCAGTGGCATGTTTTTGTGGCAGCCCTAGCAGATGAATGCAGACGATCATCAAAACAAAGGCAAGGGCCAGGTGTAGTGGCTCATGCCTGTATTCCTAGCACTTTGGGAGGCTGAGGCGGGCGGATCACCTGAGGTCAGGAGTTCAAGACCAGCCTGGCCAACATGGTGAAACCAGTTCTCTACTAAAAATACAACAATTAGCTGGGTGTGGTGGCAGGCGCCTGTAATCCCAGCTACTTGGGAGGCTGAGGCAGGAGAATCACTTGAACCTAGGAGGTGGAGGTTGTAGTGAGCAGAGATTGCGCCACTGCACTCTAGCCTGGGTGACAGAGTGAGACTCCGTCTTCAAAAATATATATAATAAATATTAAAAAAAAACACAACCAAAAATACAAAGGCATATTCAGTACTGGAAAATTCCAGAAAATGGTCCAAGCACCCCTTGGCATGTTCCTTTGCAGCATATAATATTCCATTTAATTGTTTTTTCTTTCTTTCTTTTATTGTAGGCAATACTTTTCTTTGTCCATCCAGAATCCTAACAAGCATTGTAAACAAATAAACACATAAAATAGCTAAAAATGGAGCAGCAGCCGCGGGAGCTGCCGCCCTCCCCTTCCCCCCTGAGCTGGAACAGCCCCTGGGGCTCCCGCAGAGCAGAGTTTGAAAAATGCCGCTTCCATTCTGGTGCCTCACAAAGATCTAACATGTCAGCGAATTACCTCAGGTTTGCACATTATCATTAATCAGGGGCATCACAGGGGATGGCAGCATCCCCCAGACATAATAAATAATGGTGAACTCAAGGTTTCTGCAGGCGAGTGCGTGCGTTCTGCCTGGGAAGGGCAGTCCGTGTCCATTAGAGACTGAGGGGAACGTTGTTCTTGCCGTGTCCTCTGAGGGTTCCCACGACGAGAACTGCGAGGGAGCCCTGCTCATTCAGAGACCCAGTGCAGGCAGACCCACACCTGGGCACCTAGGCCAGAGACCTTCCATGGAGCTCTGCAGGCTCTCAGGGCTTCTGAAGATTGGCATCTCTCCAGGAAAAAAAAAAGCCCATCACCCCAAACAGTCAGTAGGCTTGCTGTTGCCTCACCTACCCTGGATGCTGAAGTTGGAGAGCACTTAAGGTTTCCAGAAGTTTCTCCAGCCAGCAAGATGCTCCACCCTCCTCCTTCAGACTGTCGTGCGCAATTAATGACAAGCTTTCATATCTTTGATTGTGAAGGTGCATTAGCACTTCAGCTGGCTCCTCTGGGTCACTCTTGGGTTTATTCCACGTTTAAACCTTCAAAATCTGCTTTTATTTAGGTCTTGGCATTCAGGCCAGTGCCCTTCAGAAGGACACGAGGATGGCCCATCTTCCAGGGCTGGACTCAGCCCACCTAACTGGCTCAGCAAGATCCCTGCTGGTGTGAAACTTGTCACAGGATGTGGCAGGGAGGCTTCTCCTAGAACTGGACTGGGGCCCCCTTCGTCATGATTGTAGATTAGAGTCAGGGGCTCTTTGTGTGACCTTCGTCCTGGCCTCCTTATGATTTGAATCACATTTTCCTCAGTGGCTTGATCAATGTGTTCATTCACGAAAGTGCTGACTTTCCCATACAAAATGGTCAGCCTGGCCGGGCGCAGTGGCTGCACTTTGGGAGGCCGAGGCAGGCAGATCACAAGGTCAGGAGTTCAAGACCAGCCTGACCAACATGGTGAGACCCCATCTCTACTAAAAATATAAAAATTAGCCGGGCTTGGTGGCATGCGCCTGTAATCCCAGCTACTCAGGAGGCTGAGGCAGGAGAATCGCTTGAACCTGGGAGGCGGAGGTTGCAGTGAGCCTAGATCGTGCCGTCGCACTCCAGCCTGGGCAACAGAGTAAGACTCTGTCTTAAATAAATAAATTAATAAATAAAATTTAAAAAAAAACACATCAGCCTATTCCATTTGAGTAGTTTCAAGTTTCTTTTGTGTGTAAGTTGGTATTTCATTCCATTTTTGATTTTGTAGGACATTCGAACTATCTGTCAGGTTATCCAATCCTATTAGGCTTCTTTCCTCCACAAGTGTTTCATCTTTGGGTGGGTGCTTCACTCCCATGCTGTACTAACCACCTCATAGAGAAAGGGACTATACCAGAAATGTCCTTGTATTTCTATAGGAGGGTCCCCATTTGGGTGCTTCACTCCCATGCTGTACTAACCACCTCATAGAGAAAGGGGCTATGCCAGAAACGTCCTTGTATTTCTATAGGAGGGTCCCCATTTGAAGGCCCTTAGTGAAGGTATATCGATAATTTTAGGGAGATAATATGGCATGAGAAAGGGCAGTCAACTCTGAGTTTGAGCTACAGCTCAGCCATTCATCATGGATACGACTTGGACCATTTCTTAACTTTCCTGAGCCTCAGTTTAGAGGCTAATATAACCCATTGAGTTGTTATAAGGCTTTAATTTTTAGATAACATTAATATGCATATATTGCATGCAAAATGCACAGGTAAGTGTCTGGCACATAGTGATCAATTTATCATAATAATATTGATGATGATAGTGACAATCACAAACATTTAATAAGAGGTATGTTTAAAATAGAGTTTGCTCACAACCTTATCAGCTAAAATGTTTGTGGTCTTAACTAAACAATGAGCTTTCGAATGTGCTTAAGGTGAGGACAGAAGGGACTCTAGGAATTTCAGAAGACTATAACTGGGGAGTTTTGGGGGAAAGAATTTATTCTTTGCTGACTAACCATTGGTTAGGTGGTGGGCAGGGCAGGTCATAGGGAAAGCTTTGATGGGAAGGGCTCAAAAATCAGTCATTGTAGGCTATGTTATACAGTGTTCCCTGCTAAGGCCTCAATAAGAAGAATGAGTGGAAAGTTCTCTACGTGAACAATCCAATTAACCATGAACTGCCAAAAAAAACTTGAGGGAAAATTCAGAGAGAGTAGGAAAAACGTTTACTTTCTCACCTTAGTCCTGTGACCATAATTTTGCAAGCCAAGACCTGATAAAAATAATGTTCATTTTAAAATTTAAAGTACAAATAAGTATATTTTATTGCATGAAATTTGGAATATTTGGGAAGAGCTCAAAGAAAACAAAAGTTATATAACTTCCTAAATAGTATTTAAGGAAGACTGCAGTCAGCCCACAGGCATTTAGGATCTCAATGTGGAAAAGTATAAAATGTGTTTTAATTTAAAAAGAAATTTTCAAAATATACCTGTTCAAACCTCATTCATACAATATTCACAAATAAAGAGGAATATGAATTCTTTTTCACTGAATAGTCTAGAAAAATAAAACCAGCTCTCTATCTGCCATAGAAAATCAGAAATTGATCTAACAAAAGATAAGAACCAGAAGAAAAGGAAAAGAAATAGGAAAAAGGAGATACCATGCTTAACACACAAAAAAGGAGATAGTTAAAAAATGATAATGGCAAAAAAAAGAAAACGGTATTTTTTCTGATCGTCTTTTCTATAGTAGAAATTTGCAATTTCTCAGATGCTCAGTATTGAAGTTCCAAAGGACGTGTAAATTTCCACTGATGGCCGTGAGTCATCTATAATTATTTCCACCATATGTACTTACATCCTTTCCAGAGAACCTGCCCATTAAAACAGCATATGAAACTTAGTAAGTTTCACTTTTTTATGTTTTGGAAGAAAGTGATAAAACCCATACTACTTGAGGAACTGAATTACACACAGTGTTTATTAACACTGAGAGGTCTGCTTTTCATTTGAGCACAAATTTGTAATTATTTTAGAATATTATCAAAATGATATATTTAATCTAAAATCCAATCATGCATTTTCATTTAAATTGTTAACATTTTATTCAGTATTTTAAAAGATAAAATAACAACATTTTCTCCACTGACATTTTTTTCTGTCTTTTTAAAAAACTTGTCAGTAAAGTGTAATATACCTAGAGAAGAGTACATTTAACTGAATAGCCCAGCTGAATCATCACCAACTGATCCCACCCATGCAACCCACATTTAGGTAGAGAAAAAAAATTACCAGGACCCCTGAGCCCCACCCCCCATGCTTCTTTATAGTCATTACTCTTCTTTCAAAGCCACCCAGTATCTTGATTTCTAATAGGATAGGTTCGTTTTGCCTGTTTTGGAAGTTTATGTAAATAGAACCACACAGAATATATTCTCTTGTGTCTGTCTCTCTTCCTTCAACATTACCTTTTCAAGATTTATCCACATGGTTGTGTGTAGTTGTTGGCTGTTCATTCTCATTTCTTAGCTGTATTATATTGAATGAACATAACTCCATTTAGCTGTTTGGGGGAATTTGCATAGTTTTTTGATTGGAGCTATTATGAAAAGTGCTGCCAAGAACACTGTATATGCCTGTGTGTACCTGGGAACCTGTAGTACATGTGGACATAGGTAAATATTTTTTTCTTTTGGGGACATAGCTGGGAGTGGAATGGCTTTGCCATAGGGTAGGCACAGAGCCAGCTTTTAAAAAGATTGGTCATTTTCCAAAGTGATTGCATGACCTTAATTTCTATGCACCAAATAAAATAGCAAATTGTAAAAAGTTACATTGTACTAAAATTATAGCCACTTTTTGTTACATATAATCTTCAAAATATATGGAACATCCTAAAAAATCAGTTCTTGGCCAATAGGGAGGATTTTTAATTTCAGGTGTTGAACTGAGATTTTGAGCAAAGAACTATAAATCTAACAATGATCACTACTGTTATTACTGCTACTACCACAACTACAACTAATTACAATGACTGCAACAAAATAACAAATACAGTAGCCCTGCCTTATACACAGCTTCCAAGACCCCCAATGGATGCCTGAAACTTCGGATAGTACTGAATCCTTTATATGCTTTGTTTTTTTCTATACATCCACACCTGTGACAAAGTTTAATTTATAAAATTAGACATAGTAAGATATTAACAACAATAAATAATAATAAAATAGAACAATTAAAACAATATACTGTATTCTGAGTTATGTGAATTTGGTCTCTCTCTCTCTAAACATCTTACTGTACTGCACTCATGTATTTTCAGACCATGGTTGATCAAGGAAAACTCAAACTGCAGAAAGTGGAGCTGCAGATAAGGGGGAAGAATGCTGTAAGAACAGAAGCCCACCTATGTGCCAGGTGCTGTGCTAAGTGCTTCATTGCAATGAGGCATTTCAACGTCTAAGTAATCCTATAAATTCTATTATTGTCCTCAATTAAATGTGATGAAGCCAGAGACATGGCCATGAGTAATTTAACCAAGATGAAAAAGCCACTCACCACTCAGGTCCATTGGACATGAAACTCAGCTCTTACTACCCTATAAAGCCCAGTGCTTCCATCTGCTCAGGGAAGTACACAATCATCATCATCATTAACGGTGCAGGGGTAACATCTGCTCATCTATGTTTTCTGATATGCTTAATTCCTTAGTCCCCTTAGAAACATCTCACATATGTATTAGTCCATTTTCATACTCCTATGAAGAAATATCCAAGATTGGGTAATTTATAAAGGAAAGAGTTTTAATTGACTCAGTTCCACATGGCTGGGGAGGCCTCACAATCATGGCAGAAGGCAAAGGAGGAGCAAAGGCATGTCTTACATGGCAGCAGGCAAGAGAAAGTGTGCAGGGGAACTTCCCTTTATAAAACTATCAGATCTCATTACACTTATTCACTATCACGAGAACAGCATGGGTAAACCTGCCCCCATGATTCAATTACCTCCCACTGGGTCCCTCTCACAACACGAGGGGATTATGGGAGCTCAATTCAAGATGAGATTTGGGTGGGGACACAGCCAGACCATATCACATGGGATTCTCCACATGGACTGACATGATTTTTAAAAATCTGTCAGCAGTAAAAATGAATATCCTAGCAGTGAAGAAAAATAAGTTGTAAATATTTTGAATCTTATTTTCAGACATATGTGTGTGTACATGCGTATGCATGTACGCACACACAAACTCACACACACAGCTAATGGTCTTTTGTGCCAGGTAAATGATAGCAACATGTATGAGATTTGTTTACCATGTCATTTATTTAATTAAACAAAACTAAATATTGTGCCACAATATTTTACCCCCAAACTCAGTCAGCTGTGACAGAAACTGCCTGCACCCAACATTAAGAAACAAGAACGCCAGAAATGAGGCAGAGGAAGGTCAAACGCCATTTCTCTGGGAGTCCTTGTTCAAAGGCTGCTCCAGCCTCACAGCCCAGAGGCAGTTCCTTGTGCCCTGACTTAGGCTCCTTTTAGAAATCTATAGGCTCCTGTTAGAAAAGGAAATAGTCTCTTTCTAGATGTGGCTGTATACACAAAAGTTAAAGAATCACTAACACATGAGATAAAGCATTTCCCAAAGCCTTTTAGGGAAGAGAGAGTATTGCTCTTTCCCTCCTGGTATTCTTCCCTTTAAAAATCTGAACTCAGTGTGAACAAATAACAGGTCAGAGACTGAGACAGTCTTGTTCATAGCCTCACACACATTAAGTTCTATGCATAACACATTGAAGCTATATTTTTGCAAATATCATACTTCATTTTCTAGAAACTTGAAACATAGTCAAGAGGAATTTTTAATGTTTGTAGACATTACTTATCTCTCACGTACATTCTGTATTGAAACCTATCTTCATGTGACATATTTACATGCTACAATTTTGATGATAGAAATTTGACGCTGTTGCTACTGAAGGTTGTGAATGTAAGGCCTCGTGCTGGACTGTCATATTAAACAGCGATGTGCCACATGGTTTTGAGTGCAGAAAGTTTAAGTGACAGTAAAGAATGTACATTAGGAAGGCCATTATCACTGACACTTTGAATTTCACATAACTGGACCTTAAAGATGATACTGGCTCAAGGTCAAAAGGCACTCTAAATATCAATATTTATATCTTTTCTCTGATGCAATCAGAAAACATTTTAGTCAACCTACCAAAATTACTGATTTGGGAAAGAATTAACAATTTATTCTCATCTGGGAAAAAAACAACTCTTTTAGGCCATGCTTTTGCCCTCTGGGCCTAGGATGCCCTACACCCTGAAATGCTGCAGCTAGAAGGCCCGCACCAGATGCGGCCCTTTGACCTTGGACTTCTCAGCCTCCAAAACTGTAAGTCAAATAAACTTGGGCATACACTTTTTAAAACCCACTATTTCAAAACTATTAAATTCATTTTTCCCCCAACAGAAGCTCCCTGCAGCAAAAGTCACTTCCTGTAGAAAGACCACAAGAACAGGCCGGGTGCGGTAGCTCACGCCTGTAATCCCAGCACTTTGGGAGGCCGAAGCAGACAGATCACAAGGTCAGGAGATCGAGACCATCCCGGCTAACATGGTGAAACCCCGTCTCTACTAAGAATACAAAAAAATTAGCCAGGCATGGTGGCGGGTGCCTGTAGTCCCAGCTACTCGGGAGGCTGAGGGAGGAGAATGGCATGAACCCGGGAGGCAAAGCTTGCAGAGAATGGCGTGAACCCAGAAGGCAGAGCTTGCAGTGAGCCAAGATCATGCCACTGCACTCCAGCCTGGGCAACAGAGACAGAGCAAGACTCTGTCTCCAAAAAAAAAAAAAAAAAAAAAAGCTCACAAGAGCAAAGGAAAGCCTTGCTCAGGAACAATGAAATGGACTCAAATACCCAGCATTTTTCAGTATGAGTGGAAATGACCAAAAATAATCCAACAACACTACGAAAGTGTGATTTTCTTCTTCTGATTTTTAAAGTTCATAATAAAGCCAGAACTATATTCAACTGTGGAAACAACAAATGATGAGACTAAATCTTGCCATCCTAACCCACATGCACTGCCTAGTTACTTCCTGAGCAGCTGCGTTTTGGCTCTCCATCCATAACAACCCGGAGTGGCAGACAGGACCCGTGTCACAGTTGAGTGAGGGACAGAGCAATTTATGAAGCTACAGCAAATGAAAGGCAGAGCTAGACCCGGAACACACGTGCACTGCTTATTGATCCAAAGTGGATCCTGTCACCCATAGAGGCGATTCGCCGTTCCCAGTTGAGTGTGAAACCAGAAATCTCAGAAGTGTCTGAAGTCACTATAATTACCATGGCAACACCACTCCGGGGGGAAGAGCAAGTGCAGCCTCTCACCTCCTTGTGAGATTATTTCTCATTTATTTGTACATGAAAATGGCTCCATGTCACCTTTTTTGTGGCCATCCTTGCATAGAAATGAAGACCATTTCCAGTCTTTTTATTCACATAATTGCATTTCTTCCCTACATTTCATAATTTTAAAATATGACCACACTGAACAGTTCTAAACGTAGCTATTGTACACTTATGTAGTGTCAGAAGCACTTTTTCTAACATGTAGCTTTATGCCCTTATAGCTGTGGGAGAGTATAACTACATTGAAAACACGTGCCTAGCACCCAAAATAATAAAGCTAATGACTGTCTTTGTCATCTGTAGATATTTCACACTGTTCTTTGCTCTCTGCCCCTTCTAGACTCAACTTTTTTATTTTTATTTTTTAATATAGAGAATTTTTCAGAATTTTTACTCACTACAACATGGGTATACTTTGAAAACATTTTGTGTTTTAAAAATTGGACTAAAGGAAAAACTTTATTGGTTTTGAAAATCAAAACCAGAGAAATCACTACATTTTCATACTCTCTGGAGACATTTCAAAAAGAATTAGAGCAAAAGGTAACACACATTCCCAGGAGGTGGACCCTGACAGCAGAGGGCAATAAATGTTTGATTCTAGAATTTTTGAGTCTCACTGTTTATTTTATATGGAAGCCCCCTATGTTTTCTCCCAAAGAATTTCAGCAAGACAATTTATAACTCTTAGCACACTACCTCCACACTTTTAAAGGTGTAAAATAGAGAAGGTGGAATGAGGTGGCAGAATGTCTTGCTTCTATCAGATGTGTGCTTGAACATGAGGTGACAATACACTGAATGCTATCAGGGAGGCTAATGACACACAGCCCGCCTAATTGTGAAATTTTTATTAAGGTAGAGTTGTGGTGCTGTGGATGTAATTATTTTTTAAAGTATATTTGACTTGCTTTTTATATACTGATCATCTGTGTCAGTGAAAGATCTCACAAAATTTGATGACAAATTAGTTGTGACTAATATTTTAAAATGTCCCACGCAATTCTTCTGCATCTCTAGAAGATTAGAAACAGAAGAAATGTCATTTAATGGGAAAAGTAAACATGCAGGTGCATCTGCAGAAAAGCACAAACTCCTCATGATCTTGCAGGACTTACAAATTAGCAAATATCTATTTTAAAATTTCCAGAAGTCTTTCACCATTGTGAGATTTTACTTTCATTTCATGTCGAATCTATTTGAATAGTAAGGAGGAAAAAACAGCTACCTATTATGGATAAGTATGGTTTTAGGCATTTATGATATTACTGTGGGTTATTTTTAAGTGAAATCAACTTAAACGGGCAATATATTTATTTAAGTTGGCTTGGTTTTAGTGTCACTGGCCAAACATTTCAACAGGAAATTACCATGGGAATTATATCTTTAATAGCTATTTCTCCTAACAATATTATTGTGAGGATCAACAAGCCATGATGTTTTTGCCTGATTACACAATGATAATTTTTTTCTTTTTATTTTCCTGTATAACGGAGGCATGTTATAATTAAACATAAGTTAAAATTTCTTAAGCTGTTTGTTGGAAATTATTTATATATAATTCCTTTAACAACTATGAATACCCATTAATAAACCTAGATTACTATTTGTCCATTTCAAGCATCCTATCCCTGGAATAGATTAGTGTGCCTAGTTCTTCTCATTTTAACAATAGTACCCAGACGTGCGTGGGCTCCCTGGTACACACGTGTCTTTTGTGTGTTCCTAAAGTTTGCTGTGAATGCTTTCTATGACTATGGTTCTTTCCAATTTAAAATTTTAATAGAAAGTTAAAACTCTAGATGTTTAATCACTTCTTTCCTTACCAAGGCTGAGGAAGTATTTTTAATTTTTCTGAGAGGTAAGCAATTTTAATCCTGACATTTTGGCTATTGGCCAATAATTACGAACTGTTAATTCTACGGGGCAGGATGTAGGTCCTCGGCAACAAAAGATGTTAGACAAGGTTCTTGCTTTCGAGAATGTCTCAACCCACCCAAACTCATCTAATCTTCAGCAGGTTCCCCACCTATAAACAAAGTCCACATCCAAAGACTACGATTTATGGGTCTGTCCAGAGGCTTCCCGAATATTTCACCGTCTCAAATATATTGTCCGGCAGAATTGTGAAAGGTGGAAGTGGGCAGAAATTGAGTAAGTGGGCATTAAATGCCCTATCCAGTTCATCCATCCATCCTATCTATACCTTAGCTTGTCTTTGACTTGACTGTTTACAACTCTGCAGAGATAGAGGTTAACTGATAGAAAACATAAAGCAATGAAAACACTTCCTGTCCATAGCAAGGCAAAGGACTCCTGTTCTCAGTGCTGCAAATACATTTTGCCCCATAGAAAACAAATCTCTGTGGATAGAATCTTCAATGGAACCAGTTGCAACATCTTAGCAATTCCCTCATTCATGAATGAGTTAAATAAAATATTTGACTCAATGTTCATCTGCTATTTGTATGAAACTCATGATTTTATCACCTAAAAAAGAAACTCTTGGATAATGTTCATGGGTGGTTTTTTTTCCTCTGGTTCCTGCCACTGCGTCATCTCCTGAAGCTGCTGTTCTTTCTCCAGCTTGCATGAGGCCAAGCATAAAATGCAACTCTCTCTCCCTCATTCCCCAAAGTGCTGCTGACATAAGTCTGCTGTGGTTACCTGTTTTATACAGGGAGATGTAGGATGAGGACAATTGCCACACAGCGCAAAGACTGAAAAAATCCTAAAATCAAATGGTAGATGCTGTCATCTATAAGTTCTTGTCTATCCCTCCTGCAGAGAATGTTTTGGTGACGCCAACAGTCCCAGCCTGTAGCTTCCTGCTCTGTCATGGAGGTCACCTTTCTTTGCTCCTGCTCCTTCATTTCCACTCATCTGCATGTCCTTGAAGCTTCCTCCAGCAGCTTTTAGAGACGCTTCCAGAGTCTCATTATGTTATTATACAGAGGAATTGAAGAACTAGGTTTTAGTTCCTCCGCCTACATCAATTTCTGGCCTCACTGACAACACAAGACTCACTGAGGTCCCTTGCTACTAAGCTCCCTGCTACCCCCTTTGCATCCACCCTCCAAAAATAAAACACAGTCAGCCACTCTACATATTTCAATATCACACTGACTTTCTTTCTTTTTTTTTTTTTTTTTTTTTGAGACGGAGCCTCGCTGTCGCCCAGGCTGGAGTGAGTGCAGTGGCGCGATCTCGGCTCACTGCAAGCTCCGCCTCCCAGGTTCACGCCATTCTCCTGCCTCAGCCTCCCGAGTAGCTGGGACTACAGGCGCCCGCCACCGCGCCCGGCTAATTTTTTGTATTTTTAGTAGAGACGGGGTTTCACCGTGTTAGCCAGGATGGTCTCCATCTCCTGACCTCGTGATCCGCCCGCCTCGGCCTCCCAAAGTGCTGGGATTACAGGCGTGAGCCACCGCGCCCGGCCCACACTGACTTTCTACCAGACACAGAAGGAACTAATACAGAAGGCTAATCATCAGTAGTTTTTGAATCCACCAATAACAAATAAATAAATAAAATGTATTTAAGTTTAAATAATTTTATTTTATAAATTACATACTTAAATAGAACAATTTAGATGTTACTTACATGCATATGTTATTTCTATTTGTTATTTAACTTTAAAATATCTTAAACCTGTATACTTAAATTGTGTGTCAAATGTATATTTTATATTGTATGTTATTATATATTTATATACACACATATATACATACACATACATACACACTGACTTTTCACACATATACACACAGTCTGAAATTTACCTTTTGACTACCAACACAATTATTACACCATTACTTTTATTAAATGTTTTTAAATAGGAGCCTCATTTAAATCTACTGCATATTCTTTTAACTTGCTTGTGTCTAAAAGTTTTTAAGGCAGCTTACAAAACTACGTACTATAAACTGAGGGCAGCAAAAATAAAGCCTGAGATATAGCTAATATTCAAATTACACATCAAAAGACCCTCCCTGATTCCTAGAGGTCAGCCATAGATGGCTAACAGATCACCCAACTATAAGGAGAGACCCCTATCCACTCAGTTGCTAGTGAATATACAGTAACACAGTCAACAAAGCACATGAAATGCATTCACCAGGACTTGGGATAATCACCCGGCATGGTTTATCCTGGGCCTTTCTTTCCACTACTCTCTCTATGACTTTCAACTCACAGCCTTTATACTGGCTGGTCCTTCCCCTCTTGACTGTCCTTTTTCAGATGACTCCAGACTGTCCATCCTAGCCACCAACCATTGTAAACTCAGATCCTGGCATGGAGTATTTACTCACCAATAAATGTCAAGTAAAAGAGGCAGGCAGGCAGGCAGGAAGGAAGGAAAGAAGAAAAAGAGAAAGAAAAGAGGAAAGGGAAGGAGAGAGGAGAGGAGAGGAGGGGATGGCAGGGGAGGGAGGGGGAAGGAGAAGGAAGGAATGAGAAGGCCCTCAGGGGGTCTGGGGTTGTAGCATAAAAGGGCCCATAACTGTAAAAAATGATATTTTACAGTTCAGGTTTTAACCTTGAAGTGCACACAGACCTTAATACAGCACTGTTTAAGCATTAGGACTAAAGCTTGAATTTTCACGGGGTAAACTGATATTTGAAGAACCTATGCAATATTTCCTTTCTAGTTTCTAATGTTCCTTGAATGGCTCAAGCTTGAAACCACTGGGATCAACATCTGTCATCAAACAGAGCTTGAAATCAGCTACCATCGGAGTTGACATTTGTAGGACACCTGCCCTCACCCTGGCCTCCGCTGAGCTCCTGCTTGGCTCCCTAGAGTACTTCTGCTCCTTCCTGGGTGCCAGTCCTGCTGGCATGGGGTCATCAGTGCCTGCCTTTAGCAACTCTGCTTGGTCTCACTTTCTGCTTCTAACAGTCTGGGAGCACCAGGTAAGCAGGTGGTAACAACAACATGCAGACTCAGAGAATAAGACCATGAGGAACTCCACATGTTTGAAGCAGGGTCTTTAGCACAAAGGTTTGATCCTTTAAATTTAACCTTTCATGGGCCTTTTATGTAATTCCTGGTTCTGACTTATCTATGGGTTCATGGAATAATCTCAGGGTGAGAAAGCACTTTCTCCCTCTCTCTATAACCTGTAACTCTCTCTCTCTCTCTTTCTCTCCCTCTCTCTCTCTCTCTCTGTGTGTGTGCATGTGTGCGTGTGTGCGTGCGTGTGTGTGTGTGTGTGTGTGTGAGAGAGAGAGAGAGAGAGAGAGAGAGAGAGACTGCCTGCTCACACGTAGAGGGTAAGCACTCCAGGTAGCTATAAAACATTTCACCAGTGAAGCATACTGCTATTGTCTCTCAGGCAGGCTTGGGTGTTGCATGAGGTGAGGCTGGAGGGGGCTGCTGGAGCCACATCCTTAGAGAGGTAGAAGTCACACCAAGTCATGTGGGTTCATGCTGAGAGTAATCAGAGCTACTCAACCATTTCCAGCAGAGGGATACATGAGAAGATTTGAATTTTAGCAAAATCAGCATAACTGCAGGGTGGGGAATCCATTGGAAGGGCTGAGGGTGAAGGCAAGGAAGCCCGTGAGAAAGTTAATAATCTTAGAGACGGAACCAGGGGAGAGGCAGTGAAGATGGGCAGCTTCTAGAAACATTCTAGAGAGAACCTATGAAGCTGCTTGAGGGTGAGGGCTGTTTCCAGGGAGACATCCAGGTTTTTGGCATGAGTTTTCATAGATGGTTCTGCTATTCACTGAGATAAGGAGCACAGGAGAGAGAAGAGAGTTGTAGCCAGCATAGTGAAGAGGCCATTGCCAGTTGATTAGAGTCAAATTTATGTACATTCTGGTTCTTGTACACTCTAGATGGCACTTCGCAAACTAAGGCACATTCAAATCCCTGGGGTATCTTATGAAAACACAGGCACTGGTTCAGGAGATCCAGAGAGGGGTTGATGTTTCTGTCTTTCTAACAGTTGATGCTCATCTTGCTGGTCAGGGACCACATTTTGAATTAAGGCTCCACATTAATCAAAACTTTTCCTGTTATGCACCCATTCTCAATGAACTTACCAACTCTATGAGTGTGTCGCCCTCTCTGTACTCCGCACCTGGAACAGTGGCTGGCTGGAGACGGACACCTTTGTTGAGCCCCAGCAGCAAAGCCCTTCCTCTCTGAGTTTCTGCTTCCGCAGCAAGGGCTGCTCTGCTAAAGTGATGCCAGAGAGCTTGGAAGTCTCTGTGGAGATCACGGCTTCTCTCCATATCGGGGATCCAGGAAAAGAGACGTTTGGTCTCTGGAAACTTCTATTTGAAGGCTCAGTCATGTCTGAGGTTGTCTTTCTGCATCAGATTGCCTGATAGTTTCAATGAGAAACTGCTGAACTCTGAAGTTTGACTCTGCTGCATTTCAGGGGGAGAGGTAAGCTTTTTATTCTTTTCTGTCTCCGTGGGCACAGAGTGACACATGCACAGTCAAGAAGAGGAGAAAGGCATCCACCCAAAGGAAAAAAGGTAAAAATCAAATCATCTCACTAAAGACGCCACTGTGACAAGGGTTCCCTTGGGAATTACAGCCAGAATACCTCTCACCTGGGAGGGATATTATAGCTCGAACAGTGAAAAGAAAAAGCTTTATTTCACTATTGTCTTTTCCAATTATTGTGCCCCTTGAAAGATTAAGCAAATGGTTTATTTTTCCTTGGCTTCATTTCCAGAATCACCTTTACTGGACACAATTTAAATTCTAGTTATTTCCCCACCAAAAGCCAACAAAAATGAGTTCAAGAGAGTTCACAGCGATTTCAAAGAGAATTCACAGAGATTCTGCAGCCACGTGGAAAGAATATTATAGGAGATTCTACCATACTATGCAATCCTCATGTATAATAGGATAGTCAGAGGTCATGGGCACTATTCTCTAGGTCTATGCTTCTAAAAAACCACAACACAAAAGTAATGCTATAAAATTTGCATAAAGAAAAGAAAATTTTGTGATGGTTAATTTGATGTCAAATCAGCTAGGCCACAGGGGGCCCAGGCATTTAGTCAAGCATTATTCTGGGTGTTTCTGTGAGGGTGTGTTTGGATGAGATTGATATTTTAGTCAGTGGACTCTGAGCAAAGCAGACTGCCCTCCCTAATGCGGGTGACCTCATCCAATCAGTTAAAGGCCTAAATGGAACAGGAAACTGAGCTCCCTCAAGCAAAATAATTCTTCTGCTGATGGCCTTCAAACTGGAACATCAGTTCCTTCCTGGGTCCCCTGCTGACTTTGAACTTAAACTGCAACATTTGCTCTTCTCAAGGTCTCCAACCTCTTGGCCCACCCTGCAGATTCTGGATTTATCAGCCTCCGTAATCACGTTGGCCAATTCCTTAAAATAAATATCTTCTATATATAAATAAGGGCCGGGCGCGGTGGCTCACGCCTGTAATCCCAGCACTTTGGGAGGCCGAGGCGGGCGGATCACGAGGTCAGGAGATCGAGACCATCCCGGCTAAAACGGTGAAACCCCGTCTCTACTAAAAATACAAAAAAATTAGCCGGGCGTAGTGGCAGGCGCCTGTAGTCCCAGCTACTCGGGAGGCTGAGGCAGGAGAATGGCGTGAACCCGGGAGGCGGAGCTTGCAGTGAGCCGAGATCCCGCCACTGCACTCCAGCCTGGGCGACAGGGCGAGACTCCGTCTCAAAAAAAAAAAAAAAAAAAAAAAAAAATAAGTACCATTGGTTCTGTTTCTCCAGAGAACCCTAAGACATCTTCCATCCCCTAAATTTTGGAAATGGAAATAAAAATCAAAGATATATTATTCAGTTAGGATACAACGTAAGATTTTGTAGGTGTGTTAGTCTGCTCTTATGCTGCTAATAAAGACATATCAGAGACTGGGTAATTTATAAAGGCAAGAGGTTTAACTGACTCACTGTTCCACATGGCTAGGGAGGCCACACAATCATGGCAGAAGGTGGATGAGAAGCAGAATCATGTCCTACATGGCAGCAGGCAAGAGAGTGCGTGTGCAGGGGAACTCCCCTTTATAAAACCATCAGATTTCCTGAGACTTATTCATTATCATGAGAACAGCCCAGGAAAGACCCACCCCCATGATTCAATTACCTCCTGCCGGGCCCCTCCCATGACACGTGGGAATTATGGGAGATAAAATGCAAAATGAGATTTGGGTGGGGACAGAACCAAACCATATCAGTAGGTCTATGTGATTTGCTAAGGACAGTGTTATACACAATAAATACAGTATTTTTTTAAAAAAATGGAATCTATAATTGGATTCTAGACATTTTAATTTCTTTTACTTACTATGTAGGTTCACACAGTATATTTTCATTACATGGATGTTGAAATATTACTTTCCCACTGTGTGGCTGATGGATCACATACCATCCTCCTCTCCATGCAGGAATCAGGTAAGGGTATGTGAGAGGAAGGAGGTTAGGGTTGGGAAGTCTTTGTTTAACTTCCACCTCATTCTTGAGAAAAGATTTGAGAGAGGTCTGGCTGGAGTACCCCCACCCTGACGTCACAAAGAGGTTGTCTAGAGCCATTTGGCAGTGCAGGCAGGAGCTTCTGGCACTTGGTAGGATGAGGACCAATTGTTAATGTGCTTTCTTTGCTTAGTTTTTATCCCCACATTCTCTCCCACTGTCCTGCAAGGTTTCTGTCTCATGGACATGAAAATGTGTCAGTATAAACACCAGCATTCTCTATTCACACAAGGATTCCTTGTCACTGGGGATTTTTGCTGACTTCTATTAGTGTAAAAATCATTCTTCAACTTTCTCTAAAATTGCCAAACTTTGGCAAAATAATTAATTAAAACAGATTTAAGGTCACTTTTTAAACTACAGATGACATGGATGAGCTCCATTATTCTTTTACGTGACTTGGGCACATGAGGAATTCAAACATAAAACTTCACCAGCTTATAAAATCTGTGAGTCTCTGCCCCCGTGTTTTAAGATGTTTGTAAAATTTCAAAGTATTTTGTCTTACGATATCATAAAAGAAAGTGCAATTTTAGAGTCTAAAATTAATTTAATTACGAACACTTCAAATGTGTTCTCTTATTCTTTTTTAAAAATAAATGCTTTCTAGTGAAAAATCTATTTTTCTCTTTGACAGGTAATAAGGCAAAATTCTGGGAGGTTATTGGTAATTGCTCTCTTTTTTTATCTCATATCTCCTGTTCACATTGTCAACAAATCCTACTTATTCTACCTGCAAAATATGACCAGAGAGTGATTGCTTCTGCCTAACCTTTTTGCCACGATTCTCTTATTGTCAAGCATTGCTGGGACTCTGGCAATTTTCCCTTGCAGGCCTGCCTCTTTCTAGTGTTGCACGCCACCCCCACCCTCCAGTCACCTCTGTCTTTTCTCAGTTCAGCAACTGCTGCAGTTGCTAAAACAGAAATTAGATTCTCTGTTCAAATCCATGCAAAAGTACCCTGTACCATTCAAGGGTATTCCAAGGGCTGCAATACCCCAGGTAACCTGTCTCCCATTTCCTCTCTGTCCTACCTACCCTCCTTCTATAAACACCCCCACACCCAATTCATTCAACCCAGGCACACTGGCCTTTGTGCTGTTTCTGCAACATGCTAGTCACACTCCTGCCCTAAGACCTTTGCCTAGCTTCTCTCTCTGCCTGAAAAGCTCTTCCTCTAAATACATTTCACCAGCAACTTCCCTTCCTTTAAGCATTTCCTCGGATGCCACTTTCTCAGCAAGCCCTGTTTGAAGCATTTTGCCCCCACTGACTATTGCCAACCCCTATGCCATCACTCCCAACCCCCCTTCCCGGGGGTCTCATTTCTTTCACACATGCTACACATAACATTTGATCATACTATGTAATTTACATATTTATTAGGTTTGATGTAGTACCCTTCTTCCCACAACAGAAATCCCATAAAGGAAAACTTTTGTCTGTTATGTTCACTCAAATATCTAAGACACCTAGAATAATGACCAGAGTATAATAAGTAACCAATAAATATCTTTCAAATAAATCAAGTGATTTTTCCATTGCTTTAGAAAAAAAAAATCCTATTCTAGTGCTTCAGAGCCTTTGATAAATTCTACTTTATAATGCATGTGTTATTAGGTATAGATTATAGATAATGAGGATAAGTTCCACTTAAATTAAGAAATTGGCTTGCTTTCTATTTGAATATAGGTCATTGGTAGCCAGTTATATAAAAATAAGAAAAAAGAACTAATTGAGAACAGGCTGACTTCCCACCACACTCCCAGAGCAGATTCCAAGACCAAAGAAATAAAATAAAACTCTAAAGGAACTAGAAATTTATGATCTTTCTCACAAATAATTCAAAAAATTTTTAAGAAACCTCAGAACTCTTCAAAAAATACAGAGAAACAATTCACTGAGATCAGGAAACAATAAATGATCAATATTAGAAATTTAGCAGTGAGATTGACATTTTTTTTTAAAAGCAAATTCTGGAGCTAGAAAATACAATCGAGGAGCAGAAAAATGCAATAAAGGTCATCAACAGTAGACCTGATAAGGCAGAAGAAAGAATCTGTGAACTTAAAGAAGAAATTATATAATTAGAACAGAAAAAAAGAAAGAATGAGAAAATTTGAAGAAAGTATACATGGAATTATATGACCAATTCAAGAAAGCAAATCTTTGCATTACAGGAGTTTGAGGCAAAGAAGAGGAAGACTAAGAGGTAGAACACTTACTTAAAAAACTAATAGTATAAAACTTTCCAAATCTAGGGAAAGGTATAAATATACAGGTACAGAAAAGTCAAAATTTTCAATCAGATTCAATGCAAGCAAGACTACACCAAGACATGCTATAATCAAACTATCAAAAATCAAAGACAAAGAGAGGAGCCTGAAAACAGCAAGAGAAAATAAGTGAATCAAAAATAAAGGGGTTCCAATAAAGCTAGCAGCAGATTCCTCAGAAGAAACCTTACAAACCAGGAGGAGGTGGGATGATACATGCAGAATGCTGAAAGAAAAAACTGCCAATTCAACAAACCTGTCCTTCAGAAAAGGACATAACTTTAATTGTATACAAAATCTCTATACTTTTACTCTTGCCAACACTTATATTTTTAATGTCAAAATTTTACATTTTTAAATATTAGCTTATTATTAGGAGAAATAAAGGAAGAATAAAAATTGTCCCAGGAAAACATAAAGCTGAAGTAGTTCATCACCAGCAGACCCCTTTTACAAGAAACACTAAAGGGAGCTCTACAGGCTGAAAGAACATTAATAAACAACACGAAAATATATGAAAGTTAAAACTCAGTCTAAGTAAGTAAATGGTCAAATTAAGTATACTCTAATACTGTAATGGTAGTATGTAAATTGCTTATATCTTTAGTATGAAGGTTCAAAGACAAAACCATTAAAAATAATATTAGCTACAACAATTTGTTAAGAAATATGCAATATTAAAAGATCCAAATTGTGACATCAAAAATAGAAAACTGGCTGGGCATGGTGGCTCACACCTGTAATCCCAGCACTTTAGGAGGCCGAGGCAGGTGGATCCCCTGAGGTCAGGAGTTCGAGACCAGCCTGGCTAACATGGTGAAACCCTGTTTCTACTAAAAATACAAAAAATTAGCTGGGCATGGTGGCACGTGCCTGTAATCCCAGCTACTCGGGAAGCTGAGGCAGGAGAATCACTTGAACCCGAGAGGCAAAGGTTGCAGTGAGTCAAGATCGTGCCATTGCACTCCAGCTTGGGCAACAAGAGCAAAACTCCATCTCAAAAAAAAAAAAAAAAATATATACATATATATACATATATATATAAACTGTTGGGCGAAGTGAAAGTGTAGCCTTTGTATGCAATTAAAGTTATGTCATTAGTAGCTTAAAATAGCCTGTTATAAATATAAGCCACCTATGTAATCCTCATGGTAATCATAAAGCAAAAACCTATAGTAGACACACAAAGATAAAAAGTAAAGGATCAAAGCACACCACTAAACAAAATCACCTAATCACAAAGGAAGACAGCAAGAGAGGAAGAAAGAAACAAAGGATCTACAAAACAACCAGAAAGCCAGTAACAAAGTGACACTAATAAGTCCTTACCTATTTACAATTACCTTGAATGTAAATGGATTAAATTTTACAACAAAAAGACAAAGAGTGGATAAGTGGATTTAAAAAGAACACAACATGACCCAACTATGTGCTGCTTGTAAGACAGTCACTTCAGATTTAAGGACATGCATAGACTGAAAGGCCATAAGTCTTAACAAATCTAGGGAGATTGAAATCACATCAGGTATCTTTTCCAACCACAATGGTATGAAACTAGAAATCAATAACAGGAGAAATTTTGGAAGATTCACACATACATGGAAATTAAACATGTTCCTGAATGATCAATGGGTCAAAGAAGAAATTAATAGGTCATTTTTTACGTCTAAATTTTAAGTACTAAAATATCATTGAGACTAATGAAAACAGAGACAGTGTGCCAAAACTTATAGGATGTAGCAAAAGTAGTTCTAATAAAGAAGTTTTTAACAAAAAAACTTTTAAATTAAAAAAAAAAGATGATTTCAAATAACCTAAAGTTACACTTCAAGGAACAAGAAAAAGGAGAACAAACTAAGCCCATAATTGGTAGAAGGGAGGAAATAATAAAGGTCAGTACAAACACAAATAAAATAGAACTAGAAAAACAATAGAAAAGATCAACAAAACTAAAGTTGGGTTTTTTTTTTTCAAAAATAGAACCAACAAATCGTTAGCTAGACTAAGAAAAAAAGAAGACAAAATCAGAAATAAAAGGAGAAACATTACACCTGATACAACAGAAATACGAAGGATTATAAAAAGCTAATATGAACAGTTATACACCAACAAACTGGATAACATAAAAAAACAGATAAATATCTAGACACATACAACTTACCAAGACTGAATCATGAATATAACAATCTGAATAGATCAGAGATGAGTAACAAGATTGAGTCAATAGTAAAAAGACTCTAATCAAGGAAAAATCCAGGACCTGATGGCTTCATTGATAAATTCTATGAAATATTGAAGAACTAATCCTAATCTTCCCCAAATTATTTTAAAAAGTCTAAGAGGTGAAGCTTGCAACTCATTTAACAAGGTCAGCATTACCCTGATACCAAAGCCAGACAAGAACACTCTAAGAAAATTGCAGGCCCGTATCCTAGCAAACCAAATTCAACAGCGCACTACAAAGGCTATTCACCTTGATCAGTACGATTGGTCCCTAGAATGGAAGAATGGTTCAATACATGCAAATCAATACATGGGATGCACCACATTACCACAATGAAGGGGAAAACCACGTGCATCTCAATAGATGCAGAAAAGGCTTTTGAGAAAATTCAAAATTATTTCATGATAAAATTCTCAACAAATTAGGTATAGAAAGAATGTTGCTCAATACAATAAAGGGCATATGTGACAAACCCAAAGCTAACATTGTACACAATGATGAAAAATTGAAAGTTTTCCTCTAATATCAGGAAGAAAATAACTATGCCCACTCTTGTCCTTTCTGTTCTACTTCTCTGGAAGTCCTAACTGGAGAAATTAGGAAAAAGAAAGGAATTAAAAACATCCAAATTGGAAAAAAAAGAAGTTAAATTGTCACTGTTTGCAGGCTACATATCTTTTATGTAGAAAATTCTAAATACTCCACCATAAAACTATTAGAACTAATAGATAAATACAAAAAAATTACAGAATACAAAATCAACACATAAAAAGTAGTAGAATATTTATACTCTAACAATGAACTATCCAAAAAAGTTATCAAGAAAATAGTCTCATTTTTTACAGCTGCCAAAAAATAGTAAAATATCTAGGAATAAGTTTAACCAAGGAAGTGAAAAATCTGTACACTAAAAACTACGACATTGTTAAAAGAAATTTAAGAAAATACAAATTGAAAAATATTCTATGTTTATGGATTGGAATAATTAATGTTGTTAAGATGTCCATATTACCCAAAGTGATCTACAAATTCAATGCACTCCCTATCAAAATGGCATTTTTCAAAGAAATAGAAAAAAATTAGCATAAAATGTATATGAAACCCCATAAGACCCCCAAATAGCCAAAGCAATCTTGAGCAAAAGAACAAGTTGGAAGCATCACACTACTTGCCTCCAAAATATATACAAAGCTACAGTAACCAAAACAGATGGTACTGGCATAGAAACAGACACACAGACCAGTTGCACAGAATACAGAATAAAGAGCCCAGAAACAAATCCACACATTTACAGTCAATAGATTTTCAACAAAGGTGCCAGGAACACACATTGAGGAAAGAACAATCTTAAATAAATGGTTCTGGGAAAACAATATCCACATGCAGAAGAATGAAATTAGACCCTTATCTCACACCATATACAAAAATCAACTCAAAATGGATTAAACACTTAAACATAAGACTTGAAGTAAATACAGGGGAAAGGCTCCATAATATTGATCTTGGCAATGAATTTAGTATGTGACCCTAAAAGCACAGGCAACAAACGTAGACAACTAGGATTATATCAACTTAAAAAGCTTCTGCACAGCAATGAAGACAATCAGCAAAGAGAACCTATGGAATAAGAGAATATATTTTCAAGCCATATGTCTGATAAGGGATTAATATCTAAAAGATATAAGGAATGCAAACAGCTCAATAGCAAAGAAACAAATAGCCTAATTAAAAAATGGCCAAAGAACCTGAATAGACATTTCTCAAAATAGGACATTCAAAAGGCCAATCGATACATGAAAAAATGCTCAACATCATTAATCATCAGCAAAATGGAAATTAAAACCACAATGAGATGTCACCTCACACTTATCAGATGGCTGTTATCAAAAAGACAAAAGATAATAAGTATTGGTGAGGATGTGTATCAAAGAGAACCCTAGTACTCTATTGGTGGAAATTTACACTGGTACAGCCATTTTTGGAAACAGTATAGAGGTTCTTCAAAAAATCAAAAATAGAACTACCATATTATCCAGTAATTCCACTGTTGGATCTATATCCAAAGGCTGTGAATTAAATCAGCGTATCGAAGAGATATCTCCACCTCCATGTTCATTGCAGCATTATTCACAATAGACAAAAATTAGAATCAACCTAAGTGTCAACAGAAGAATAAAGAAAATTTACACAAGTAAATAATATTCAGCTTTATAAAAAAGGAAATTCTGTCATTTGAAACATGGCTAAGCTTGAAGGACATTATGTTAAGTAAAATAAGCCAGACACAAATGACAAACACTGCTTGATCTCATATGTGAAATCTAAAAGAATTAAATTCATAGAAGTAGTGAGTAGAATGGTGGTTTCCAGGGGTGGGGGCAGGGGTGGGGAGTTGGGGAGATGTTGGTCAAAGACGACAAAATTTCAGTCAGACAGAAAGAATAAGTTCAAGAAATCTATCCTACAACACGGTGACTGCAATTAATAACAACATATTGTATTCCTGAAAAGCCCTTAGAGTAAATTTGAAGTGTTCTGAGCATAAAAATAAGTATATTCAGTAATGCATAGGTTAATTAGCTCAATTTAGCCATTCCCCAATGTATACATATAAGAAAACATCCTGTTGTACACAATAAATATATATACATTTATTTGTCAATATACAAATAAATTGTTTAAAAAATAAAGTTAATTGGGATTGCTTTTCATAAAGATCAGCTTGCATACATTTGCCTTTGCAGAGTTTTGCATCACTAAATGGAAGCTGATTTCTAACTTGTATTTCCAGCTATGAGAACTGCTATGTTGGAATTGGTCAAAATAACGTGGATTTTGAAACCACTAAAATTATGAAATATGAAGTACTGGATTTCGAGTATAATCCAACAGACTCATCAAAGTCTAGCACATGGTAGGTTGCATAGTAAAGTGTTAAGAGTATGGATTTTGGCATTAGATCTGGGTTTCAAAATCTGCACATGTCATAACCTTTCTGTGTCTCGGTTTTCCTCATTTATAAAACGGGAATAATAACTCTGTGTCATTGGGCTGCTTAAATGTTTGGCACAGTGCCTCCTTCACAATGAGAGTTCAGGACATATCTCATTTTGTTGCCAGGAGGAATTACTATTGTCAATTGTATATGAAGGCAACAATGACCCACCATTACGAGCTGAGTAACCTTAAAGAGCTCACTGTATTTCAGTGAGCCTCAGTTTGATTATCTAAAAATGGGAATACGCCACACCTGCTCTGCAAGACTGCTGTGAGGACTAAACAAAGCAATGCGTATAAAAAACCACACAGTGGCTGGCCCATGGGCTTCCCTTTCTGCTGTAGATGGGTGTTTTAGAGACAACTTCCCTAGGATTGGAAGAAAGGTGGTAGAAACTGACTTCTGTATAAACCAGCAAGATTATAAAAACAGCTGCCTGGCATTGTTCAGGATTTATAAGCACATGTATTTCACATATACCTATGTAAACATGAATATATATACAGTATGTGTATATATATATAATATGTATATATGCACTATGTATATATATATATATAGTGTGTGTGTATATATATACCCATATATATATATATATATATATATATATAGATATATATATATGGGTGTATATATATATGGGTGTGTGTATATATATATATATATATATGGGTGTATATATATATATGGGTGTGTATATATATATATATATATATATATATATATATATATACCCATCACTGACAGATATATGAGAGAAAAAATATGGTACATATTATAAGAGAGTAATAAAACATTCTTACAATTCTCAAATAGAATTTTAGAATCCACAGAATTTCTCAATGCTAAGAAGGGAGATTAATTTAAACACAAGAGAATTTCTCATTATAGCAATGTAATACGCAGCTCATTCTTTATCATGTAAGAGAGCTGGAGCTATAAATAATGCCTTGTAGTATGAGTAATAATTCCTGAAAAAAATTAACTGGAATGAAGCAGGTTTTTAATACAGTATTCAATGAAATCATCTAAATTTACCTAAGCTAGAAACAGACTACTTTGAAATAAGTGTATGAATACTTGCAGACTATAAAAGATTGAAAAGATTACTACTATTTTATCTGTTTATGTGGTCATATACCACAATAGAGTAAAACACCATATGTCAAATATCTAGACAGCTATTGAGGAATCTAGCTCAACAATACAAGTGATCCTAGCCACAAGATTAAACAGTTCTGACACAAATAGTCCATCTCTTCACAGGTTTCTCTCTTGCTCTTTGAATACCTCAATCAGACATTCAGATTAAAGCAAACAAAAAAACCAAAACTCTACTACATATAGGATGATAGCAGCCAGAACCTTCCAATCTGTGCCAGCCTCTAGATGAAAGATCTCTGTTCTTATTTAAGAAGGCACTCACCAGCAACGCATGTGTCTCATTTACTATGTGGGACAAACTATGATCCAACGTGCCCATTAAGTTTCTGGGGAAAGTTTAAGAAATAATTAGGGAATTTAACTTTACTTTTCTCTTGCTCTTTTCCAAACCATATCTAAGACAGTTGGGTTAAAGAAGCAGAAATGCAATTAAATTTAGCAAATATTTTTTGAAAACTTCTCAGATGCATAGAAGGAAGTCATCCAAGTGTCTGTGCTGGAGGTGAAGATCTGAGCACCCTTCTTTTTTTCTTTTTCTTTTTCTTTTGGAGACAGTGTCTCACTCTGTCACCCAGGATGGAGTGTAGTGATGCGATCTCGGCTCACTGCAATCTTTGCCTCCTGGGTTCAAGTGATTCTCTTGCCTCAGCCTCCTGAGTAGCTGGGACTACAGACACCCACCACCACACCTGGCTAATTTTTGTATTTTTAGTAGAGACAGGGTTTCACCATGTTGGCTAGGATGGTCTCGATCTCCTGACCTCACGATCCACCTGCCTCGGTCTCCCAAAGTGCTGAGATTACAGGCGTCAGGCGTGAGCCACTGCGCCCGGCTGAGTACCCTTCTTTAGGAAGAAAACTTCAGCAGTACTGGGAGGGAGGAGGAGAAAAGGGAGATTGCAGGAAAAAAGTCTCAGGACAACACATGATTTGCTTCTTTTTGCCTTTTTCCTAAATATTTATGAAATAGTTTCTAAATATTTTGTTTTTTAAGTTTTCTGAAGAAAGCCCTTTAAATACATATATTTCATAAATACAGGATTTATGTCTTGTTTTATGAGTAACATAGACATTCTAGTAATAAACTGCTTATTTCTGTAGTCTATGTCTTTATGTCTTTCAACTGATTAAGACTCCTGCTTCTATTAATTTTTCCAGAAACCTTCCAGGAATAAATATCTGTTTTAAAAGAGAGATTAAGTGACCAGCAAGACCTCACTATTGAATGTCAACTTAACTATTTTCTTTCCAAATCTTACTTTTCTTTTTCTAATTCACAGCTTCATGGATGCAGACGGTACTCTTGACCTTGGAGATCTACATCATATTCTTCAGCATATTAAAGCTCCAGAAGGGAAGAGATGGCACCTTCAAGCTCAATCATTAATAAAGGGGCAATTTACAAAGCCAGTGCAGTACCCAGGGGCTAAGAGCAGCTCAAAACTGTCATCTTCCCTAGGCATGGAGGGTTAGTGGGCAGGAGTGGTTTCAGAGCAACCTGAATGGGAAGGAGCAGGTGAAACAAAATCAACTCTCTAACGATACTGCTCTTCTGCCCTATAGTCTCCTGCTGATGCCTCCCATTGTGGAACCTGGTAGGAAGCCCATGACCTGGGAGCCCATTGAGGCAGCCAGCCTCCTGGGGCTCAGAGCAGGGTGAAGACAGGGAAAGAGTGGGCTTGGAGAGGCAATATGGTAGGTATGCAGCACGAGGCTTCTCTTTTTAAAGAGAGCAAGCTCAAAGAGAATTTCATTGCAGAGATACTCCAAACAATATCTATTACTGCAAATATTACTTCATACAGCCTAAAGGTAGAATTAGTAGTCTCTTCTCAGCAGGGTTACCATATTTAGCTAATACAGGACACCATTTCAATCTAAATGTTAGTTACATAATGCATAATTTTTAGGATAAGTATGCTCCACACAATATTTGGAATATACTCACACTAAATATTATGTTTTGTTTATCAGGAATTCAAATTGAACTGGGCATCCTCTATTTTATGTGACAACCTCACCTCTTTGTATATTAAAATATATATTCTTCAAATACATATTTGAAGTATTGTTATTACTTCTGTCCCAAACACTAGAGGAAATGATGCGTTTCTACCCAGGTGTGTTATATTTAGTATTATTCCTGTGAGCTTTATATTTGTGCTCCCCTTTTCAATCTGTGTCTTGAGTCCTCCATTTTTAAAAATTATGCTCCCTACTTTTATTCATTGTGATATATAAAGACTGTCTCCACAGAGAATGTACTGATTTCACTGAGGTCATCCATGAGCTGCCTCTTTTCTCATGAGAATAAATTTTTAAAGGCATTAAGCTTCGTATTCTTTTATTTTTTGTTTTGAGATGGAGTTTTGCTCTTGTTGCCCAGGCTGAAGTGCAATGGCACGATCTCTGCTCACAGCAACCTCCGCCTCCCGGGTTCAAGCGATTCTCCTGTCTCAGCCTCCAGAGTAGCTGAGATTACAGGCATGCACCACCATGCCCAGCTAATTTTTGTATTTTTAGTAGAGACAGGGTTTCACCATGTTGGTCAGGCTGGTCCGGAACTCCCGACCTCAGGTGATCCACCCCCACCTTGGCCTCCCAAAGTGCTGGGATTATAGGCGTGAGCCACAGCGCCGGCTAATGGATTATTAATGTTCTTTCCGGCTGCAGTGATTTTCTAATTTTGCTTTTGAATTGTATATATCTTGAAGAACTTAGAAGGTTTCTCATTCTTTCATATATCTAAACCAGGGACTCTTAATCTGGGGCCTGCATACCCTCTATGCATAAAATTCAGGAAGCTCCCTGAAGCTGGGTATAGGAAAACATTTGTTCTATTTTTCACTAACCTCTAACTGAAATTTATCATGTTTTAAAATTATTAATATAGGCAACAAACCACAGTAGTATTAGTACTGTGACTTCATCATCAATAAAAATTACTAATATTTTCAAAATCACATTTCAGATATAGCTCTCTATACATTTTTATTGACACTAATAACTTCTTAAAATTTGCTATGGACACAAATCTAGTGTGTCATTTAATAAATTAATCAAGAAGAACATATCATACATCATGGATTTTATCTAATTTGATAACTGTATTAGTTTACTATTGCTGCTGTAACAAATCGCCACAAACTTGATGACATAAAAGAATACCAAGGTATTATCTATAGTTCTGTAGGCCATAAATCCAAAATGGGTCAAGCTGGGCTAAAAGCAAGGGGTTGGCAGGCCGTCTTCTTTCTACAGGCTCAAGGGGAGAATCTATTTTCTTATTTTTTCCAATGTCTAGAGGCTGCCCAAACCCCTCGGTTCATGGTCTCCTTCCATCTTCAAAGCCAGCAATGGCCCATCGAGTTTCCCATTGCATCACTCTGACACGGGTTCTCCCGTCTCTTCCTTCTACTTTTAAGGACTCTTGTCATGACATTGGACTCACCCAGATAATCCACAATAATTTTCTTATGTCAAGGACAGCTGAGTAGCAAACTTAATTCTATCTCCACCTTTAATTTCCCCTTGCCATAGGACATAACATATTCACAGGTCTGGCAACTAAGCCACAGGCATTTTTGGGGAGTCATAATTCTGCCTAACATATATATTAGTAATAATTTGCTAAATGATTTCCTTTATAATATTATGTATAATTTTTTTTATTTAACAAAACTATCCTGAGGAGAGTTCCATGGGCTCCATGAGTTTGCCAGAGAGCTCTACGGCACACAGCAGGTTAAGAACGTCTCATTTGCGACAGTGATGCTGACAATTAGAACCATAGCATTCCTTTAAGGAAATATCTGCTACAAAGTCACTTGCATATGTTCTCTTTACTTCCTACTTCCCAACGTTACGCATTAAGAATATCTATTATGCTACTTTTACAGAAGAAGAAACCAGGGTTTGGAGAGTGATCTGCCAAAGGCCACACTGCTGATGGGTTGCAGGGCTAAATTCAAAGAGCGCTCCACCGACCTTGGAGCTGAGGCTCCCATGCTTCAAGTCTTCTTCGAGCATTGCCCTGTATTCACTCACCGCCTGATATGCTTCGACCAAGAGGATATTAGTACCAGATGAGTATCAGCCTACACTGTTTATTCCCCCTCTTATGGATGCATCTGACCAGACTAGAAATGTTATCTTTGAAAAACAAACTCTAGCTACCTCTGTCCCCAGCTTTCCTGCATTATCAGAGAAAACTTTATTAACATGCACTTATAACAAGACTAGCACATGTTTCTCCCACCAACTGTTGTAGCTAGAATGAGCAAGTGAGCAGGTGGCAGTGCTATCAAGGAGCTGTCAGATGCCAACTTCACGCTGCACATCCGCTGATTTTCAGTGGGTTACCTTACCTCAGGTAGCTACAAGAACTCTCAAACAAAAATACACTGAAGATCTGGAACACAAATCTTTAAGTCATTAACATTCGTCTCTTTAATTTCAGGGCTTACCCAGGGTCCTATTTTCTCTGGATTTCTCAAGCCACAAAGATTAAGATCTAGCTCTGATTTTCATGTATTTGTTTGATTTGGTTTTGGTTTTAGTTTTGGCTGGATAGTATCTTCACTGTGCAACTTGGAACCGTATTTGACCTGGTAATTCAGGTCTGAATTGGCACTGATTTACAGCCACTGTGAATTGATGGTCATGGGTTATCATTGTAGTTGGTCATTTCTGCTAGTTCACTGACTAGTGGAACCTCTCTTCCAGGCTTTCATCAGAAAGATGCTATTGGATATTTCAAAAGAGCACCAGAGCTCCCCAACAGTGGCTCATAAACGTTTCTGGTAGAACAAATCCATGGGACACAATATCTCACCGTGACTCACTGTTCTATCTGGCCAGCTCTAGAAATGAACAGTCTGAGGCTTAGAACATTGAAGGAAAGGAAAGAGAAGAGAAGAGGAAAGAAGAGGGGAGGAGAAAAGAAGAGAAAAGAGGAAGAAAAGAGTGGGGCGAGGAGAGAGGAGGAAGAGGATTTGTTTATCACTCAATAACACCAAGTCTGTACCAGGGATGTTGGCCGACTCCTCAGCCAGGAGGGCATCAAGAATCAGGTCCCAGCAATGGTGATGGCCACGGGGCACACAGCTGTCCCTGCCTTCCCTGTTCTCCATGCCTTCTCTAAGTCTGAGTACTTCCTCCTGCCTCAGCCCTCCCTCGGGAGAACAGTCCACCTGTCACTGAGAACAGAATTCTCGATGTGGAATACTGTGGTTAGCGGGCATTACATTAAAATATACAGGATACAACAAGCTTTAACCTGTCAGCATGGCATGACACTCGTTTTAGAAAGCAAAATAAAAAAAGAAGAACAACAGAAAAACTACATAGGCGATGCGAAAGGCTCAAATAATGCGTGACACAAGATGTTAACAGCTGTTTAAGACCCGAGCTGTGCAACTTCTGGGGCCGCTATCCATCCTGTGTTCCAATGGAACCTGGACTCCCCCTTGAATGGTTCAATACAGAGGACCTGATTATGGATCTCTGGGGGTGAAACTGCAAGTGCATTTTATTTATTTTCTCAGTAACTATTTGCAGTTTTAAGACTATCCAGTGGAAACATGCATTACTTTATTATCAGAAAAAAATCTTTTTATTTGTATTTATTCCCTTATTTGTATAGTATACAGATAAGATATAGTAAGAGTTGACTGTCATACCAGCTCTCATGTCTGCCTCTGAGGCTGGAAATCAAGGGCTGTTTATATGGTTCTCTGGTGCTATGTTACTCAGAAGATTCAAAGGAAGACTGAGGCCACCACCAGGTGGAAGGTAAGAGCCTATCAATGACTTGGTTTTGTGGTACTGTGTCCCACCTCCTGGTTGCCCATTTTTCACAGGTAATTGGAAATAATGGGAAAGCCTTAAGACAACTTTGAGAATGAGTTAGAAAAATCAGTGGAAGTGGATTTAGCCTATCATCACTCACACAGTACAGAGACTCAAACCGTGACAGGCAGCTGGGTTCAAAAACTGCCAGAGATTCAGCACAGTTTGAAAATGACAATTTTTTTGTTGTTGCAGTTTTACAAAGGAAAACAGGATAGAGTTATTTCCATGTAGTTGAGTATTGTTACATGCTAAAAGATTTCTTCCAGTTATTTTTAGCCAGTTTATTTGCTGTTTGATAAGAATAGGAAAGTTTAGTGAAAGTCTTATGATTCACAGCATTCTGAGAAAAAAAAAAAGTCTGGTAAATTCTAAGAAGAAGTCTACTAGTCAGAGCTTTCTCAGTCCCTTTACAACAGCTGGTGGCTTGCTTAAACTGTCTTATGGAATTTCAGACATATCTCTAAAAGGTAAATACTATAATGAATGTCCTACACTTGATAAACATTTGGAGTGCCTTAATTTTCCCACCTGTTTACAGGGACTCTTACTAAGAGAACAGGCTGTTGCTAAGGTACAGGGTGGCTGTCAGAAACTTCTAGCTTCAAATATGCCAATTAAATTACTCTTTGGGGAAGCTCGGCTCATCACGTAAAATCACTCGAGGAGTTACTCTATGATTGTGATATGCAGTGCTTCTCATTTAAAATCCCACTACACTCCCCATATCCAGTCCCTCTGTGTGTGGTGATAACAACATTCTTGACTTTTAACACTTCGCCAACAACTCTATTAATCAAAGTGTGTGTCTACAGGAGACAAGCAAAGTAGCTGTATCTGACTCATTTTCATTCAAGAAAATGTTCAAAATGATGCAAAGAACCACACACACACAAAACAAGATATAAAGTCACTGCTGCAAAGTGAACCACGGATATGATACTCTTAAACTGACTTGTGCTTTTTTCCAGATTCTTAAAGATTTACTGAAGGAACTTTTTTACTAACGCACTTCATGCTTGCATTTCAAAAATGTGTAACGCATTTTATAAGCTACTCTGTTAATCTCAAAGATGAATGAGCATCGGCTAGGCTTAGCTATCAACTGATCTGAAGCCCATGCACGAGGGGACAGTAATGACACTCATCCCACCTGATTTTGAGATAAGCAATAAAGAGTGAATATTCTAGCAAATAAAATCTTCAATTTGAAAGGTTAGATGCCATTTCTCAGAATGTGCTACTGCCTGGGACGTCCATGATGAACATGAAAAATACCAGTGGGAGCCCCGGACTCACTGACTTCACGGAGGAAAAGTAAAACAAGCCAAGGTTGTTTTTACCACTTATTTGCTCCTTCTTGCTTCATTGGAAAAATCAAGTGGCTCAAACAAAATCGGCTTAATTCAGATATAAAGTGCTTAAATGGTATTTGATAACCAGTGACCCCAGATTCAGGAGAGTTAGCAGCCCTTTCACATTTCCAACACCACACTGTCGAGTTTGTATATATGGCCAAAGAAAATGTGGATCTGTGATGAGGACTATGTGTCAAGATTATTTAAAGCAAAGAGCGAGTAACAGTCGTTAGGCTGCAGTAAGAGAATTCAGGAATCACTAGGTATATCCAGGAAGAAGCGTTTTTAAAACTGTTACATTGGAAACATCAGATTGGTGGTTATAAAGGGAAAAAGATATATTTTATCTTATTGTGTTACCAAAATATCAACTTTAAATATAATACAAAAAATATTGGTCTAGTGGTAATCAAAAGAGGAAAAAAATATTTTGCCCTACTATTACTAAAACATAAATCACAAATACAAAGCATATTATCAGAGAAGTTACACTTTGATTGGAAAAAAACTTTCTATGTTAAAATAACAGCCACAACTTGGCCAGGCCCAGCGGCTCACGCCTGTAATCCCAGCACTGTGGGAGGCCGAGGCAGGCAGATCGCAAGGTGAGGAGTTAGAGACCAGCCTGACCAACATGGTGAAAACCCATCTCTACTAAAAATACAAAAATTAGCCAGGCATGGTGGCACACACCTGTAATCCCAGCTACTCGGGAAGCTGAGGCAGGAGAATTGCTTAAACCCTGGAGGCAGAGGTTGCAGTGAGCCGAGATCACGTCACTGTACTCCAGCCTGGGTGGCAGAGCTAGAATACATCTCAAAAATAATAATAATAAAAATAAATTTAAAAAAACAGCCGCAACTATTCAACACCAGTAGCAGATTTCAGAAAATAGTCCTATGCATCATTAAAGCATATAGCTCTTCTATTTGTCTTACGGGTAAAAAATACGGCATTTACAACTTTACATACACACTGCTGTATTTCTATAGCAGGCAAATCACGTACTCTAATGTCCATCTTACATTTGTGAATATAACTTGCATCTACAGCTGGATGTGGTGACTCACACCTGTAATCTCTGCACTTTAGGAGGCTGAGGTGGGCGGATCACTCGAGCTCAGGAGTTTGAGACCAGCCTGGGGAACATGGTGAAACCCCTCTCTACAAAAAACACAAAAGTTAGCTGGGCACGGTGTTGTGCACCTGTAGTCCCAGCTACTCGGGAGGCTGAGGCAGGAGGATCTCTTGAGCCTGGAAGGTGGAGGTTGCAGTGATCATGCCACTGCACTACAGCCTGGGTGACAGAGCACAGCAAGACTCTGTCTCAAAAAAATAAATGTATAAATAAAAATAACTTACATTCACAGGAGACTGTTGGAGCTGCCCTCTGGACAGCCTATCACAGAGCAGCTTTCTCTGTACCCCCTCGCCCCTCCACTCCTGCATACAGACCCTTTTCCTGAACTGCTCTCCTAGAGCACCAATCCCTGGACCTTTGTAACCAAAACCCACCGGTATTTGCTAAATGTACCTGTGGAAAAATGGGTACAGTTGAGTCACTTTTATTTTCCTAAGTGGAGCCACCCTACATGGAGAGAGTATGTTTAATCTGGTTGTAGAGAAGGGGATGGAGTATGGACGCAGTGTGGGTCCCAGCAGATTCCATTCTAGGAATTTCAACACTGATTTATTTAATTTCTGACTCACACTGTCAGGCAGGGAAGAAACCATGAACTGTGAGTATTTACCATTCTGAGTCACTTCTATTTGCGAAAGCAAATCACCATTGCTTTTGTAACTTTTAGAAAAGAAATAAATCAATAATGAAATTACTAAAATGGAATATGCTGACAGCCACACTGCACCCACACTTTAAATGGGAATCAATATGCTATTTATAAATCAAAAAGAGAAGGGAAAAGATCTCAAAAGTCTGTTTTTGGATTATTAGAATAACTCTATTATGTATTTCAAATGCAAATTGTAATGGTAAAAAGATCCCAAGCATAGGTTAATTGAAATCAAATTAAAAATGTTAACTAAACAGTTTGGCATTTAAATATGGAGACAAACAACATTTTAAAATTAGTATTGCTGTTGTTGTTATCATCATTATTATTATTTAAAGATAGAGTCTTGCCCTGTCGACCAGACTGGAATGCAGCGGTGCAGTCATCGCTCTCAGTAGCCTCAAACTCCTGGGCTCAAGGGAACCACCTACCTCAGCCTCTTGAGTCACTCAGACCACAGGTGCAAACCACCACACCCGGCAAATATATATATATATATATATATATATATATATATATATATATATATATATTTTTTTTTTTTTTTTTTTTTTTTTTTACTTTTTTATAGAGACAAGGTCTCTTTATGTTGCCCAGGCTGGTCTCAAACTTCTGGCCTCAAGTAATCCTCCTGCCTAGCCTCCCAAAGTGCTGGGATTACAGGCATGAGCCATTGTGTCCAGCCAGAAAAACAACATTTTGACAAAAGGAATGATGGCAAAATGCTACATTTCTAAGGTAAAATTTTGGTTATTAAAAATTTTAAATTTGGTAAAATGGCCTGAACATGGATGAGCTCCCTAATACCTAAAACACAAAGTTATTGTTGTTTCCTCTTTGTACAAAATTGCAACTTGTGCAGTTGGTTTTTTTCTCTAAAATTCTGCATATTTTTGGAAGTTGATGTCAGTCCGTGAGTGTCACTTGTTACACAAGCAAGGGAAGAACTTTCATCAGGCCCTCAGTTTCCAAGAGCACAGTCATTTGCAGCCATAAATTCCAAGAAAATAAAACAAAGTAGAATTCAAAAGGAGTTCAGGCAGTGAATCCTAATGCCCAAGATGTCAAACCTCTCTAATCTTTCCTACTCGTATATTGATTAGCAAAGGGTCTTTTTCCAAGACCCTTTTCTTTTACACTGGAGAAATAACGGCTAGATCCTTGCCAAGTGGCCAAAGGAGATTTGATTTTCTATTTTTCACTGGGAGGAGGTGAGGGGATGACAGCTCCCCATTGTTCCTCTCACTCAGAGCCTGGGGCCTGAGCCTGGTTTTCCAAAAGGCCTGTACAGTACTTTCACCCCACTGGCAAATGCCAATATGCAGTGGGTTCAGAATGATGAGGAAAACCAGACACAGACATGGACCCAGTCAATAAGCAGCATTTCACACACAGTGACCACTAGCTAGTAAAATTTCTATGAAAGAACTCATATGTAATCACATTAAAAAACAGGAACGAGGCCCAAGCACAATGCCATCCTACTCTGTGAAGTTATAAAAATTTTATACATGCATTCTGAAACCAAACAAAACTAGAACAGAAAGCAAACTTTATTACACATGCTTTGATCTTTCTCTAAAAGAATCTAGGCTGGGTGAGGTGGCTCATGGCTATAATCCCAGCATTTTGGGAGGCCGAGGCAGGCGGATCACGAGTTCAAGAGATGGAGATCATCCTGGCTAACACAGTGAAACCCCGTCTCTACTAAATATACAAAAAATTAGCCAGGCGTGGTGGCACACAACTGTAGTCCCAGCTACTCAGGAGGCTGAGGCAGGAGAATCACTTGAACCCAGGAGGCACAGGTTTGCAGTCAGCTGAGATCGCCCCACTGCACTCCAGCCTGGTGACAGAGCGAGACTCCATCTCATAAAAAAAGAATCTAAAATTGTCCCCCCCCAAAGCACTCTAAAATAAATAACAAAGAAAGCACTATAAAATCACTAATGAGTATAGCCAGGTCCAATATAGAAATAAACACTATATAGGCTAGGCTTCTAAAAAAAAGACTATGAAATTGAAGGGAAAATTTATTAATTCAACAGAGATAGCATTTTTATGAGGAATTTTCTAGTGGCATTTTAGATATGACTGGTTGTTACATTGTAATAAGTCCACCTTTTAGGAATTAATATACATCAATTTTTAAATAATAAGTTGCTCAAAATGTTAGTATTGTTGACCAAAATTAAGACTGTTGAGGTTTGATAATGGTTTGATAAACATTTGTTCGAAATCAAACGTGACGATTGACAAAGGTTTATTGAAAACTAAATGTGAAGATTGACTCAGGAAGTCAACAGAAGTTGGGTGTGTTCCAGAGTCAGCTAGGAGTTGGAAGGCCTCTATAAGAAAGTTTAGAAGGAAGAGAACTCCTCACACCAGAGCTGTCCTTTTTCATTGGAGGGTACATTACAGAAGTTACAATCATTGGCTACAGATGGCAACATACAGGTTAAAGTGTCCATGTGCAAGACCATCAGCCAGACTTTCTTCCCATTCTGAAACAAATCAGGATCCTTTTCAGTGTCTGTAAGTTACATAGTAAACAGTATGCCAACAATTGGAGAACTCCTGATAAGACCCTACCCAGGGACCGCATGTTGCCATGAATCACAAGACTTCTGCCAGATGGGTTAATTTGGAAGCCTGCCAGATCTGACCCATAGGTTATCAGTATTGTGCTTATTTACGTATTAGAATAAAAGCAAGAAATTTATGTTTGAGAAAATCATGTCATGTTTCTTTTATAGTTTAAAAATTCTACAAAATTCCTGACCTTTAAAAAATGTATCAGACTTGTTTTTGCACTGTTCACATATGTGTTAATAATAAAGGTTGGATTTATTTGGGAGAATAATAAAATTATATTCATTTGTTTAATTCTCTTCATGGTATGTTGCTTTATAGTTCATAAAATGCTTTCACATTTTCTCAGTTACTTTTGAGAAAAGAGGAAAGCAGAACAGATATGATACTATCCTTATTTTATAGATAAAGAAATAGGAATTTTGCCACAGCCCTCAAGTTAACAGGGCTGATAAAAAGTGACATTAAAAATATATTCACATATAGATAAAATTTTAAATACAAGAAATTCAGCTTAATGTAAGTTATTACATTAATTTCTTGATTAGAGTATCCATGTCACAGCTCTTATTGAAAACAAATGTCATAAATTTAGCATATGTTACTTAATAACAAAAATATTCAAAATGAATGTGATTGTGGTTAACTTTATCATTTCTCCAAAGAAAAGGTTTCCTTGACTACAAACATGGAAAAGATGAAACTAGAATCACTAATGTTGTTTTCAGTTCTAATATTCATGAGTCTACAAATTTTATAATTCTTTATAGAGTAAAGTTACAACCCTGCACTTCCAGTAAAACACTCTCTTTGCACCTCTGCCTATACATAAGTCACTCTTTCACCAACCTACAAAAAGTATTCTCGGCCGGGCGCGGTGGCTCACGCCTGTAATCCCAGCACTTTGGGAGGCCGAGGCGGGTGGATCATGAGGTCAGGAGATCGAGACCATTCTGGCTAACCCAGTGAAACCCCGTCTCTATTAAAAATACAAAAAATTAGCCGGGCGTGGTGGCAGGCGCCTGTAGTCCCAGCTACTAGGGAGGCTGAGGCAGGAGAATGGCGCGAATCCGGGAGCTGGAGCTTGCAGTGAGCCGAGATCGCGCCACTGCACTCCAGCCTGGGCGACAGAGTGAGACTCTGTCTCAAAAAAAAAAAAAAAAAAAAGTATTCTATTTGAGGTCTTGCTTTTGGGGGAAACACTTGCATGCAAAAAGCTTTCTCCAATGAGAAAGGCAAGGGAGATAGGTTACACTGTTTTGCAAGAAGAGAGTGTGTGTGTTTGCAGGAGGAAATTAACGTAGCAGTGATCTTTCCCTTCCAATTATGCATGATTCAGCGATTACACATAAGAAGAAATTCCCTTGCCCATCTTATCCTGAGTGAACCTTGTTCTTTCTTACAAAACTGAGTCTATTTTCTTTCATATCTGTTATTCCACAAACACTGACTTCACACCTACTCTGGGAAGTCACCCCACTGCACACTGGGGATACAACAGCAAGGACAGAGGTAGGTTTACTCTCCTACTAAATCTTATCTCTATTACTTCACGTCATTGGAAATTATGGGTATCTTGTGATGTTCTGGACTCTAAAATGTCAGAGACATGTGAATGAAGGAGCGAAACGTGGTGATCCTCAAAGCCTGTAGGAGAAGTGGGAGAGGAGAGAGTGGGAGGCTGTCTTCACGTTTGCGGCATTGTTCTGTCTCCATCTATTGCCAAGGGCCAGTAGAGGTCAGAATATTCTTAGCAGATTATTGACTTCTGATTATTTGATTAATCAATGATAGAAACTGTTGTCCATTTGTCGATTTGTACCGTTGCTCAGTGAAGTTATCATAGTAAAGTTATAGTACTGTATAGTTATGCGCCATAAGAGTAACAGTGCTCTGACCTCCCTCGTTCACACCTGGGCAAGGCCTCCCCCGAGACCCATTAACGGCACAACTGCGTCCCTAGTGGCCATTCCCAGAACTGCAGGGGAGGGAAGGGACCATAGAAAATTCTCAGCTTCGACGCTTGCCCATTTCCTCCACTAATTTTTATTTTTATTTATTTATTTATTTTTTGAGACAGAGTTTCACTCTTGTTGCCCAGGCTGGAGTGCAATGGTGCAATCTCTGCTCACCGCAACCTCCGCCTCCCGTATTCAAGCGATTCTCCTACCTCAGCCTCCCGTGTAGCTGGTATTACAGGCACGTGCCACCACGCCCTGCTAATTTGTTGTATTTTTAGTAGAGACGGTGTTTCTCCATGTTGGTCAGGCTGGTCTTGAACTCCCGACCTCGGGTAATCCGCCCGCCTTGGCCTCCCAAAGTGCTGGGATTCTTACATCGACTGCATAGAAAGAGGAGAGAACATAACCTACCTACCCCGTACATACTTCAGCCCAGGTCCTGTGCCTCATCTGTAATATGAATGAAGAGACATGGAGAACAGAAAAGAAAAAAAGAAAGGAAAATCTATCTTGGGAACAACAACAACAAAATCTAAGAACACAACTATGCATATATGTCTTAGTCTGTTTGGTGCTGCTGTAAGGGAATACATGAGGCTGGATAATTTACAAAGAAAAGATTGATTTGGCTTATGGTTCTGTAGGTTGTACAAGAAGCATGGCACCAACATCTGCTTCTGGTGAGTGCCTCAGGGAGCTTCAAATCATGGTGGAAGGTGAAAAGGGAGCAGGTGGGTCACCCAACCAGAGAAGGAGCAAGAGTGATGGCAGGAAGTGTCAGGCTCTCTTAAATAGCCAGCTCTTGCATAAACTAGTAGAAAAAGAACTCGCTCATTATCACAGGGACGGCACCAAGCTATACATGAGGAATCTTTCCCCATGACCCAAACACCTTCCACTATGCCCCACCTTCAACATTAGGGGCCAAATTTCAATATGAGATTTGTAGGGACAAATATCCAAACTATGTCAACATGGTGTTGAATGAATGGACAGAATAAAAGCAAAATAACATATTAGAGAGAGAATTTAAAAATAAAAAAACTGTATGTAACAACAACAACAACAACAAAAACAAGTGAAGTCAAAAATAGTCAAAATACCCTCCAGGCACCAGATCACAGATTGGGACAGAAAACAGAAAGGCACTTCATTAATTTTCAAGGCTTTGCACTCAAAACTGCTACATAAGCAATGCAGTGACAGATTGCATACAGAATTCATAAGGAACCTCCAAGGCCATTTGTGTGATCAGGACAGACAACCTGGGCATGAACTTGAAGGCACACATTTTTCGTCAAAAATGTGCCAAAATGAAAGCAACCTCCCAAAACAATTTAAGAGAAACAGTGGCAAGTGCAAAGAAAACTGGACAGGTATGGTGAACCCTACTCCTTATTCCCAAAGAAGTATAGGAAAGCTGTTGCAGAGCCCTGCATGCTCAATTTACAATTCCTGGATCAACGTTTTTCCACCCTGTTTTCACTGAGCCAGGGAGCCATCCAATGCTTCATCATCCCAGGGAAAATGAACAAGGCCATCTTATTAATTGGACTACATCACCCTTTTTCCTCTTAAAACAGGGCTCACTGTTAGAAACTCACACTGGATTAGCGAGAAAATGCTCCAGGCTTCAACTTAGCACATCAGAAAGTCAGAGCTTAACTCCTAATTTAAAATAAACCCTGTATTTTTGGTTGTTTTCCTTTTTGACATTGCATAAAATGGATTATGCAATAAATAGCAGACAGACTATTCACGTTGCACCAGTGCATATTCTAATGTTCTGCAGCAACATCTAATGGTGTAAATAAGATGAAAAAACTAACGATCCTTTATGAAAGATTTTTTTTCTTTATGGGGCATAATAGCATGCACAAATGGACCCTGCAGAACAATTTGCTTTCATTCCTTATTTTCGCTCTTATACTAGTAAATGTGGGATAAATGTATAATGTCTGTTAAACATTCATAATTATTAAACCATCAACGGAGCTTATCAAATCCCACATATTCCTCTCCAATGAGCTCTTTAAAGGGAACAACTTTGATTTAGAGTATAAAGATGTGGAATGGGTCAGCTGATCATTCTGGCCCCAAACTGCGGCAAGGGTGTTGTCTTGGAAGGAAAAGGAAAAGCTAAACTAATGCAGCCTATAGCTTGTGACGAAAGGACATTTTTCAAATTTTCAGAAGCGAAGTTAAGAAAAGATTACTTAGAAACTGGCACTGCTTAAAAATATTGGTACATCAGTAAAGGCTACTTCTTATTTCAGAATATTAGTAGGGTAATTCCTACTATAATCTGAAAACTAAAGAAGTATACATTTACAAGTGTTGACGTTCCAGATTTTCAAAAAGACTGCGAATTCATTTAAGAAAAAATAAAAATAACTTTTGCACACTGCTCCTTTTCCTTGAAAAAGAGTTTTTGCCTAAAGCTATAGACTACATTAACTTATTGTTTTGAAAAAAATATATAAACGAAGGAACAGTTATACGAATAGTACAGTAACTGTAGCATACCTTCCACTTCCACTCACCACTTGATAACAAGTTGCCTCATTTTCTCCACTGCTTTCCCTTTCTCTCATTCTAATGAAAACACTTATTGTTACTGCTGAACAATTGGAGAGTAAACTGCATACATGATGTCTCTTTCTCCCCAAAGGTTTCAACATTATCTTCTGAGAACAAGGACAGTCTTTTATACAACCACGGAACGGTGATCAATTTCAGAAAAAAATTAAAATTTAACTGTGATGGTCTTTGATTTTAAGAACTTAGAGGAGTGTTGTAAAACTCCAATTGAAGGTAAAAATACTCTTAAAAATTGCAGTCTTTTCTGACTCCTCACTCAAAACAAAGTAAAAGCCTCATGAGGGCAAAGATTCAACTTTATTCCCGGGTGCACAAGCCCTCCCAGGAGAGCTTCACACTCAGCGCACTCGTAGGCAATGTTAACTGATTTCAAAAATTATTCTTCAAACAATATTTAATTATTATGAAGTATCTCATGTGTCTAGTATAATACATGAAATCATTCTTGACTATGTTTAACGTCAAGAAGGTTGTTATGACCCACATTCTTGGGAACATGATATACTTTTTAAAGGACTCTACAAAACTTTCTTTTTTTTTCATAGATAACCCTCAAAGATTCACCTAACTCTTGACTAATTTTGAAATATGTTCTGCATGTGTGCCACTAATTTGGATTTTAACATCCAGTGGTAGCGTCTAATGATAAGGTAGTTCACATTTCAGACTGATTAAAGGATCATTTAATAATTTTATTCTTTTATCTCCCCCACCATACACACACACACACACAAATCTTTCAAAAGAAAACCAAGCACTCTCTCCAAACTGACCTCTATTAAAATTAATTTTTTTAATAACTGCTTGGTTTTATCACTACTTCCCCAAATGCTAATTAATTCTAACTCTAAACTATGTAATTATAATACTTCTGCTGAAATACAAATTATCTGGTGCCCCTGGGGTGAACAAGTAAGAATGTATTTCATGTTCCATTCAACAGAGGAAATGCGATGTTTCTCAGACCATGGAAACAATGTAGCAGCCTCCCTGGCTCCCCTCCCCCAAAACACTGGCAGTTCCTGTTTCTTCCTCTTTAGCAGGAAGACAGGAACAGAGTTGACAGTTGGCATCCAGTCAGTTTAATGCCTCTCTCCATGGGGCTGTGAGGAACGGTGGCATGCCCAGTTATTTTTGGCCAGGCACGGCAACACACAGAGCCTTGAGGAGCCTTCATTTAGGCAGTGGCGGCCAATGTACCTGCAGAATGTGAATTGACGTTGCCATGGAAATAGAACAACTCTTCCCGGTTCTGTCAAAATGCATCTCTATCTGCGACTAGGCAGAGGTCAGGAAGGAGAGAAACACAAGTGCCAGGGAGAACATTCGAGAAGGGAAGGACTCTGCAGTGCCCCAGTGTGGGAGAAATTTGATGGGCTTTTTCTGATAACATTCATATACACTATTGTGTTTCAAATCTGGATCTTGTTTATTCATTAGACAGTAGCAAATCCGGATACACACACATGCGCACACACACACCATATATATATATATATATACACACACACACATATACCTTATATATTTATATATACATATTCACCTTACTCTCTGTAAATATACATATATTATATATATACATATATATACACCATATATATACCTTACATACTAACATATGTATATATATATATACCTTATATACTCTGTGTATATATATACATATGTTACATATATATGCACTCACATATATACCCCCACACATACCTTATGTGTATATATATATACCTTATATATTTACATATAAATACAAATGTACCTATTCACCTCATATACGCTCTCTCTGCATATACATATATATGCACACATATATATGCATCCACACACACACCTTATGTGTGTATATATATACCTTATATATTTATATTTGTGTATTTATATATTTATATATAAATGCAAATGTACATATTCACCTTATATACTCTCTCTGTATATACATATATATATACACACACACATATACCCACATACACACATCTATACACACACACAAGCAACACACACACACACACACACACACACACACACAGACACGCATATTTTCTTCTGGGACCCAAAGCCAGCCTTTGCAGCCTACCATATAACATTGTTAGGGTCTCATTTTTCTCAGTTTTCACACAAGGTTGACTCAGGTAATCTCTAAGCCCTCCTTTTCTAATATGTCTATGATGCCATTTAACATTCTGTTTTCAGTCTTAATGTGCATTTAGCCCATTCTACCTGGAACTTCAACAAAACCATGAAAACAGGACAGTGCATGTCATAAGAACACATAAATAGGAGCTGTGTAAAAAACCAAAGTGCTTCCTCTCTGATCCCCTCTTTGGAATGTAGTTCTGGGGTGCTGCTGTGGGCACTGAGACCTGCAGCTGTCCCTAGGCTTAACTCTTGAGGTGGCAGGAGGAAAGTGACAGTGCTGTGTCCCTGGCAGACTCTCATTACTGGAAATTTGTTGCTGCTGCCTGTTCCTGAGTTCAGCCTGGGTCCAGCCCAGTGCTCTCATTTTTCATCACCTGTTTGGCCCTGCACATGGCTCTGAGTATGAGCTTTAGCCCAAATGCCAACCTCTGGGTCCCATGCTTTTCTGGCCTCTGCAGACTCTTGGTTCACAGAGACATGGGTGCTTCATGCAGAGGGTGGGCACACCTTGGGTCCAGGGACACAGGGGACCAAGGAGGGCACATAGAACCTCCATGATGGGTATTAGTGAACCTCGATACTGAGTATTCCTAAACACAGAGTGAATAGCCGATATTCCAATTCAATAGGAATCTGTGTGTGCATTCCAATGGACCCTTGAGTTCTGACCATTTGCAAGAGACCCTGAAGGCCTGAGATGCGTCCTGTCTTGCTGGGTGAGGCACAAGCCCAGTCATCTGCTGACATGTGGCAGCCAGTCTGTCAAAGAGCCTCGCAGACCATCTGCACATATTTTCAATGCAGTTTGCCCATATATATATATAATATATATATAATATATTATATATATTATGTAATATATATTATATATATTATATATATTATATAAATTATATATATTATATATTATATATAATATATATAATATATATTTTATATATATATTATATATTATATATATAATATATATAATATATATTTTATATATATATATGTACACACACATATACACACACACATATATACATACACACACATATACACACACACATATATACATACACACACATATATATACATACACACACATATATACATGTATATATGTGTATATATATGTGTATGTGTGTGTATGTATATATATGTATATATATATACACACACACCACCTAAAACCTTAAAATTTTACTTCATTGAGTTATAGGAAGAACATCCATCCATCATGATACAACTGTGCATGGCTTAACAGTGGGATATGTTCTGATAAGTATGTCATTAGGCAATTTCATTATCATGCAAACACCACAGAGTGTGCTTAATGCAAACCTAGATGGCATAACCTACTACACACCTAGGCTTTACTGTGTAGCCTATTGCTCCTAAGCTACTAACCCATACAGCATGTTACTGCATAAATATTGTAGGTAATTGGAACATAATGTTAAGTACTTCATTTCTAAATATACCAAGCATAAAAGTGGTACAATAAAATGCGGTATTATAATCTTATGGGACTACTGTCATACATGTAGTCCGATGTTGACTGAAATGTCACTATGTGGTACATAACTGTATTTATGAATCTGGTAATTCAAGAAAATGTCCAGATAGCCCTTTATTTTACTCTTCCTAGGCATGTGTAAATATATGACGGTGAGTGTTATGTGTGAGCTTGGCTAGGCTGTAATAATACCCAGTTATTTCATCAAACACGAATCTGGGTATTGCTGTGAAGGTGTTTTGTAGATATGGTTAACATCTACAATCCAGTCAATTGAGAACCTTATGAAAAAAAGTCTCAGTGCTATGGTCTGAATTATTGTATCTGCCCAAAATTTGTGTTGAAATTCTTACCCACAAGGTAATGGTATTAGGAGGTGGGGATTTGAGAGCCCTCATGAACGGTATTGTGCACTCTTAAAAGACACCTGAGAGAGACCCCTTGCCCCTTTGGCCATCTGAGGATAAAGCAAGAAGGCGCTGTCTATGAACCAGGGAGTGGGTCCTCAACAGATACTGGATGTGCTGGTGCCTTATTCTTGGATTTTTCAGCCTCCAGTAGTGTGAGGAAGAAATTTCTATTGTTTACAAGCCACCCAGTTTATGGTATTTTTGCTGTGACAGCCCAAATAGACTAAGACACCCAGAGGAGAAATTGTGACTCAAGACCATAACATAAAAATAGAAATCATTCTTGAGCTTCCAGCCTCTTGCTTTGCCCTACAGATTACAGACATGCCAGCTCGACAATTGTGTGGGCCAATTTCTTTAAGTCTCTGTCTCTCTCACTCTCTCTCTCTCTCTGTGTGTGTGTATGCGTGTGTGTGTGTGTCCATACACATATAAAATACCCTGTTGATTATTGGTTCTAGGTAACTTGAATCACTAGGGTAGTTTAAATCAAATCATAAAACACATGACCTTCCTTCTTATAACATTCTAGACTCTAAAATTTGTTGCCCCTGACTCTTAATATAAGCACATATTTATATTATTTCAGATCTTGCATCTATTAGAAGGCATTTAACAACTCTAAATGAATATGTTTCCTTAATGACATAATTCATTTGCCCTAAATTATATGTGAAGTAGATTAGCTTGCAATAGTGGAATAAATTGCTCCTAGAATAAATTCTAGGAGCCATAAAACTACAAACTTCCAGTTGAATTTTGGTGGTATACTTACTTGCTCTCATTCTAGAGGCACACAGGTCAGTAGTTATACCTTACTTTAAATACCATCTTTCTTCAAGAGAAAATAATTCTCTGCAATAATTATAGCAAGTCAGTTAAGAGGAGCAGGATTCAATGCAATGCTATTATCTTCCAGAAAATATGCTTTTCATGAAAGTATTTCAAAATCAAAGATTGCTGTCAACAATTTAAATGCATTAAATATTTTTATATTTTATAGATTCTTGAGGAGGAAATAAAACACAAACACTAACGTGAGAATGGATGAAAAGTTATGTAGTGTGTGGCCGGGCACGGTGGCTCACACCTGTAATCCCAGCACTTTGGGAGGCCGAGGCGGGCAGATCACGAGATCAGGAGTTCGAGACCAGCCTGGCCAACATGGTGAAACCCCATCTCTATTAAAAATAAAAAAATTAGCCGGGCATGGTGGTGTGTGCCTGTAGTCCCAGCTACTCAGGAGGCTGAGGCAGGAGAATCGCTTGAACCTGGAAGGTGGAGGTTGCAGTGAGCCGAGATTGTGCCACTGCACTCCAGCCTGGGTGACAGAACAAGACTCTCTCTCTCTAAAAATAAATAAATAAATAGAAAATATATGTAGTGTGATGTAGTGTGTATATAAGGAATTGCAAATCATTGTATTTGAGTTAGCACATGAGAATTGAGCTTAAATGGCCTTTGCTTGTTTGCTTAAAAATATCACATGTACCCTGTAAGTATGTACAAATATTATGTATTGCTAAAAATTTAAAAATACTTTCATAGATTCTAATAAAATAAAATTTCAAACAACTTAAAAGCACTCTTTCTGTGTTTTACAATAATTCAAGAATCCCTACTGTATGTAGAACAGTGTTTCTCAACCGGGGTCATTTTTGACCTTCTGATGACATTTGGTAATGCCTGGAGACATTCTTTGTTGTCACAACTGGGAGTGAGAGGGTGGGTGGTACTGACATCTAGTGGGTGGAGGCCAGGGATAATGCTAAACATCTTAAAATACACAGGACATTTCCTTTGGATGTACACTCAGGAGTGAAAGTACTGGATCATATGGTAGGTCCACTTTTAGTTTTTTGAGAAACCGCTATACTTTTTTCCGTAATGGCTTTACTAATTTTTATTCCCACCCACAGTGTGTAAGGGTTTCCTTTCTCCACATCCTCAGCAACCCTTGTTATCTTATTATGTCTTTTGGATAATAGCCATTCTAACTGAAGTGAGGTGATACCTCATTGTGGTTTGGATTTGCATTTATCTGATGATTAGTGATGCTGAGAATGTTTTCATATACCTGTTGTCCATTTGTATATCTTCTTTTTAATTTTTTTTGCTGTCTTTTTGCTGTTGACCTGTTTGAGTTCCTTATGTATTCTGAATATTAACCCCTCAAATACCACGTTTTCACTCATATGTGAAATCTAAAGTCAATCTTATAAAAATAGTGAATAGAATGGGGTAAGGAGTAGGAATAGGGAGATGGGGAGTGGAGGGTCAATGGGTACAAAGTTAACGATGAGAAAGGAGAAGTGCTGGCGTTCTGTTGCACAGTCTGGCAACTACAGTCAACAACAAGGTACGCACATCTCAAAATAGCTGTCATAGAGGATTTTGTATGTTCCCCAGAAAGAAATGATAAATGTCTGAGGTGATGGATATGCTAATTATCCTGATTTGATCATTAAACAACGTATACACGTTTCAAAACATTACGTTGTGCCCCATAAATAGGTACAATAATTGTGTGTCAATTAAACTTTTTAAAAAATATATTTAAAAATGCATAGGACAGTTCGCCACTCCCTCCCCGAGAAAAAGAATTATTTTGCCCAAAATGTCAATGGGTTGAGGTTGAGAAACTCTGCTATAGAACAAAGCTAGGCATAAGGTATGTGTTTCCCATTGGCATGTGCCGTATTAAGGAGTGAGATAGAAATCTTTATTAAAGTAAGGCCAATATAAGCAGTTAGTAGACAGAAACCCAGTACAAACTCAGAGTAAATGGTGTTGTTCTCCTTAGGAGAAGAGCTAAGCAAACAAAGCCCATTTCAGCTCAGTTACCATGTGCTGACACAAATCCACAACAAGGGATAATAGCAAAGCAATTCGTTCCACTTGATTATAGTTCATTTTGCTCAACAGGAAAGTCAGATTTGATGTTCATGATCATCAGGCATAAATCCTACAAAATGTATTTAATAAGAATGCAATGTATTTTTAACTGCCTTCATTAATTTGATTGTCCCCCCTTTAAAACAATAAATAATGACTAAATCTAGGTCACGTTTTCTCTTTGGGCCTTGGCTCCTCAGTTTCAAAAGTGGAGAGTTCTACTCTGTGAGTCCTTTAGTTCATGAATCCTTGCTGATGCAGGATACATATTTTTTTCCTTGAAAGGGAAACAGAATTGATCAGCTGATAGGTGTGATCGTCATGAGCAAAACAAACTTCGCTTTAAGAAGTTATCAAATCTCTGTATCTAAAGAGAATTTTCGTCAAGAGTTTTCGAGATTCAGATGCCAAATCTTCCTGTTTCCATTCGCAACTCCATCAACTCTATCTTGCCACCTTGCTGCCCAGAGTTGAAAGCAGCCTGGTACTCAGGGCAGGGAAGGCAGAAGCACATGTAATTGTCACATGCGGTAGGAATCAATAATCGACAACATAATGACATTCAATGAACAATTTACACTGAAGGTAAATAAATTGTTGATTTCATGTTTCGCTTACACATAGTGCAAAGAGCTCTTCACCACGGCTCTGGTGATGAAGGCTTTGTATTTATTAATTTTGTTGACCTTGGAGAAATAACTTTACTCCTCTATTGGAGTTTCCTATTGAGTAATGCTGGCAGACACCTAGACACTTCATAATTTTAAAAAATGCATACTTTCTAATTAATGAAGGAATAGTGATACAGAAGCGGGCAGGGAAGTGTTGGGTAGAGGAGGTTGTGGTCCCTGACTAGGGCTCTACTCCCAGGCCTGTGCCCACGGACCTAGGTGAAGGCAGACATTTCTGTTTTTGTGCCCAAATATTGCAATTCCCAAGACCACCCTGGCCTGCCATGCCCCCATCCTGTGCCTATAAAAACCCCGAGACTCTAGCGGGCACGCACACAAGCAGCTGGATGTTGAGAGGAACACATCAGTGGAAAAAGACACAAGTGGCTGGACTTCGGGAGGAATGCACCGGCCTAAGAGCACACCGACAGAAGCCAGCAGGCCAGCAGGCCATTGACCGGTGAATGCCGCAGAGTTTCGGGGAGGCAGAGGGAGGAGAGCCCTGGTGGCTGAGCGGCCCAACTCCAGGGGAAAACCACCTTACCACTCCATCTCCCTTCTGGCTCCCCCATCTGCTGAGAGCTTCTTCCACTCAACAAAACCTTGCACTCATTCTCCAAGCCCAGGTGTGATCTGATTCTTCTGGTACAGCAAAGCAAGAAATCCTGGGATACAGAAAAGCCCTCTGTCTTTGTGATAAGGCAGGAGTCTAATTGATCTGATACGCACAAGCCACCTGCACATGCTAAACCAATAGAGCACACAGTAACACACAAACACACACACACACACACACTGGGGCCTCAGGAGCTGTAAACATTCACCTCTAGACGCTGCCATGGGGTCGGAGTCACCACAGCCTGCCTGTCTGTATGCCCTCTCCTGAAAGTTTGAGCAGTGAGGCACCGAAAACACGAGCCACACCCCCATCACACACCCTGAGAGGGGGACAAAGGGACTTTTCCCATTTCAACAGTATCTTAAGAACTTGAGTGAATGTGTGAGCTTGATTTGATGAAAGAAATTCGGCTTATAACAAAAAATGCCAGTAGCTACCATTTAAACAATCTTAGTGGCAGTTGGGTCCTTAAGAAAATTTATTTATTTATTTATTTTAAACAACCAGATCTCATGAGAGCTAAGAAAATTTAGATCATGAGCAACTTAAAGTTAGAATTTTCATGAACAAATTTTTCAAAATTTTAATCTGTCATTTTCCAATCTAATAGCACATAAAAATCTAAAATTTGGAAAATTAACAGATTTTCCGAAACCTTTATTTTTCGTTAATGAGAGAACACCACAGGATAATTCTCTTTTTTTTCCTTTTCTATGTTTTTATTTTTAAACTTGTCCTTTTTCTTTGCTTGATAAAGTAATTTAAAATATTAGATATTCCTTAAAAGGTTGAATAGAAAAAGTTATATTACATAAAATCTTAAGTGCTTATATACATATATAAACACTTTACATAGAGTTAAGATTTTTCAGCGCTTTCTGTGTTATCATGTATTAACAATCAATACAAACTCTTGGTACACATGTCTGCTAAACATAGAATCTGGACAAGTCAACTAATTCATTCTTTTTTTGCTTGAGTTTTCTGGTCAAGAATGACTTTATAATAGACTCAGGGAAAACTTTTTTTAAAAAGTAGAGAAAGACAAATTCTTTTTGGGAAATGCAGTATTAAAAAATTCACAGGGCCAGGTGTGGTGGCTCATAGCTGTAATCCCAGCATTTTGGGAGGACGAGGTGGGCGGATCATGAGGTCAGGAGTTCAAGACAAGCCTGACCAACATGGTGAAACCCTGTCTCTACTAAAAAATACAAAAATTAGCCAGGCGTGGTGGCATGCACCTATAATCCCAGCTACTCAGGAGACTGAGGCAGGAGAATTGCTTGAACCCGGGAGGTGGAGGTTGCAGTGAGCCAAGGTCATGCCACTGCATTCCAGCCTGGGCAACAGAGTGAGACTCAGTCTCAAAAAAAAAAAAAAAAAAAAAATCCATTCACAGAAGACTGTGAAATTCAAATACATTATTTTCAATTCCCATGACATTTACACCAGTGATATGCTAGAAAGATTTCAGAAAGGCTCATCATAACTTTATAAATAAATCTGTTCATACTACTTGTGTTTTTACATACTGTTGAGTCCCAAAAGTGGATTTTATTTGTGACGTATTTAATTCATGGCAAGTATATACATATAATACAGCATTACATAAATATACTTGGAAACAACAAAAACTAAACTTGAAAATGATGCCATTCCTCCAGTTTTTGGAGAATGAGGCATGTCTTCCTCTTTTCTGTCTAGCAGTGGACAGTGGTATAGTCAGAACCAGGTTAAAACAGATGTGGTCAGGGACCAAAAGAGTGTGTGTGAGGGCCCTGTAAGCAGCTACACCACGGGGGTTCATCATACAAAGTGGGTCTTTGTGTTACAGATCTCCAATGTCATGAAACAAACATTCTTTAAGTGAGAAGAACAATTATACATTGCTGATAAACACTTCCGTGAATGTATCAAATGATTTGCTAAGATATTAAAACTAGTAACTTTTCAGAGTAATTTGGTTTCCATCAAGAAGCCTTCTGTGCAAGGAGGAAATAGCCACTCTCAATGTCTTGGATCCAAGAAACTACTTATTTGTCACCATTTTCTCTTTTCTCCTGTTAAAGAACAAGGACTTTAAAATTAGACAGACTCAGCTCCCAGCTATATGGTCTCAGAAAATTCACTTAATGTTTTGAGGTACCCTCATTTCAGTCTCAGCCAAGAGGGCTCCTACTGAAAACCCCTGTGGCCTTCCATCTGAGAACCTTCTCTTGGCCAGCAAACAAGACAGAGCATGAACAGACCTCAGCCATAGATAAGGTGGGCTCCTGGTATCTCAGACATGATCATTTGAAGTGTACTGTACCAAATCTCTCGGGGGCCCCAGGTGGGACTGAACCCCAGTTTCCCACACCAATAAACTGCTGGACAACACCCTCTCTACTGACTTCTTTTCTTTCCCATGTCCGTTCCCCAATTTCCTAGGATACTTTCTGGGCCTGCCTCTGAAAGAAGTTCCTTACACTCAAATTCTTGTCTAGGATCTTGCTTCTCGGGGAGCCCAGCGTCAGAGGCTCCCATCAACCTCCCAGCTGGAGCTGGCCCCCAGAGGCAGAGCTATAACTCTGCCTCCAGCTGGGTGGTTCACACCTAAACCCTCTGAGCACTTTGCAGAACTTAGTTTTTTTCAGGGCAAGTACTTAGCAGAGAGGAGAAGGTGGGAATATTGTTCATGCCTTGTTTGTGACTTACCACAAGGCCAAGCCTTTCAGGGACATGTCACTCCCTCAAATGAAACCCACTTTTATTTGGCTTATTCAGGGAGAAGGGGGTGAAGGCTACTCAGAGGGCTCCATCCAAGCCTTAACTGACACAGGTGCTGCAATGAGAATATGAAACTGGATGCCTTCCCCTTTTCAGGTGTGTAGAAGACAAGGACATCTGCCAAAAGAGGATGGGGTGAGAGATGGCATGGTAGGTGAGGCCGGGGGGTGGGATTCAGGGAGATAATGAGAGCCCTCGAGGTAACTTCGGGCTGGCCAGGAACTTTGCTTATCAGATTTTTGCAGCAGTTTGAAGAGAACCATTAGGGCACTTCAACAGAGGCCTGAATACATTAGTTAGCTTGATTGTGGCACTCAGTTCACAGTATATACATATATCAAAACATTGTGTTATATAATTTAAATACAGAGCACTTTTATTTGTCAAAATCAATTAGTTAATTAAGAAAAAAAAAACAGAGCTCTGGATTTGATCCTGAGTCACTTTCTCAGTGGTACAAAATATGCTGGCAGGGGAGCTATTTCTAAGAATGATGCTCAGAGCTTTGGAGCCAGGAGGTCAAGGTGCTTCCCTGGCCTGTGTTCCTGAGCCCCTGCAAAGTTAGCAGCATTTGCACTGCCTGGTGTGGCTTAAAGTCCCTGCCCTGCTGTTCCATCCCTCTGATCTTTCCAAGCAGGTGGCTCTGGCCTCTGTGTCTCTTTAGGGCATTTGCTCTGTTAAGCTCCATTTTTCTCTGACCTTCCTATTCCTGATAGTGTCCCTATATGGACATACAGGTGAAGCTCTCACTTCCTAAATGCTTCCAGCCACACTGCCTTCAGACAAAATCTACCCCATGTATGGTAGATGCCAAAAATAGCCATAATCCTCCATGTCTCCAAGTATCATAGCCTTTACAATGATCTTCACAACTCCTCCTATCAAGTCCCATAGTCTTCTTCTCCACTCTAGCCACATGGGGCATCTTTGTATTTCACATTGGCCCACAGAATGTGAAAGAAGTTGCTGTGTACCAGCACTGAGTCTAAGCTTCTGCACACTCTCTCTCTGAAACCTACTGAGCTACCATGTGAGGTAGTCTAGGGTTGCCTGCTGGACAACAGGAAACAATGATCCAGTTCTCCTTATCTTCCTAACACATAGCTGGCAACCAACCCCAGGAGAAGAGCCACCTCTCTGACAGGCAGCTGCTCATAAACTCATGACTGAACCTAGCTGACAGCAGAAGAACCACCCAACTGAGCTCAGCCTAAATTGCCAGTTCACACAATCATGAACTAGACAAATAGCCATTGTTCTAAGCCACTAAGTTTTGAAGTAGTTTGTTATACAGTAATAAATAACAGATACACCCTGGAATAAATCCAGTATAATTATATTGCAGTGCCTGTTTCTGCTGTCATTGCTACTGGTGCAAAGGAAACATGAAGCTCACCCTTGCCTCTGGAGGAAGAACCGTGGGTGAAATCCTGAGACAGAAACCCTGTATGCGGCTCTCCTTTTATCTGAAGACCACCCGCCTCATAGCTGTGGAAACAGGAGCGGATGCTCTAATCATGCCACTAGTCATCTCCAGGAGTTCTGCCATGTAAGGTAACCTGGTCTGGCTGCCATCCATCATCTCTGTGTCTCAAAATATCACAGCTCCTTTTTAAACCTCAAAGCCAAAAAGCAAACCTTTCAACACTGGGGTGGTTCAGTGCCCAAAACCATAGTATTTCTACCATGTTCTGATGATGACTTCATAAATCATCATTGATTTAATTTCACAAAGCTCTCCATGACATAAGCACAGCCATAGCCACAGTCCTGACCCATATTTAATGGTGAAATTCAAGAATCTACTATGTGTTGGGATTCTCCTCTTTCCTCCTCTGTGTGGCTCAAATAAGGCATAAGAGACACAAAGCGAGATTCATCATATTAACTTAAGGAATAAAGTGGCTTCCTCTGAGAACTTGGCCTCCAGTTCTCATAATATACTATATTATACTCCATTATAGTAATTACTGGCCTGTTATTTTGTTATACATTATTATACATAGAGTGTGTAGAAATGTTTTATAAATAGAATAATGCATAGCCATTGCCCTGAATTTTCTAGAACAGCACTAATTTAAAATATTCCTTCCAGTAAATACTGGATATTGCTCTTCCTTGAGCCAAGAATTTCTTCTACTTCAATCGTCATGTCTGTGACATTTGCTAGCACCATAGTCTCATACTGTTGGTAAATTTTGTACAAGTGCATCTTGTCTTTCTAACTAACTGGTCTATTCCTTAAGGTCACAAGCCTTGAGGGATGGCTTTATACGTCCCTACTCCTCCACTGCCAGGTACTCCATCTGTCCTTTGTTTTTGCTCAGTTGGCCTCAGTAACTCACCTGCTAAGTCATTGTCTCTGCTTTCAGAATCCTAGAGGATAAAAGACAGAGCAGCAGCCAGCGAGGTGAGCAGCAGTCAGAGCCTCCTCATGGACAGGATGAAAGACACATTTTGTCTTTGGCAATGTCCAGGCTTTCCACTTTTTTTTTTTTTTTTTTTTTTTGAGATGGAGTCTCACTCTGTCGCCCAGGCTGGAGTGCAGTGGTGCAATCTCGGCTCACTGCAACCTCTGCCTCCTGGGTTCAATCAATTCTCCTGCCTCAGCCTCCTGAGTAGCTGGGACTACAGGCGCGTGCCACCACCCCCGGCTAATTTTTTTGTATTTTTAGTAGAGATGGGATTTCACTGTATTAGCCAGGATGGTCTCGATCTCCTGACCTCGTGATCCGCCCTCCTCAGCCTCCCAAAATTACAGACATAAGCCACTGCTTCTGGCCTAGGCTTTCCATTTTTAGCCCCTCCTCTTCCTCAAAGCATTCCATGGCACTCCCCTCTGGGAAGTTTCTCCAGTAAGGCAGTGATCACTGTGCTCTCCAGTGCTAAGAGGCGCTGGCATGCATCTGCCATTGGTTTTACATGTTACTATTACAAAACAGGGTGCTGTTTCTTAGTGGCCGTTAAATAGTTTTACCTTTGCACAGGAATCATATTTGCACTATTAGCTTGTGTTTATTAGGAGCAACCTTAACTGCAAAGTCTTGGATCCTTACAATGTGTTTCAAAAGCACATGGACCTCCTTCATAGTTGGTATGGAGCAGATCAAAGGTCTGCATCCCATCCTCAGAGACTCACAGTCCCTTCTGCTTGTCAAAGGATATTGCACCATCATGTCCCTCATATCAGCACCTGCCTGGACCATAATATGATTGGATGAGAAATGTTCAAGGTAAATTTTTAAGTATTTTTAGCTCTTTCCATATAAGAATGTTCCAGACGTGACTTTGAGTTTGGAAGAATGTACATAACCACCTTCAGAACCTCCTTTTCTTTTTAGATGAAATCTCTTTTATTATAAAATATCAGAGAATTAGCATAACTCTTGGCTATCTATCCCTCGGGTATCCCTCTTTCTTTCCTTTCTGCAAGAAAAGCAAAACTAAGAACCTTTATTTACTTAGAAAGTCAGTTACAGGAGGCAATAAAGTTTATGGGAACAGGCTTGTCGTTGCTTATTTCCCATTGACCCCAGCAATACTTTGGAGAAACAATTTCTATGTCACAGATATATTGCTTTAACTCTAAGGGTGCTGTTTATTTCAAGAGATGCCTTAACATGATGAAATAATAAGAACTGAACACCTTATACAATTGCCCTGGGCTCACATCTCAGTTGCTCTCTGCTGTAGCTCCACACTGCCCCCAGAAGTGACTTGTCCAAACCAAGTGCACCATTCCATGGTCATTGTACGACAGACACAAACTCAGTACAAAGAAACACCATTGACTCCTCCTGATTTGGTTTTCTTTTTAGAATAATTTTCTTACCCAGGAACTGAAACTCCATTTATTGTTTAAGTCACATACAGATTTGATAAGCTCTCTTTTCTCAATTTGACTTTTGTTGATAAACAAAACTACAGGTTAAAAAAAGTTTTTAAATATTCACAAAAAATAATTTTCAGCCCTTCAGTTGACTGGTTGTCTACAAGTTGTCTTTTGGGAGCTCTGATAACAGGTGGTGTCTTGAACTGAGTTTACACTGAAAGTAAATGCTCTATCCCATTCTGTGTCATGATAAGACAATTCTGAGCAATTGCATATCCACCCTATAGAAAGACTCAAGTGCTTGGCTAATTTAAAATGACAAATAACCTAAAATAAGTTCTATTTGACATTAAAATGCTCTAAGAAAATATTTTTTCTCATCTATAGAGACAGTTTTCCTCTCACTTGGAAATCCCAGGACACTTCAGAATCCACCTATGGAATACCAAACCACCCTTTCTCCACCCTAAACCCACATTTCCTCAGGCCCCTCCTAGAGCCACAGTTTCCACCACCCACCCCATCGCTCGATAAGGGAGTCACAACATCCTCCCTGTTTTCTTCACTCTGTCCACATCCGTGGTGTCCATCAAAGCTACATGCCTCTTTGCCATAACATCTCTCAGCCCTGCCTGTCCATCCATCCATCCATCCATCCATCCATCCATCCATTCAACCATCCATCCATCCATCCATCCATCCATCCATCCATCCATCCAACCATCCATTCAGGCTTCCCTAGACTCCCCTCGACTGAACTATGTACAAGGAGTGCCCTGCTTCTGGTGTTGGTCAGCCTCGTTCCCACGACTATTTTCCACACCTCAGGCAGAATAAGAGTTTACACTGAAAACGTGATTGTCTCTCTCCAGCTACAATCTCCTTCTTGGCGTCTCGTCAACACCAGCAGAGCCAAAACCACCAAGGCTTGCAGGACATGGTGGTTTACAGTTCCTGCTGGCACCTGCAGCTTGCCTTTTGCCTGGAATCTGCCTCCCTCTCCCCAAGGCTGCTGCCGGTCTCAGGCGCATTATGCACCCTCTGGGATCAGGTTCCCTCTGCTGGGTACACCGTTCCAGCCACCACACCTGTCTCATTCTTCATTCACCCCTGTCTCCGTTTACCTGTCCTTTCTTATAGCCACATGCCCAAGCTCCTGCACGGTCCTTCTCCAGCACCCAGCACACCCCAGGGTCCCACAGTAGCCTTGGGTGTGTTTCCCCTCTGCACTGCAGACTGATGGGCAGGGACCACGTCAGTATTTCCACCACTGGGCCCAGCTCCCGGCTCAGAGAGGCAGCTGCTCAGTGAGCTTGCTCAGGGCAAGGGTGAAGGAAGAACAGAGCAGATTCCAACAGGAAATTCCAACCCAGAGCTCTCAGCTCAGCCTTAAGGAAGGAGGAGAGATGGGCAAAAAGGTTTGGTCCCCATTCCTGAGTGGTTGCATCACAGGTGGGTGGCATGCAGCACATTCCCTGCCATCAAAACACAAATCTTGTCATGGAAAATGCAGGTCTTGCCCCCATTCCTTTCCTTCTTTTGCAGCAGAAATTCAATTAAACTGATAAATCAGCAACCAGTGATATTTGGCAGGTTCTGCATCCAGCATCCCACTCAATGCTCTGCACAGCTGTCTATTGTGGGTGTCACTTTGAAGATGAGGTGCTGGGCTTGGGGAGGACACACAGTGGGTCCAGCGACATGTGGGTGGCCTCAAGTAGGCAGAGCTGGGGTCTGACCACCTCCCAGATTCCAAAGCCTCATCATTTAAGGAGCTGCAATCTGTTCAAAGTAAATATTTTCAAAAGACTCAAGAGTTCTTACTTTTTGCTTTGATACACTCTTCTTTTATGCTCTCACGGCTGCTTAAAAGGTCATACAAATTAAATGGCTTTAAATCAATGTTATGATTTAATACTTTATATAAAAGAGGGTGCTTAAAATACTTTATACAAAGAAATTCCTTTAAAATTCAAACCACTGGGGAAAACAAAAAAAGAACAATGAATCTGAAATACTAATAAATATCAGATAAGACAGTTGCTGACGTCAAGTTAAAAAAATAAATAAAAGATCCATCTTTTTCCTCCTTGCAGATTGATTTCCCTGAACTATTTTGTGACAGAATCACTTCAAGTCTAGGTGTCTGAGATGCCTCACTGAATGAGCAGACAACATGAATGTTCTAGACACATGGAAGGCAAGCAAAAAACAACACATAAATAAGCAAGCATGGGGTATGTGCAGCGGTAATGAAAGCTATAGGGAAACATAAAGGAAAGGTGGTCAGAAATGTCTCATGCAGGTCATGATTTATATGTAGTGTTCAGACAGTTCTTGCCGAGGGCTTTAGCTCAGTGGTCCGGAACAAGAAAGCAAGCAGGGAAAGAAGATCATGGGTGATGGGGGCATGCTGCTGATATAAGATGGCCAAGGGCATCCTGATGAGGGGACATAAGTACAGAGACTCAAAGGAAAGAGCAAGAGAGCCTGGGGTAACCTGGGGGAGAGAGAGCATGGGGTGACCTGGAGAAGAGAGAACTTGGGGTTAGAGAAACCTGCAAATGGAATGGCCCTGGGTAGGACTTTGGCGGGGGTGGTGCTTCAAAACAGCCACAAGGCTCTGTGTGTGTGTGTGTGTGTGTGTGTGTGTGTGTGTGTGTGTGCACACGCACGCGCATGTGCGCATATGTGCTTTTGGGCATTTCACAGGGCCCCAGGGACCACCGTGACAGCCTCAGTGAGGGATGGCACAGTCATCCGAAGCCTGGACAGACGTGGGTTAAAATAAAGTCACTTAATTGAATTAACTTTACAAGTTCAATGGAAAAATGTTTCACTTGCAGTTAGTCAGCAAAAGCAGGGAATCTGAGTGAAAAGGGATTCTGTAGGTCCTAAGATTGTTTCAGGATACTGTAAAGAGAATAAACGCTACCTCATTGTCTTGGCTTAAAAATAATCAAAACTATCCTTACCTCCTGCCAATGTGTGTGATGAATCCAGGCATGTGTGAATGCATGTAAGAATAATTTCCTTTTCATTGCTCTATATATGTACAAAATATTTTGCATATTCCAGGATATATGTGAAAATTGTTTCTTTCTCTGATTTCCTAATTCAAGATCTGATGCACAAAACCAACATATAAGCATTGTTAAAGGAAATGAATCCACCTATCTATTTCCCCATCCAAACATCTATCCATCCATCCACCCATCGTCCATCCATCCGTCCGTCCATCCATCCATCCATCCATCCAACCAGCCATCCATCCATCCATCTGTCCATCCATCCATCCATTCATCCATCCATTCATCCATCCATCCATCCATCCATCCAACCATCCATCCACCTGTCTGTCCATCCATCCATCCATCCATCCAACCCTCCATCCATCTGTCCATCCATCCATCCATCCATTCATCCATCTGTCCATCCATCCATCCATCCATTCATCCATCCATCCATCCACCCACCCACCCACCCATCTATCCATCCATCCACCCATCCATCCATCCATCCATCCTTCCATCTAACCCTCTGTTTTTCTATCTCTTCCTTCCTCCATCTAGGTTTGAAAATGAAGCTTCAAAACCTATTTAGGTGATTGGAACATGTCATCACTCTCAATATTCTAGCTTCTTCAAGTGGTTTCCCTGAAAGGAAATCCATTTGATTTTCTTTTAAATAAATCTTCTGTTACTAATACCTGATGTGCTGCAAGTATGATCTCATTTTAAAATGGCCACATATTTTAAAATTTACTTGATAAATCTGCATCTACTTTATTCCTATGGAATAACAGAATTTTATAAAATAGAAGGTAAAAGCTAAATACCACCATTCTGCATTAAAAGTCAAAATTTAAACAGGCAGCCATATGTTTTTTATTCATTGAAATTAGGATATTCCCAGGTTAGAGTATGTGAAATTTTTTTATGAAAATTGACTTTCATAACTAGAATAGAAAATTTGACCCCAGGTGGCAAAATCAATTCAGATTCCTTTTGACATTTTCTAACCTTGGAATTTCTCTAGGAGTAAAGTAGTTGCATAAAGATTATATTCTTGGATATTAATTATTTCAAGTAGTTTCCACAGGGAAAAAAGTAAATGTCATTTGTGACAGTTCAGAAGCAAGTCAAGGTTTTACTTCCTCTTGTATGTAAGAAAGGGAAAAATAGGAAATTCGACTAGAAAATGTGCACATCTCCAGGGTAGCTGAAGGGAGTCTTCCTGCACAAAGGGTAGACTTGGGGTGATCCATGTGTGTACCCCGCCTTGATGTGGACCTGGAGACTCCACAGGCATGTCCCCAGAACTCTTGCTTCACTCTGCAGGATGATGACATTTATCACCAAGTGTTCATTTTTATGAACATATTTCTTGAGCTCTGCCTTGAAAAACATTCTTTACATTTGAAGAGCAGGTATCTTGCTTGCTATCCAGGGCAATGATATAGAGTGATATATTTTTAAAAAGTAATCTATTATGTTACTCAATAATTTTATGTAAGGTAATTACCCCAAAATAATCTTCTATATTACTTATTTTAATTTAATCTATTATCAATTATCCTCTGATTTAGAAATAAAGTACAGAATGACATCAAATCATGGGCGGTTGTAATGATTTCTCCCAATATTACCTCTGTAATCTCTAAACTTACGTGGTATCATCTAGTAGTGAATAAGAAAAATAGGGGGTTCCAGCTTGGGGCAAGAGGATGGACTTTTCTGATAGACATACCTGGGTCTGACTTGGTTCCCCAAGAGGTGGTCACAGTTAAGACTGTAACCTTTGATACCAAGTCACTAGGTTTTCATGCTGGCTGGCCACCTGCTCCCTATCTGATCTGCATATTTACTTACATTCCCTGTGTCTAAGTATCCTCATTCTTAAAATGGATACAATGACACTCTCTATCTTAAAGGTGTAGGGGAGAATTAAATAAGATAATACATATTTAAAGTCTTAGAACAGTGCTTCATGTGAATAAGCACTAAAAACAAAATGTTCATTTTCTCCTTATTATAACATATAATAACTTGAGCAAATAATTTCCCTAGACTTATATCCTCAACCATAATGTCAGACAAAAATGCAAACAGAGTTAGGGTGTGGTTTAAATGTGATGGCGTGTGTTCAGATCCTGGCAAATGCCTGCCACATTGTATCTCAATAAGCCTTAGTTTCCTTAACTTTCATTCAGCCTTTACCAATCAGGATGTAAGAGTCACAGTGTTTGTCGAAGTTAAAAAATAAATTATCAGCATCATTCCTACTGTAGAGACTCAACTAACTGTAGATATGCAAGCACATTTTTCAAAAATATATTCATCTCATTTCTTAATGTACATTATTAGTTGAGTATCAGATATGTAGCAAGCACTGTGCTACGTGCAGAGGAGACAGGATGGATAAGAGCCAATCCTTGCCCTTGAGAAGCTCAAAGTCAGGTGGGAATGACAGGCAGATAAATACATAACATGCTAAAGGTTGGTGGTTGTGAGACTGTAGAGAGACGCGGCACCTCAGATACACCTAAATGGAGCAAGGTGACCAACTGGTTCAAAGATAGTGAGAGATGTCTAGGTCCAACCACACCTGAAAGTATTTAAAGCAGGACTTTGTCTCCTTGCAAGGTCAACATGGATCATGATTTGGGAGAAAAAAACACCTACTTGGTTGAGAAGTATTTATAGGCAAGAAGCTGGAGGTAAGTGCTGTGGCCAATTCTCAAGGCAAATAAAGAAGCCCCTACAAGGACACCCACTGCAGTGCAGTGTTGAGCCTGAGACGTTACTTTACATCACATCTCTGAATGGTGAACCTCATGCCTTTAATAAACGTAAGTGTCCAACATTCAGCCAGCAAATGTGCGAAAAACAATGAAAGTGGGCATCAGCATGTTCGATTTTATGGTTGGAGAAGAAGCGGAAACTGATTTCCTGTGATGCCGACTGGGACACTGTTAAGGGTTGAGTTGTGACCCCCTAAATTCCTATGTTGAAGTCCTAACCCCAAGAACCTCAGAATATGACCTTATATTTAGAGGTCAGGTCATTACAGAGGTGATGTGAAACCATCTAAGATTCAAAGGTTTTCCAATACTCTACCAATGGATTTTGAAAACCAAAGCTGACCGGTAGAGTCTTTTTTTTTTTTTTTTTTTGAGACGGAGTCTCGCTGTGTCCCCCAGGCTGGAGTGCAGTGGCGCCATCTCGGCTCACTGCAAGCTCCGCCTCCCGGGTTCACGCCATTCTCCTGCCTCAGCCTCCCTAGTAGCTGGGACTACAGGCGCCCACCACCACGCCTGGCTAATTTTTATTTTTTTATTTTTAGTAGAGACAGGGTTTCACCATGTTAGCCAGGATGGTCTCGATCTCCTGACCTCGTGATCCGCCCGCCTTGGCCTCCCAAAGTGCAGGGATTACAGGCGTGAGCCACTGCACCCGGTCCCGGTAGATTCTAATCTAATTCAGGGTGAAGATTTGGTCTTATTAATTTTTGTAAGGACATAATATAACGGCTGACACAGAAATACAGTTTTGGGATGCGTAAAGAGGACACAGAAAATTTTGGCAATGATTTCTGAACTTGATTTAAAGCTCTCGAATTTTAAAAACAAGTCCAGCCGTGACAGCTTTGAAGGCCAGAGGCATGGTGCCTCCTTGTGCATCCCCAGAACAGGACTGCCTCACTTAGGAAATGCCCCTTAATAAATGCTCCTAGAACTGCAAAACACCTAACTTATTCCAAACTTTCCGGATGAAAAGGCAGAGGATTTTCTACTCCCATTTCAGGTCTCAGACTCCAGCTCATGACTTGAGAAACATCTTTTTCTCTCCCTGGCTTTCCAGAACATTCTCATGGGCCACAGAGATACCCATGAAAGTCCCTTAGCATTGAGCACTTTGATTAATTTATTGTTTAACAACTTATCAAACCCTCTTTTCACTGAACAAAGTTCCTGGAGGCCTACTGAAATATCATATCACTCAGTATAATTTATTCAATATGTGGTGAGGAAGGGAGGTAGGTCGAGAGAGAGACAGACAGACAGCAGGCTGATTTATGACATAGATCGGTGCTGCCTTCTCCTCTTGCAAACATGTCCACAAATGGACAGCACTCTTGAGTAACTAAACTCTGAGAAAACTAACATTGTTTATTTGTGACATCTAATGCCTCAAGAAGAAATTACTGGGAGAGAATGCTACCTTTTATAGGAATTATATTCCCCACCCCCACCAAAAAACTCACATGCTTAAGTACTAATCCCTAGTACCTCTGTCCTTATTTGGAAATAGGGTTGTCACAGATGTAATTAAACAAAACAAAATTATAGTAGAGTAGGACGGGTCCTTAATCCTATATGCCTGGTGTCTTTATAAATAGGAGAAATTTGGACACAGACAGACACACAGAGAGAATGCCCTGAGATGATGAAGGCAGAGATGAAATCACCAAACACCAAAGACTCCCAGAAGCTGGGAGAGACCTGGAATTGACTCTCTCTCAGCCTCAGAGGGAACCAGCCCTGCTGACTCCTTGATCTCAGAATTGCAGCCTCCAGAGCTGTAAGACAATACATTTCTGTCACTGGCTGTACTTCCTTACAGCAGCCCCAACAAACCAACGCTTCCCAAGCACCTTTCGCATTATATGAAGTAGTCCTCCTCCTTCCATGTGGTTTTGGAGGGCCCTGAAGTGGGACCCAGGTGGAATTCATCTCTGGATCTCAGAGAGAGCGCTCAATAAATGCTAAGTGGTAGGTGAGTGAGTGAGCAGTGGAGCAAGAGAATGAGTAAAGGGATGGATGTAGTGTTTGTCTGACACAGAGGCAGAGCAGGGGCCACTCAGTTGGGTAAAGGTCTGCTTGACAGCCAAATAATTTGGGGATAGCCTCTCTCCCATCGGTCACTCACTCCTGAGAGCCCTTCTGCCCTCTCCACTCAGAGGTCACGTGTTTGATCAAGAGATGGGGTGTTAGTGCTCCTTCATTTCCAGTTGAAAGAGATGACAGCATCTGTATGAATCCAAAGCTAACCCCGTGCACAGCAGCACGCCAAGCACAGCAGGAAGCTAAGCAGGCCCATCACGCTGTCCTGTAGGACCCGGAGCTGTTGGCTTCAACCAAAATGCGCCACTCCCCCAAGTACTTTCCTCTAACAATCACAAAGCTGTGAAATGTCCAAGTTTTAAATTATTATTGGGAAATATTTCATCTTTTGAAAACAATTCTGGTTTCCCCATTTTGACACCAAGCAGAATTTGGCCCAAAACTAAAAGCGAGCAACTTTTAAGTATGAAATCAAAATTTGCCTTGATATTGTGCTTTCTGTGTTTGCCATACAATGAATTCTGGAGCAATGGTATTATTTTACTTTATTTTAATTTTCTGTTGTGTTTTGTTTTTCTTTCCTCCCAGTGTGGTCCTTGAACCGCCTGCTAATAAAGTCATCAAGGCCGTGGTGTTCAAATCAGATCTTAAGGCCTCTCAGGTAGAATTGCTTGATGAGACTGGGGAACATGGAGCACAAGGGAGGGGAAGGAGGAGAGAAGAAAGACAATGATACATTTCTGCTCTAATTTATTATTCGGGGTCTCAGACACAATGAAGGGCAATACCTAGTTCTCTGGGTTCCGTCTTTCCTTCATGAGGTCAAGTAGTAGAGGATGAAACAGCACAAAGGAAAATCAACTCGTAAAATGAAGAGAAAAACGTGTCCTTTAGAGGATGAAAAGAAACCCAGACAGAGACTTTCATAGAACAAAACTTGGGACTAGGATGGAACCTCGCTGACCACAGCCCAGTGATTACTTAAGGGAGTCCCATGTTTTACAGACAAGCTTTAGGGGTCTCCATGGGACAAGCTTGTGGTTGGGGAGGCCGAGAGGGCCCAGACCCCAGATGTCCACACCGGGTCCACCAGAGCATCGCTGAGATTTGTTAGAAAAATTGGGATTTCCATGGCTGGGCGCGGTGGCTCACGCTGGTAATCCCAGCACTTTGGGAGGCTGAGGCGGGCGGATCACGAGGTCAGGAGATTGAGACCATGGTGCAACGCCGTCGTCTCTACTAAAAATACAAAAAATTAGCCGGGCATGGTGGCAGGCGCCTGTAGTCCCAGCTACTCGGAGAGGCTGAGGCAGGAGAATGGCGTGAACCCGGGAGGCAGAGCTTGCAGTGACCCCAGATTGTGTCACTGCACTCCAGCCTGGGCGACAGAGCGAGACTCCATCTCAAAAAAAAGAAAAAGAAAAAAAAAAGAAAAATTGGGATTTCCAGTGAAATTTTATTTGAGAAAAGGAGTTTATTTCTTAAAAACAAGTGTGAAAGCCTGTTTGCAAACAGAATCAGTGAAATGAAATACAGCTAAAATCACTTATAATCAGGGACAGATCAAGAGCAAGGATGTTTTTTGTTGTTGGTCCTGTGTATCTCTGTTTCTTATAAGATGAGAAGGGATATTATGATGTTATTAATTGAAAAAAAGACAATTCCTGAGATTTTTGAAAAGGGAAAATATGGACCAGATACCTTCATTAAGATGAAAGCATAGTCTCTATATGCAGATAAGACCCAGGGCATTCCTGGTGTGTCTCGTTTTACCTAATGGCTTTATTAACATAAAATCATTTTCCCATGTACTCACAAATATTTTCACGTTTCTATTTTTTCCTAGATGCTATGGAAAAATATGGCCAAAAAACCTGTCCTTACTTGCATAGTACTATAATGTTAGTGTCGATAGCCTTTAGCAGTTTGTTTCTATTGAGTTGCATTATGCATTTGGGGTGCTTTATTTTCACGTATGATCCATCTCCAATATCTTTATTAGAATTAATGAGCTCTTAACACACAATGACTAATTATCAACTGTCATGCTTCTGGGCCGTTCCTCCTACATTTGATGCCCGCTCACCTCCCCTTCGCACACACAACCCAAAAGCAGAAAGCAAAAAAACACTCTATTCATTAATCCATTCACTAAACATTAATTAAGGTCCGTCTAGATTCTGAAGGCAAAAGTTCAGATCAAACAACAATTCCTCTAAGAAGCCTCCATTGATTTCCCAGATAGAACCAATTCCTCTCTCCCCTCCGCTCCCACAGGACTCAGAGATTCTATTTTCACACACAGCGTAATCTCTCTGTCGATGTTAATTACCCACATCTACGTCCCTCCATGCCCCTCCTCACACTGCGCTGTGAATCTCTGGAGGATGAGAAGCAGGTTTTATTTGCTTCCTGTGTTCTAATGTCACTAAATATGGCCTTAATTCTTCCACATTGTAGGAAGCTTAGTGAAGGAGGCAACAAACAAAACTTCCTAGGATATAAGAGCTTTAAAAATATAAATCAGAAAAAGATCGGTAATAAACAAACATGAACAAAAGAGAGGGGGTGCTGCTTAGGCTACTGGGTCCCGCATCTCCTTTGCTTTCTGCCAAAATGCCCTAAAAGAGCTCCCCCATCCCTCCCAGCCTTTCTGTGCAACCCTGATCCCTCTTCGATCAACTTCAATCCGTTTTTAATGCCATTACTCCACCAACAAATATTGAGCCAACCAACTAACAACTGAGAGAAAATATTTTATTAAAAGGAATCCCATATATATTACTTTTAAAGGTTTTTTGTTTGGGGTATTTTTTTTTTAAAGATGGGGTTTCGCTGTGTGGCCCAGGCATGTCTCAAAGTTAATGAGCTCAAGTGATTACCCTGCTTTCATCCTTCTGAGTAGCTGGGACTACAGGTGCATATTACAAAACTAAATGTTATAAATAAAACAATAAAAGTGTTAGAAGAAAATCCAGTTGCATATCAATATAATCTTGATACAGGGGAAGTCTTTTTATACATCAAAATACTAATGAATGTCATTTTACAGGCCATTGTTATTTTTATTTTTGTTCATTTGTTTTCTGCATATTAGATAACATAAAAATTTTCAATAAAAAAGCATTCACATTACTATAACTAGTCCAGAACTTTCTGCAATTGCCTCTATTTCAATACTTATTTTATGCCAGCCTTTAGTAACAGACTATATTTAAATGCTTCTCTGAAACAAGACCTATGTGGAAAGTAAGTTTACAAATAAAATAAAGTGCGTGCTAGTAAGCATCAGATAATACATATTTGAAACACACGAGAATAAACAGCAAAGCTTAAATTTAAGTATTTTAAGAGAAGAATCCTAAACATAATGCTCTTCATAAATAGTTGTCTGTACCATTTATTCTGGTTTAGTTTACTTCATAAATTGAAAGTTATTTCCTTATTAAAAGAATAGAGGCCTTTCTCAGAGTCAAGAATTTTAAAATGTTTAATATATCACATATATGTGTATATTTGTGTGTGTGTGTGGTCTATACACACACATAAATGCATATAAGTGCGTAAGTATATATAAGACCTAAGGTCAACATTTTACAAGTTGTGATGTCATTACATGTATTAAAATGAACTTTAATAAAGTAATAATATTATACTTAAGGAAGAATGATTTTTCAGTATATTGATGTTTAGGAAGACTTGGAAGAAATCCAACCAAATTCAGCAAAATGTATTGCACTGAAAGTAGTAGAAGACAAGTATTTGGAATAAATTTAAATTTCTATTTGTTTTGGACCTGGTAGATGTGGCAACGCCTCTAAAACAAAAGGCATTATTTTGGGATAACTTGCAGTCCTGATGATCAAAAAGAATGTCACTTGCATAGATCAGTGGCTGAAAGCAAAGAAAGAACCAAGCAAAATACACAAAAGAGCATGGAGAAAAAGAAATAGGAACTCAAAGTTTTAACAAAAGAAACTTGTTTTCTGAAAACACATGGCATTTTTGATCCACTTCTTCATTGAGACTATCTGCCTACATGTTCTCTAACTGACTGATTTCAGAAGAAGATTATTCAAAATATATAGAATGTTTCAAAAAATAAATACTCAATCTCAAAAAATGAATGTTCAGTGCTATCTATACATATCGTTGGGAATGACCTATTCAACATGAATTTGAAACTGTAATAAGAGAACATTTTTAGGGGTAACGATGTCACAAGAAACACATTTGGATGCCCAGCATCTACTCTCAAATGTTGTGGAAGTTAGATTAATGGTTTTCAAATTGTTCTAATTGCTCATTGCTATGGACTGAAAGTTTGTGCTCCCCAAAAATTCATATGTTGAAATCCTAACTCCCACTGTGATTGTATTAGGAGGTGGGGCCTTTGGAAGGTAGTGAGGTCGTGAGGGTGGGACCCTCAAGAATTGGATTAGTGCCCTTAGAAAAGACGCAAGAGTTAGCTTATTCTTCAGCTCTGCTCTCTGCCATCTGAGGAGTCAAAGAGAAGGCACTGTCTGGGAAGCAGGAAGCAAGGCTTCCCCAGATGACAGATCTGCTGACAACCTGATCTCAGACTTCCAGCCCCCAAAACAGTGAGGAATAATTGTCTGCTGTTTCTAAGCCACCCAGTCTTTTGAACTTTATGATTGCAACCCAAAATGGGCTAAGGTGCTCATTTTGTCAATAAGGAAATGAAGGCTTGGAGCAAAGTGCTTAAAATCCTAGTTATTAAATATTTGCACCATTAACCAGACTCCAGGTCTTCCTAGTCCAGCATCATGTCACAATATTAGAAACGACCCCAGGAAAGAGCTCCAGGTAGGTGTCCTCTTCTGAATACTGGCCCCTCACCCGGGCCTCTGCGGTGGTGCTGATCACACTGTGTGGCATTTCCCTGAAGACAATATATGCTCCTTGAGATATTTATCTGATTCATTTTTAAGGGGAAACAATCAATGCATTAAATAAAATGTATCTGGCTCATTTCAAAAAAGAATACAGAATACATCTCACATACAAAATATGTTTAAGTATTTAAAATATTTGATAGGCTGGAAAGGTCAGACAAGTAAGATTCCTCTTCCCTCTGACAGTGTGTGTCTAAATGCCATAAATTTTTAAAACCTGATGTATTCACCTCCAACACCCCAAAGGCCTAAACATTTTAGTCCTAGGAAGTCCTGCCATTTCCCTGATTCCAGCAATCAATTATAGGGATGGGGACAAGAAATGTTATGATGGCCACTGGGATCCACCATTTGGCATCCAGGTGGCCTTTAGCTAAGTGATGAAGAGGACATGGGCAGCCAGGTCACAGAGCATTGGCCTCATGACCCAGAACCAGAATCTGGGGTAGGTCATGTCCTATCACAAGCGACCCTCTAGGGGAATGCATTAAGCAGAATGTCAGGTTGAATGGAAATCACACATCCCTTCTTCACACCTTTATTCATACCTCATGGGAAGGGGGAGCCACAGTGAGTCTGTGGAGGAAAGGAATGGGGGGGCAGGGATCCCAAATCTACAAGGGAAACTAAGTCCCAGCTTGAGGAAGCCTCCAAACCCTGTCTACTTGGTATCAGTCTTCCACCTTTACCTCTAAAGGGATATCAAATTAGTACTTCTCATGAGTCTCTGGTCACCTAGCCGCCAAGCATTACTTTAGTAATTTTAGGACTGTCCCCAGGCAACGAAAGTATTAAATGACAACTATTATTATTCATAATCTCCTGTTTAAAAGTTTTATTTCATATAAATTTACATAATTAAAAATATTTGTAAATAAAATATTGCTGCTCTCGGTTGTGTTCATTATTTGTCTCATCTACCTACCCAAGGGGAACACTTCTTTCACTGTTCTTTCAAAAGCTAACTTTTTAACTTTGAAAATGCCTGTTCCATAGACAGTAAGTGCCAAGTTGAACTCTTAGTCAGTGTGAGTTGGGTTTAACCAAGAGGATACCTGGAAGTGAGGGGTGAGCCATCGCACTGGTGAAATTTCCTGCAGCATCAGCAGGAGTCAGGAGGGCAGGGGAGAAGCTTCATAATACAGGCAGGTGGGCTGAAAATAACTCACCATGCAGGGTTCTAGAAATTGAGGAATAAGCCTTGGTCACGGAGTAGAACAGGAATTATGGGAGGCAGTCTATGCAAAGTATATGCAAATCACTTGGAAGAGTCTGTCACATCGGAAACTTCACATGAATAGCAGCTGTACTAAGTTGAGCGGTGTCACCCCAAAATTAAGAAAGTCCTCTGGAACCTCAGAATGTGACCTTATTTGAAAATAGGGTATTTGCAGATGTAATTAGTTAAGGACCTTCAGATGAAATCATCCTGAATTTAGGGTGAGCCCTAAACCCAATAATTAGTGTCTTCGTAAGAAGAGGAGAGGCCACACAGAGACATAGAGAAGAACCCCCTGCGAAGATGAAGGCACAGATTCAAGTGATACGGCCACAAGCCAAGGAATGCTGAAGAATGCCTGGGGCCACCAGAAACTGGAAGAGGCAAAAATAATCCTCCTCTAGAGCTTTCAGAAAGAGCTCGACCCTGCTGACACCTTGATTTTGAACTTCCCACCTCTGGAACTGTGAGAATAATTTTTTTAAGCCACACAGTTTATGTTAATGTGTTATGACAACCCTAGGAAATGTACTTTAGCCATTTTTATTGTTGTTATATATTTATCAATTGAACCTTTCCAAATGAAAATTATCTTTCAATTTGCATTTGATAGTCAAATTGAACTTGCGTCACTTTTTTCCAAATAAGAAAACTGGGTCATGTATTCACTTTTATTTAATTAAAAGTTTCCAAAAAAAAAAAAAGGTAGAATAGGCGCCAGAATTCAAAATTTAGGAACCTATTGTTTATGTTTCTCCAAAATTCATTTGTCGAAATTATAAACCCCAGTAGGTGAGGGTATTAGGAGGTAGGACTTTTGAGAGGTGATTAGGTCATGAGGATGAAGCCCTCAAGAATGAGATTAGTGCCCTTATGAAAAGACATGAGAGCTTGTGTTCTGTCCTTCTGCTCTGTGCCATGTAGGGATACAAGGACACAGTAAGAAGGCCACCATCTGAAAGCCACATGGACATCAGCAGACACAGCATCTACTGGTGCTTTGATTGTGGATGTCCAGCCCCTAAAATTGAGAAATCAATGTCTGTTGTTTAAGCCACCCAGACGATGGTATTCTGTGACAGCAGCCTGAGTTGACCAAGGACCTACAAAATATTTATTAATCTTCACAAATCAGGGAAATCATTTCTGCCCAGACAACCTCCACTGGGGATAGGCAGCCCTGTAATATCCGAAATTTTACATATATTCACTCTTCCAGCACGTTAAACAGCCTCACCTGCAAAGTCCCACTTTTTCTTTCAGTCTGTGCTTTAATAGTTTATAAAAGCCAGAAATGTCATGGGAAACCAGACAGACCACAGAGAAGTCACACAAAGAGGCATGACCTTTGCACCTGCCACTGACTTTCTGGGAACCTCAGTTTCCTCATCTCTAAAACAGGTGTCCTGGGACACTTGGCAGGGGTAAGAATTGTGTGAGATGATGTGTGAAATATGCACACCATCCCAGCACACTGCAGGCATTGAGCTGGCACCAGCAATGGTCTGGCTATGGCTCCGAGCACCAGCCTCCAACACTTACTGAATGAGGGGAGAACAAAGAGTCACCTCAAAAAGTGGCTTCAGCCCCTAGCCCCCTTGTGTGTAGCCCAGCCAGTCTGTCACTGAGAAAACCAGTGACTGGAGTGGCCACGTGTCAAGGGCTTTGGGAACAGAAAGTCAGGTCCAGTCTGGGCTTTCTCTACCAGTGGGAAACCTTGGTGGGTTTCCAGCCTTGGCGAGCCTTTGTTCCCTCCTCCACAAAAGAAGATCCAAATAATCCCTAGTAACCTGGTCGTAATACTTAAATGATGTGATCTGGTACCAGGACCTGGCAGTGCATAGGCACTCATTCTGTCTTCCCTGACAAGACCCCTGCATGAAACTCAGCGGGTACATTCTCCCCTCCTAGGACACAAGCATTTTTAAAGAGGGTTAAGGTGTAGAGAAGTCCTTTTCTTGGGAAAATGATTCACAAGGCATCTATGGGGAGATATTTTCAGTAGGAAGCTGTGCAGGAGAGCTGGGGGTCCACACACTCAGGGTAGCTGTGAGCAGCATTTCCTTGGGTCATGGGGATATGTATCTGGAAAAGGGCCACCGCCCAGTCAGTGACATCTCTGCCAGGGCCTCAGGCAGACTCTGGCCCAAAGCAAACGGCAAAGTGGCCAACAGATCATGGGCTTTGGGTCTGACAGATCTGGATTCAAATAACAGCCACTTCCCTGCCTTTTGACCTTAGGCAAATCATGTAGACTTCTCTGAGCCACCTCAGTTTCCATGTGAGGAGTAGGGGGTGACAATACCTATGCCACCAGCTATGGCTTCGCCCAAGCACAGCTCCTGGCATGGATCTGGCAGTAAATACATGGGGTTTTCCTCCCTAGTCCATGCATGGACCTCAGTGGCCTTTGGTTTGTCAGTTTTTTTATATTCCTTCGAGATGAAGTTCATCCATTTAAAAAAATAAAATACAAATAAGTTTGATTTAGCAAAAATCTGTGGGTGACATTTGCTAAAGTTGGATTTATGTCTCATTTAATATTTATTGGGATTAAGTCACTGCTGGCCTCACCCCAAAACCCATAGAAAAAGAGAAGCTCAGGTCTTTCTAAGGGAAGTCACGTCTTACACTTCCCCTTTTCAGGAGAGGCCTAGTGAGAATGTGGTTTTGCTCCAGGGGCTGGGGCTGGGGTGGGAGCCTGGAGGATCCTTTCTAAAGGCTGATACCCCCCAGTTATTGGGGGCAAGGGGGCTGAGAAGCATTTCTTCTTGAGGCCCATGTCAACCCCATCCAAATCCCCTCATAACATCAAGCAGAGCAACTAAGACAGAGCCAAGAGCAGCCCAACCTTGGTCATGGGGAATCCTCACCGTCCTCTCTGTCCCCAACCCTGTCTATCCTGGGGAAGACAGCCCAGAGGCAGACATGACCCCACTGTCCCCCGGTGTAGACACAATAGCAGCAAGGAAGACAGCCTGCTAACCTTTCTAGAATCCATTTTTCTCCACACTCCCACACCACGGCCTTCCTTTCTTGCTTCTTACACGCCTGCTGTTAGAAAGATCTTAATTCTGGTGACTGAGGGAAACACAAAATGGTGGCTTATAATCAAATCAGCCCAGAAGCCACTCTGCACCCAAACCTATCACCCGGAGGGACGTGAAAGCTAATTCTTCAAAAGCCAAACACAGTCGTCTCCTTTTCCAAGTCCTGGGATTCAGCTGTCAGGCCTCATGAAAACCATTCTCCTCAAGGTTAAAACCTTAATGCACTGTTTGCACATTGAATCAAAAGAGGTTTGCATAATTAATGGAGCACAGAAAAATCGGGAGACAGAACGCAAAGTAGGTTTTAGGAGAAATAAAAGGCTTGCAGGAGGAAGGCATGCCCTCCTGAGTTTCCTGCACAAGTACAAAGACACCGGTGGAATCAAAAGGCAGGTCATGAGAACCAGCCACAGGGGACCTCTTCCAGCCTTCAGCACAGGGAGGAGAGGAAACAAGATGTCTGGACACTGGGTTTCTGGAGCAATGCTTCCACTGTCCTTCAAATGTGCCTCAAATTGTTCAAGCAAACTCAGAACGTCTCTGCCACGTTCCCTGGAACAATGGAATGTCCTTGCTGAGAAAGGCAGGGAGCAAGACGAAGGCAGGCAGGCAGCATTTCCTCTACAGACAGACACTGCGCAGTGTCCCGCAGCCCCCCAAATTGGGGAGGGATTCCTCGCGTGGCATCAGTAAGGGGCGCTCAGCAGAGGCAGCCTGGCATATGGTGTCTCCAATTTTTTAGTGACAAGTGGCATGTTAGCAGAGCTGCGGAGGAGCGGGGAGAGAGCCGGTTGGTTAATCACTCCCCATTGCCTGCACCCTCAGGCAAAATCATATTGCTTTATGCAGATGAGTTCATAACAGTTTCTTCAATTTGGCTTTTATAGAAAAAAGCGCCAGCTCCTCGCACTGTGTCAACAGCCACCCGAGGGCCTAGCACTTTACAAGGCGAGTGTATTACTATTTAAAGACCAGCTTTTAGCTGAACATCAGGGCTGCCTTCAGAGTTTAATTACCGCCCTCCCCATGGGGCCAAATGAGCCATCGACTCCTCCCAAGGGGGTTCGGCTTGGTACTGATCTTTAAGTAAGTGAACGCTAAACCAGCTCATCTTAAAGCGCCCACATCTGATTTCCTGCTCTGCTGCAAGACAGTAGGTGACTGGTAATGACCCGTGAGCAATTTACAATCCTGGATGTAATTAATCTTCAACTGAAAATAAACCAGTAAAAAAAAAAATATATATATGTACAATATAAAATATATAATAGAATTTGTATTTCCTTTTCTAAATTATCAGAGAAAGATCTCAATAGCACGTGCAATTTCCTGAAACAATTTCCAATTTTATTACAGCAGTTTTTTTCTTTCTCCTCTTACTTTCCTTCTCAATTTGCAAAATTGAATAGAATGTGTTTGAAAGGCCAGGGTCACAGCCTTTCTACATCCTCAACAGTGATCATCAAATTAGTCCTTTTAAAGTACCATTAGGTAGGCATGACTTTGGGATATATAATTGTCCGTTAGAAGACAAATTAACATGTCAATAGTAGTACACAGCGATATTTTATCTGAGAGTGGCCCAAAGAATTAAAAATCTAGTGCATTTTCCAAAAGCCATGGAAGAATCAAAATAGGGTAAAACAAGGCCGGGCACGGTGGCTCATGCCTGTAATCCCAGCCTTTGGGAGACCAAGATGGGCAAACCACTTAAGCTCAGGAGTTCGAGACCAGCCTGAGCAACATGGTGAAACCCCATCTCTACCAAAAATACAAAAAATTAACTGGGTGTGGTGGTGTGCGCCCGAGGTCCCAGCTACTCTGGAGGCTGAGGCGTGAGGATCACCTGAGCCTGGGAGCCGAGATTGCACCATGGCACTTCAGCTTGGGCAACACAGTGTGACCCTGTCTCAAAAAAAACATTAAAAATGTCATTTATCTTCTTGTTTTGAGAGAATACCAACAACAAAAATATTAAAGATACATACATTTAATTTGTAACATAAACAAGCTTGGCAGAACATTCCTAAGGTGTTGACTGAGTTCCAAACAGACCAAGGTATTACATTTTCATTCTGGAAAACTCCTGCTGATTCTTCAGTCATTTACTTCGAGATAAAAAAAAACAACAATGCATCCAGGGCTGTGAGGGTCCCACTACTTGCGCTTAGGAAGAGAACAGCTGAGAACGGTAAGCAGTGGTCCTTACACTACCTTCTCTCAGCATCCATATGACCAAACGAAATAAAACAAAGTTCCCTGATATGTACATTTGTGACCCTGAGTTGAATCAGTTATGTCTGTGTTTTAATAGGCTGCCAACCACACTGAGATACTCAGGCAGCATGAAAGGGTATGGAAGACCTAGGTTCTAGGCCTGTCTCATAAGGTGTTACATTTTGGGACAAGTCATACTTCAGCTCACTCACCTTCATATTTAACAAAGAAATTTAATCTGTTATATTGACGTTTGGAAACCCCAGCTAAGCTAACAGGGAGAAGGGCTGTGGTGAAATGGTGGTGATGAACAAACCTCTTAGAGGTACATCATGCAAGACGAGATAAATAATACTGTTAACTACCAGTATCTAAGCTGAGAAAATGTGCTGGCTAAGTCAACAGGTTGCTGTATCCTTTACACACTGACATAAATGCTGAAATGAATGAAATAATGAAAAGCTAAGCAAAGAGTCTTGCTTTATGGAGGATCCATGGAGCATCAAGCCCTACGCTTGGTATTTTGAGTTCTTGACGTTATTTACAAATGAAAAGAACCCTACCAAAATACTAGTCCTACCTATAGGAAATGTCCGATATCACCCAGCTAGTCATTGGTATCTGGATCCCAGATCCACACCAACACCGAGCCCCAGGCCTGACACTCAGCTCAACCAATATCCTTTCTCTGGGCCGTCCTGCCTCCCAGGGCTTTCTGCTGTTTAGCCATCTACTCAAAAATATTTTACTAGTCGGGCGCAGTGGCTCATGCCTGTAATCCTAGCACTTTGGGAGGCGGAGGTGGGCGGATCACCTGAGGTCAGAAGTTTGAGACCATCCTGGCCAACATGGCAAAATCCCGTCTCTACTAAAAATACAAAAATTACTCAGGCATGGTGGCACGCGCCTGTAATCCCAGCTACCCAGGAGGCTGAGGCAGGAGAATCACTGGAACCTGGGAGGCAGGGGCTGCAGTGAGCCGAGATCACGCCATTGCACTCCAGAATGAGTGACAGAGCAAGAATCCATCTCAAAAAAAAATTGCTTTTTCCTCAAAATTGCCACCAAGTGTCTCAATCCTTGCAATTGTCCCTTAGGACAGACCCTTCTTTCCATTCAACAAGGTATTCCGAACAAACACATTACGTCTTTGTGGATATTTCTCTAGAGTAGTAGTAGCTATTAAAAGAAAAACTTTAGACAAATTTAACAGAGTTTAATTGAGCAAAGAATGATTTGAGAATTGGGCAGCCTCCAGAACCATAATATGTTCAGAGTAACTGAGGGACTGTCACATGGTTGGGATAACATTTATGGACAGAAAAAGGAAAGTGAGGTAGACAAAAGGGACGAGAGGCACAGAAACAGCAGGGCTGCTTACAGGCTTATTTGAGCTCAGTTTGAATAGTTGGATGCAAGTGATTGGCTGAAACTGGGATGCTGTGATTGGCTGAGACTCAGCTACTTGTTACAGTGTAGATTACAGTCCCTTTACACGTCCAGTTAGATGACAGTTCACTATGTACAGAGAAACCTTTAGGTCAAACTTAAAAAGTGTAGTGTTAATGAAAAAAGCCAAACTGAAATATTTAAAGAGGTTTATTCTGAGCCAAATACCAATGACCATGGCCTGAGGCATAGCCTCAAGAAGTCCTGAGTACATGAGCTGCAGGTGGTTGGGTTACAGCTTGGTTTTACACGTCTTAGGGAAACATAAGACATCAATCAATACATGCGAGGTATACATTGGTTCAGTCCAGAAAGGCAGGACATCTTGAAGTGGTTGGGGGTGTTGCTCACAGGTTATAGGTGGATTCAAAGAGTTTCTGATTGACAATTGGTTGGAATTGTCAATTATTCCAACCAATTATTATCTAAAGACCTGGAATCAGTAGAAAGAAACTGTCTGGATTAAGATAAGGGGTTGTGGAGACTGAGGTTCTTATTATGTAGATGAAGTCTCATAGGTGGCTGCCCTTAGAGACAATAGATAGCAAATGTTTCCCATTCAGACTTTTAAAAGGTGCTAGACTCTCTGTTAATCTCTTCAGGATTGGGAGGGCCTGGAAGATGAAAGATCTAGTTATGTTAATAGGGATTCCTTACAGGTGCAAAATTTCCCCCACAAAAGACAGCTTTGCAGAACCATTTCCAAAATATGGCAAGGAAAGATATTTTGGGGTAAAATATTTTGATTTCCTTCTTTATCTGTTATGTGATATTATACTAAAGTTAGGTTGGAATTTGGTATCTTATTGCTATGAAGAATCTTTCTGTCCATCTTAGGATCTCTATTTTAATGTTAATGCTGCTCAGTCGTGTCTAAACTCCAAAAGGCAGAGTGTATAATGAGACATGTCTGATGGCCTCTGTTCCTGTCATGGCCTGAACTACCTTTTCAGGTTTCCTTGGGTCCCTTTGGCCAAGAGGGTGTGTCCATTCAGTCAGCTGGGGGGCTTAGACTTGTATTTTTTGGTTTACAGTAAGGAGGCAGCTGATGTAAAGAGATAAACTCAGAAAAATTGTAAGAGTTCTATTTCCAGCTGGGCATGGTGGCTCACACCTGTAATCCCAGCACTTTGGGAGGCCGAGGTGGGCGGATCATGAGGTCAGGGGTTCAAGACCAGCCTGGCCAACATAGTGAAACCCCGTCTCTACTAAAAATACAAAAATTAGCCAGGCATGGTGGCGTGTGCCTGTAGTCCCAGCTACTCAGGAGGCTGAGGCAGAAGAATTGCTTGAACCTGGGCATTGGAGGTTGCAGTGAGCCAAGATCACACCACTATACTCCAGCTTGGGCAACAGAGTGACACTTCGTCTCAAAAAAAAAAAGAGTTCTCTTCCCTTCCTAGACCCTTCCAATGAATGAGACAGATTCCTTGGGTTCACAGAGGGAGTTAAGAAGAGCTGCCTTTAGCACACTGCATTTCTCAAATCTGATTCAACTGGAAACTCACGTAGTCTAGAAATAGGGGTTTACTGAGGAAGATCTGTATATCTCCCATTGCTGCAGTGTGGGAAACATCTAGAATGTGCCACACTCACTGTCCTGAAATCTTCTATGTGTTAGAAATGTTTCTATCTTCTTCACCAATCACCTATTCTATCTCAGCTATTCCACCTGTGTGCTGCTGCCAAAGGTTGGCAGCTTCATCTACTTTCCATCTGAACCAGATCTGAAACTACATTTAAATCTAACACAGCTGACCAAATCTACATGAAAATTCTTATCTAGATGAATTAGCATATACACAATGTTTATGTATTTTCACCTACCTTCATGAACTAATTTCACCATAATTGATGCCACATAAATAGTTTTGAGACTACAATTACATGTTTTACACTTAAAAAGCTTTCATTTCACCCAATATAATAATGGGCATTATTTTCTATGCTTAAGGACTGAAGTATTACAGCAATTGTAGTAAAAAAGTAAAACATTATACAGCTCATGTGGAAACAGCTTTCTAATTTTTTTAAGACTAAGATTAGGATGCAAATCCAACCCGGAAATTGAACCATCACTAAGCATCTTTGTTCATCTGATCACTGCTCAAAACCATCTGCACTGAATTGTAAGATATTAATAACAAACCGTTTAACAATCAGCTAGGATTAAAGGACAAAGCCTCTTAGGGACAGTTTCTATTGGTGGATTTTAAAAATAAAAGAAGAAACAGCACAAGTCACATTTCTTTCTAGATTGTAGAACTCCACAAAATGTTTTTGTTTATATATTTAAGCAGTGCTTTTATGAAAGTACCACTGGACTTACCTTTTATGCCTTGGAAAGGGCATATGTAGTATCTGAGGATCAAGTTCTTCTGAAAATTTCCAGCAACTTTTAGAGATCAACTCAATGACAGTATGTCATTCAAATCAGCATTTTATATTGAAAGGCCTGTGGTGATAATGTGGAAATCCACCAGGATTCCCCTGATGCAAGGTTTCAGGAGGTATCAGTTATTTGTGTACAGGACACATCCCAAGGCCCTGCAAGAAGGCCCCTGCATTACAATGTATAATGTAAGAAAATTCAGATGTGTCTAACTCTTTGCAAACAAATAAGATTTTTACATATATATCATTAACCAAATATACCTTTAATTTTTTAACCAATCCTTCCTCTTCTAGCCAACAACTGTGATATCTAAATGCTTCTCACTCTTCATTCCCAAGATAACACATCCGTTTGCACCCAAAAGTATATTGCAAACACCTGCCAGCAATTCATGCTTCAATTCTCAAATCCATTTCAACCTGTAAATTTTTCTTCTGAATTATTTTTTTTAACATTCTGTGACAGAGTCATAGGATCACTAAAACAAGACTGTTAAAAATAAAAGGTTCATGAAAGATCACCTAGTTCCATTTTCTCATTTATCATATGACAAAACTGAGGCCCAACAGGTTACGTGACTTATCCTCCTCAGAGCAAAGCCAAGCGGAGGAGGAAACAAAAAATCCCAGATCTTGAATCAGGGTGCTTGTCATTGTTGTCATTTGTAGAGGTATTGTTTAAGACAGGGTCATGCTAGATGTCCAGGCTGGAATGCAGTGGCTATTTACAGATGTCATAACGCTTACTACAACCTCAAACTCCTGGGCTTAAACAATCCTCCTGCCTCAGTGTCCTTAGTAGCCAGTAGCTGGGACTACAGGCATGCATCACCATGCCTGGCTGTTTGTTTTGATTGTTAGTTTTTTTTTTTTTTTTTAATGCGACAAATTGTTGGATTAAACGAATTAAAAACATTTTAGAACATAACTGCAAACAATAAAATTAGACTGCTTCTGCTAAGTCTTACTTAGGTGCAAGATCCAGGGGAAAGGGCAGCTATCATTCTTACAAAAATGGAAAGATAGTTTAAATCCTGGAAATACTTGTCTCTGACTAGGAATGTTTTCCCCTGGCCAGTACCATGGGGAAAGTTCTTCTGTGGACCTAGCCTTTCAGGGACCCCTCAAGTCCTTCACCTTGTGGACAATTTTGGGGAAATGAGCCAATTTCGACAGTCATCTAGTCAACAGTAACAGGAATTCCATTGTGTACTGAATATAGTACTGAGTAAAGAATATGAGTAACAAATCTCAGAAAAGTATATATTACAGAGACGGTTATCCACTCACATAGAGGGAGACATACTCTCCTCCTATGCTGTATTGCACTAAATTATTTTTTAAAATTATAGAGGTAATTCCTATTTTTAGGTATTCTTAGAAGATGACAGAACAAACTATATGTAAAATATAAAATGGATTTTGGTAACCTTCTGGAGGATACTAAGTGTAATCTCTGCTCCCATAATATTTCATTTTTGTTTTTACGTTTTTGTAACCACCAACATGTTGTACTGGAATTTAACACTTGACACATGGTATTGAAATTGTTTATTTTCTTGGTGATTTCCCCCATTACATTGTGAGCCCCTTAAAGACAATGTTTTATTAATTTTCCAGTAGGTAGCACCAAGCCCAGTACCTAGTGCACAGAAGGCATTCAGTAAATGGTGGATGAATTAACAAATAAAAGAATGAGTGAGTGAGTGAATGAAATGATGCATATTTTATATTTCAAAAATCTTTATAGTTTATACATGATTAACTTGAATATTTTAAATTCAATATTCAGGCATTCCTATCCTCACTTTCCAGAAAGCCTGATGATGTTAAGTAACTAGCTCAGGGTCTCACATCCATTACATGAGAAAGCCAAATCTAGAATCCAGATGGCATTCCATTTGCTTGGGGAACACAGGGAAGAAAAAAGCACACGTGATCTTGAGCATTTAAAACACAGCTCTTTAATCAGGCAGATATTTTCCAGATGCCTATAAAAATGTTTTGATAGTAACATCCAAAGAAAAATAGTCATTCCTCATTACCAGAACCCAATGATATGTCATTTCCACAGTACTGAGTTTTTGAGGCACTAGTAATTGGCTTCTGAAACCTTCTAAATATCAAGATCGAGTAATGATATTTAATGATGCCAAAATAAGAATCAGAATGAAATTTTAAACCCACATTATATTGTATTTAATTATAGAAAATGACATATTAACTTCCTCATATAAAACGTTTATTCTAAATGTGAATGCAGAACATTTTGTCAAATTTCAAACCAACGTTTTTTGTTGTTGTTTGTTTTTTAAGACACAGCATCTGATTCTGTCACCCAGGCTGGAGTTCATTAGTGCAATCATAGCTCACTATAACCTCAAATTTCTGCTCCCAAGTGATCAACTTGCCTTAGCCTTCTGAGTAGCTGGCACTACAGGTGTCCACCACCATGCTTGGCTAATATTTTTTTTAATTTTTTGCAGCGATGGGGTCTTGCTATGTTGTCCTGACTGGTCTTGAAGTCTTATCCTTAAGTAATCCCCCTTCCTCGGCCTCCCAAAGTGCTGGGATTACAGGTGTGTGAGCCACCATATACAGCTCAACTGAGGTAGGGGGATTACTTGAGGACAAGTTGGGTGAGAGAGGTACCTGTTAGAAGATACTGTTAAATGTTCCAGAAAAATTCTGTCAGTAAGAAAAATAGAGTGTATAGAAGAAAAAGTGATGTTTAATATTTGCTTAAATTTTCTCTGCACTTTTTCTACCTCCAAACCAAATCACTATATAGAATAATCACCTTTGAGGAAAGACACGTCTAATAATGTTTATAATATTCAGAAGATGAGATTCTATGTATTTAGTTTACTCTTGAACAAAGCCACAGTGTCCAGTCCCCACACAGTTAAAAATATATGTATAAATTTTGACTCCCTCAAAACTTAACTACTAATAGTTTGCTATTGACTGGAAGCCTTACTGATAACAAAAACAGGCAATTAACACATATTTTGTATGTTATCTGTATTAAATACAGTGTTCTTACAATAAAGCAAGCTAGAGAAAAAAACGTTATTAAGAAAATTGTAAGGAAGAGAAAATATACTACTATATGTCTTAGTCTATTTTGTATTGCTATGACAGTATACAGAGGTCTGGGTAATAATTCATAAAGAAAAAAGGTTTATTTGGCTCACAATTCTGATAGCTGGAAGGTTCAAGATTAGGCATCTGGTGAAAACCCCAGACAGCTTCCACTCATGGTGGAAGGCAAAGGGGAACCAACTGTGTGAAGATCACATGGAGACAGAGGAAGTCAGAGAGAGAGAGGGGAGGTACCAGAATCTTTTTAAATATCAGCTCTGGAGGGAGCTCACAGAGTGAGAACTCACTCACCCCTGAGGGATGGCATTAACCTATTTATGATGGATCCACCCCCATGACGCAATACCTCCTACTAGGCCCCACCTCCAACATCAGGGGTCAAATCTCAACATGAGGTTTGAAGGGAATAAATATCCATATCATAGCACTATTCATTAAATGGAGGTGGATCATCACAAAGTTCTCCATCCTCATCATCTTCTCATTGAGTAGGCTGAGGAAGAGGAGGGGTTGGTCTTGCTGTCTCTGGGGTGGCAGAGGTGGGAGAGGTGGAGAAGGTGGAAGGGGAGGCAGGAGAGGCAGGCACACCCAGTGTAAGTTTTACTGAAAAATATCCACATGTAAGTGGACCTGCACGGTTCAAACCCATGTTGTTGAAGGGTCAACTGTATATCAATATTTACTGCTATGGTGTGGATGTGGTTTGTCCCTGCCAAAACCCATACTAAAATTTTATCCCCAGTGTGGCAGTGTTGGGAGGTGGGGCCAAGTGGAAGTTTTTCTGGTTACGGGGTAAAATACTTCATGAATAGATTAATGCCCTCCCTCAGGTGTGCATTCCCCTTCTCTCGGGAATTAATTCCTGAGAGAGTATGTTGTTAAAAAGAGTCTGGCTTATTTGGCTTTTGTCTCTTGCTTCTTTTTTTCTTTTTTAGACGGAGTCTCACTCTGTCCCCCAGGCTGGAGTGCAGTGGTGCGATCTCAGCTCACTGCAAGCTCTGCCTCCCGGGTTCATGCCATTCTCCTGCCTCAGCCTCCCAAGTAGCTGGGACTACAGGCGCCCAACACCGGGCCCGGCTAATTTTTTGTATTTTTAGTAGAGACCAAGATGGTCTCGATCTCCTGACCTCGTGATCTGCCCACCTCGTCTTCCCAAAGTGTTGAGATGACAGGCGTGAGCCACCATGCCCAGCTGCTTCCTTTTTTCACCATGTAATCTCCCTGTACATGCGCACTTCTCTTCTGCTTTTTGTCATGAGTGGAAGCAACCTGAGGCCCTCACTGGATGCAGATGCTCAATCTTAAACTTTCCAGCCATCAGAATTGTGAGCCAAGCAAACACCTCTTCTTAATTTGTCAGCCTCCAGTATTATGTTATAGCAACACAAAATGAACTAAAATGCACTGATACATATATACACACGCACTGATATCTCACTAGACCATACCAAGAAAGACCCAACAATGTGGATCAACAGGATTTTGCTACAAACGTTAGCAATACCTGTTTACTGATCCTACAGTATCTTATTGTGTAGCTTCACTTAATATATTTGGCGTTGGGCATGTAAAAGGTTTTCAAAAGACCTTGTATATTTGCATAGATAATATAAGTATACTTCCATAACTAGTATCCAAGGATCATCGGTAAATTAGTTTCCATGTCTTTCATTAGTCTCAGATACTTTCCATCACATATTTCTATCACTGAGAAAAACAGGTTATCATTTGATTATCTCTTTATCAGTTGTCATTAAAATGATCTAGAGGCCGAGATGGGCAGATTACGAGGTCAGGAGATCGAGACCATCCTGGTTAACACGGTGAAACCCCGTCTCTACTAAAAAATACAAAAAAATTAGCTGGGCATGGCGGCGGGCACCTGTAGTCCCAGCTACTCAGCAGGCTGAGGCAGGAGAATGGCATGAACCTGGGAGGCGGAGCTTGCAGTGAGCCAAGATCGCACCACTGCACTCCAGCCTGGGCGACAGAGCAAGACTCCATCTCAAAAAGAAAAAAAAAAAAATTATCTAAGTTAATTTCACTTATAAAGCACAGACTCCTATCTAGTAAGTCCATCTATAGAATGAGAGAGTGAATTATGTTTTAAATAAACAGAGCAGTCTGCAAACGGATAATCAAATGATCTGGGATCCCACCAGTCATATCTCATTTAGAGCAAGACAGAAACATTGATAGTTCTCTTCATAGCTTATGCATCAATAAAAATATTAGATACACTTTTCTTTTTTACACTTATTTTCAAAGAGATGGTTCACTTTCTCTCTGTATATTGTAAATCCTTCAATGTTATTTTTACCAAGTTTTTGTCCCTTTTCACAAACCATCCTCGTTATTTTTATCACCACTGGAATTGATTTTAAAAGCTTGATTATTCTTGACAGGGCACAGAGGAATGTCCTTCACTACGTATGCCAGGATGAAGTGAATTTATAAGCCCACAAGTAGATCTGATAAGCATGCAGAAATCATTTGTATTATGTGCATAAAACAGTGCCCGATTAAAGGACAGTCACATTTTCTTCTGACAAAATGTCTGTGGCACTCCAGAAAACAGGCTTTATTTTTTAAGGTTTACCTCATAATGAAACAAAGTTTGAAGTGGAAACTCTTAAAATGCACAGGTAGGAGATGCAATGATACAATCCAATGCAATAAAATAAAATAAAACCATGAATGAGCACATTTGGAAGAATGAATTCTCCAGTTAAAGTAGGCCGGGCACGGTGGCTCAAGCCTGTAATCCCAGACCTTTGGGAGGCTGAGGCGGGAGGATCACGAGGGCAGGAGATTGAGACCATCCTGGTCAACACGGTGAAACCCCGTCTCTACTAAAAATACAAAAAATTAGCCGGGCGCGGTGGCGGGCGCCTGTAGTCCCAGCTACTGGGGAGGCTGAGGCAGAAGAATAGCGTAAACCCGGGGGGTGGAGCTTGCAGTGCGCTGAGATCGCACCACTGCACTCTGGCCCGGGCGAAAAGAGCGAGACCCCGTCTCAAAAAAAAAAAAAAAAAAGTACAAGTAAAGACAAATGATTTTAAGCAGAATAGGAGGTTAAGAGAAACAGCCTCTCATATTTGAGCACCTCTCAGGATCCACATAGGTATAGAAACAGAGTTCATTAGAAGTTTATGTTGTAGTTCTGGGATCTCATTTACACAAAACACACAAATTTGCAAACATAAATATCAATGATTCGGGACCTATAAGTCATATAGAAGTCAGCTTATTGCAACATCTATTGAAATGAAGCAGTTCTAAGATACTTAAGAACTTTTTTTCCCTCTCTGTAACGGCTGTTTTGATGCTTTTAAAATTTTCTGTCTTTTTTTTTTTTTTTTTTTTCTTTGAGATGGAGTCTCGCTCTGTCTCCCAGGCTGGAGTGCAGTGGCGCGATCTCGGCTCACTGCAAGCTCCGCCTCCCGAGTTCACGCCATTCTCCTGCCTCAGCCTCCCGAGTAGCTGGGGCTACAGGCGCCCAACTACCATGCCCGGCTAATTTTTTGTATTTTTAGTAGAGACGGGGTTTCACCGTGTTAGCCAGGATGGTCTCGATCTCCTGACCTCGTGATCCGCCCGCCTTGGCCTCCCAAAGTGCTGGGATTATAGGCTTGAGCCACCATGCGTGGCCAATTTTCTGTCTTTTGAACTAAACACTTGTGCTTAAATTCTCACCCACGATTGCTCTTTCTACACTAAAATGTGAAGATGTAGGAGCAGAGAGGCAGCATTTGCAGGGAGACCATGCATGTTGTCTCAATACAAGGAAGGCTCTTCTGTTGCTCCAGGAAATTAGTTGCCCTGGATGTAGGAGTTACCTAGAGAAGCTCAGACAGAGGCTGGAAGATAAGCAGTCAGGTAGGCAGGTGGCTCCAGGGGGACCCCCTGTGTGGGGTGGAAAGCTGGAGGTAAGGATCCGGAAATTCCTGGCCAGCTCTAGATTTCACAACACCACGTTCCCCATGTTCCCGGGGAATATTCACAAGAACCCTGATGCCGATGTCCACCCCATCCGTACTGAACCAGGTTTGCACATCGGTGTTTTCAGTCTACCCGTTGTTAATACAGCGACTCCTCGACTTACAGTGGGATTATGTCTGGAGAAACTCATTGTAAGTTGAAAATATCACAAGTCAAAAGGCATTTAATACCTCTAACATACTGAACATCATAGCTTAGCCTAGCCTACTTGAAATGTGCTCAGAACACTCACATTAGCCTACAGTTGGGCAAAATCACATCCAAAAAAAGCTGGCAACACAATGCATTGTAGAGTACCGGTTGTTTGCCCCCGTGACAGTGTAGCTGACTGGGGATTGCAGCTTGCTGCCTCTGCCCAGCATCAAAAGAGAGTATGGAACCACATATTGCTAGCCCGGGTAAAGATCTAGTTTGAAATCTGAAGTATGGTTTCTACTGAATGCATATCACTTTCACACCACGGTAAAGCCAAATATTGTCATAGTAAAGTCAAACCATCATTGCTCAAGGACCATATGCTTATGTAAAAATCCCAGAAAACAACTTGAGGGTGTCCACTTTGTTTATGAGGATTACATTAAGTGTCGTATGTTAACAAACATTGACAAATGATGCTTTGGGGAAAGAAGGAAAACTCTGAAACGGCTAAATTTCACTAATATTACCAATATTAAATAGCATAGTGTATTTGGTAAGAGCATAGGCTTTCGATTGATAAGGAGCCAGGCTTCATTTCCACACCTATCTAATGACCTAAACTACAGGTGTGGTAACAGTGATGATGGTAACAGTCTAAAATGGCAACCCAGTAGTTCAGATTCAATGTGCCTGCACCCAGCACCCCCTGGTGTTAACTTACCCTACAGTCAACAGTTCTTTTCAGGGTACATGAATCCTTTGAAATATAACCTACAAAATATAGATTCCTGTGTGTATGCTGACTACACGTCGTTCCATTATTTTCTCACCGGCAGAAAGTTCTTAGGAATAATGTAAACTCACTTGTTTTCATTTGTCTATTTCCCCTAACTTTGTTTTCATGGTGACAGGCCACTGGTTCCTGACCTGCTATTTGAGACAATTTATATGATCATCCTTTAGCTTCTGCTTCATTCAGTGATACCCCATTTCCTCTATTTTCCTCTGGCTTTTCTTCAAATGGTTTATATTTTAATAAAACGTGGGGTTTGTGAAGGTTTTTGAAAATGAGACGGTTTTCTTATCTTTCTCTTTCCTTTTTTGTTTCAATCTTAGGTCTGAGCCCAGATCTCCCAACGACATGCTTTCATGAAACAATAATGACGAGACCGAGTGAACTAAGCTGTCTTCAGTTTTGGAGATGCAGAGGCCAACACTGGCAGTTCCTGACATCACTTAAGGGAAAACAAAGCTAGGGGCAAAAATACTAAGGCAGCCTAGATTTGGGGGCCCTTTGTATACACTCCAATTTTTAAAATAACATCTGGGCATACTTCTCTTTTAAACTCTTCAATCCACATATTTTTCATTATTAAAAAGTGACTTCGGTGACATTTTCAAACACTAAACAAACTTAGCCATATGTCCATTTCACTGACTTTCCCCACATCGTGGTCTCTCCTTATAAGGGATGGGTTCCACTCTTGGGCTCAAATGTTTTGCTTTTCTGTGTCTGCTCAACTAACACACCCCTCCTGATATGGTTAGGCTTTGTGTCCCCACCTAAATCTCATCTTGACTGTAATCCCCAGGTGTTGAGGGATAGAGCTGGTGGGAGGTGACTGGATCAATGCAGTAGTTTCCCCCATGCGGTTCTCATGATAGTGAGTGAATTCTCACGAGATCTGATGGTTTTATAAATGTTAGTTTTTCCCAGACTCTCACATGCTCTCTCACCTTCTCTCTCAGGCCATGTAAGATGTGCCTGCCTCCCCTTCCGCCATGATTGTTAAGTTTCCTGGGGCCTCCCTAGCCATGTGGAACTGTGAGCTAATTAACCTCTTTTCTTTATAAATTACCCAGTCTCAGGCCGTTCTTCATAGCAATGTACTTCATAATACACCTCCCTAGACACACCACTCACTCAGAGAAAGCTCAGCATCATGTTTACTGTGTAATTTCTCCTCACTAGTCATTTGCTATTTATTTCTCTCACATCATCATCTCTTCCTGAACTGATTTTTCTACTACCTCTGAAAATAACAGCTCATTAGAAAGTGATCAGAGATTGAGTGAGCAATTGAATATAATTACACAAAATTATACAGACCTTAAACCAGACGCTCTGCTATGTGTATGAGCCTGGGAAAGCCAAAGCCCTGTATTTCAGTACCCAGTGCTGCTGGAGGTCACTATTGTGGCCCTAAAAGGGAAAGAGGAAATGATCCCTGGCTGCAATGCTCACAAAAACTACTTGGATCCTGCCCTAGAAAAAGGACCAGAGACAGAAAGGGCAGCAATACGTCTGTCGCCTGCACGACATGCACTAAAAGTCAACGGCTAGGAGAGAGAGACGCAAAAACAAAGCATCTTATATTTTTCTTTTTATTTCAATTTTTATTTTAGATTCAGAGGCTACATGTGCAGAATTTGGCTGATAGAGACAATCGCCCGGATTTGCTGAAGCAGGGTGAGTTATCCCTAAGAAAAGCTTACACAGAAGTGGAAGACAGTTTATTATCTAGGAGAGCCACCACATCTCAAAATGTCAAAACTGCCAGTGTGTTCTTGCACACTGAAACCACTCACAGGTCAACCAACTGTCTTGGTTTGTCCAGGACTCTCTCATTTTTTTTACTGAAAGTCATGCAACTGGTTAACTTCTCTGTCCTTGCTAAACAAAGATAGTTTGTCTCCCAGCTTGAAGTCACCTGAGATCAAGAGATCTACTACTAACACATCATAGAGAAGCAGCAGAAATACTACCTATATTTTGAAATACAGGTAGTATTATCATTGATCTGGTGGAACTCTGAGAACTTCAATCCAGAAATTCTCAGAGTTCCACCAGATCAATGATAATACTATCTATATTTTGAAATATATATATATATTTGTTTATATATGTATAAAACAAAATAAAAATTTGTAAAACAAAATATATCTATTTGTTTATAGTTATATGTTTATATATGTTTATATGTTTATATATAGTTATATGTTTATATGTTTATATGTTATATATATGTTTACATGTTTATATATAGTTATATGTGTATATATAGTTATATGTTTATGTTTGTTTATATATATGTTTATATGTTTATATATAGTTATATGTGTGTATATAGTTATGTTTATATATGTTTATATGTTTATATATAGTTATATGTTTATATATGTTTGTATGTTTATATATATGTTTATATGTTTATATATAGTTATATGTGTATATATAGTTATATGTTTATATATGTTTATATGTTTATATATGTTTATATGTTTATATATAGTTATATGTTTAGAAGCAGAGCCATAAAAACAGGAAAACCAAAACAGAAAGAGCCTCCTATGAAAAAGCACATTTCAGGGGAGAAGGGAGGCAGAGTGAGAGCAGAGCTGTGAGCAAGGCCAGCCATGCAAAAGGCACGCGGCTGAAAGCCCTTGGTTCTCAGGCTTCCCGCCCATCTGAGAGATGCGTACTCTGTGCCCTGCTGTTTGTAAATGTCAAACATTTAATGATAACCACAATAAATGTGCTTGGTCAGCAGTCCTAAATATGGAAAAAGAAATCAACATAAAACATCTTTGGTAGTTTCTTTTCCTTAAAATCTTGTGTCAGAGGAAAGTACACAGTTACCACTGGAAACAAAGTGGTTAGGGAACTCTACAAAACAGACCACTGCAGGGGAAAAAACAATGATTTTGAGAGTATGAATTTTCCTGTGAGGAACAAAAATGAAAACAATGGTACGTTTGTCCCTTCCAAGTTCTTCACGGATGCCAGTAACTAATCTTCAGAGTAAATTTGGAGAAATTGTTCTGACTATGCACACAAAGAAGCTAGAGGGAAGAGGCAGTGTTGCTTTATTTACTCAGCGTTGACCTCCCACCACCCTCCTCCTTCCTCTACTTCTCTATCAATACTTCTGGCCTTCCTTTGACCTGTTTTGGGGCATGGACTTAGGGCTGAGGACAGCACCAAGTATCTCGCCTGGATCCTGCCAACCCTGCCTCCTACAAAAAGGTCACTTTGAGCCACTTTGTTCCTTTCTCTAGGTCTGTCTCTACTCATGGGATTGTTTTCAAGACTAAATGGAATGAGCACGTGAAACGGGAACCTGCCAAGGCTAGACCCTTCTGTGTCCTATTCTGCCAGTCAAGAAATAAAATTTCCTAAAATTTTGTGTCTTGCCTTAAAAACACACAAAGCCACATTCTTTCCATAACAAATGCAAGTTTATTTTAATACCTAATTAGGGTGAGAAGCTGCTTGGCAATAAGGAGAACTGGTGTGCCAGCAAGGTGTGCTGTACAGACCTAGTTGCTCCCTGTGCCTCCAAGGTGAGCACCTGGAGATTGGAAGGGAAGAGGCCCAGGTGGGATGGGCAGAGGTGGAGGGGAGGATACTGCTCCCCTGACACACATGACCCAACACGGTGCCATTTCCAAAATACTTTAAGGCCATGTTGTGAAGACAACAAAGTAAAGACATAAGACAGGAGCCAAGAAGTGCAGCCTTTGTATGCCTGCTGCCTTCCAGTAGCCGAGGTACTGGCTTCTCCTCTCCAGCCAGACCTGCTCTGCTACCCACCATGGCTACTGGGTGTCTATAGCTGAATGGCCAATGCGGCTAATAGGGCTTACATCTCTTGACAGTTGAGCAGCCATTTAGGGAAATTAGAGACACTGTAGCTCGAAGAAGACCATGAAGAGGAAGTTCTACTCTTATAGAACAGAGAAGCCATCTGTGACTACGTAATAAACTCTCAGGGGTCAGGGTAGGTGATCAGGGGTTTTTGAGCTGACTCTAGCCTATCCACAGCTTCTGACTGATGCTAATCTCAACCAAAGAATGCCAAGATATTAATATGTTCACAGAGAAGCCTCATGCCACTGATGTCATAGAAATAGGTCACACATAAGGAACACCCTTGGATAAGTGACATATCACACTTACATTGGAATTAATTTCCACAAAATTCCATTGCTGTCCCTACCTTCTAAATAGCTTCTGAATTATCATCAGCACCCACATGTTCACACTCAGTGCCTCGGGGGCTTCAAGATGTCCCAGAACCGCAGCCAGCAGCCCAGAGTGTCTTATCTGAAGAAGGGCCATATTGCCTGTCCACATGCATCCTTAACATCACATGGAAAGGGGGATTCAACTTCAACAGAGGGAAAATACCGCCAGGTGAATCACTTTCAACTACACAGAAGGAATCACAAATGTCTGCCTCCAAAACTTCAGAGTCCCAGTTTATTTTGTAAAATTGGACTCTTGTCACTCCTGTCATTTCCACACATGCAGGTCCCCCAGCATGAACGCATGAACCAACAACATGTACCCTTTTATATCAACTTTACACCCCAGCCAAGAGAAGCTTCATGAAAAACGGCACATAAAGATAACTAAAACATGACTTCTCAAACCAAAAGGGTTTAAGTCTAGACGTAAGCCAAACTCTGTAAACCCTCTCTGCTAAATCAGTCATTAAGATGTCATCCTTTTTCCTCTTTCACATATATTATTATTGTCCTACATTTCATGTTTCAGGGTTTTCTCCTTAGCCTGCTGTAAGCATGTGCTTTGGGAGACAGGGCAGAAGCTTTGGCACTGTTGACGCTCAGAAACGGCCACCCTAGATGGCTAGTGATGCTGGGGAGTCTCTCTGGAGACATCATAACAAGAATGCCATGGCCTGAAACATGCTTACCAGCCATCATCCAGAGAAGACAAGACACTGAAAGTAATATCATAAAATCTTACTAACATAATCAAGAGAATCCCATGTGATCTACTCTGCCAGACATTGCTGAACTTTTGACCTTCAACTGCACCTAAGTAGTTTAAGACTCTCCAGACATTCATTGACTCTTGCAAGCTTGCGTTTATCACAATTTAGCTTTTCACACCGCTACTCACCACCCAACACATTATTCATTATGCAAAAGTAATTTGAATTCATCATGCACTGGATTTAGCAAACTTATCTTTAACTGAGTTTCAGATTATTTCTAATTCTCCCTTTAGTTCAGAGCCATATGGGCTTTGTGACACAGAATGCTTTGAAAATAATTTCATTGGCTGGAACATTCAGTGGGCTGATGCCACATTTCTTTGAAAAAAAGTCTGCTAGGAAGAGAAGTAAATATCCCCCCACCCACCACTACTGCTATTGCCAGGTTCCTCCACTCATGTATTCATGTATTTGCTCATTCATTCACTCATTGAACAAATATGTGTTGCACCCTACCAAATGCTGAGCATCATACTTGCTGACAACAGCCTTGGCTTCATTGGCCCTCTGTGAGACACAGGAAAGTGGGGATGGACACAGGTTGAAGATGACCCAAGTCCGTAAGCACAAGCATCCTTTCAGTGCGAAGGAGAAATGCCAAGAAACAACAAGCAGAAGGGGTGTAGGCAACAGAATTATTAAAGACACATAAGCAGGGCCATGTTAAGATGCTCATGGGTCCTCCCTCCCCAAAAATCAGTGTTACATTTTATGACTCTGTAAGTATAAAGACAAATACAATCAGGCTGGATTACATATGTTTTTCCTTCTGATTTTAAAAGAAATTAAAACAATTGTCATGGGCTCCAAAACGTATCCTGGTTTCAGACACTGAACTTACTGTGCCTAGCAAATAGTTGGCCCCGGCTTTGGGGCCTCCCGGTCTTCCACCACCCATTAATTGAACGGCCTTTGTGCAAGGTAGCTAGCTGCTTAATGCCTCCTTGTCTTCCTTGCTAAGACGAAGGAAATGGAAATGAAAGTGCCTGGTTTAGTGCTCAGGACACAGCCAGAGCTCTGCGTTTCCGCATCTCCTCTCCACACCAAATAATAACAATTTGCTCTAGAAGACAATGGACATCCAAGTGAAATAAGGCTCAAGGGACTGCAGCCGTTTTTTATTAGTTATCCACTAGTAAATGCACTAAACCAAAGAAGCCCCACTTCAAGGAACACAGACAAACATCTGTCTCTATAATTATCCATACGCCCCAAATGCCCCTCCTCATCTCATTCCCCCTACTTATCACTCTGAACATATTCTACAATGGACTTACTCATCAGGCCCAACATCTGTCTCCCCTCACGGGAATGCCAGCTCCACAAGGTCAAGGGCTGGGATGTTTTGTTTGCTAATGTGTTAGCATTCCCAAACTTAGATTAGCATCAGGCATAACATAAGCACTCTGCCTATTCCTCGTTAAATGGCATGGATTTGAAAATTATCAGAAACACTAGTTTCAAAAACATTAAAATTCAGTCTTTAGGATATTTTGTTCCTTTCTATAAGAATTTATTCTCTACAAAACTACCACTCTTGATCTAGTGTTTTTTTGTTTGGTTTTTTTTTTGAGACTGACTCTCATTCTATTGCCCAGGCAGGAGTGCAGTGGCGCGATCTCCGCTCACTGCAACCTCCGCCTCTAGTGTTCTTGATAGTGTAGATAATCAGTATGTTTTCCTGTCTCTTCTTCTTTCCATTTCTGATACGTAAACTATGTTTGATTGAAGCATTTAGCAATGAATGGGGAATGCATGTGTACCACCCCCTTCTTCCTGTATCAAATTCTTTTCTAAGTCACAACATCTTATCTAAATTTTATACCATTCTGACAGTTTCCCAAGAAGCAAGGAGAAAGAGAGCATATTAGCAAAGTTACTTGTCTATCCTTATTAAAGCACAGTGTGTTAGTATGGTTCAAATATATATATTTTTTTTCTTTAAGATTGCTGGTCTAGTTGAAAAAAGACAATGAATTTGGATTAATCATTTCCAATATTCTGATTATACAAGCTACCCCATTGCCTCCAAAAAGGAGTTCTCCCAGGTCTTAGGGTGTTTTTTGTCCTTCCCACAGACCACTGCAGGCACAGAAACACTCCAGGCTGTACATTCAAGGAGATGCTTAAGGTATTTATATGTGGAGACTTATGGAAAATACAAAATATTAAAATGATATTTTCTTCCTCGGGGAATATAAACTTGTCTCCATTTTTATTTAAAATGCTGGAAGTTATATTGATTTTTATTATAGAATTAATATAGTCACATAGTAAAAGTTTTAGTAAATACAGATGGGTAGAAAGGCAAAATAAAAATAAATAATAATCTTACACTTTGAGAATAAAATACCAGCATTTTAATGTCTGCCCTATAAGCAGACAATTTTGTGCAGTGGGCAGAATGATGTGAGAGAGGCCCCAGGAGCTCACTCAGGGCAGGCTAGACAATGAGCCAACTGGAAGAAGGGGGTCCTCCTTTCTGTTACCACGAGGGCTGTAGCAGGAGGCCTCTTCCCTTGGCAGCAGGGCCCACATATTCCCATGGGCCTCAGCATCTCCAGGTGCTGGGCAGCTGGCTGTCCCAGACAACTCCAGTAACAGCTGATGCCTAATCCCAGATAGGCTGTTTATCCCCCTGCCTAGTAGCATTTCTTTGGGGCTTACAAGAAGGGAGAGTCACTGGGTGCAGGAGGGTCCCTCAACTGGACACAGACCTACCCACTGTGCAGGAGAGCTGGCCCCAGGGTGCCTTGCTGTTGGATGATGTCAGGATTCACAGCCCTTTCATTTTCTTGCTTCCATTTATTTTCTTCCTTACAGTTTATTCTTTAACACATACTGTGCCACACTGTGGAATAGACCCTTACTCTTGTGATAAACAGTTTTATGTATCAACTGGGTCAGGCTATAGTTTCCAGTTATTTGATGAAACCCTTATCTAGGTGTTGCTATGAAGGTTATTGTGTAGGTGTGGTTAACAGCTGTAATCAATTTACTTTAAGTAAAGGAGATTGTCTTTGATCGTTTACGTGGCCCTCATTCAATCAGTCGAAAAGATTTAAGAGGAAAACTGAAGCTTCCCTGAGAAAGAAGAAAATTGCTCCTGTGAACTGCGGCATCAGCTCCTGCCTGGGAGTTCTAGCCAGCCCTTTCTGACAGCCTGCCCTACGGATTTCAGACACTCTCAGCCCCGCCCCATAGTTGCTACAGCAATTGCCAATTCCTAAAAACACTTCAAGCGCTTCCTCTTCAGATTTCTATCTGTCCCCTATATAACTTACTGGTTCTGTGCCTGTGGTGGACCCTGACTGACATACCTCCCTTGTACCAGAGCTGTATCAGACCTTTCAGGAGCTTCAATTATGAATAAATTAGAAATGACTTCTTTAGGTAAGGTTTATGAAACTTGGAGTTTTTCCTACTTATTTTTTGTGTGTTCACACTGGATTTCAGATGTCAAGAGAGCAAAATATAAATTTAAAATATAAAAATAATATATAGAACATAGAATTAGCAAACAGCAGAAAAAAAAATTTGTGGTATGAACGTAAGGAAGCAAGGACAAATGTAGTGAACAAAATGAATGCCAAAAGCTGGGATGAGTGCAGGAGAACTGAGGTGGATCTCTGCATTCCCCAAGTACCCTGCAGTGGCCTTCAAAGGCTGAGGGCAGTCCATTGATGCAAAAAGAGATCTCCCCAGGTACAGAAAGTCAAGAACAGGTCTAGAGAGCAAAGAGAATGCCCCAGAAACTCAAAGAGCTGGCAGGCAAGCTGTAAAGCAGAAAGAGATCTCCCACAGTTTGGAAAGCTGGTTACTGGTCAGTAAAGCACAAAGATTCAAAGAGTCTGGCTGGTGCTCAGATCCCAAGCCCTTCTGAAGGCAAAGTGCTGACCCCACCTTCACACCATGTGAACCCAAGGTAAAGAGAATCTAGCTCAGGATCCTAACTCTGCAACAGAGCCCAGCACAGCCCAGCCACATGTCAGATTGACTCAGCCCCACATCACCAGCCCGACAGAAGGACAGAAGGAGCATGTCCTTCCTGCAAGGGCAAGGTAAACATTCCTTACTTCAATCTGCACACAATGTTTAGCATAAAACAGAAAGTCACAAGACACACAAAGAAACAACAAAACAAGGCCCATGTTTAAAAGATAACTCATTAACAGAAACAAATATGGAAATGGCCCAGATGTTTGATTTATCACTCAGGAACTTTGTAGCTGCGATGAAGGCTCTAGAGGAAAATACTGACACGTGTGAACAGGTGAAGAACTACAGCATGGGAAGCAAACGGTGAAAGCAAAACTCAGATGGAACTATCAGGACGTAACTGTATGATACTAGGTAGGAAGAATTCATTTGATGGGCTTAATAGCAGACTGGACATAGAAGAGAAAAGAATCAAAGGCAGGCCAATAGACAATATCTAAAATAAAACACAAAGAAATTAAACATGAAAAAAATAAAACAAAGCATCCAAGACCTGTGTAAAAATATCAATCAATATAAACAATTGGAATCCCAGAAGAAGAAGAGAGATACAGGAGAAAAAATATTTTAAGAGACAATAGCCAATATTTTTTAAGTTAAGGAAATACAGCAAGGTACATACCCAAGAAGATTAGCAAACCACAACATAAGATTTTAAAAAGTTATTTCAAAATCACACCTAGGTACATCAGAGGTGAACCTTAAAAGAAAAAAAAATTGAAAAGAAATCTTAAAAGTAGCAAGAAAAAATAGCCCATGTTATATTTAGGGGAAGTATGAAAAGAATGATGGATGAGTTCCTCACAATGGAAAAAAAATTCAAAATGCTGAAAAAAAACTGTCAACATAGAATTCTACATTGAATTCTACATTTAGTCAAAGTATAAATAAAAAAATAAAAGCTATAGAAGAGAGCAATTCAAATATTCTTCTCATAAATAAAATATGAATATTCAAGGTGATAGATATCTCAATTACCTTGATTTGATCTTTACACTTGATATGAATGCTTCAAAAAATCACATGTATCCTGAAGATATGGACATCTAATATGTATCAGTTTAAGAAAATGAAAGCTAAGTAAAGACATTTTCAGCTAGAGAAGAACTCAGAGATTTTTTTAGCCAAAAAACCTGTGCTCCAAGAAATGCTTAAAGAAATGCAGGCTGAAAGAATATCATACATGATAGAAGCTCAAATCTGCAGGAAAGAATGAAAACATAGGTAGTATAACATATAGGTAAAAATAAAGGACCTACTTATTATATTTAATATACATGTGTGTTTGTTTGTATACAGACATACATGTTGCATAATATATTAAGCACATATTAAAGGTTGAGCATCCCCAGTCCAAATATCCAAAATCTGAAATATTCCCATTTTAGTAGAGATGAGGTTTTGCCATGTTGGCCAGGCTGGTCTCAAACTCCTGACCTCAGGTGATCTGCCCACCTCAGCCTCCCAAAGTGCTGGGTTTACAGGTGTGAGCCACTGCACCTGGCCCAAAATCTGAAGCTTTTTGAGATCCAACATGGCATTCCAAAGAAATCCTCATTGGAGAATTGCACATTTCATTAGGGATGTTCAACTACTAAGTATATAATGCAAATGCAAATTCAAATCCTAAAAGATCTGAAATCTAAAACATTTCTGGTACCAAGCACTTGGGATAAGGGATACTCAACATGTGTGTGTGTGGGTGTGTGTGTGTGTGTGTGTGTGTGTGTGTGTTTGTGTGTACATATATATGCATTTCAGCACAACCAGTAGCAATGTGTTATAAGTTTTATAGAATACAGTGAAACAAAAGAATACAAAGAATGAGAGAATAGAATTATATAATTGTGATAGTCTTAGATTTTTTTAAAGTTTAGTATAATTGAAAATTAGACTATGATAGTTAAGTATACATACTGTAATTTCTAGCAAACTCCTAAAAAATAACACAAAGTATATTTAAAAAGTTAATTGCTGGATTATGCAAAATAAGGCAGGAAATAAGAAAGAGAAACAAATACTGGTAAAATACTTAAATACAATTGTATTGATAATTACATTAAATATAAATGAAATACCACTTACATACTAATTAAAAATAAGATTCAAATAAATGACTTTTACAAGAAACACTTAGAGCATAAAGAGATAGATATTTGAAAATAAAATGTTGAAAACTGACATACTATCCAACCACTATGCATCATAAATCTCGACGGCTATGTTTATATCTGACCGAGTACAATTCAAGACAAATAGTAACCCAGAGAGAAAAAGGAGTATATTCTAATGCTAAGAGTCACTCCATCAAGAAGAAGTAATTATCTTAAATGTGTATGAACCTAATAAAGAGATTCAAAATGCATGATACAAAACTTGACAGCACTAAAGGAAGAATGTTGCTTTTGAAAAGCTCACATTCACCATGGAAGATTTTAATATGCCTCTCATTATAACTGATAAAACAAGTAGACCAAAAATCAAAGAACATAGGAGATTTTAATACTGTCAACAAAATTTACATAATTATCTCTAATAGAATACTCCACTCAACAACTATACACTACAATTTCTTGAGAAGATCACATGAAACACTTGCTAAGATGAATCACATTCTGCAACATGAAAAATTCCCCAGCAAATCATAATGATAAAATTCATATAAAGTATGATAGCTGAAAACAATAATATTAAAATCGATCCCAGCACTTTGAGAGGCCGAGGCGGGCAGATCATGAGGTCAGGAGATCGAGACCATCCTGGCTAACACATTGAAACCCCGTCTCTACTAAAAATACAAAAAAATTAGCCGGGCGCGGTGGCGGGTGACTGTAGTCCCAGCTACTCAGGAGGCTGAGGCAGGAGAATGGCGTGAACCCGGGAGGTGGAGCTTGCAGTGAGCTGAGATGGCGCCACTGCACTCCAGCCTGGGCGACAGAGCAAGACTCTGTCTCAAATAAATAAATAAATAAACTTGAAATAAATGAAAATAAATAGCTTTAAAACTACTCAAATATTTGAAAATTAAACAACATGTTTCTAAACAGATGATGACCTATAGAAAAACCACAGGGAAAAATAAAATATATTTTGAATTGAATGAAAATGAAAACACAACATATCAAAATGTGAAAGGCAGTGAAGGTGGTGCATAGAGGGAGATTCATAGCTTTAATTCCCTATTTGAATTGAAAATAATAAGTTGTAAAACAAAAAGTTTTAGCTTTTAATAAGCTAAGAAAAACAACTAAAATATAAGAAAGGAAATAATAAAAACAGCAGAAATAAAATGAAAACACATAAAAGAAAATTAACAATGTGAGAAATTTGTTTAAGACAGTTTAATAAAATTGGTATACTTCTAGAAAAATTGTCAAGAAAAAATGAAAAGAATCTATATCAGTAATAAAAGTAGTAGCATCTCTCCAGGTTCTACAGATATTAAAAATAAGGGAATATCATAAACAACTTTATGCCATTAAAGATACAGCCACTTATATAAAACAGATTCCTTTAAAAACGCATCTTATCACAACTGATGCAAGAAAAAATAGAACATCTAAATAGCCTAATACCTGTTACAGAAATGGAATTTGTAATCAGAAGCCTTCCCATAAAATAAAACAAAAACATAAAAGAAAAAACTCCTGACTAGATGTCAATATCTAAGGAAGGCGTAATACCAATTACCAATCCTTCACAATTTTTTTTTTAATAGAGGAGGAGGGAACACTTCCCAAATGACTTTCTGAGACTGCACGACCCAGATATTAAACCTACAAAAAACATTATAAGTTTAAGAAAAAAGAAAAATATCCCTTATGGTCCAATACACAAAGATCTATTAAAATATTAGCAATTGGATGCTATAAACTTAAAAAGAATAACAGGTCATGACCATGTCAAGTTTATTTTCTAATACAAAATTGGCTTAACATTAAAAATCAGTCAAAATAATTCATTTCATTAACAGATTAAAGAAGAAAAATTATATAACTATCTCAATACATGTAGAAAAAGCATTTGACAACATTCAGCTTCTTTTATGAGAAATACTCAAAAAACTAAGAATAAAAGAGAACTTTCACAATCTGATAAAGGGCATTTACAGAAGATATACAAATAACATGATATCTAACACTGAATTATTGGAAACATTCCCCTTAGGGTTAGGAACAAGGCAAAGGTATTCACTCATCACTTTTAGTCACTTCTAATCAATATTCAACATTGTTCAAGAAGTCTTAGGTAGTGCAGTAGGGCAAGATAATACATTTCAAAAGCCAAACAATGTCAAAAAAGAGAATCACATAAGGTGCCTGATTTTTTTTTTTTTTTTTTTTGAGACGGAGACTTGCTCTGTCGCCTAGGCTGGGTGCAATGGCAGGGTCTTGGCTCACTGCAACCTCCACTTCCTGGGTTCAAGGGATTCTCCTGCCTCAGCCTCCCAAGTAGCTGGGATTACAGGTGCCCGCCCCTGCACCTGGCTAAGGTACCTGATTTTTAAGACTGCAATAAAACATTAGTAATCACTACCATCTCAAAACAATTATACAATTTGATTTCTAGAACAACCATATTGTCAGGCCTCTGAGCCCAAGCTAAGCCATCGCATCCCCTGTGACCTTCACATACACACTCAGATGTCCTGAAGTTACTGAAGAATCACAAAAGTGAAAATGGCCTGTTCCTGCCTTAACTGATGACATTCCACCACAAAAGAAGTGAAAATGGCCAGTCCTTGCCTTAACTGATGACATTACCTTGTGAAATTCCTTCTCCTGGCTCATCCTGGCTCAAAAAGCTCCCCCACTGAGCACCCTGTGACCCCCACTCCGGCCCTCCAGAGAACAACCCCCCTTTGACTGTAATTTTCCTTTACCTACCCAAATCTTATAAAACAGTCCCACCCCATCTCTGTTCGCTGACTCTTTTTGGACTCAGCCCACCTGCACCCAGGTGATTAAAAAGCTTTATTGCTCACACAAAGCCTGTTTGGTGATCTCTTCACACGGACGCGAATGAAACATATATAATTAAGACAGTGTAGTTTTGGCATAAGACAGACAATTAGATTACGGGAATAGAATAGAGATCTACACATATACGGCTCTTTTTAAAAATCAAGGTGCAAAGCCAATTAGGTGACAGGGGATGAAAGCCTGTTTCATAAATAATATTGTAAGAATCAGATAAATAGATGGAGGGAAATAAACCTTGAGTCCGACTCAACTCCTTATGTTAAAATTAACTAGAGAAAAATAAAAGAATTAGGCTTCATCAATTTTTTAAATTTGCTAATTGAAAGGCATCACTAATAAATAGGTAGGCAGGCTACAAATTAAAAACAAAATATTATACTTGACAAAAGATTCATACCCAAAATATATTAAAAAAAAAAACTCTTGCAACTCAGTAGTAAGAAGGCAACCCAAGAAAAATTAGGCAAATGACCTGAATTGTCACTTCCCAGAAGAAGACATATCACGTCCAATGAGCACATGTAACAGCATCATTAGTAATTAGATAAAGACAAATTTAAACAATAATACAATACCATCTCATACACACTATATTGGTTAAAATTTAAAATACTGTTGGGATGAAAAGTTGGAGAGAATATGGAGCAACAAGAACTATCATACATTTCTGGCAAGAGTTTAAGTGGTACCTTTTAGAAGTTTTATAAAGTTAAACATGCCATCCCACTTAGTATTTCCCCAAGAGAAATCCTAACATATGTTCACAAAAAGGCTTCTACAAAAATATTCATACCAGCCTTTCTCCTATTAGTCAATCCCTGGAAACAGCCCAAAAGTCTGGCAACAGAATAGGAAAAATGTTTAGAAAAGAAACAAAGTTCTGAAATCAGCAACAACATGTGTGAATTTCAGAAGTATTATAATTTAAAAGAAGAAATCAGATACCTAAGAATACATACCACTTGCTTCTATTTACATAACAGGTAAAACTAATTTGTGTTCAAATCAGAAAGGATTGCATCTGGGTTGGGTGCAGGCTGGGACACTGATAATTATGGGAGCAAGGGAATCTTCTTTGGGGACAGTTAACTGAATGTTCTACATCTTGTTTTAGGTGGTGTCAACTTGGGTGTCTTCCAATGACAAAACATATTAAGCTAAAAAATGATCAGTGCCTTTTATTGTATATAAATTATAATTCAAAAAATCATTTAAGAGAAACCATGAGTTTCTGTTTAACACAGGAGAACAGAGACAAGTTAAGATAGTGGCAGAATGGGAGAAGACACCTGCAACATCTAAAATCAACAAAATTTAATACTTATAATATATATATAGAACTCCTGAAAAATCCAACAGAAGAAGACAGGAAGCCCCATAGGAGCACAATGAAAAGATATAAATGCGCAATTTTTACGTAAGGTTCAAATAAATTATTTCAAAACTCCTAGAATTAACTAATAATCATAAAAAGGGCTAAGATCACGAAATATCTTTTTATACCTTTGCATCTATCAACAATTAGCGTTGCACCCAGGCGAGTTAGAGAAAACGCCACACTTTGAGACGAGTATACATATGTAACAAACATGCACGTCATGCACATGTACCCTAAAAGTATAATAACAATAAAATAAAAAAAAAAATAAGATGCAAATTGGAAAGGGCACGAGAGGGTATCTTAGTGAAAATTCTATGTGAATTTATATATCATAAATTTATAAATTAATTCATCCATTCATTCATATATTATGAACAAAATATATGTAATGATATATAAATGAATATTCATTTATTTATGTATTATATATTCATTCACCATCCCTTATTATGGAGAAATTTGAAAATATAAAATTATTTACTCAAAAGCTTTATTAAAAAAAAAAAAAAAAGAGTCCTTTATTAGCCGGCGACCAGGCCGCTTCCCTCTTACCAGAACCAGAACAAAGTCAAATCTGACCTACCTGACCCCGGGGTGAGAAGCTGAGGACTCAGATGTTGAATTTTAGGGCACTGACACGGTAGTCGATCCGCTCTCCTCCGGAAGACGGTCACTCTTTGGGGACCTGAAAATTGTTTCCTCAGGTGGCGCCCCCCTCCGAGCCGGCTGTCCTTCCGGGGGAGCCCGGAGCGAGACTGGCTCTCGCCCAGTGGCGTTAATATCTTGCTGGGGCCTCCATTATGTTGTATCCAGGCAAGTCAGAGAAAACGCCACACTTTGGGATGAATTAAGAGTCCTTTATTAGCCGGCGACGAGAGACGGCTAACGCTCAAAATTCTCTCGGCCCTGAAGAAGGGGGTAGATTTTCTTTTATACTTTGGTTTAGAAAGGGGAGGGGGGTCTAGTTAGAACAATTTTACAGAAGTTAAGTAGGCAAAAAGTTAAAAGGATAAATGATTACAGGAAAGTAAACAGTTCCAGGTGCAAGGGCTTTAAGACTACTACAAGGTGATAGACTCGGGGCTTTGGGCGTTATCAATCAGACGAAATCCTGGGAACTGCGGATACAGCTCGCCACAGTATCTTATCAGTTAATTGCATTCTTGGATGTGCTGGGAGTCAGCTTGCACAAGTTAAGTCCTTGAGGAAGGGGCTGCCAGTCAAAGAGCCAAGATGGAGTCTATCTGGCTCTCTTAGCTAAGGGAGAATCAATTCAGGTGGAAACAAGCCTAAAAACAGAGTTAGTAAAAACAAAGTTGGGCATTACATTAGAAAACCAGGTATTTGCAAGGATTGGTGAGTATATAGGAACAGAAGAACCCTCATGCACTGAGAAAAATAGAGTGCAGGCTAACACCGTCACAGCCTAGAGGTATCCGGCAGTATCTAGTTAAACCCTTCTGTGAATAGCCCAGAGACACTCTTACACACCTTCAGAAAGGGACAAGTTCAAGGATGTTCACTGTAGCAATAGGAGGTGAAGTCAGTTGGGCTTCTGGGTAGGGTGGGGACTTGGAGAACTTTTGCATCTAGCTAAAGGATTGTAAATGCACCAATCAGCGCTCTGTGTCTAGCTAAAGGATTGTAAATGCACCAGTCAGCACTCTGTAAAAACGCACCAATCAGCACTCTGTAAAACAGACCAATCAGCACTCTGTAAAACGGACCAATCAGCACTCTGTAAAATGGACCAATCAGTGCTCTGTAAAATGGACCAATCAGCAGGATGTGGGCAGGGCCAAATAAGAGAATAAAAGCTGGCCACTGGAGCCAGCAGCAGCACCCAGCGTGGGACCCCTTTTGCACTGTGGTACCTTTGTTCTTTTGCTCTTCACAATAAATCTTGCTGCCACTCACTTTTTGGGTCCACACTACCTTTATGAGCTGTAACACTCACTGTGAGGGTCTGCGGCTTCACTCCTGAAGTCAGCGAGAACAAGAACCCATAGGAAGGAATAAATTATGGACACAGCAAGATGTATGATGGGGTTGTTGGTCAGTTTTAGAATCCATCCCTGGGAATGGGGATACATAAAATGTGCAGTATAGAGACCATAGAGTACAGTGCAGCAGTTAGGTGTCAGGAATTTAATTTTCAAGTGACATGGAAGAGTTCCAGAAACATAGTGTGGATGAAGATGAAAGATGTATAATACAACTTGATGATGTAAATTGAAACCCACATGCAAACAAAACAACAATATGCATTGTGCAAAACACAGAAAGATGCACATTAGCACATTTGTAACGACAGAGGGAGGTAGAGGGAATGGGCTATAGGGATCAAAGGAAATCAACATAACCAAAGGGGAACAATTCTCACACAGACCACAGCCCACCACAGAAAGCAAGCAAAAGACCTGATGGGTCTGTGTTTTTTTGGATCATCTGAAAGCAACAATACATATGAAGTTCAGAGGTACATAATTAAATTATAATAAATTAATTTGGATTCTGAAAGCAGATCCAAAAAAAAACCTCAATAAAACTTCAGAGTAGACACAGAAGAAAAAGAAGCAGTGAGGAAAAAAAGCTGATTTGATGAAATCACCCAAAGCATAACACAGAGGGGTAGAGGTAGGCAATATGAAAGAAAAGTTAGGAGATATAGAGAAAAGAATGATAAATTCCAATGTCTCTTTAATAGGAGACCTGGAAGAAGACGAAAGAAGAGACAATATTTGAAGAGCTAAAATCTGAAGGAGATTCTAGAACTGACAAACAGCCAGAATCCTTGGATTCTAGAAAGATTACAAGCCAAGCAGGAAAGAAACCCATGTCTTGCCTATATGAAACTACAGACTATTACAGAGCCAGAGAAATATATTCCAACCTATCAGAGAGAAAAAGATTACTGACAAAGTTAAGATCGTCGCTAGAAAATCATTACAAAAATTCTGAAGGAAAATAAATGTCAATATAGGATTCCATCTCCATTTATGTTATTAGTCAAAAATTAAGCAAAACAAAGATGTTTTCAGATATAAGAATAAAAGAATGTACTACTATCAGACCTTCACCACAAAAAAAAGTGAAGATTTTTCTTTGGTACTAAGAGGGTGTCACACTCACATGTGGGATGTCACGTAGAAGGTGGGCATTCAGCCATTGTGAGCCACGTGGTGGCCCAGGGTACTCAGCTGATGGTCAGGCCTCTCTCCTGATTGGCTAGGGTCCGTGCTACACGGATCTTCACTTCAGATCATCCACCAGAACCAATGGTGAATAACAGATTCTAGATCTACCTTGGAGAATCCAACTTTACCATGTTTAATTTTTTTTTTTTTTTTCCTGAGACAGAGTCTCGCTCTGTTGCCCAAGCTGGAGTGCAGTGGCGCGATCTCGGCTCACTGCAAGCTCTGCCTCCCGAGTTCAAGCCATTCTCCTGCCTCAGCCTCTCGAGTAGCTGGGACTACATTAAATTAACTTTTAAAGACTACTGAGGCCTGGTCGGGGTGGCTCACGTCTGTAGTCCCAGCACTTTGGGAGGCCGAGGTGGGTGGATCACCTGAGGTCATGAGTTGAAGACCAGCCTGGCCAACATGGTGAAACCCCGTCTCTACTAAAAATACAAAAATTAGCCAGGCGTGGTGGCGGGCGCCCATAATCCCAGCTACTTGGGAGGCTGAGGCAGGGGAATTGCTTGAACTCAAGAGGCAGAGGTTGCAGTGTGCCAAGATGGTGCCACTGCACTACAGCTATAGCTTGGGTGACAGAGGGAGACTCTGTCTCAAAAAAAAACAAAACAGACTACTGAGAACGTTAAAAAGAAGGTAGATTTTAAAATTGTAATTAAAAGAGCATGGAAAGTAGAAAAAAATCAATAGAACTTATATAAACTTCCACACCAGTAGAAGAAATAAAGGAAATAGAGAATCATCTAATGGGGACAGGAAAGGCGGGTGGGCTGGAAGACAATCCAAGACCAAATGCAGTAAGTGGAAAACACCCAATGTACCAGAAGCCAAAGGAAAAATATATGTACCTACATGACTAACTAAAGAAAAACAATAACAGATTTTGAAAAGTATCTTGTGGAGCATAGCTATGGTGTTTATTAGAAAGAAGTGTATAGGTTTAAATGCATTTCTTTTTTGAAAAAGAAAGACTGGAAACAAATTAGCTCAATATTCAATTTAAGAAGCGAGAAGAATGCAGTAAACTGAAAGGACTTCGAAGAAAGATGATAAAATACAAAACAACAAGGAATTGAAAATGAAAGCTGTGTTTTGTTTTTAAAAAGACGAATAATATAGTATAGAAAAACATCTCAGCAAAACACAAATGATCAATGGGAATGAAAAAGAAGACAGGACTCTGGATAAAGCAGGTCCTTTTAAATCGTAAGAGAATCCTTTAAACGAAGAAGCATATGTGGTCCTCTGGCAGAAGCTGGGGAATGCGCTGCAGCCTCAAGGAGGTGGCGGGAAACCTAGTTTTAGTCCCCACCCTCAGGACTGAGACCACCTTTTGCTAGTTCCATGGGCTGAGCAGCTGTTTATGGCACTTTGTGTCAATCTCTGAGCCAGAAGTGTTCACCTAGGACCTTTTATAAATCTTATCTCTGAAACTGGTGAGGTATACACTCTCATCCCTGTTTTACAGGCGAAGAAATAGGGGCTCAGGAATGTCAAACAGCAGAGCCAGGTTTGCTTAGCCAGTTAGTGGGCAAGCCAGGTTTCAAACCCAGGTTTGTCTTATTCCAAAGTTCATAATCCTAAACTGTAGCAACTTTCTCACTTCCTCCCAGGTGTGAGAGGAGGGGAGTGGGGATGGGGACAGAAACTGGGAGAAAGTGTGAGGTCAGCATTGACATTTTTCTTCACTCTTTCCAAAATACGACTTTCTGCTTTTGCCAGCCCAGCAGAAGCTATTTTTCCCACTGTTAGGTGGGCACATTTGCTACCCAAGCCTTCCAGGGGACACAGGTGTTAGCTGGAAACAGACAAAAAGGCATTGAGTTTGGTAATTCATGGCTACGAGTTTATTCTTACTGCCTTTAAAGCTATACAGTAACATTTTCATATAGAAGAATTTCTTTCTTTTAATTTTTCCTTGTAAAAAAAATTAACAAAGTAACGCAATCAAACATATTTTCAATTCCAAAGTCAAATTGTATCCTCTAAGGATACCATAAAATGTAATTTATTTGATCTGCTTATTTTTAATTCCCAGATCCCATATGCTAGGGAGATTAGCAAATACTAGTGAAATGTGGTTGAGTCACAAGGTAATTACTTTAGATAAATGTCATTCTGCAGTTTAGGATTATGGTCCTAAAGCCCAGTATTTAACGGTACCTGATTAAGCCCTACTGGGATTGGCTATATAGTCCTGGGGACTGTGTATAATAAAACTCTATAAAGTAACATCCATAAATCAGTTCTTCTTCATATATTCCAGTGGTTGATTTCAGGCCTAAATCTGCATCTTGCTGAAGTGTTACAATAGTGTTTAAATAATGAGAATACTTATTATTTTTAAAATGCATCCAAAAACACCTATATCAAATATTTTCACGGTGAGTTTCGGTTTGCAGGTTTTTAATTTTCTGTGAGTCCAAAAATGGGACAAAATATACAAATAAACACATACTCACATACACAGAAACCAGATTCAGAGACCAAGATAACTAACAGTCCCAGCCGAAAGGATCAAGAGCAACACATTCTTAGGTTATGTATTATAAATATATACACATAGTATGTAGTAAACATAGCTTTTGTAACAATTCCCAAAAAGTGGTTTTAAAGTTCAACATTAAGCATACAAGGAGAGATAGCAAATTAGAGACATAAACACACATAATACATATTCCAGGAATTTGCAGTCACTGGGATTCTGTACATATACTATGTACATAAAGATAAGACCTGGAGAAAATGAGCTCTGGTTAGAGAGCATCTGCGTTTTACTAATAAGTACTTACTAGAAGTTGAGATGATATTTTGAACATTGCCTTACTAGAAGCAAGAGTGTCTAGAACACAGTGCCCTATATTTGGAAACACTAAGTGAACAGAACCCATCCCCTGGGCCAGATGGAGCAATAGATTTAACCTAGTGGGAACTGTCCTTTGGTAAACAAAGGAATTGCCTTTATATGTACTGCACACTGATATTTGAGCAATGGAAAAGCAATCCGATATTTGCAACAGACTATTAAAGTCATTACTAGATGAGAGATGAATTAAACTTACCAAAAAATTTTAGGAATCAGTAAAAAAATATATATAGATCAAGGATGACTGACTATGAATGAACTATTGAAGAAAGATCACTTCAGAATTCAGGCAAGTACAAAGTAGAATCACAAAAGGATGTTTAGAAAACCAGTACTGAAGTTTCCAAGAGATCCATTTTATAAATGTAAGGCAAAAGAAATAAACATCCTGGGCACAGCCAGCAACGCAAAGGTTACCAGGGGCCAGTACACATTGTACCATCTGAAGCACTCACTGCTTTTTCTGGGTTGAGGACAGATTATATTAACAATTCCAGACTGGGTTTGATTTCCATTGATTTCGTATCTGGCTGTTCAATTTCCAGAGAGTTGTATTTGTGGTATATCAACTTTCGGAACTATAACCCACAAACGAACCCACAGACACGAATATGCTTCTCGGCCTGGTACATGGAACACGAGCTGGTCCTCTGCCCTCCCTTCTTCCACCACACCTGACTCTGCTGTCCCCACCTGTCTCTTCCCACCCTCACCTCAACTTTAAGGGACCTCAGACCTACCAGGGGAGTGGGAAGGAAAAAAGAGAAGAGGATAAAGGGAGAGAAAATGTCCTAGTTTTTAAAAAATGCCAGTTTCCTTTTGGCTGGAAAACTGGTTCAGAAGGAAATTCCTTGAGTCTTTCAAATATTCAAGGAAACTAATAAACACCCAGAGTGAACCTTAATATACACTATGTCCACTGGGTAATAATGATCTTTCAAGGCAGGTTCATTGATAACAAATGTACCACTCTTGCGGGGGATGCTGATAACAAGGGAGGCTGTGCATGTGTGGGATCAGGGGTGTACAGGAAACCTCTGTACCTTCCACTCGGTTTTGCTGTGAAATGAAACCTACTTTAAAAAATAAAGTCTATTAAAAAAAAAAAAAAGCCCAGATAGTAAAGGATCAAAGTGAGTAAAATTCAGTGGCGTTTTTCTGTATTTTGAAAAGCATGATACCTCTGCATTAAGGAATGAGGCAAAATTGCCAGTGTGCTTGGAACTATGCCCCCAAAAACCTGTAGGGGAAAACAATTCTGTATCAGTCAGAAAAGACCTCATTTGATCCCCACTTCCCATATGTGCCATGGAAAAATCCATAAGAAAAGAAGCACAGAGAAGCTGATATTCCTCCCATGAACTTGCCTGTTGGGGTCAGGTTCCGCTCCTTGGTGTTACACAGGGGCACAGGCATAGCTCACCTGAAGCACCAGTAACTCCAGTTTCAGAGCCCTAGTTACCTCATGGTAGAAGTAACCAGGTCAAGCCTAGGTGATAAATGAATTACATATATTTTGCAAATCCATCTGCAAGTCAGATAAAAGGAACCTTGGAATTATCTCAAGATGTGAAGCTGGAGTGTTATCAGAATGACAAGGATTGAGATCAACTTTCATCTCAGAAGCGTCGGCAGCAGGGCAGTGAGGTGCTAGAAAAAGCATAGAAATCAGGAAGAATCGCAGAATGGAAGAATGAAAGCAGAGGGTGCCCATGGCGATGTGCGGAGAGCTGCAGTCTGCGAAGTGCTTTTACATTCATCAACATCACTGTTCTCATCACACCTCCCTCCCTCAAAGAAGCAGCAGGGACTCTGCAAAGTCAGGTCAGCAGGGCCCAAACATGGCAGCTCCCTGGAAGCCCTGAAGAGCTCTGCACAGTTACCAGGTCCTGCGGAGGGGGTTCTCTCGGTCCAGGAAGCGCTGTAGGTGGGAGCTATGAACCTGAAATTGTCAAAAATCCATCTTGGTGATTCTGATGCTCCACAGATACAAGAACACTGATACAGTTTGGATGTCTGTCCTCTCCAAATCTCATGTTGAAGTGTGACCCTCAGTGTTGAAAGTGGGGCCCAGTGGGAGGTGTTTGGGTCATAAGCGTGGATCCTTATAAATGGCTTGGTGCCGTCTTCACGGTAATGAGTGAGTTTCAGCTCTATTAATTCCAGAGAGAGTGCTCCCAAGAGCTGGTTGTTAAAAAGAGCCTGGCACCACCCTCCTCTCGCTCTTGCTTCCTCTCTTGTCATGTGGGAGGCCATGTCACCTTGCCTTTCACCACAAGTAGAAGCTTCCTGAGGGCTCACCAGAAGCCAAGCAGATGCTGGGGCAATGCTTCTTGTGCAGCCTGTAGAACCGCGAGACAAATCAACTTCTTTTTTTTTTTTTTTACAACTTACCCAGTGTCAGGTATTTCTTTACAGCAATGTAAAATGGACTAACACAAGCACAAAAAGGGTTGGAGAGATGGGAAATATTGGAGCTCATTAGATCCATGAAGATACTCTATTGAGTGTTAAAGAAAAATGCTGCGTGAACCCGGGAGGCGGAGCTTGCAGTGAGCCGAGATCCCGCCACTGCACTCCAGCCTGGGCGACAGAGCAAGACTCCGTCTCAAAAAAAAAAAAAAAAAAAAAAAAGAAAAATGCTTAAAAGAACACATATGCAAAAGTTTACAAGTGGTAATAGATCTACAAGTCTTTTTTAAAGCACAGCAAAATACATGGGCAATTTCAGAGAGGATCTATTTTTTCTTGTTTAATGCTGAATGAAGAATTATTCCACCCACCTCTCAGCAGTAGTGACTGACCAAATAAGAGGGTGTTACGGTTTGGATATAGTTTGGCCTCACCAAGTTGTAGGTCGAAATTTGATTCCCAGTGTTGGAGGTGGGGCCTAGTGAGAGGTGTTTTGGTCATGGGAGTGGATCCCTCATGAATGGCTTGGTGGTGTTTTTGCAGTAAAGAATGAATTATTTATCTACTAGTTCCCATGAGAGTGCCCCTGAGAGTTGGTTGTTAAAAAGAGCCTGGCACCTTCCCTGTGCTCATTTTGTTTGTTTTTGTTTTTGAGATGGAATTTCACTCTTGTCACTCAGGCTGGAGTGCAATGGCACTATCTCAGCTCACTGCAACCTCTGCCTCGCAAGTTCAAGCGATTCGCCTGCCTCAGTCTCCTGCGTAGCTGGGATTACAGGTGCCCACCACCACACCCAGCTAATTTTTGTATTTTTAGTAGAGACAGGGTTTCACCATGTTGGACAGGCTGGTCTCAAACTCCTGACCTCAAATGATCCATCCACCTCAGCCTCCCAAACTGCTGGGATTATAGACATGAGCCAACATGCCTGGTCCGTGCTCTTTTGTTTCTGTTCTTGCCATGGGATCTCTGTGCAGTGGCTCCCCTTTGCCTTCCACTGTGAACAGAAGCAGCCTGAAGCCCACACCAAAAGCAGATGCTGGCACCATGCTTCTTGTACAACCTGCAGAACCATAAGCCAAATGAACCTATTTCTTTATAAATTACCCAGTCTCACGTAATCCTTTACAGCAACATAAAAGCAGACTAACACAGAAAATCTTGTTTGACTGTTCTGTGTCCCAGAGACAGAGTTGATTAAGGAAAATGACAACACTGCATCTTGGGAAAGAGTGTTCAGAAGCACCCCACCCAAAGCTGTTATGAAGGAGAAGGATGTTTCAGCCCAGCGCTCCTCAAACTTCATTTGCATAATAATCACTAGAGGATTTGTTAAAGTTCAATTCCGATTCAGGAGATCTGGGTAGAGCCTGAGATTTTGCATTCCTGACCAGCTTCCAAGTGATGCTGACAGTGACAGACAGCCTTAAGGTGCAAGATATTTCTGGTGACATTGCTGTATATATTTCCAAGAAGGTGCGAGAGGTGTGGACAAAGATCCATGCTTGAAACCCAACTTGCCCAAGAAACACATGGAACACTACCCTGCCATGTCAATACTTACGCAATCCTCAGTTTGTTTCTAAAGCAAATTTCTGTACCTAACAACACAATATGACAGTCTTAATAGCATATAATTAGACAACAGAAGAAGGCTGGACTCTAAGTGGTAGCAAATATGAACATTTGGGGCAGTAACCACATCACACAGCATCTAAAAAGGAAAACAAGGCACTAATTCCAGATACAAAAATAAAGAAGAGCAGATGAGTAATTCAAGGAGTACATTAGAGGACACAACCTTTTCAAAAATAATTTTTAAATCTAGTAAAATTATTATACTTAAAATAATCTTGTGATCAACAAACATACAAAAAAGGCTTTGGGAGCGAATTAATACGTGTAATAATCTCATCAATGAAACAAGGGTCCATTGGAGAGGATATGAAAAAGGATATGTATCAGAGACTTTTAACTGAAAATTACCTCAAAATCATCTAATTTGTATCTACCCGTATTTCTGATGAGAACACTAGGGTCATGTCTTAGCTTTAAGCATCTAATTTTCATGACAAAATCTGGGTTATAACTCACATAATCACATATTTTTCCCAATACAATGCTAATCCACACACTGATTTTAGTGAGTATAGGTTAATTACAGCATCCATTCATGTTGGAAAATGTTTATTAAGTTTTATACAATTTTTTATCACATCAGTTAAAGAAAAAAATGGTGTGTACCCCGTAACTGGCTGCATTACCAAATAAGTGGGAATGCATAGTCTTTATCACAAAATGTTGTTTATCATTTGATAAATCCTTCTCAAATTTTAAGAATGCCTTTCAATAAACATCATCTCTACTTAGCATCTCTGTCATTGAAATTTTATGAAAAGTATAATCATTTAAATAGTAAGAGTAATTTTTTTCAGTGATGCTGCAGCACAAGTTTTAGCCCAAATAAAATATATTGTAAAGGTCATTTTCTGATGTACAAGCCAGATATTCTTTTTTCAAGCACTTGCAAAGCCTTTGGGTGTGAGCTGGAGTTGAAAGTTAAACATCAATTTGCATTTGGTTTAGGAAATCCTTGTCACCTTTTCATGAAATTTCAGCTGTCTCAGTGGATTTGGCAAGATCAAAGCCCAGCACTCAGTCAGCCCCAGTTTTAATCCCTGCCAACAGTCATCATTTGATTCTTGAGCACAAAGAGCTACTACTGGTGCACTGCTGCCCACAGTGCTATGACTTCATGCGGCCTTGTTTTCACCTGCTTCCATTCAGCTGGGTGCATGGCTTCCAATATTGCAGAGATTTGCAAAATTGGTACAAGGAGAATCTAAACTGCAGATGCCTTCAGCTGCCAGGCATGGACTTAAAGGCGTTCCTGATCCACATGACTCAGGATTACAGCCACAGACCTTGGCGGGCCCCTCAGCTGCTCTGAGAAGAGGCAGGATCTACCTGACTCCAAAGAACACTCACTTACAATTGCATTACCTACCCCTCTGATATTAGGTTGGCTCAAAATCATGGATTTTGGCATTAAAAGGTAATGGCAAACATCACAATTACTTTTGCACCAACCTAATATATACTGTCATATATTCAGGAAAAAATTACTTTGTGAATGTCACATGGTTAATATCAACATTAGTCAGAACATCTAAAGGGGGAATACCCTTGTGATGAATCTTAAATACCGAGCAGGATGGCAAAAGTCTTTATAATAAACATGAACAAATGCAGTAAGTTTCAGCAAGTGGTGATGAGGAAAAACTGTGGTGAAATGGACATTTTTAGAGCAACAGACTCTCCTTGTTGAAAGCATGGAGGCTGTTTACTTTTGTTTTACTATAGATTCATAAAAAGTGATGGATAAAAATGGTTGTTTAGCAAAGTAATAAATAATGATAATCTAATACAAATATTTAGTATGGAATGCTCATGAAGATTCTAGTTTTTCATTCTCCCATGACCTAGACGAAAGAAAAAAAGACAGGTTGTTGTTTTTCTTTTTTTCTGCATGTATTATTCAATTTGTAAAATTCTACATGTGGAAAAACATTTAACAAGAAAACTGAATAAGAACAAAGGGAATTATGTTGACAGAGGAAGAAAAAGAAAAACTTTATTCTCATTGAAAAGAAAATGCAACCATTTATGTGAAGCAAAATGAATCACAATCAATGATCAGTATTCTGTAGCCATATTTTCAGGAGCTGGATTTTTCAACTGATTAATTAGGAACTCAAACTGTATGTGTATGAAAAAAAGTAGACTGGGGCAAGTTATTTCCTGTGACAATCCCAGCCGTGCTACCATATCCCTCTCCACTTCTCTGTCTTGTTTTCCAAAGACCATGAAAATAACTATTATTCACAACGAAATTGCAATCAACAAGTCACTTTTTTCTCATGGGGAATAATCAGTGAAGAAACAGCAACCCACCCTGCAGCTCTCACCTCCAAAATACAATTTCTATGCTTTGGCAGCCAATACAGTACAATTAATGTTTAACTCCATGCTTTCTATCTAAACAAAATGAAATAATAAAAACTAATAAATTAGTTCGGGCACAGTGGCTCATGCCTGTAATCCCGGCACTTTGGGAGGCCGAGGTGGGTGGATCACGAGGTTAGGAATTTGAGACCAGCCTGGCCAATATGGTGAAACCCCGTCCCTACTAAAAATACAAACATTAGCTGGGTGTGGTGGCATGTGCCTGTAATCCCAGCTACTTGGGAGGCTGAAGCAGGAGAATTGCTTGAACCCAGGAGGTGGAGGTTGCAGTGAGCCGAGATCACACCACTGCACTCCAGCCTGGGCAACAAAGCAAGACTCCATCTCCAAAAAGAAAAGAAAAAAACACACAAAAAACAAAAAACCAACTAATAAATTACCACCCTTTTAAGATATAAGGTATCATAACTAAGGAAAGTGAGACTAGAAGCTTGGCATTTTTGAAATCATCTTTGGCAATGTATATGACATCAAATGTACATGAATAGTGAAGAATGGAGTTTGCAATCTAGCATGTGCGGTCATTACAAAACCATCCTCACTGCTAAACTTCTGCACACAAACTATTTGAGAATATTAGATTTATTACACTGCTTTGTCCTCTGGTAGCTTATGTCTGGATAACATAGCCAAAAATTATGTACAAATGAACTGGCTCACTTTTTTTAATCTGTCACTCCAAGTTAACACTCTCCTCTCCTATCACTCAGCAGTTTCTTTTAAGATGTAAAAATAAATTTAAACCTAATAACTCCTCTTCCTGAGAACTGAATTGGTAGATATTGTGTCTTCAATCAATGGGAATTAGTAGGCAGTTTCCGTCATTTTGTAAGAAATTCCAAACACTGAATATGAATCTCCAATGTAACTAAGAAATAGACCCAAAGTGCAACAGGATTTTTACCCACAGGGAAGACCAAGCCTAGGCTCAAAGGCCTAGATTCATATCCCAGGTCTGCGACTTACATGGAAGTATGTAAATATAAAATATTAACATGATATGGACAATGGCACTTTGATAAATGCAAGATTCGAATATCCCCTATTTAGTGCTCTATCATTAGGTCCACTTTCTTAACCCATGCTTGGGCCAGAGGGGCACATTAATGAGCCATGGAGCCCCTGCAGGGGTTCTGCCCCATGCATTTACAGCTGGAATTAAATCCCATCTCCACCACTCTGCTCCCAGTGTGAACATGGGGAAAGTTGATTAAACTCTCTGACTTCAGATTCCTCATGTAAAATGTGGGGAAACAGCTCTGACTTAATGGTGTCACTGTGAGGAGTAAATGAGGTAACATATTTAAAGGATTTTGTATAGTGCTGGTGACAGTAACCAGCCAATAGATGATATAGCTAGTAATAGCAATAATAATGTCACTTACTATTACTTTAAAAAATAAATCTCAAAGTCAAAAATACTAAGAAACTAACAAGAGACTATACTTGGGTCTCCCTTTTGTAACTTTTGAACATTATCTCACTTCTGAAAGTCCTGTACCAATATTATCCTCCTCATTTCTCAGGTGAAGCAGCATCTTAGAGGGGTATTGCCCTGTCTAAACCATCTGGTTATCATGGTGAGGTCCAGGATTCTTCCCTTTCCTCATCTTTGCCTTAAAAACATGTATTCTAACCAACTGCCTTAGTTTGTCCAGGCTGCTATAACAAAATGCCATGGCTTATTGATATGGTTTGGCCGTGTCCCCACCCAAAATCTCATCTTGAATTGTAATCCCCATTATCCCCATAATCCCCATGTGTCAAGGGAGAGACCAGGTGGAGATAATGGAATCATGGGGGCAGTTGCCCCATGCTGTTCTCGTGATAGTGAAGGAGTTCTCACGAGATCACATTTTTTTTAGGTGTTTGGTAGAACTTCCTGCATTCAATCTCCTTCCTGCCACCTTGTGAAGAAGGTGCCTTACTTCCCCTTTGCCTTCCATCATGATTGTAAGTTTCCTGGGGCTTCCCTAGCCATGAAGAACTGTGAGTCAATTAAGACTTTTTCCTTTATTAATTACCCAGTCTGGAAACAGAATAATACACTTATAAACAACATAAATATTTTTCCTCATAGTTCAGGAGGCTGGGAATTCCAAGATCAAAATTCCCTCATCACCATTGCCAATAAAGTACTGAGTATCCACCTGTTACCTAAACACGCAATACTAGTTGTTATATAAAGCCATTTGTTAAAAGCCTCCTTACCATTCGATATAAGTAAAGAGGAAAATTGTATGTTAACTTGTTTTCTATCCCAGTATGACAGACATTTGAAACAGATAAAAGGAGTGTACTTGTGAGGGTATGTTATATTGTGTGGAATAGAAAGTGTCCACTAGGGTTAAATTTCTTGGAATAATTCTATTAAAAATGAGTTTGGAAAGAACAAAGTGAGGTAACAAGGTATAAATATACATAAACTCTAGGGTTGTTCCCAAGAAGTGGTCATAGTTATAATAGGGACAAACTGAATTCTAATTTAATATTTTTCACTTCAATCCCTTAACCATATGCCAAGTATACGTTGGCAATACAAATGGCCCAGGCTATTTGGAGAAAATGCATTCGATTTCTAATAGCTTACCAATAATATGTATTAGCTTGTTGGACCCATTTTACAAATGAAGGAATTATGTGTCATAGAAACTACATTATCTGCCCAAGAATTAAAGAGCAAGAAAGGGACAGGGTCTTACTTTGACCTTAGCCAGGACTCTCCCCCATGGCCCAGCTGCCTTCTGGCATTCAGAATTGCTAAATGTGTCACATTTAAGAAGGTAGTCTACAACATCCTGCTGGCATTCAGAATTGCTAAATGTGTCACATTTAAGAAGGTGGTCTACAACATCCAGGAAGGCAGTAATACCCCATTAAAGTTTTAGAGCTAAGTACAATTTTGTTTTCTTTTTCAATCTGACTTTTGCATATATAAAATGTTAAATTTTTCAGGTGAGAAATTACTCTGATAATGCAATTAGTCTGTAAGGAGTTTAGGTAGTTATCCTAAGGCAAGGTAACAGTAAGGATACTTCAAATACTTGAAATATCTGATAAACTATATTAACTCAATATCTATCAAATATCACATACTCATATGAGCTTGTATGTCTTATTTTTAATAAGTTAAAGAGACTCAAATAGGAAGCAAAAGGTCAAGTTATTATTTGGTTTTGGACAATGGCTTCCTGCTCCAATTGAAATAAAATGTAAAGACCTCGCTATCATTTTTAAGGTGTAGTGGTTTCACCCCTCCCTGTCTCTCCCACTTCACTGACCACTTCCTTAACTGTCCACTCCGAAACACCCCTTCTTCCTGTTCTTCCAATACACCAAACTCTTTCTTGCCTCTGTGTGCTTGCCCATGCTGTTCCTTCTGGCTTCTTCCTTCACATTCAAGTCTTGACTTAGATGTCACTTGCCAAGGGAGACCTTGGAGAACCCTTCCTGACCATCTCATCCATCACCCTCACCCCATGTCATCTCTACAGCATCACTCTGGGTTATTTTCTTCACCGCACTTGTATCACCATGGATTATATGTTTATTGTCCTTCCCTCTCACAGAATATAAGCCCCATGAAGACACAGATCGAATTCTAACTTATTGCTGTCCCCAGCCCTTAAGAGTTCAGAAGAACTCACAAGCACGCACATATTTGTTGAGCTAATGAATTGCAGATATTGTACCAGTGATTAAATGGAAACGAGGTTTTAAAAGATGCAAAACAAAATACATTTGACGAAGTTAAATGTTTGAAGAGCCAAAATAGTTTCTGGATTAGAGTTCAAAATTAGTACTAAAAGTATTTTCTGCCCTAAACTGAAGTGTGGTACTGCCTTAGAAACCTGTTAACTTAAACTACACTATTTAAGAGTTAAAGCATATGTTTTATATATTGGAACTTCACAAAAAAGGATTTTTTAATTTTTTTTTATTAAGTCTGTGCTATTAATAATTCTTGAAATTGTTGGTCCTTGGAATAAAGGCCAAACTCCTAGACTTATGTCATGGTTTTGTAGCCTCAACTATCAGCATTCCAATCCTTCACCTTTTCATGATGTTTCTCTTTTTTTTTTTTCCTCTGTTTTTGAGATGGAGTCTTGCTCTGTCGCACAGGCTGGCAGGCAGTGGCATGATCTCAGCTCACTGCAACCTCTGCCTCCTGGGTCCAAGAGATTCTCCCACCTCAGCCTCTCGAGTAGCTGGGTCTACAGGCATGCTCCACCACAACTGGTTAGTTTTCTTTGTATTTTTAGTAGAGATGGGGTTTCACCATCTTTACTGGTGAAACCAGTTGGCCAAGCTGGTCTTGAGCTCCTGACCTCAAGTGATCCACCCACCTTGGCCTCCCAAAGTGCTGGGACTACAGGCATGAGCCACTATACCAGGCTATGATGTTTCAATATTATAAAACTATTTAAAATTATCTGAAAGCATCATGTATCATGGTCATGAGTTCCTCACTGTTATTTTACTATTCAGAGCTAGAATGCTCAGTCTGAGCCAGTTCAGCTTACTTTACACACAGGAAATGGAGGTTGAATTTCCAAGCGACCGAGTGATCCATTTCTGATGTTCATCAGTAAGTCAGACTTACATCTTAAATAGCTGCTAACATTTGCTACCTATCTACAGATGTTTTCCGCTAAATCTCATGTTCCAAAATAGAAGGTTTTAATCGACTCCTATGAACACAGGTTAAATAGCATATTTTGTTGTTGTTGTTTTCGTTTATGCTTTTTCAGAAAGTTACTTAGGTCCATTCATTTATCCCCCTATATTTGAAACAAAATTCTGCTTTCTTACAAGCCCCTTTTCAGTTAATCTCAGGTGGCTATCATACTTAAAATTGTGGAGAATTATTTTCATCCATAAGGCCTGTAGGAAGATGCCCCTACCTCAAAACTTATTGGGATAAAGTCAAAAAAGGGTCATCCTCTTAAAGGTAAAACAGGAAAATATTAATCAATCCTAGATTTGGAACAATAATACACTGTGCAATAGAGTCTGGACATGTGTGGCTGGTGGGTGGAGATTCTGCAAAGCCATGAGTCCCTGGAAGGTAACCAGCAGACTAATTTTACAGTGTGACATAGCTTATCACAATAGCGGACAGGAACCTGGGTTTAAAGAGGACTCACTTGGGCAGTAATCCTGGCCTGTCGTTTCAGGAATATGACCTTGGGCAAGATACTTGTATTCTTTGAATCTCACTCTTATCATCTGAAAAATAAAAACACTAACGACTGTCTCAAGACTGCTGTGAGTATTCAATAAAATAACAGCTGTCAGGCCATTAGTTAGCACAATATTTGGCACAGGGTAGGGGGTAATAAAGAGTAGCCATAGAGATAATGTTGGGATGATGGCCTAAAGAGGATGCTGGAGCACAGTTAGGTGTGAACAGAGGGTCGCATGCCATAATCATAATCAATAACTTGTAGATAATCAATAACTTGTATGTAGATAAAAACTTGACTGTCTACAGTAACAGATGTGGGCTCTCAACTGGGTCCAGCAAATGGAACAAATGATTGTGTTTTTGGTGTTACTCAGGGGAGGGGAGGCTGATGCCAAGACAGTAACCTCAGTCTTTGTAGAGGGAACCCCATATGCTAAAGAGATATCGCTTGAGAATGTTTCATGCTCTTGAGCCCAATTCTATGTGCTCCCTGATGGAAGGACAGGTAGGTATTGGGTGAGGTGAGCAACCAACACTTACTGGGTGCACCTTCAAATAGGACACCTTCTGAAGTCCCCCTAGCCCAGGCAGCACAGGGCAGGCCTTCTTTGGTGCCACCAAGTGCAATTGTGTTTCCTTCTTATTTTACCATCTGCTATGCATTTCTTTCCATATCCATGCCTATAATTCCATGAGTTTGGGAGGCTGAGGTAGGTGAATTGCTTGAGCCCAGGAGTTTGAGACTAGCCTAGGCAACATGGTGAAACCCCGTCTCTCCAAAAAATACAAAAATTAGCCAGGCATGGTGGTGCACACCTGCAGTCCCAGCTACTCAGGAGGCTGAGGTGGGAGGATCACTTGCGCCCAGGAGATCAAGGCTGCAGTGAGCCCTGATCACACCACTGCACTCCAGCCTGGGTGACAAAGTGAGATCCTGTCTCAAAAAAAAAGAAAAGAAAAGAGGAAGGAAGGAAGGAAAAGAGAAGGGAAGGGAGAGAAGAGAAAAAAGAAAAGAAAAGAGAAATTGCTAGGGAAAGGCACATACTGGGTTTCCAAGAGCCATCTCTATTCGAAGGTGTGCAAAAGACTCCCAGTGCTTAAAGGCCCAGCCAAGCTCTGCCCTGAAGGCCAGGGTGCTGTTTGCCTCAGGAACGGGAACACAACCTTTGTAGCTGAAAGTCAGCTCTTCTGAACCTCCTCACATAAAACACTTATCAACAGAAAAGATGAGGCACAACCTAACCACATACTCTGGTTCCAATTTATAAGAGGATCAGATCCAAATATAGTTTATTACATTGAAAGGGATGTTCTGATGAGAATCCATTTTTAAAAGAAAGGAAAATAGCAAAGAAGCAAGCAAGTTGTAGCATTACTACAGTCTTTGGATCCAAACATCGCGAATGAGAAATGCTTTAGGCAAAGTAAAAGTTTTGACCTGAATGAGACGAAGTATCCTGGTACCTAAAGTCATCCCTGTTGGTAATGGGATCCACAGGCGGCAAACTGTGGCCTCTGTGCTCTGTGTGAGTGCATGTGCGTGTCTGGACTGATTCTTAGGCCCTGCTGGCCTGTGGTTTTCCTTTGCGCAAGAACTAGCACAAGGCAGAGCACTAGGACCAGCCTGTTTTCTCTGCAGTGGTTTGCTGAGCCCATGCTCTGGGGGTAAGCCTTAAAATGGCACATGAGCTTGTAGCAAGAAGGACCCTAATATCGTCACATCAACACGGCTGACTCACTTGTCCCCTAATAATAGACAGGTACTACCTAGAAAAGTAGATGTTTTAGAAAAACACTAAAGATATTTTTATATCTGCAGGATCGGTACCACTCTCCAGCTTTCTGATACTTGCTTTCAAATATAAGAGTGCTTCCCCTACATGACACCTTTTTAAGGAAGGACTAATTTTAAAGCATATTAGAGCCCATATTCTGATATTCATTGACGGGTGGGAGTTGATGAGCGTAAGGTGACTCAGAGGCCCTCAATGGCCATTTTTGTCAAAGAGCTTATTGAATTTTGTGGGTATTATTCAGTTAGCTAAAAGAAAAAACATCTTATCTACTCAGAGTTCCACAGCACAAAGAACCAAAAGTTCTTTCTTAATTGGAGAGGTTGGAAAGTATAATTATGCCGTATGCTTGGCAGGTAAATATCTTAAAAACAAGAACAACAGAACACAGAATTGTGGTAATTTCTTGCAACAAGAAAATGTCTTGAAGATGACCTACCTCCTGCACCCCTGACCATACTGGGTGATACGAAATGTGCACATTAAGAAAAACTAGTGAACTCTATTTAGATAATTTTAAGGGAAACATAGAATGATTTTTATGTGATCTACGACCTGACCACATTACAGTTTTATAGCTGAAAATCACTCTTGGGGAAAAATAAAATAGCTCCCAGTTTCCTCATTTTACAAATATTTCATATATATATATATGCTCATGTTCCTCAGTATTCCAGAATTCATCAAAAGATAATAGGTAAGGCAGCATGATGTTATATTAAAAATAAAATAAACAGCATCATCTTCTACACTTGTCTTTTCCCTTAAAATGAAAAAATGAAAGTTTATAAACTCATTTGTAATTAAGATTATAGCTGTTTACAAATATTTTTGCTAGTTAATTTTACCAACCCAATTAATTTATCACATTTTCAGAAACCCAAATCTAATAAAACACACTCTCAATAAATAGTAAGCACTCACAACATAATGCATATATTTAGCCGTTATTTCTAAGCCAGGTTGGCTATTACTAGCTTCAACTAATTTTTGCCTGACTGGAGGGCACTGCTACACCCTGAGAGCAATATTCACAGGGTAAAGAAAAATAATCTACTTTTCCTACATGACCTTGTGTATTTCATATTTATGTTTTATTTCTTGGGAAAATATCTTCTTCAAACGAAATGTCTCCTTTGTTGGTTTAATGACAGAAATGGGGTACTAAGTATTTCACAGAGTTTTAGGATAAAAAGGTTCATGGTTCTAAATCAAAGTTTGCAAGCCGGTTTTTTTTTTTTTTTTAACCTATCTTTTTTACAGTAATAGGCTTTTTTTTTTTTTTTTTTTTTTTGGAGACAGAGTTTTACTCTGCCTCCCAGCCTGGAATGCAGTGACATGATCTCGGCTCACTGCAGCCTCCACCTCCTGGGTTCTAGCTATTCTTCCCCCTCAGCCTCCCAAGTAGCTGGGACTACAGGTGCCCACCACCACGCCCAGCTAATTTTTTGTGTTTTTAATAGAGACAGGGTTTTGCCATGATGACCAGGCAGGCTGGTCTCAAACTCCTGACCTCAGGTGATCCATCCGCCTCAGTCTCCCAAAGTGCTGGGATTACAGGCGTGAGCCACAGTGCCCGGCCTATTTCTTAGAACAGTTACAGATGTATAGAAAAATTGAGGCGATAGTAGAGAGAGCTCCCATGCACTGTCCCCTGCCACTCCCCTATACTCAACTTCCTATATTATGAACATCTTGCAACAGTGTGAGGAATTTGCTGTTAACTAAAGGCCGCGATTTACATTAAGCTGTACTCTGTGTGTTGTACGTTCTGTGCCTTCTGACAAATGTATAATGTCATGTATTCACCATGCTAGTGCCATGCAGAATAGTTTTACTGCCTCACAAATCCCTGGGGTTTGTCCTGTTCATCTTTCCCCACCTGCCACCTTCACATCCCTGGCAGTCACTGACATTTTTATTGTCTCAGCATTTGCCTTTTCCAGAATGTCATATGGTTGGATCCACATACGATGTGGCTTTTTCAGACTTGCTTTCCTTGTGTGGCTGTATGCATTTAAGGTGCTTCCTGATCTTTTTGTAGCTTGATGGATCATTCTTCTCATCACTGAGTAAAAGTCCACAGTTCACTCACTCAGTTGCTGAAGAACACTTCGGTTGATTTTAGTTCGGTTGCCTTTAGTAAACATTCATGTGCAGATTTTTACGGGGAAATAAGTTTTCAAATTATTTGCATGAATGCCAAGAAGCGTGATTGCTGGATCCTATGGTAAGACTATGTTTAGTTTGTAAGAAACTGCCAAACTGTTTTTTTTTTTTTTTTTTTTTTTTTGAGATGGAGTCTCACTCTGTCACCCAGGCTACAGTGCAGTGGCACGATCTTGGCTCACTGAAACCTCCGCCTCCTGGGTTCAAGTGATTCTCCTGCCTCAGCCTCCCAAGTAGCTGGGATTACAGGTGCACGCCATGACACCCGGCTAATTTTTGTATTTTTAGTAGAGACAGGTTGTCATCATGTTGGCCAGGATGGACTTGATCTCTTGACCTTGTGATCTGCCCACCTCGGCCTCCCAAAGTGCTGGGATTACAGGCGTGAGCCACCGCGACTGGCCCAAACTGTCTTTTAAAGTGACTCTGCCGTCTCTGTTACTCCACATCTCATCAGCATTTGATATTGTAAGTTTTTTGAATTTTAGCCAGTTTAGTAGCTATAGAGTAGTATCTCGTTATTGTTTTAATTTAAAATTATTTAACGACATATAATGCTGATCATCTTTTCATATCTTTATCTTCCACTTCTGTGTCTTCTTAGGTGAGGTGATCTTCCAGATCTTTTGTTCTTTTTTAACATTGGATCATTTGTTTTCACATTGTTGAGCTTTAAGGCTGCTTTATATATTTGGATACAAGTCTTTTTCCAATATGTGTTTCACAAAGATTTTCTCTCCATCTTTGGCTTGTCTTTTAACGTTCTCAATTGTTCAATTGTGTCTTTTGCTGAGCAGAAGGCTTTTTTTTATTATTATTATTTTACTTTAAGTTCTGGGATACAAGTGCAGAACATGCAGGTTTGTTACATAGGTGTACATGTACCATGGTGGTTTGCTGTACCTATCAACCTGTCATCTAGGTTTTAAGCCCCACATGCATTAGCTATTTATCCTAATGCTCTCCCTCCCTTGGCCCCCAACCCCCTGGCTGGCCTCAGTATGTGTTGTTCTCCTCCCTGTGTCCATGTGTTATCATTGTTCTGGGACACAGCTAAAGCAGTGTTAAGAGGGAAATTTATAGCACTAAATGCCCACATCAGAAAGCCAGAAAGATCTCAAATCGACACCCTAACATCACAATTAAAAGAGCTAGAGAAGCAAGAGCAAACAAATCCAAAAGCTAGCAGAAAACAATAAATAACTAAGATCAGAGTAGAACTGAAGGAGATAGAGACACAAAAAATCCTTCAAAAAAATCAATGAATCCAGGAGCTGGTTTTTTGAAAATGTTAACAAAATAGATAGATTGCTAGATAGACTAGTAAAGAAGAAAAGAGAGAAGAATAGACACAATAAAACACGATAAAGGGGATATCACCACTGACCCCACAGAAATACAAACTACCATCAGAGAATACTATAAACACCTCTATGCAAATAAACTAGAAAATCTAGAAGAAATGGATAAATTCCTGGACACATACACCCTCCCAAGATGAAACCAGGAAGAAGTCAAATCTCTGGATAGACCAATAACAAGTTCTGAAATTGAGGCAGTCATTAATAGCCTACCAACCAAAAAAAGCCCAGAATCAGATGGATTCACAGCTGAATTCTACAGAGTTACAAAGAGGAGCTGGTACCATCCTTCTGAAACTATTTCAAATAATTGAAAAGGAGGGACTCCTCCCTAACTCATTTTATGAGGCCATCATCTCCTGATACCAAAACCTGGCAGAGATACAACAATAAAAAGAGCAGAAGTTTTTAAATTGAAGGAAGTCAAACTATCTTAGCTAGCTTGGGTTGCTATAAGAAAATACCATCAACTGGGTAATTTATGAACAACTGACATTTCTCACAGTGCTGGAGACTGGATAGTCCAAGATCAGGGCACCAGCAGATTTGCTGTCTTGTGTGGAGCTGCTTTCTGGTTCATAGATGGTGATTCTTGCTACGTCCTCACATGGTGGAAGAGACAAGGCAGCTCTCTGGGGTCTTTATTATATGGGCACTAATCTCATTCACGAGGGCAGAGACCTCATGATTTAATCACCTCTCAAAGGCCCCACCTCCTAAGACTATCACAACATATGAATTTTGGGGAGACACATACATCCAGACCATAGCACCAACTTATTAATTTGTCCTTTCATTCGTCATACTTTTGCGGTTGTATCTAAAAAGTCAAAACCAAACCCAAGGTTACCTAGACTTCCTCCTATATTATCTTTTAGTAGTTGTATTGTTTTGCACTTTATATGTGGGTCTCTAATCAATTTTGAGTTTTTTTGTTGTTGTTGTTAAAGCACGTATTGTAAAATATTTGCTAAATTTTGTGTCTAGTTTCTTTCACACATGGATTTTCAGGTGTTCCAGCATTATTTGTTGAAAAGACTATCCTTTCCCCATTGAATTGTCTTTGTTCCTTTGTCAATATTCAGTTGAATATATTTGTGTGCATCTGTTTCTGAGCCCTCATTCTGTTCCATTGACCTACTTGCCTGTTCTTCCACCAACACCAGAAGCTAGTGATTACCAAAAGTCTTGAAGTCAGGTAATGTCAGTTCTCTCATGGTTCTTCTACAGTATCTCCTTGCCTATTCTAGGTCTTTTAGCTTTCCATGTAAGCTTTAGAATCAGTTTTTCAATGTGTAAAAATTGGCTTGCTGAGATTTTGATTGGGATGACTCTGAATCTATAAATCAAGTTGAGAAAAACTGACATCGTAACAAAATTGAGTCCTGTCCATGACAATAGAATCTCTCTCCATTTCTATATATCTTGTCTATTTCATTAGAGTTTTGTAGTTTTCTTCATGTAAATACTGTCCAGATGTAGTTAGATTAATATTTAAGTGGGTTTTTTGGTGCTAATAGAAATTATATTGGTTTTTCATTTCAAATTCCAATTGTTTATTGCTGGTACATTGGAAAGCAATTGACTTTCATATATTAGTCTTGTATCCTGCAACCCTCTATGACTACTTATTAATTCCAGAAATTTTTTTGTTAACTGTTTCAGATTTTCAAATAGACTACCATGTCATCTGTGAACAAGGACAATTTTATTTATTTCTTCTCAATCTGTATATATTTTATTTCCTTTTCTTGCCTTCCTGGATTAGCTCAGACTTCCAGCACAATGTTGAAAAGGAGTGATGAAAAGGAAAATCTTTTACTTGTTCCAATCTTAGAGGGAAGAAACTTATTTTCTCATTATTAAGTATGATGTCTGTTATAGGTTTTATGTAGATTCTTTTTTCCAAGATGAGGAAGTTCCCCTCTATTCCTAGTTTGCTGAGACATTTTTATCATAAATAAGTGCCGGTTTTACCAAATTCTTTTTTGCATCTGTTGTTATGATCATATGATTTTCATTCTTCAGCCTATTATAATGCGATAGGTTACATTTCCTCATTTTCTAATGTTAAAGCATCCTTCAATACCTGGAATAAATCCAAATGCATCATGGTACATTATTCTTTTTATACATTGTTGGATTTAATCTGCTAGTATTTTATTGAGTAATTTTGTATCTAAATTCATTAGAGCTATTGATCTGTAGTTTTCTTGTGATGTCTTTATCTGTTTTGGTTTTAGGATAATACTGGCCTCATCAAATGAGTTAGCAAATGTTCCCTCTGCTTCTACTTTTTTTTTTTTTTTTTTTTTTTTTGAGATTGGGTCTCACTCTGTCACTTAGTCTGGAGTGCAGTGGCTAGATCTCTGCTCACTACAACCTCTGTCTCCCAGGCTGAAGTAATTCTCCCACCTCAGCCTCCCAAGTAGCTGGGACTATAGCCATGTGCCTCCATGCTCAGATAATTATTTGTATTTTTTGTAGAGACAGGGTTTGTCATGTTGCCCAGGCTGGTCTGGAAATCCTGAGCTCAAGCAATCCGCCCGCTGCGGCTTCTCAAAGTGCTGAGATCATAGTCATGAGACATAACGTCAGCTCAGCTTTTATTTTTAGGAAGAGATTGCAAAGAATTGGTATCATTTTTTTTCTTTAAGAGTTGGTAGATTTCACTAGTGCAAACACTGGTGCCTGATGCTATCTTTTTTGGAAGGTTATTAATTATTGAGTCAATTTCTTTCATTGATATAGGCCCATTCAGAATATCTGTTTCTCCTTATACAAATCTTGATAGTCTGTGTCCTTCAAGAAATTAGTTTATTTCATCCAAGTATTCAAATTTATGGCTACAGGGCTTTTCATAACCCTATTATCCCTTTAATTATTATCCTTTTAACATCTATGAAAGCATTCCTGATGAGTTCTCTTTTATTTCCAATATTAATAATTCATGTCTTCTTTTTGCTTGATAGCCAGGTTAGAGGTTTACCAATTTTATTGACATTTTTAAAGAACCAGATTTTAGTTTTGCTGATTTTCTCTACTGGTTTCCTGGTCTCAATGTAGCTGATTTCTGGTCTAAGTTTTATTATTTTCTTTCTTCTGCTTGTTTTAGGCTGATATTGCACTTCTTACTCCAGTTTTCTAAGGTGGAAGCTTCGACTATTGATTTCAAATCTTTTTTCTTTTCTAATCTATGCATTCAATGTTATAAGTTTTCTGTGAAGCAGTGATTTCATTGCATCCCACATTTTGATAGGTTATATTTTCATTTAGTTACAAATAATTTAAATTTCCCTTGAGATTTCTGCTTTGACTTATGTGTTATTTGGAAGTGTATTTTTATTCTCCAAATATTTAGAGATTTGCAGCTGTCTTTATGTTATTAAATTTAATTCCATTGAAGTTTAATTTCATTATAATCAAGACCATATTTTATATGATGTCTATGATTTTAATTTTCTTGAGATGTCTTTTATAGTCCAGAATATAGTCTTGGTGAATAGACCATGTGAATTTGTAAAGAATGTGCATTCTGCTGTTGTTCATGAAGTATTCTATGAATGTAAATTAGATTCAGTTGTTTGATGGCATTGTTACATAGGTCAACTATAACCTTACTGATTTTCTGTCTGCTGGCTCTGTTAACTACTGACAGAGGGGTGCTGAAGCCCCTAACTATAACAGCAAGTTTTTCTAATTCTGCTTATGCATTTTATTTTACTGTCATTTATTCCTACGAAGCTCCTCCTTTTGTTATGTAAATCTGAATTTCTGACCCATGCTATTTTCTTCTTTCTGAATACATTCTTTTAACCTTTCTTAAATGTTAAAGGCAGGTTTACTGGTAACAAATTCCCTCAATTTTTTTGTGTCTGACAAAAATCTTTATTTCTCCTTCACTTTTGAAGAAACATTATGTAGACAGAGAATTCTATCTTGGTGGGTTTTTTGTTGCTGTTGTTACTGTTGTTGTTGTTCAATACTGTACATTTCACTCCACTCTCTTACTTGTGTAGCTTGTGGCAAAAAGTCCAGTATAATTCTTAGCTTTGTCTCTCTACAGGTAAGGTGTTTTTCTCTGGCTTGTTTCAATATTGTCTCTTTTTCTTTAGATTTCTGCAGTTTGGATATGACATGCCTAGGTGTAGACTTTTTTGCATTTCTTTTTTTTTTTTTTTTTTTTCTGAGCCTCTTGGATATGTGGTTTAGTGTCTATCATTAATTTTGGAAAGCTGTCAGCTATTGTTATTTCAAATATATCTTCTGCTCCCTTTTCTCCTTTTTCTGGGATTCTCATTCTGCATGTGTTATACCTTTTGTAATTGTCCCAGAGTACTTGAACAGTCTGTTTCTATTTTTCCATTCATTTTTTTTCTCTTTGCATTTTGGTTTAAAAAGTTTCTCCTGACGTATCTTCAAGCTCATTGATTCTTTCTTGTTTATATCTAGTCTATTAATGAGCTCATCAAAGGCACTTTTTATTTCTGCTACATTGCTTTTGAGTTCTAGCACCTCCTTTAAATTCTTCCTTAGAGTTTCCATTTCTGTGCTGACATTATCCATCTGTTCTTGCTTGTCATCTACTTTTCCTATTAGAACCCTAATTCTGTTAATCATAGTTAAATTCCATATCCAATAATTCCAAAATCACTGCCATATATGAGTCTGGTTCTGATGCTTATTCTGTCTCTTCATATGTATTTTTTCTTGCCTTTCATTTCTTGTCATTATTTGTTGAGAGTCAGACACAGTATTTGGGTAATGAAAGCTAATATAATTAGACTTTTAGCATGAGGTTTTACATGAATCTGGGCTGTATTTAATGTTTGATGTAGCTGCAGGTGACACAGCCTTTAGTTTCTTTATCTCACTTTTCTCTCTTGTTGTCTTTGTGTTTCCCTAGGAACTCATTCTTGAATAGAGGCTGCATCTTGCAGCTCTCTTAGCTGTAATTCACTGGTATTATTTTGGAGCCTTGTTGATGTGATGCTGAGGTGTTAGGGAGAGGAAGCTCTCCATACTCTTAAGATAAAATCTCAGCTTGCAGTATACCCAAGTCCCTGGATTGTGACTTTCAGATGTGCTTTGTGGTTGTGTTTATTTGTTTGTTTGTTTTTTAGCTTTTCTTCCTCCTCCTATGTGAGGCAGGCAGGATAGAAGGGGGCACCAGTGGCTAATTTTCCTTTCCTCAAGTTGGACAATGTTCTGGTAAGGTAGCCTTCCTTGAAGGACATGGTTTTCTTATAGAGAATGCAATGGGCTTGCTTCAAATACTTACCTTCTCACTTCCCATGCTCAGAACTGGAGGGGATTTTTCTCTGACCTTCATGTGAGAATCTGGTGAGCTTCCTGGAGGAAAAACTCAAGAAAGCTGTAGGGGCTCCTAGGAAATATTAACTCTCAAGCCTCACATACTTAGTCTCCAGCAATTCATTGAACTTACCATTTACGTGTTCCTACCAATCACTGGCTCCGCAAGCTTCTGCCCCCTGTAAGCTGACCTTGGCTCTCATTCTCTGTGTTGACCTGTCTCTCCAGATTGCAGACCAGTGGTTTGCCCTGTGACCTCAATCCTCTGATGAATCCAGAAAAGTCATAGATTTTCATTCTGTTCAGCTTTTTTTCATGTTATGAGCCCAGGAGTAATCACTTCCAAGCTCTCTGGGTGCCCTCGCTGAAAATCAAAGTCAGCAAACTTTTTCTTACGAAGGGCCAAATGATAAATATTTTTGGCTTTGAGAGATACAGAGTCTCTATTGCAGCTCCTGAAGTGTCCTATTGTAATATGAAAGTAGCCATAAACAAAATGCGAATAAGTGAACATGGCTGCGTCCCAATACAGCTTCATTTACAAAAAAAGGGGTTGGGCCACATTTGGCCTGTGAGCCCCATTTTGCTGATCCCTGCTCTATACAGGCTACAGAATGAAAGGCCATCAGGGGCCAAGACATTAGTAAACATGAGCAAAGGTGAATGGGTTTTAAACAAAAAATATGTTCTTCACTTATATATGTGCTTAATGCACATTCTTTTTTTTTTTTTTTTTTTTTTTTTTTTTAAGACAGTCTCACTGTATTGCCCAGGCTGGAATGCAGTGGTGCAGTCTCAGCTCACTGCAACCTCCACCTCCCAGGTTCAAGCTATTCTTCTGCCTCAGCCTCCCGAGTAGCTGGGATTACAGGCATGTGCCACCACGCCCAGCTAATTTTTGTATTTTTAGTAGAGACAGGGTTTCACCATGCTGGCCAGGCTGGAGTCAAACTCCTGAACTCAGGCGAACCACCCACCCTGGCCTCCCAAAGTGCTGGGATTACAGATGTGAGCCACTGTGCCCAGCCAATGCACATTCTTATTTCCATAAAAATGTTATATTTCATTTTTCTTTAAACAAATACTCTACTTTAGATAGGAATATGAATATCATAAATCATTTAATGCTTCTGAATTATAATAAAGAGACAGCCACACAATTGGCAGCTGGTACTCTGTCTCAGTGTTGGTGTTGGGGCCACGAGGGGGTGATGGGGACATTGATGAGCTGGAGTGAAGAGCACCAAAGCCACTGCTGGAGCTGCCAGGTGGGAATGAGAGCCTGCATTGCCAGATTTATAATTCTTCCAGAGGAGCTGGAAATCCAGATTTTATGTTACCTTTAAAATGTTTAGTGTTGGCAACTATTCAAAATAAATTTTTAAACATTGCCCAGGTCAACAGTCAAACACAAATATTTGTCAAGTACAAATCCTCTAGCTGGCTAACATTGGCTGGCTTGTGGTTGAATTTGGCCTCCAACCCAGGCCAGCCCCAAGTTTTACCAAACGGGTGCATGGGAGTTAAAGAAGGTGCCCAAGGTCACACAGCCAGGAGACAGCAGAGTGTGACCTGGGCTGTAGTAGCTGAGCAGCCCACTTCTGTATGCGAGCTCACAGCTCAGAGCAAATGTACCTTTTAGCTTCCATGGAATGAACATCTCTCTGCTCTGTTTTCAGTCTGATATGGTTTGGCTGTGTCATCACCCAAAACTTATCTTGAATTCCCACATATTTTGGGAGAGACCTGCTGGGAGGTAATTGAATCATGGGGGCAGGTCTTTCCTGTGCTGTTCTTGTGACAATGAATAAGTCTCACAAGATCTTATGGTTTTATAAAGGGCGAGTTTCCCTGAACAAGCTCTGTCTTTGCCTGCTGCCATCCTTGTAAAACATGACTTGGTCCTCCTTGCCTTCCACCATGTTTGTGAGGCCTTGCCAGCCACGTGGAACTCTGAGTCCATTAAACCTTTTTCCTGTATAAATTACCCAGTCTTGGGTATGTCTTTATTAGCAGTGTGAAAACACAGTCCCACCACTGAGTCATTTTCTTCCACTGATATTAAGAATCCTCGTGTTTACATTCTTACATACCTTTTCAGAAATCAACTAACTTCACACTCTTTTTTCAAAAAGCACAATTATGTTTCAGTTAATCAGCAAAAAGAACTAATAAAACAATCACAATTATGCCTGTGCTGTGAAATCACAGCAAGATAAATGGTTCCAATCAGTCAAAGGAATTCTACAAAGAACATCATATATAAGAAATGTGCTTCAAGTTATTTGGATCCAAATTTCATATGCCTCATTCTCCCTTTAATTCTGATTTTTTTTTTTTTTTTTTTTAGGAAATAAATTCCATCTTTTCAGGGATTTCATCTTTTTAGAAAGCGATATTCTTTCTTTAGGGGAAAAATGAAAAGAAGCATGATATGGTTTGGCTGTGTCCCCACCCAAATCTCATCGTGAATTGTACTGCCATAATTCCCACGTGTCATGGGAGGGGCCCGGTGGGAGGTAATGGAAACATGGGCGGGTGGGGGTTTCCCTCACACTGTTCTCATGCTACTGAATAAGTCTCATGAGATCTGATGTTTTTATAAGGGGTTTCCCCATTCACTTGGCTCTCATTCTCTCTTGCCTGCTGCCATGTAAGACGTGCCTTTCACCTTCTGCCATGAGTGTGAGGCCTCCCCAGCCACGTGGAACTGTGAGTCCATTAAACCTCTTTTTCTTTATAAATTACCCTGTCTCGGGTATGTCTTTATCAGCAGCAAGGTAATGAACTAATACAAAGCAATTGGTTAGAATATTCCCACATTGAGAGGCGCCATTCCATAGGTGCCACTTTGGATGGAGAAGGAAGTTGGTACAGGGCCAAGGTCCCTTCTCAGAGGCTGCAGTGAAGAGTGAGTGAGGAAGGGGGGAGTTTCAGGAGGGCCCTGGCTTGCTCTTGGTGTTGCCATCACTCTTGTTCCTGTGATCCAGAGATCTTCAAAAGACAGAATTATCACCTCTAAAGAGCACCATAAATGGTAGGAGGAGACTGATTATAAAATATACATAATCCTCATGAATTCTGCTGAAGTATTTTTCTAGTGGCAGTGAGAAATTATCCTAAAAACGTGATGACATCACATCTCATTCTATTTCATGGCTACAATTTTGAAATGCCATAGCAGTGTATTTTTCTGGCATTAGGGATAAAAATTAATATTTTGAAAATATATTTGAAACTGCAAAGAACAGCAAAATATCCTGTGATTATATGCAAAATTAAAATTAGGGAGAAATGGTTAGGTGTGTTGAGCAGAGTAACAAAAAAGAAACCGTGCCATTGTATACCAGGTAACATTGTATATTTTCTCATTTCCTAAACGGTGTTCTAAGGAAAAATAAGAGATACAGCTCAAAATAAACTGTTTTGTGCCCAGATAAGCTCTGGAAAAGGTTAGCTGAAGTGAAACAGGTGTGTTGACAACAGAATATCTCAGCACTTTTAGTGTGCTTGTATGCGTTGTATTCTTAGTAGATCTCTACTATGAGGTATTTTTCAAGTCTATTGACCATCAAAGCCCATATTCAAATGCAGAACTTTCAAACTCTCCCTGAGAAGTATTTAATGGAACACAATTTGGGAAACATTGATTCATTTTAATTGTTGGGAAATTTAAATAAATTCACATATTTAGAAAGTTAACTTTGCAATACTCTTAAAGGATACAACAATTTTGGTTTGAAGTGTACCAGGGACCTCTTCTCTTCTTTAAATTTAAGGTTATTAATTCCAGGAGCTACCACTCGTTTTCACCCTGGGTAATTTGCAAGTTCTTTCTGGGTAAAGTGTTTTGAATAAGTTGAATTGCTTCAGATTGTTATTAATTAATTAATTAATTTTGGGACAGGGTCTCACTCTGTCACCCAGGCTGGAGTGCAGTGGCACAATCATGGCTCACTGCAGCCTCGAGCTCCTGGGCTCAAGCAGTCCTCCATCCTCAGGCCCCTGCATAGCTTGGACTGCAGGTATGTGACACCATGACCAGCTATTTTTTGTATTTTTAGAAAAGATGGGATTTTGCCATGTTGCCCAGGCTGGACTGGAACTCCTGGACTCAAGTCATCTACCTGCCTTGGCCTCACAAAGTGCTGGTACTACAGGCATGAGCCACCGCGCCCAGCCTGCTTCAGATTTTTAAATCACGATTTTGCCGTTGTTGTTTCCCCAGATGGGTTTAGAAAGAGTGAAACTATGCACATCATATGAAATTTTCAATGCCAGAAGAAGCAATTCAACAAAATTGTTGCCATAAAATTTGTACTGGAGCAAGATAGAACACCTGTTTAGTTATCAATTAATACCTTTTCATTATGTTTTGCCTGGCTTTCTGTCTCCTTTGCCTGGCTTTCTGTGCAATGATACCTGGGCTAGGGTTATTTATGATTTGTAGCAAGGACGGCAATTAAGATTTATGCTTGTGGGGAAATGCTTGGCATCTCTGCTCTGTGAGAATAACACAAGGTAGTGATCTTTCTAATCCTGCAGTGTGGAAGGGATGAACTTCTGTGAGAAAAGGAAAGATGACTCAGGAAGGGGAGAGCATTGTTAGGACTGAATTGTTGGGGAAGATGGTAAAAAAGATGTTGGGAAATATCAACTGGAGGAGAGGTAAGTGGATAAAATAGAAACCCTTATTAGAATTAGGAGCTAATGGGAGGCCAGCATTTGCTTTGACAGAGGACAGGCAGGCCTTGCCTGGGAAAGTCTAGCTCCAGGATGGGCAGATGGTGGTGAGACTATCACGGCTGCCTCAAGCTCTGGTTAGATTCTTATTACTCAGTGCTCTTATATCAAGATGATTCTGGTGACAGTCCAACAAAGAGGTCACAGTTCACGTGGGATTAATTTAAAAGAGGCCACAATCCTGCCTCATAGGGAGACGGACTATTTCTTAGGTTCACAGGATACCTTTCTTGACAACCAAACACCTTTAAAACAAGCACGGGGCTTGGGACATAGTCCACACGAACATCTCGAGGATTCTGGGCTGAGAAACAGCATATTTAAATCTCTCATCAAAAATGAAATTCAGAAAGCCCAGCGAGACAATATCCACTCTTTACTGTAGAAAGAAAAAAATGCCCACATTTCTGGGAGGAAATTGCAGACCATCTGCTGCCCTGACGGCCACTCGGTGTACATTTCTCCCCTCCATCTCGGACACTGCACCCAGCCGTTGTGGACCTGAACTTGTGTCCTACCTTTGGTTTGCCCCTTCAGCAAACTGAGCAAACTAGAGAAATAAGGCAAACCAAGGAACAGCCCTAGATGTCTGTAAAGAGCCCAGCACGGGCTGCCCATGACCCTGGGGCTGGCAAGGCCCCATCCCCTCCATCAGAGTAGAAGCGGCTTCCAGCTTCCGGTGGGAACATATGTGCTTATACGACTTTATGTGTGGGGCTGTGTGATTCTGCCAAAGTGCTTGAATTTGGCACTTCTCCTGTGTCTGATTCCATCCCCTCCCCTCCCCCAATAAAAATGCACTTCCATAGGCTCTGCCTCTAATCTGCATAATAAGATTCAGTTTTACATGAACCATGTCCACGACCTCAGGGCCAGGCATCAGGGTGGCCGTCACCTAATCATGTTTCCCTAAGTGTGTTTCATGGGAGGTGAATATCCAAGGTCTTAAAAAGATGAGACCTATGCAAGGTCCAGTCAGCTTTGAAATGCACTGGCTTAGAGTTAACAGCAGTTTTGCTGCAGGACTTCTCAGGGCTTTTGATATGTTCATTGCAAACCCTCTAAAGAGTGAGAGTGCTTGCAGAATTTCTCCAAGTACATTTCACCCTAGAACCTTCTCTTCAGAGCAGCTTTGTCCCACAAAATATAACATGAGACATAAATGTGAACTGCATATGTGGTTTCAGATTTTCAAAAAGTCATATAAAAATGTAAAAAGAAACAGGTGAAATTAGTTTTCAATTTTTTTTTTTTTTTTTTTGGGATGGAGACTCACCGTGTCGTCCAGGCTGGAGTACAGTGGCGCGATCTCGGCTCACTGCAACCTCTGCCTCCCGGGTTCAAGCGATTCTCCTGCCTCAGCCTCCCGGGTAGCTGGGACTACAGGTGCACGCCTCCACCCACAGCTAATTTTTGTAATTTTAGTAGAGACTGGGTTTTACCATGCTGGCCAGGATGGGCTCAATCTCTTGACTTCATGATTTGCCTGCCTTGGCCTCACAAAGTGTTGGGATTACAGGTGCGAGCCACTGTGCCCGGCCTAGTTTTCAATTTTAATAATACTGTTAGGTAACACAGCGTATCAAAACTATTATCATTTCCACATGTAATTCATATGAAATATCAATGAGACAATTGATACCCTTTGATGTGACACCATGTCTTTGAAAAAGGGTATGTATTTTATGGCACCCTCAATTCAGACCAGCCATACTTTGACTGCCCAACACTGTGTGTGGCCAGGGCTACCCTACTGGATGGTGCAGATCCAGCATGTCTCAGGAGACTATTATTTCACAAAGTTGGTGTCATTTGAGATGCACAGGTAAGCACTCTTTCCTAAGGTTGGCTAATGTAATGTTGACTCATTAGTAAATATTTAGTAAGTGCCAACTGTGTGCAGGACAGTTTTCTAGGTGCTATGCAAATAGCTCTGAACCACACACTATGCCCTTGCCCTCATGGGACTTCAGTGAAGCATATACTAAATCACACAACTAATTATTTGATAATTCTGGATGCTAAGACAGGGAAGCTTGACTGCACCCATGGGTCAGTGGAGGTTGCCCCTACTAAGTGACATTTAAACAGAGACTTGGAAGATAGCTTGGCTTTAGCTAAACAGTGTGCAAAGAGAGGAACATGAGGTGGGACAACCACCATAGTTAGAGAAATAAAGGATCAGTGGATTTGAAATACACAGAGCAGGACTCAGAGAGCACATTGTGAGATGAGTCTGGTCAGCAGGAACATACAGGCTGTTTGGGGTGAGTGCTGGATTCTATCTGAAAAGCAATGGGAAGCCTTGGAAGGTTGTACGCTTAGAGGGTGACATGATCCAACACGATTTTATAGAAATTAAATATGTCTTCAAGTTCTTTGCTGCTCTGCTCATTGAGATTTATAATTTAATTCCCCTCTCTCTTTGAATTCTGACTGGTCCTACTGACTTGCTTGACCAAGAGAATCTGGTGGATGTGAGGTCCTGAGATCTCCAAGTTCGGGTCCTTAGAAGCCTTGCAGTCCACCCCAGTCTTTGGGAGAACATTCTCTTGAAGCCCTGAAGTGTGACTACCCAGAAAGCACCATGCTAGAGATAGCATGTGGATGGGACACTTGGCAATGAGCTGAAGAGAAGCAAATATCAGCTCATGAATGACAATGACCTCTACAAATCCCCAAGTCAGATTTGCCGCGAGGAGAAAGAGATTTCTGTCTACTGGCCATTGGTGTCTACCCAGCAGAGGTCCTAGGCATCCTGGAGCAGACGGGAGTTGCTCCACTGAGTCCTGTCCAAATCTCATGTTTACAAACATAGCCAATGGCAGTTTTAAGGGGATGTTTGTTATACAGCATGAGGATGTCTGTTATATGTTATCAAAGGGTTTTGATAATCCCTCTGGCTGAAGTGTGGAGATGGACAAACTGCAAGGGAAGAAGGACATGTGTGGACAATAGTAACTGAACCAGAATGTGGCAGGAATATGGAAGGCAGTGGCTGAGTGAAGACACACTGAGAGGTCACCCTGAAAACCCTCCCTGTCTTGGTAGGGAGGGGAGATTGTTGTTTTCTCCATTTCTGTTTTCTCCTCCTTCATTTTTTCTTTCCAGGTTCAAGAATTAAGACAGGAATCTTTAATCCTTGTCCCTTTACTGTCTTTCCCATATGTTTTCAAGTTGGCTCAAGAGTATTGGTGGCCACTTGACCAAGAGAGTAACAGATAGATGGCTGTGACAGATGGTGTGTAGTATGTGATGACGAAAATCTCTATTGATTCAGCCTCAGAAAGAATATTTGGGTTTATCTGAAAACTGCACATCATGGTCAAGTGGCTTAAAAATAAAATTAAGTTAGATAAAGATTAAAACATATACTCTCACCTCATTGTAGCTAATTAAAAGTCACTAAAATGTTTTAAATAGGAACAAACATTATTAATGGCAAATAGGGAAAAGTGTTCCCAAAAACCTAACTGACATTCCATTGGGTACATTTGTCTATGGTTTGTGCACCAAAGCAAAGCCACATCCCAGCACCACTTTGGAAAATACATATGGAATGCTGTTTCACTGGTTCATTTAACAGTGATATTTTCATTTGTGTTTATCTATAGTGGTTTTATATTCCTAATTCTTAAAAAAAAGATTTTTTAAAAATTGTAACATCTAAGGCAAAATTAAACAAGAGATTTCTCAGAAGTCTCTAAGAAAACCTTCTGTCCTGTGCCTCATTAATTCATCAATATAATGCAAATTAATTGCCACTGCATTAAAAAAAAATTGTTAGAATAGAGATCCGGATGTAAAAGTTGCCCTAGCATGCCGCACTGCTGAGACGAGCTATTACAGCCCACTTTTCCACTTCACTTTAGGGGGATCTGTAGCTACTAGTTCTTCTTTAGGAAGTAAAATTGGCTGCACCTGGGCATATTATTAGCTGCTCACCACAGGGAATCTCATGCTGATGGGCTATAATTTAGCAGAGAAGGAAAAAAAAAAAAGGCAATCCAATTAAAATGAAGCACATCACTTGGTGCCCATTTGCTGATTGCTTGTCAGAATCTATTATCTTGTATTTAACAAATATGGGATAATTAGAAAAGGAATGAGTATGAGACAATCAAAATTTGGGGAGCAAATCGTTATCCTTGCACAAAAGAAAAACTCTGAGTCCTCCTAATCCATCCTATCAAAGGAAAAAAGCACACCCATATATTCCCCTGTGAGATGCACAGATAATTTGAGAAGACTCCTGTCAACCAGTCCCACCCCAGTCCCAATCCTGGCACTGCCCCCGGGGGCCCAGCCTAAGGTGGCCTGTCCTGCTGAGTGCAGCCCCAGGCCTCAGTCATGAGGCCATGGAAGTCAGATGCAGTCATGGAAGTCATGGAAGAGAGATGCAGGCTGTAGACCACCCTAAGGGTTTTTTAGAGTCAAGAAATTTTTGTTTTGTTTTCCTTTTCATGTACTTGGTAAATTTAAACAGGCTGACATCCTGATTTAAAACAAACAAACAAAAAATACCAGTAAGGTTTTGTTTAAAGGGTTTCTGGCTACTCCTTAACAATCAAGGTTGTTTTAATTATAATGAAAAGCTACTTACAAACACCAAACTGTTGAGATTTTTTAAAAATTAGAAATCATTAAGATTGGCAAGTTCATGGGAAAAAAGACCTACTGTGTGAAATTTGGAACAACTTTTATGGAGGATAACTGGCCATGAGTTTCAATTGTTTGAAAAATGTGCTCACTCTTTGGTTCAGAAATTCTACCACCAAGATATAGTCTGGAGGTAAAATTATATATGCACATAGATTTGATTAAACATGTTAATCACAGCCTGACATGTGACTGCAAATAAATGGTAACAGTTGTATGTCCAGTAACGGAAGTGCTGACTATCGTATGAGATGAGATGGAATACCATGCGGCCATTCTACATTCTTCCATGATGCAGAAGAATATTGCAGGTCGATGTGGTATCAATGAAACAGGCACATGTTTCAGAAGAACATCAACAGGATTACATGATATACATTATGTATAAATTGCTGCATAAATTATGACTACCTGTGCATGCATCTCTATATACACACACTTATGCCACATGTATAAATATATATTTATGTTTTTATTATATATTTTATATACATTATGTATATATGTATGCATGTGCACACACACACACGTTTTAAAAGTAGATGGGGGCCAGGCGTAGTGGCTCACGCCTGTAATCCCAACACTTTGGGAGGCCGAGGCGGGCAGATCACCTAAGGTCAGAAGTTTGAGACCAGCCTGACCAACATGGCGAAACCCCATCTCTACTAAAAATACAAAAATTAGCCAGGCATGGTGGCACACACCTGTAAACCCAGGAGAATGCCTTGAACCAGGAGGTGGAGGTTGCAGTGAGCCAAGATCATGCCATTGCACTCCAGTCTGGGCGACAGAGAGAGACTCTGTCTCAAAAAAAAAAAAAAAAAAGAAAAGAAAAGAAAATTGATGGGAATATTATATACCAAAATGTTAACAGCAATTTTCTCTAAATGATGAATCTATGAATAATTTTTATCAGCTTTATTTTTTTTTAAAGTTCTGCTTTACTATTAAAATCTGAAAAGAAAAAAAGAGCACTTTAAGAGTGATCTCTTCATTATCTTCAATGGCTCTGAAAAACAAAAAACGTGGTGGGTAAGAAAGTCAGACAACATGGCTAAATATTCCCCAACAAATTCGTACCCTTTCTTTCCGAGATCTTTCATTATTTTGAGTGGTGATATTGCTTCCTAAGAGATTATGACACATCTTACATGCATGAGCTGCATTCATTTCAAACCTAAGAAAAGCAGGGTACCTCAGACCACAGCTAAGCTGGATGTATTAAGTGGCCTGGGATGTGTAATAACATGCAGACAGATGGAGCTAAAGTCTTTCCTGGGCAGAGAGCTCTATATCAACAAACGTCAAAAATGTGATATGGGCAGTCTTTGCCTGTGTCCTGGGTCTTCGGCTCTATTAAAAAAAGAAAAAATATTTTAAATGCATATCATTAAAGGCCACGGGCAGATAATGTGCTTCCCTAGAACACCAGCCCAAGGACTCATGTGTGGCTGTCATGAAGTCTTCAAGAAAGCTCCCTTTCTGATAGAAATGATAACGTTTTGAAATCAAATCAAACACACACACACACACATGCATACAAGATCCATGCAAACAACACAAGAGGCCTCGGTTATTATTTTTGAATTACCTTGTGTATGAGTCAGCTCCTGTTCTTGGTTGGAAGCAGAAATAACTGAACTTGTCTGACTTTAGCAGAAAGGGCTTCACTGAAAGGTTACTGAAGAAAGCACAGAATGACTGGGAAGTTTTTGACAACTGCAGTGTGCAGGAAAGAGCTAGCTGCCTGACAGTGCCAGAGTCTCACATCTCTTCAGGAAGGCCTAACTGACCCTTGGCCAGCTCCTGAAAACTTGGCCCTGCAATATTCCCTGCGCTGCTAATTAATAAGGTTGTTTTGTACACCCGGGGTCCTGACACATGCTGCCCAAGCTTATCTAGTTGGTTCGTACCAAGTCAATAGCATGATTTACGGTGGTCACGTTTCCTCCTGGAAATAGGTGCCTGTGTGACCAGCTCCTGATAAAAGCTCTAGCCTCTGAGACCCAAGCTGCCCTCCCTGGGCTTAGACACTTGGCTTACATCACTGAAGTTCATTGCTGGAGGAGTGAGTGTGTCTTGCGCAAATCCACAGGAAGACTTTGGAGGCCACTGCTGGGTCTCCTCTAGACACTGCCTGGTGCATTTGTTTTCCTTGCTGATGCCACTGCGTGTTTTTTCACTGTAATGAACCATAGTCCTGAGTCTCCCTGAGCCCTGTGAGCCCTTCTAGTGAGTCACGGAACTTAAGAATGGTTATTGGCCGGGCGCGGTGGCTCACGCCTGTAATCCCAGCACTTTGGGAGGCCGAGGCGAGCGGATCACGAGGTCAGGAGATCGAGACAATCCCGGCTAAAACGGTGAAACACCGACTCTACTAAAAATACAAAAAATTAGCCGGGCGTAGTGGCGGGCGCCTGTAGTCCCAGCTACTTGGGAGGCTGAGGCAGGAGAGTGGCGTGAACCCGGGAGGCGGAGCTTGCAGTGAGCCGAGATCCCGCCACTGCACTCCAGCCTGGGCGACAGAGCAAGACTCCGTCTCAAAAAAAAAAAAAAAAAGAATGGTTATGAGACACCAGAAATAGACTCTAAGACAGCCAGGCAGAAGCCAACACCCAGAACAAAGGCCAGGCACAGAACCAGTCTTTTTTTTTTTTTTTTTTTTTTAAGACGGAGTCTTGCTCAGTTGCCCAGGCTGGAGTGCAGTGGTGCAATCTCGGCTCACTGCAAGCTCCCCCTCCCAGGTTCACGCCATTCTCCTGCCTCAGCCTCCTGAGTAGCTGGGACTACAGGCGCCCGCCACCACGCTCGGCTAATTTTTTTGTATTTTTAGTAGAGACGGGGTTTCACCATGTTAGCCAGGATGGTCTCGATCTCCTGACCTCGTGATCCACCCGCCTCGGCCTCCCGAAGTGCTGGGATTACAGGCGTGAGCCACCGCGCCCGGCCCAGAATGAGTCTTGAGTAAATGTTGCTGCTGCCATCACAGAACACCAGAGGCCACAATCTACCCCCTCCCAGCTCCTTCTAGGACCCGAGCAGGACACTGGAGATCCACTGGCTCCCAGGTACTGTAACTGAGACTAGGGTTTCTCAAGCTTGGCGCTGTAGACATTTGGAGTCAGACAATTGTTTTTCGTGGGAACATTCTATGCATCATAGTATGCGTAAGCAGCACCCCTGGTCCTTGCACACTAAATGCCAGCAGCTCCCTCCCAGTCGTTATGGTTGAAACTGTCTGCTGACATTGCCATATGACTTCTGGGGTCAAACTTGTGCTCAGTTGAGGAGCACTGACTTAGAAGAAGCTAGGTCAGGTGTCCATAGAGTAGCTACAAGCACATCTAGAAATAGAGACTCTGCTGACTCAGATTCTGCAACTTCTTCCTTCCCACCAAAATTCCTACTGCAGAGCAATGCCAGACAGAGGACGGGTGTTCCAACGCGAAGCAGGCAAAACACCGGCACCCACCCACTTTGCAACACACTTGGGGCTTTTGTCAATATGGCTGCCTGGGTGAAGGTGAAGCCTCACGAACCATAGGAATTGTCAGGTCTGCTTTCTAAGGAGAACTTTATTCACTGACATTCTGGCTCCTGAATTAAGAGCTGTGCGGGACTGATTAAAAAGGTGTCATTGTATTAAGAAATGAAAGCCTCGTGTTTCAATAAGCATCTCTGATAAGAAGAAAATTGCTAGTTAGTACACATGAAATCAACAGGCTGCTTGATGCCTATCGAAATGTGTGCTCCGTTTTCAGAAAATCCAAACGAAGAAGGAATAAATACATTTTAAAATGTTACTGGGTAAAATCCACTGATGAGCTCTCCGTGGTCTTTGCCTTTATGGAACTTCCACATGACATCCTCTAAAGGGGGAGGGCAGGAGGGGTGCTTGTTGCCGTGGCAGCAGGTGCGGTGTGGGGAATGGTCTCTAGCGCTGCATGGCAGCGCTGTCCTCACAGCAGCTGCCACCCTGCTTTCACCCTGATGGCCTGGGAGGCGGAGTTTCATGAGAGAGAAGCATGAATCTGCATCCAGAACATCTGGGTTTATTAGGCCTAGGATTTTTCTGCACATTTGTGCTTTGTCAAATAATATAATAAGTTCCTAAAAGTCAGAGGGTAGATATAAATTAATTGAAACAGGAGAGCACAACCCAAAACATGCTTTTACAGAGAACTCTGAGAAAAAAAAAAAAGTGGAGAAACAAAAGAGGCTCTCCAAGCTTCCAGACTGTGAGCTAGCGCAGAGACAATGATCAGAGAGATTGACTGGGAGAATGGAGAGGTGGCAGCTGGTCAGTTTGCTGCATCGCCGCCCCCCAGTCCTCATTCCTCCTTCTTATAGCAATCACAGGGCACTTGGCTGCAGAACTCAGGCAGGAGCAGCGCCTGGAGGTGGAAGGGACAACATGGCAGAAACTCAAGTGTCTACCAAGACCCAGGAAGAAGGGGAGAGACTTTGCAGCTCCTGGCATGACAGGCCTCGCAATCTGTCCTGCCTCTACCTCAGAATTACTCGAAATAGGCTGAAGCAAGCAGTATGCCACTTAAACCCACCGGGTAAAAGGAAAGCTCAAATATAAAGATAAGCAATTTTAAAAAAAACAAAAGCAACACCATTAAAGTGAGGCATACACATTTAAAAAAAGTAGAGTAAATAGCATCTCATGAAGTGGGGTTAATATAACAAAAGGAAGTAAACTTTAAGTGAAGTATAGCATTCTGAGATGAATGTCAGAGGATCCTTCTCCCATGAAACTATACCAGATTTATTATAATATGTGATATTTCTAAAATAAGAATAAAATATACACATTTAATAATATTTATAAAACAATTATTGTTGACTTAATTGGAATATTTTTGATGATTACATTATTTTGAATTTAATTACTAAGGAACATTCCTCCAGCTAGACAGATTCAAAAAGATTAATATGTTGGGGTAATAGTTTTTCAACAAAATATAATTTACCTATTGTTACGCAGTTCATATTTCTCCATTTTGTTCACAAGCATGAAATAAAATATATCTATTCAACTATTCTAATATAAAATTAAGTTAATTCATGAAAAAGAAAGGAAATGGGTCCCTTTACATTATTCATTCTTAGTGAATCCACTCTGGCTTGAGTTGATTACTGCTTTAATATCTATGTATTAAGGTACTACAAAATAATCTGTTCTAGGAGTTTGTTTCGCCATTGCATCCACAGGCATTGTAAATACGCCGATCGATACTTTCTAGACTTAATGAATTCATATTTTTGGAAAGATAGAATTTGAATTGGAAAGCTTTTGAAAGAGAGCCCAGTCAAAAGATTTGAACAGACACTTGAACAGAGAAGATTTTAAGCATGTAAAGAAAAAAAAAAAAGCTCAACATATTAGTAATTAAGGTAATATCATTTAAACCGTATGAGATAACACTATGAAATCTAGTAGAATGGCAAGAAAGGAGGAAAGGAAGAAAAAAGGAAAAAGAGAAAAAGAAGGAAAAGAAAAAGAAAGAGAGAGAGAAAGAGAGAGAAAAAAGAAAAAGAAAGAAAGAGAGAGAGAAAGAGAGAGAAAAAAGAAAAAGAAAGAAAGAGAGAAAGAGAAAAAAGAAAGAGAGAGAAAGAGAGAGAAAAAAGAAAAAGAAAGAAAGAGAGAGAGAAAGAGAGAGAAAAAAGAAAAAGAAAGAAAGAGAGAGAGAAAGAGAGAGAAAAAAGAAAAAGAAAGAAAGAGAGAAAGAGAGAGAAAAAAGAAAAAGAAAGAAAGAGAGAGAAAGAGAGAGAAAAAAGAAAAAGAAAGAAAGAGAGAAAGAGAGAGAAAAAAGAAAAAGAAAGAGAGAGAGAAAGAGAGAGAAAAAAGAAAAAGAAAGAAAGAGAAAGAGAGAGAAAAAAGAAAAAGAAAGAAAGAAAGAAAGAGAAAGAAAGAAAGAAAGGAGGGAGGGAGGGAGAGAAGAGGGAGGGGGAAGGGAGGGAAAGGAAAGGAAAAGAAAGGAAGGAAGGAAAAAGGGAAGGGAAGGGAGAGAGAGGGAGGGAGGGGAGGAAGGCAAGCAGGCAGGCAGGCAGGCAGGCAATACCAAATAATGGTGAGAATATAATGGAAAAAAAGAAAAGAAAAAAGAAGATTGAGTAAGGGAGGGAGGCAGGCAATACCAAATGATGGTGAGAATATGATGGAACAACTGGAACTCTCATATACTGCTAGTGAGAATTCCAAATAGATTAGCTATTTTGGAAAACAGTTTGACAGCTTTTTATAGAATTAAACACGTATTTATCATCCAATTCAGAAACACTACACTGTGTTCATATAAAAAATCTGTAAATGAACGTTTCTACTGGTTGTATTCATGATGTCCCATCACTAAAAACAACCCAACAACCTCCCTTTCAGTAGGTGAGACAATAAACCGGGTTCCATTTATACAAGGGAATACGACTCAGCGTGCACTGATGCGTGTGACGACATTGATGGATCTCAGATGCATTATAAGTGAAAGAAGCCAGACTCAAAAGTTTGCATTTCTAGGATTCCATTGATATGACATTCTAGAAAAAGCAAAATATAGAGACAGAAATCACAACAGTGGTTACTAAAGTTGGGAGACCAGGGATAAAAATGACAAAAAAGGGGCACCAGGAAAGTTTGGGTGTCCCACAGAAACATTATCTGATTGTAGTGTGACTCTAAGCATATGTTCAAAAGAAGAAATACACATTAAAAATAAATTTTATTACATGTAAATTATATCTTTATAACTACAAAAAAACAAACAAAAAAACTACCGTGGGATAAGTGGAGCCCGAGATTTGAGATGAGCTCATAAAGAGTGATTTGGGGTGCTCTCCTCATACCAGGCATTCTCGTGAACTCCTCTCCACATTGTGTCTTTGGGTTTCATGACTACTATCACATGAGGTGAGATTTCATTCTGAGGCAAACAGCAAGAAAACGGACATTTTAGGAAAGTATAAATTCCCAGTGACCTGACTGGAGAGGCTTGAGGATCACTGGTTCAAAGCTCCAGTGTACAAAGCAATGCTGACTGGATGCCCTTTGCAGCCAGGCCAGGCCATGGCTGCTAAGCACCCTCTGACTTCTGCTTGGGGACCAGATGGGATGGCACCCAGAGAAGAGTGCTGTTTGCCAAAGTCATATAGTGCTTTCAGGACATGGTTCCACCAGACCCAGGTGTCCCCGTTCCTCTCTTAGGGAGCCACCCATTCATCTATATCTCAATTTTGCACCAAGGGGAGTTCGTAAATTTATTTAGAGGCCATGTACAGAGATGGCCCCAAATGGCAAATCCAATTGAGCTGTTAAGAATTGCTGTTTTTGAGAGTCCAATGTACAAAGGGATGGATCAAGATGAAAATGTGAACTGGCACTGAATGAGGTCATGGAAAAGAAAGAAAGAAAGAGAGAGAGAGAAGGGAGGGAGGGAGGGGGGAGGGGAAGGAAAGGAAGGAAGAAAAAAGAAAGGAAGGAAGGAAAGAAAGGAGGGAGGGGAAAAAAGAGAGAGAGAGAATAAAAGATAAAATTCAAAGTAGGAAAACCACTTTTTACATCAACTACCACCACGATGACAAAATTTCTAGAAAAGACAAAAGACTTTTAAATACTCAGTTGATGCATTGCTATTTTAGGTCATGTTTCCTTTTCACTTACCAGAATATTACTGGAAGCCCACAATTATCACCTGCCTCCTATTTTCTTACCCCTTGACCTTCACCTGACCCCTGAAGTCAACGTACTTTCCTGACTTTAAAGACAAAAAGAAAAGGATTTGAGTGTCCGCCCCACTGTTGGAGGTGTACAAAAAAAGGTGTGCTTCAATGGGAAGCGCCACAATTTCTAGACTCTAGAGGTTATCACATTCTAAGTTTTCATTGTCTTTGAGCTATTTTACAAACCTATAGTCTGTAGGTAACTAATGAACACCATAAATTCCACCTGTCATAGGGGTTTAATTGGTTTCCCTCCCCACCGACACCATTCCCATGGAAAAACCAGTTTTGACTCCATTTGCATATTCATTTCACTATTACTGACAAATAAATGTTGGTTTTGATCCCCATTTCAACTGTTTATAATGTTTTCCTAGCTCCCTCACTGAATGAGGTAAATAAAATCTTTAATGCATGTTCATTTGTACATCTGCAGGAGGTATAGCCTGCCCGAATACCAGCACGAGGGGTCTAGTTGGAAAGCTGGATTGGACAGCTCCTCTGTGCAGCCCACACTTGACCACAGTCAGCACTTTTGGCCTGAGACCAAAAGTGGAGCAAACTCAGCTCTGTCTTCCCAGTCGTGCTTTCCACTGAGCTGGCTCCGAGTCTGCCCCCAGGAAATACCTGTTTAGAGTTAAAAGCACTTAACACTGATTTGTATGTACATGATACAAAAAAAAAAAAAATCAGCATTAAAGGTTATAATGTGCTCATTCTTTGTCATATAATTGGACCTAATAAACAAACATCACATTAGTTACCTAGTAAATTTCAACTTATTACTAAATTAGTAGCTATCCTCACATACATCAAATATTGTCAACACTTTCCTGGAAGCTGCCGCTACCCACAAATTGAGCCAATTAAATAATTAATTGAAGTAAAATGACTCCTGTCCAGCAGAATGGATGTGAGATGTGTTTACTCGTTCAATCAAATCCTTCCTTTTCCAGAATGCATCATTTTCAAAGAAGGAGATCTGAAGCGGGGCCCTGGCTGACTCATTGAAGACTGCATAAAATATTTTGAAGCTATTCAGAAAAAAAAAAACACATTAAAAACAACTTTCATACTGGAGGTTAAGAGGCAGAAATCTTTATAGAGCAAAGTTCCTTTGTTTTGTATGCTATTTCCTGAGTGCAGTGAACTTATTAAGCACTTTGATGTAGCAAAAATTGTGATGTGTATATGTACAAATGATCCAAACACAGCAAAAAGCAGCTAAAAAAATCAATAAAGCAGCTTTTTAACAAATGCATTCCAAACTGGATCAAAGAGATAGCCTGGCAGCTACATGCTACTGATCTAACACTCATTACATTTTCATTTCAAGGAAACATCTTTTGCAACAGAAAGGTGAAGTCTATCTGTAATGAGCTTCTTCTAAGGCAGGAGGAAAGCTTCTTTTCAAATAGGAACTAAATAAATATGGGGCCTGTGTGGGTCTCTGCAAACAAATCTGTGCAGAAGGGCTCACCTTTGAAAGAAAGGCCTCTACAAATTCAAAGAGGGAGCTTTTCATTGATTTTTCCATCTTCCTCACTGTCCTTCCCCAGAATAGACTTTCATATGTAAATATGTGGTCAAGAGAAAACACTTGCCTACGGATAGTGGTGTTTTTGTTTTGTTTTGTTCTTTAAGGGATAGTCACTGGGAACTGGATGCTGTAAAAGCTTACCCATATCTGATTTGATAATGATATTCACCATTGATTTTATAGCCCAAGGGAGGGGCCCCTTTCAGAATGTTTCCAGGCACACAAGATTTTTTTCAGTGAGTTCACTCAGAAGGTTGGTTTGTCTTTCAGTCTTCATATGGCGATAAGTCTTGAGGATGGTTTTTTTTGCCCTGTGTTCTGATCATATACACCCATTCCAGGTTATCTTACCCAGGGCTTCCTGCCTAACAGGGACATTCTTGCCTCTCACAGAATGTTGTATCAATCAGATTTTTGTGCCGATTCTCATTTTGCCCCTCAGCCTCTACACATCTCATTTTCCCATTTTACTAACATGCAAACTCATCATTGCCTGTATCACTGGGTTAAAATAAAATAAAACATAACTGACTCTCAATTACCTTCTGGAAATATGACAGAAGGAGGAAATAGATGAAAAAAGCTCAGAGACAGAAAGATCTTTTTTTAAACTTTTTTTTAAGAACTGCCTCATGCAAACATCTACCTAGAATAAAATGTCACCAGCACTGCTGTAAGATCGGATTGAAAAAAGAGTAAGACTTTCCATGTTTTGGCCAGGCCCTTAGAACAGAGGCAGGGATTACCAAAGTAGGAAAACAGAGCAGCCTCATCTCCAAGTGGGGTGAGAGGCACCTGGACAGCCTGACCATGTGAATGATGCTTGGGAGCAGGGTCTCCTGGAATGCAGAACATTCTCCCAAAGAAAAGAAGGAAGGCTGGCAGGACATGAAAGCCAATACCCAGCACTTTTGAGTTCCTAAATAACCTACCAGAAGGGCTAAGAAAATTGTGTATAGAAGTCAGGCCAAAAAAGAAAAAAGAAATATTAGATTAGGAAAGAAGAAACCTTTGTGTGCATACACATCCAAAAGCACATCCACACAAACACACACTCATCACTCCAACCTTCCAAGCACCTGCAAATTGGGAAATATCTCCAATACATTTTGAAAGAAATGAGGTGTAAGTAATTGAATGATAATCTAAATAGCATATTCATACCAGTTATTTTATAACATAAAGAAAATTCTTTGATTATATAAAGTGAGCTTTTATAATCTAAGAGTATATTTATTATGTTAGTTGCTGTGTTGACATAAATAGGTATTATACAAATATATTCTCACCATAAAAAAGGCAAATAGTATATACATTTTGAAGTTAAATAAATGTTTAGTTTAAATCATTATTATTTAGGTGTCCAAATGTGAAAATAATGAACATTTATGAACAATTTCTGAAACAGGAATGAGTAACCTGAAAAAATGAGAGATGTTGATGAAGTTCAATTGATATTCAACTCAAAACAAAATTAATATAAGAGTAAGAAACCACAGAGATATACATGGAGACTAACTGTCCACATTTTCCAAAAGAAAATGAAAGATCTTGGGGAATAAGAGAAAAACATTATACAAAGATGCATTATAATGTATAATACAGTAATACTTAAATTCTCCAGAAACCAGCTATCCGGCACTTTCCTCTATGGAAGAGTCGCTCAACAAAGGCCCACCATCCTGTGTCTAGGAGTCTCCTTTTTCACTCCCTGAGATGAGATTCTATGTTTCTCATCTCTGGCTTCCCTCCTAACAGCTCTCTCAGTGCCTTCTCCAGCCTTTTCTGGAGTGCAAGCCCTCATCCTAAACTTGCTCAGTTAGAATCTCTCTCTACCCTGCACCCACCCCAATCACCCACTCAAGGCGGATCCTGCTGCAGGAGCTGGAAAGCCCCCACCCTGTGGCCTTCTCAAGGATGTCATTACGTCTGTTCTTTTATCTTTCTTGTATCTGCACCACGACAGCTTATTCTCTATTGGATCACTGTACTCACTGGGCAAACATGCTCTACTGTATCTCATCTTTACAAAAAACACATAAACAAATAACAACAACAAAACAAAATTCCCTTTAGCTGGCATTCTCCTTTACTACTGCTCCATTTTCCTCTCAATTTTCCCCACACAATCTTCCTCACCTCTTCCTCCTCTCGGGAAATGGGAAACCCTATTCACCTATGTCTAGCAGGCTCTTTTTGAAATTAAGTACATGTTTATTAATAGTTTAAATCTTTATTATTTAGGTGTCTAAATTTGAAAAAATATGGACTTTACACAATTTCTGATAGATGAATGAGTAACCAGAAAAAAATGAGAGATGTTTATGGAATTCAACAGATACAGAACCCAAAATAAAATTAATATAAGACCGATTCCTGATTTTTAGGAGGGAAGGCAGAGTTGGGAAATGCCAAATCGCATCACAGGGAGTGGACAGAGGAGTGTTGCGCAACCCAGGAATATTCTTGATTTTACCATCTTCCTGCCTCATCCCTGCCCTCAGCCCATGTCAACACACCCATCAGCAGGTCCTACTCCTGCTATCTGAAAATGTATCTCACATCTCTCCACTTACCTCTACTTCCATTTGAGGTCACCATCATCCCTTATGTAGACACCTGAAATAACCCCCATCTGATCTCTCTGCACCCATACTTTCCCCTCTACAACGTACTCCCCATCTCTAGTAGCAAGTGTGATCTTCTTCACCCACCCACTGTGTCAAACCCTATGTTATACTCCTTCTTAGAACTCTTTGGTGACTTTCCATTGAACTTAGAATCAAATCAAAATGCTCTCCATTGCCTCCCAGCCTCTGGTGATCTGAATCATGTCTCTAGTCAACCTCATCTTCTTTTTAGTTTCACTTGGCTCCAGCCATGCTGTCTTTTTGCATTCCTCTTTGACACCACTTATGTGGCTCGTTCTTTCCCATTCTATTGTACATAGAGAGACCTTCCTGCTTCCCTAATCTAAAATAGAATATAAGCTTCTTAAAGGCAGAGGGTTCATTGCTACCAAGTTTTCCATTGTATTTCCAAAGCATCAATCACATAGTGGATGGTAAGTACATATTTGCTGCTAAAATGGCGAAGAATCAGGAGAACAGAAGAAATAAAACTTCTCAATGGGGTCAAAACAAGTAGTACAAAGCGAATGCTATAAAACTTGAAAACTTGATTCATAAGAAAGCATCTTGAGTTTATGGATCTTTTCTTTACGTATCAAGAAAACAACAACTAAAATTAACTGGGAATCTGGTTTCCATATGCTCAGCCTACTAGGAAGGGAGAAAGAGCTCCAGCTGCCCCCTCAAGTAACAGATTCTGACTGAGAGATACACCGACTGAGGACAGAAGCCATATCTACTTCATGAGCTTTGTGTCCCTAACATCTAGTACACTGCCTCTCCATAATAGACAGCCACACGTTAGTTGAATGAATGGACAAATAACTCTAATAACCTGTGGCAAATAGAAGTGAATGCAAAGAACTAGGAGAGGACTGAAAAATTGATAACAGATTTAAGTTGGGAGATCACAGTGATAGCTGAGTGGACCAAATCTTAAAAATTATGTAGCATTAGAACTTGTGGAATAGGCAAGAAAAGCTGTCAACTCTATGAAAACCACAAGGGCAAATCCAACTCCTTCCACCCCCACTATATGAGTAAATATGTTGTGGAAAGCCTTAACAATTCTGTGAGTCTTCTCTAAAATCACTTGGGATTTTAAAAGCTAGTAATTTTCTTTAAATATGCAATTTAAAGACTCAATTACAGCGAGTACATGTTTGGATTCTTCCTTTTCTATATGCAGTCAACCATACTTAAGTCACCTTGAAATACAACAAAAGCAAAACCCTTATTTCTAAGGACAATCCAGTAATAGCGATGACTTTACATATATCTATAAGATGCTGTAATTTAGCCAACACTTGCACTTACTTAAACTCCTTTATCATTCACAGCACATCTGTTAGTAGATATACTATCTCCATGATTCAGACGTGAAAGCTCCGATTTGGAGAAGCACGGGGATTTAAGCATGGTTGCACAGAGAAATCGAACCATTATTTGGATTCAGATTTACTAACTTTAAATCAGCTGTTTCCCACCACCTAAGCATGCCATAACTACTCTTTCCCATTCTTGGACAGAGTTTTTCTGCTGTGTTTTTGTCTTCTCTTCTACCCTGCTGGGAAGGGTAGAAGGAAACTTGAAGACCCCCAAAGTTGTGTGTCCGTGTATGTCAAGAATGATTCAGATGGTACATTTGACCACTTTGTATACCACCTTGTTGTGTATTTAGTGTGGCTCAGTAAATCACACAACCCCAGCACAATGAAACCACAAATAATTTGTGTCTTTTGTCTTTGTAGACAGAAAAGATCATCCATAAAATGAGCAAATATATTGGAAGCCCAACCCTCTTTTCTGATCCATACTTCGATAGCTTAACTGAATTCAGCAGAGTAGCATTATTAGAGAAGAAATGAATCCTAACAGTTGGGATCATGAACCCTGGAGCCAACTTGCCTTTGTGAAAGCCTGGCTCCCCCACTTACCAGATGAGAGAACTTTGACAAATGATTGAACCTCTACAAGCCTCAACTGCACTTCTACAAATTACTGTACCTCTACAGGCCTCTTCTTCTATAAAATGGGGATAACAGTAGGGTTGTCATCAGAATAAACTAAGTTAAAACAGAGGTCAAACCAGCTCACTGTTTGTTTTTGTAAATAAATCCGTATTGGAACACAGCCAAGATCATTTGTTTATGTATTGTCTGTGGCCACTTTTGCACTGCAGTGGCAGAGTTATGTAGTAATAACCTAGATCTCATGGCCCACAAAACCTAAAATATCTAGTGTCTGTTACTCTACAGAAAAAGTTTGTTGACTCTTGAGTTAATAGATGAAAAACATTTAGAATGGTCCATGGTATAAGCACTTGCTATCTATCTATCTATCTATCTATCTATCTATCTATCTATCTATCTATCTATCTATCTTTTCTTGTGTTTTTTGAGACAGGGTCTTGATCTGTCACCCAGGCTAGAGTGCAGTGGTGCGATCTCAGCTCACTGCAACCTCCGCCTCCTGGGGTCAAGTTATCCTCTCAACTCAGCCTACTGAGTAGCTGCAACTACAGGCATGCACCACCATGTAGCTAATTTTTGTAATTTTTTTGGAGAGATGGGGTTTGACATGTTGCCCAGGTTGGTATCAAACTCCTGGCCTCAAGCAATCTGCCGGCCTCGGCCTCCCTGGCCACTGCACCCAGCCCTATATATCTATCTTTTTGTGTGTGTATGTGTGTGTAGTATGTGTGTGTGTGGTGTGTGTGTGTGTGTGTGTGTGTGTGTGTGTGTGTGTGTGTGATATTACTTACTCTATGGCAAGCACTTAGGATGTTTACTCTACTTCTTGTCCTATAAAATAATTTAGTCTCTACTCTTATGCAGAGGCCCAGAGATTGAGAGTCATGGGTCAAACCATTTGGGATTGGACAAGATTATCCTTATACATTTCTTCGAACCCTTTAATTCTAGAAAATTCAAAACCAAATTCAAACAGAAGTAATCAAATTTACTTTGGAAGGGTTTTGAGTCTCATAAAAATGTGCAATTGTGCATTTGTATGTATAGCCTGTATATCCAGTTAAACGATACCCAAACTCCTCAGGGGAAGATTACATATCTATCAACCATTGAAGCCAGAACTGGCCGTGTCACTTGTTTTTGCCAATGAAACAAGAGGAGAAGTGAGGAAGGAGTTTTAAGAGCTAGTTTGAGACTTACTGTGTTCTCTTTTTCTCAGTGCTCCTGATATCCAAAATTCCCCAGATGCAGCATGCTCCCTCAGTGTGGAAGGTCCATGAGTAAGGACCATGAAAGTCACAGCTGAGCCACCAGGGCAAATGGAGTAAGCAAGAAATTAATCAGCCTTTGTTGTTCGAAGGTGCTGAAGGTTGTTAGCCTACCACAACATAGCCTATTCTGATTGATACAGTGATTGTTCAATGTCTGCCCTTTGTCCAGAGTATAAAACTTCCATGAGAAAAGGAGACAAATCATATTTAATATTAATAATCATATTCATATTTACTATTGGAGACCTGGCATCTACTATAGAACCTGACATATACATACAGATTAATAAAAGAAGTTATCTGGTAGCATGTGAATAGTTAATAGAAGAGGTAAATGACAATATAGACAACATAGAGATGTTACAATTACTATTAAGTGCTATAAACAAAGAGGGTGCCCTTTATGACCTAGATTCCCTGGGAGGCAAGGAGTAAATGCTGATGGATGTCTACCATGGAGCCCAACAGGAAGAGGTGTGGTGGCCAGGAAAGCAGAAGTGAAAAGGAAAGAGAAGGGCTGTATAAACAATTAATTAAGCAGGAAAGCACAAAGTATGTCTAATATTAGGGAACGGACACATTTGACAGAAGCAGAGGCAGAGAGTTCATACAGAGGTGAGGTGAGAATAAAATCTACAGGAAATGCATGCATTGTTGGATAAAACCCGAATTTGCAAACATTTTTGTTGCTTTAAATGGTGTATAGTCAACACTTAAAAATGGCTCAAATTGTGGATTTTATGTTATGTATATTTTACCACAACAAAAATCTCTGTCTCCAGGGTTCAAGAGATTCTCGTGCCTCAGCCTTCTGAGTAGCTGGGATTACAGGTGCACGTGACCATGCCCAGCTAGTTTTTGTATTTTTAGTAAAGACAGGGTTTCACCATGTTGGCCAGGCTGGTCTTGAACTCCTGACCTCAAGTGATTCTCCCTCCTCGGCCTCCCAGTGTGCTGGGATTACAGGCGTGAGCCACTGCGCCCAGCCAAAGTAATATATTCTAAAAAAATAAATAAATAAAAGTTCAGTGTTGATCCATCACCCACCTGGATTTAGGGCAGAGAGTTACTGTTCACTGAGCATTCGGCCTTCACTGTACTTGTCAGTGGGGGATATAGGAAAAGTGCATGTAGACCCCATCAGCTTTCCTGGAAGCCTGGACACAAACAAAAACGCTGGAGAGAGTCTCAGATGAACACGGTAGAGTGTCACCCAAAGGTGGACAGATCATTACAATGTAATTTGATTTTTGAGGGAGTTGGGGGAAGAAAGAATGGGCTCAGAGGCTATGAAACGAAGTCCCCGCTTGAAGAATTCAGGTCAAGGGGCCAAGGAGAGAAAGACTCTGGGGGTTGGAGCATCTGTCATCAATCTGGATAATAAAAGTATTATCATTTTATAAATTAGATAACATCCACTTTCTCCCTGTGCTTTTCAGCAGTTATGGCCATTAAGGACACCATGTTATGTAGCAGAAATTGTGTATGCCAGCAATGAACCTTCTGTGCTTACACATTTTGGCCAAGTCACTTCGTATTATCTTATACGTGGCCTCTCTGCATGGCTCAGTGGCTCCCCTCCTCTGCTCCACCAGCCTGCAGATCAGCTCTGCCACAGTGCAGCTCTATCTGCCCCATGTCATTTGTCTTCTTGTTCCTTATTTGACTCTTGCCAGCAAATCTCACCGCTTGATAATTGAGCCAGCTACTGAACTGCTCTAGCAGCTCAGATTCCTTTCCCTAGCTGTCACCATCAGGTCCAGTCTTTCACTCCCACATCTTGCCTCATTCAACCACTTTTGTTATTTCTTTAAAATAAAATGTGTCTGAATTCTGGGCATGGTTTTGGGTGGGATTCTGGGCTTGCATGGGTGATTCACCGTTTTCCTCCAGCTGACTCAGAGCACCCCTGCAACCCAATAAGACTTCCCAGTATTGGGTCTACTCTTTTGTCCTGTCCCTCAGGCCCCACAGTCATGGAATTGGTGAGAAGGAATTAAGACACTGAAATCAGTCATGGAAACAATCACTCTGTTCACTCCAGCACATTTAGGTGGTGTTCCATGTTTACTGGAATGAATCTGGATGATAGAATCTCAGGACTGGGAGGGCCAAAGAAGTCATCCATTTTATCTCTGTCCCAAAGTAGGAAGTTATACAGCAACACATCTGATCTCTGTGGGGAACCTCACTCCCCATGAGGCTTCCCAGTCATATCAGGAGACATGGGCTTGTGGTGCAGAAGGAAAAATAAAGGGTGATGGCAACAGAGGCCATGGCTTTGACACTATCCTCGCCACCATGGGCAAGTTCTTCAGACTGTCTGCATGTTGGTGCTTTCCTAGTAAAATGTGGGTACAATTCTGACAAAGTCTGCCTCCCTGCGCTACTGCACAGGTTCTGTGAGAAGGTGCATTTGAACAGCACGCGTCCACGCAGTTGAAGAGGGCATCCTTTTACAGCTCTGAGTTTGCAAGGGTAGTGCCCTGGGCATGGGGCCTCCAAAGAGCTATGCTGGCTTCCAAGGCTGCTGACCAGGTCTATGCTGACCCCAGTGCTCAGGGGTTCATGAGCCTGTCAGAAATAGGAGGGCAAAATAATAAATAAAACTACCCCCAAGACAAATCCAGCTATTGTAGCCAACTGATAGAATCTGCCTATACCTGGCTTTATGAATACTTGTCATTCTGTAAATAAAAAAATGAAGAGGTAGAGAAAGTCGTTTACAAGAATAAAAGGAAATTGGGTGGGGGGAGGGTGAGAGGACAGTTGTTTTATATATACATATGCATACACAAATGTATTAAAAGACACACTACTATCACACATATATTGGGGAGTTGTTCTGCTCACATAATAAAGAGCTGTTTTACACACACACTCAGTAACGAGGTAAAACATATAAAGGACACGACAGTTCCTGGGACACAGTATGTGCTCCATAGTAAATGCTGGTTATTATCATTGTTTTCAGTATATCCAACACTGAGCCCAAAATAAAATAACGTGTTTTGCTTATTGGAATAACAAGATCACACGACAGCACTGAAATTGCTTAGTCGGAAAATGCAAGAGGTCTCACTCACTCTTCATCCCTAGGCCGGTGGCTTTCATTCCACGTTGATTGACAAGCACCTGTGCGGTGCTTTTAGAAAGACCACTACACTTAACTGTGCTGCATCCACAGGAAGCCCAGCGCCACTGGAATGGAAAGATGGACGTGACCATGTGCGAATCCCTTCAAGAGGCTGTGGGTTCCCTTTGCACACTATGACACCACCGATACTCCATCACTTTAAGCACCAACACTCAATCATTTCCTTAAGGTTTTCATGGGCATCACTTTTCCTCTTTATTTGTCCTAAGAGAATTTATTCTCAGAGATTTTGTAAAAGAGCATGGCAGGAACTTAATTATCCATTTCCTGGTAATTTTCTACATCCGTTGTTCCATATTGATTTGCTATTTAAAACCCCCTTTAGGTTGTTTACTGATGTCCTCCCAGCCTGTGGTTCTTCCCTATTTAATACATCATCACCAGCGAACACAAATGCTGGGTGACAGTTACTTTCATCGATTCCAACCAATGTGATACTTGGGTTTTGGAAGCAGAGAGTGGCAGTCTGAAACGACTTTTTCTATTGCATCTGGCACATGGTCACGTGAAGGAATGCACACAACGTATAATCAAATGGCGGTGGTCCTGAGAGGAAGGCGGTGACTTCACAAGATCTCACAGCAAGACCCAGTTCCACATCTCTCTGCAAGAGCAGGGACCCACAGCTCAGATAAAACAAGATGGCTATACTCTTCGTTCCCAATATGTCCTAGAAATTGCTGTTCTCAGTAAATAGCATCTTAATAAATCAAATAAACTATTAGTAAAACAAAATATGTACAAATTTAAAAAGAAATATTTGGGACATCCCACATTAAAGAATGTGTTAACTTCAATGTATTCATTTGAAGCCTGTGTATCCACAGCCACGTACAGTACGTGCACATGGCGATTTTTCTATTTTGGCAATAACTGAGTGAGAAGAAAGGAGGGGTTAGCTAGACATTGAGAATAAGATGGCTGCTCAGATGGGCCTCCGTCAGGACTGTAGGCTAAGAACTGTTTGATGGGGATGCATGGAGTCAAAACGCAAATGCCTGGAGTGAATTTTGAGAGCGTGTTCAATGGTGTAAGATGCTTGGATGTGTGTAACTTGGAATGAACCATACACAGAAAACACAAGGTTGTCTTTTCCCAAAGGGAGGCAGTCTCCTATTAGATTGGGAAGCCTCCCAGGGAATGATGCGCCCCAGAGATCCCATGTTGTTGCTGTATAAGGTGGTCTTCTCCCAAAGGGAGGACACAAAGGGTTTACTATTTCTTATTCTCGACCCAGGAACATAGCCTAACAAATAGAAAGAAAGAGAAAGCCTAGCAGCTATTTATTCCTTAGTGGGATATGCTCCTTTATATCCCAATATAAAGGAATCTCAAAGACACAACATATAAGTCTCTTTATTGAAAGACGACTTGATGAACGGTTAATGGAGGAGTAAAAGCACAAGAGTTACATTTAAGAACTTTCAAAACACAGAAAGTTTGAAAACAATAAGAGGAAAGATGTTTCAGGAATGAGATTCAGACCAGCTCTGTGGCTTTTGTTCCTCTTGTTCTGTCCGTAATTTTTGGTGGCAGCGGTTGGCAGTAGGCATAGAGCTGGCATCAGCCTCTGTCTGCACACAGAGGGACTTTGTGACGGAACCGTGTTTCCCCACTCAGCTCTTCACTACCAAGGCTTCTACCAGCATGCAGTGGTACTACACTCCCACTTGTGCACTTACGGTTCTGTTTGCCTACAACACTCTTCCTCCAAAGATTTATCCTTTTCCCTCATCTCTTCACATTTCTATGGGGACCCACAGCTCAGATGCAACACGATGGCCATACTTTTCATTCCCAATATGCCCTAGAAATTCCTGTTCTCTGTAATAGTATCTTAATACATCAAATAAGCTATCAGTAAAACAAAATATGTACAAATCTAAAAAGAAATATTTGGGACATCCCAGGTTAAAGAAATGTGTGAACTTCAGTGTATTCATTTGAAGCCTGTGTATCTACAAGGTTGTCTTCAGCACAGGCACGTGGTGATTTTTCCGTTTTGGTAATAACTGAGCGAGAAGAAAGGGTGTCTTTGCACCCACGTCCACCTCTCAGAAACCTTCACCAACCATCCTGTTTAAAGCATTAAACAGCCTCAACCTACTATCACCCTTCCTTGAGTTATTTTTCTCTACAACACTTTTCATCAAACATAGCATGTTACATGTTTATTTTAGTAGTTGTCTGCCTGCTCCCACTGGAATATAAGTTTCACAAAGATAGGAATTTTGTCTCTCTAAAATTTTCTGTAGTCTTCCAGCCCCTGGAATAGCACCAGGTACAGATGAGTTCTTAGTACTTCTGTGTTAAATGAAAGAATGACGGCATCTGGGAACAGCCTGTAGAGAGGTAGGTCACCATTCAAGGAAGAAGGGACACAGAGAGGGGACAGACAAGGCAGAAGAAAGAAGGGAAATCCCATCGACAGGAGAGAAAGGGGAAAATAAAGAAGAGAAAGCGAAGACACACAGCAGACAGCCTGGAGGGAGGGATGTCAGCAGGAGGGAAAAGGACAGGGCAGCAGTACCAAATGCTGGTGTGCGGGCCAGACACTGGAGACCGCTGGATTTCAAAACTCAGTGCCTGCTAGGGAACTTCAAGAAACACGTGTCAGTAAATGATGCAGCTGCAAATTGCTACCGAGGTAAAGAAAGATTTAGAAAGTAGAGTTAATGAAAATAATCTAGTTAAGAAAGAAAGAGAGAGGGAGGCAGGCAGTCTGGCCAGCCAGCCTTGGCAGCACAGGCCTGGAGAGCAAGCTTGTTACTTTAGCAGTGTATGCCGGTGTGTGCGTGGGCAGGTGTGTGTGCATGTGTGTGCATGTGTGTGTGTCTGATTCGTGACTGTGGATTGAGAATGTGTGGACAGTTATTTCAAGTACACAAGATCTGCACCATGTTTTCTTTTATAAGCAAATGGGAGAAATTAACACTGAATTAAAATGTGGTGTGTATTTTAGTTTCTCTCTGTATTTCAATTCCAGGAAATAAATTATCACAATTTTCACAACTTCAATTCATTTAGAGCCTTTTTAGATAAAAATTTTGTAATCGCTCAGAACTGCACTTCCAAGTCAAAAGAATTAATCTAAATATGTGTTGCTGACTCAAATAGAGAAGAGTAGGAACAAAGTAAACTCCTAAAAATTTTTCTTAAGGCATTTTAAAAAACTAAAACAAATGAAAAGCCCTATAGGACCCAAACACGCAGGCAAAATGAATTCTCTGAAGAGAAAAATGCATTTTGTTCTAATATTCTCTTAATAGATTTTTTTAAAAACGTGATAAGAAGATTGAAAGAAACCTGGGTAACTCGAGATAGATTATGCAAATGCTCATTTCATTTTCCTACTTCTGAGTGAGGCCTGGGCACAGTTTTAAAGCTGCAAGACCCCAGCACTCGCTATCTCTGCTGCCCAGCTGGCGCGCACAACCAAAGGATTATGCATAAGATGCACGTGGTTCACGGAGCCAAGACATTTATGCGGAGCTCAAAGGAATCTGGCATACTGTGGTTCTCGGGGGCTTAGAATGAAGATTTTAAAAATACATTTCCATGATTTTCACCAGCTTATCTCAACCAAGAGGTTAAATATTAGAGAGAGAGGGAGAGAGAGAGAAAGAAAGAGAGGGAAGAAGGAAGGGGGTGGTTCACTGCTTCTGCAGCCAGGAATGGAAATAACTTTGATTCTTAGGTTATATTTGATCATCACCAAGTCCTTTCCTCATCTCCTCTCTTTCCGAAAATGTGAGATTCGTATCAGTGAATCTTCCATACCAAATTTTACTATAACCATTCCTTTTTCCAGGGTAGTCCCTCTAACATAGAAAAATATGCCTTGGCATCACTCAGGCTCAGAGGAAGGAAATGAACATACTATGCTATATTTTCATTGTCTCCACTTCTATATCTATAAATTAAATGACATAACTTGCTAGGAAAAAAAAAATGCCACGCTAGTCTGAGGATTTTGGCCGGGGGTCTCATGACTTTTTTTTTTTTTTTTTCACAACATCTCATTCAACAACCACTCCATAGCTTGAGGATATGCTCCCTCAAAATAAACGCACCTGTCATCAGTGTTCCCGGATCAGAGACAGGCAGCTAATAAAAGGTTCATCAGGAATGGCTGAGAAGCCAGGGATCCAAGCGGAATCAAGCCCAGCTTTGTCATCTCAGCACTATCTCTGTCTGTGGTGAGTTACAGTTCCCTGTATAGACCAAAGACAGGACCCCAAAGAGAGGTAACCCAGAAAATCTACCTTTGCTAGAATGTGAAAATATGAAAAACATAAAGGTTGGGTATTTTTCAAAAATAGAAGGAGGCCCTTCTCATTCATATATATATATATATATATAAATATATAAATATATATATAAATATATATAAATATAAATATATATATAAATATATATAAATATAAATATATATATAAATATATATAAATATAAATATATATATATAAATATAAATATATATATAAATATATATAAATATAAATATATATATATAAATATATATAAATATAAATATATATATAAATATATATAAATATAAATATATATAAAAATATATATAAATATAAATATATATATAAATATATATAAATATAAATATATATATAAATATATATAAATATAAATATATATATAAATATATAAATATAAATATATATATAAATATATACAAATATATATAAATATATATAAATATATAAAAATATATAAATATATATAAATATATAAATATATATAAATATATACATATATACATATATATAAATATATACATATATAAATATATATAAATATATACATATATAAATATATATATAAATATATATAAATATATACATATATAAATATATATAAATATATATCTATATATATATATATAAATTTTTTTCTTTTTCTGTTTTGGAGACAGAGTCTCACTCTGTCAGCCAGGCTGGAGTGCAATGGCATGATGTTGGCTCACTGCAACCTTTGTCTCCCAGGTTCAAGCAATTCTCCTGTCTCAGCCTCTCAAGTAGCTGGGACTACAGGTGCGCACCACCACGCCTGGCTAATTTTTGTAGTTTTACAAAAAACCCCGTAGAGATGGGGTTTCACCATATTGGTCAGGCAGGTCTTGAACTCCTGACCTCAGGTGATCCACCCACCTCGACCTCCCAAAGTGCTGGGATTACAGGCATGAGCCACCATGCCCGGCCCCCATTTTATATTGATAGAATTCTCATTTTAGATCCTATTAAAATGATATCAGCATTTTAGGCAAAAGTAGCTATAGTTCTATGAGAACATCATAGAACTTAGTCTTTCTTAGGTGAATCTCAGAGATAAAATAACATACTGGAAGAAGAAATAAACCACAGCTCTATTTGTCTTAATCTTTGATTTGTAATAAACAGAAACAATCAAGGGAGATTCTTTTTTCTGTATTTGCCCTGCTGTGTACGTCAGGTGTTGACTACCCATGTGTAATCCTAAACTTTCAAATGGAATTTCCCTGGTAACGAGATGGTAACATAACTGCTAACAGACCCCTGCATATCAGTGAACCATGCATAACTTTAACAAATGCAATGCAAAGGGTGGTGGTCTGCATGGATTATTTCTATCAAAAATGAATTTATGCATTCACCATTAGAAGCAGATGCAAGACTATAGCTTAAAAGCAAATTAGAATTCAAGCTGGATTTGCAAACATTCCAGTTTAACATTTGGATAGCAAAGGAACTCAGAGTTTATAAAATTTAAATATAAGATAGACAGTCACAATTCTGTGCAAGCAGTCAGGGTTAATTCAGATCGTTTCCTCTGCTCTTGCATTCCCTGATTTCAAGCACGGCGAGGCTGGGGCTGTAATTACGGAATGGGTAGTACTCACTGTTCACCAGTTGTGTGTAAGCTTTAAACTAATAACTCAGCAATTACGAGAAAAATGAGCGGTAATTACACCCATTTTACTCGCGGCTAGACAGATGGGACATTTTCTCCTCGTTATTGGCAAACTGTCACCACATTTATTTCATTTTTACTGTTTACTATTTGTTGTGCTTTGATTAAGAGTAATTATAGGCTAGGAAAATATGAAAAACATGAATGTTGGGTATTTTTAAAAATAGAAGGAGGCCCTTCTCCCTGTTTTATATTGATAGAATTCTCATTTTAGATCCTATTAAAATGATATCAACATTCTCAAGATATTTCCAGGCAGGCTTCAGTTCTGTGACAGCTTTTCAGCAGGGGATTCCCATGTTTGCTCATTATTTGGGTCGTCATAGACCCATAAATATCCTGCATTTTTTTTTTTTTTACAGCAGCCTCTGTGTCCCTCACACTCGTCCATTTTGGTCCATTTTGGTCCATTTTGTGTCTGATGATAAAGCACAGGAGAAATCCACCCGTCGCTGGGATCCACAGGGGAGTAACGCCAAAACACGGCACCGCTACTGTCTTCGCAGCTTTTAGGATGAGGAGCCTATTTCTCTCCCATCACTGTAAAATAATTTTATGTATGTTGTCCAGTAGAACAATGATGTTGAGAGTTCTTTCTACAATTTGCCTCAGAAGCTTTTTAGTATGTGACATTAGTTTTAAGATCATGTGATACTTAGATACTGACAAAGTATGAGCAGTACTGATAACACCAGTGGGAAAAATAGATTTGAATTTATTTTGTGCGCTCATGTTTGTAGAAAGTACTATTAATATTTAATTGATGTGGGCTAGAAATTTGAACGATTTTGAAAGAAATGTGAATAACAAATCAGTACATATAGAATGAACATACAATGAGCACAAGTTTTAGTTAATATTTAAAATGGTATCTATTTTAGAGTGAGCCTCCATGTGTAAAATAATGTACAATTTGTATGGTTCTTCGTGATGCTTTGTGTATGTGTATGTGTGTGCATGTGTGTGTGTGTGTGTGTGTCATGATTAGCTAGGCTGTGGTTCCAAATTCTAAACCCTTAAAGTTACAGCCCCAGGAGAAATAAAAGCCATCACAATTCACAACTGGCCTGCATTGAAGCATGATTTTGCAAACAAAAATGCTTTTTCCCTCCATAAAAGTCATACTTGAAAATATCTGAGAAGTTATTTTTGGCATCAGTTTTTCTTAATGGGAGGAGAAAAAAACCCATGCCTTGTTCTACACGGGCTCCATATCGATTCATGGAAGTGCCATGTGTTAAGCACCGACTTGCTAATAGTGCTGCCTGTGTGGTGATCTGCTGAGCTAGCGCCATGCACAGAATTGATTAGTTCCCTTAATGAGCTTTAGATTGTGCTTCTACCAGAATAAGGACGCAAAGCAGGGGAAAGTGTGCATCTGGAGAAAACCCACCTCAAAGCAGCTGCAGAGAGGAAAATCAAGAGAAGTGGCAGAGAGGAAAATCAAGAGAAGTGGCAGAAAACTATGGGAAGGTGGGACTTGAGGGGAGACCTGGAGACAAGGCCACCTTTTCTTTTTCAGAAGATGCTGCAGCTTGCTCCATCCCTGACTTTCTCCCCAGCGGAGGGAGAACAGGGCAGGGTGATGTGCAAACCTCAGTCCCCAGCAATGACCATGTGCAGCATGGAAAACTGGGGTCCCCTCTTGTCTCTGCCCTTACCATGTGGGTAACCCTAACACCCCTCCCTGATCCGCAGCTTCCTGTAAACGAGGGGAAGAGACGGAGGATGCAGCCATCTGTGTCTTCATTTGTGTGCAACTGCATTATGAAATTTTAACTAAAAATGTTCCAGAGAAAGCAAACAGTGTAAAGCTATTAAGGAAGGCGGTTTAGCTAATGGATAACCGATGACTGATGTGTGTATAAGTGAGAGATGGGGATGGAGATTCTGGGATGCTGGCGGAGGCTCTGGGAGCGCAGGTAAACAGGCCCAAGAGATGTGGAGAGCAGAGGTTGTCACAGACACATGCCATCTGCATAGGGCTCAATCTGCCGTTAGTAATTTGGATAAGTATCCAAAGTTTACAGAGAAAGGAAGAAGGCAGAAAAGGAACTACAGAATCAAACAGCTCCCCTTTCCTCTCTGCCACACTCACACCCCACACACACAAAAACACCACACGCACACACACACCAGGGGACAATGAGATGTCAGATAAGCCTCAGAACTTCTACGGTGTTTTACACAGTACGTGAAAGCAATTTAGGAAATTATTCCTACTTTCGGAAAGAAATATAAACAGACAACATTATCTAGTCTATTGTGTTCATGTTGAAAGAGAACAACTGCATAAGAGCCCTACTGTTTGTGTAAAAAGAAACTGTCTTCATGTAAAATAACCAAACCTAGTAATACATAGGAGAACGATGCTGCATGGAATTTTACATATGTAACTCAGCGTTTATTTTGCCTCTTGCCTTTAGTAAATATGCAAGGGTTTTTCTAATGAGATAAACAGAGCGCATGGCAGTGTGGATAAGATGCACAGAGCAAGCTGCTCTAGAATGTTGGTGGCCCCATGGGTGTGGTCTGGGTGGTGGACGTTTAAATCTACCTCACGGAAGCAGCTAGATGAGTGTTATACAAGGAAACGGGGCGAGAGAAAACAGACATGAGCTGGTTTCCACTAATTGTAGGAAAAGGTATCTTGATTAAGTATTCAGGATGCTTTCTCTTTCTCTAGAAGCTCAAAAGAAGCCTTTTGTTTCCTGTAGCAATGCCCATTTGCCAGATCACATTTAAGTCAAGCAGACGGTTATTTGAGTGAAAACAAACCAATTTGCTTTTGCTGGTTCCAGTTCTTTCTTTTGGTCACAGGCTTTCAAAAGAAGCTTTCTTTTCTCCTTCTCTTAAATATGTAACACAAGAGATTCAACATGATTGAAAATATCTAGAAGAGAAGTTCTAGAATATCCTAATCTTAAGGCTTGGATTTTCAGATAAGAATTTATTTGACTCCTATTTGGTGGATTTATTTACTCTGACATGGAGAGCCTTACTACACACTGATAAAAGCCAAGTTAATATGTATTTCAAAGTTTACACTCATCATGCCTGTAATCCCAGCACTACGGGGAGGCCGAGGCGGGTGGATCACGAGGTCAGGAGTTCGAGACCACCCTGGCCAACATGGTGAAACCCCGTCTCTACTAAAAATACAAAAATTAGCTGGGCATGGTGGCCAGTGCCTGTAATCCCAGCTACTCGGTAGACCGAGGCAGGAGAATTGTTTGAACCCGGGAGGCAGAGGTTCCAGTGAGCTGAGATTGCGCCATTGCACTCTGCCTGGGTGACAGAGACTCTGTCTCAAAAAAAAAAAAAAAAACAAAGATTATATTCATGTATTCCTGTTGTGGATTGGGATGGGAAAATCAAGGCTCAGAGAGGGTAAATATTTGTCCAGGGTGATACATCTTGTACTGGCACAGCTGGGCCCTGGCTGTTGGACTCCACAGCCCTGAAGGAACACAGAGATGAAGACTTCAATACTGGTGTTCCTCATGATGCAGGCTTCCCTGGTGAAGAGGGGCAGGTGCTAGTCTAAAGAATGAAGAAACACTGGAGGCGGAGAGCACAGCAGGGTGACATGGCTGGAACAGAGGCACGATAAGTATGTATCCAGCACAAGCAAGAGGGAGCAGCTGATCTAGGTCATAGTTAAAAGCACCCATTAGGAGTACTGAGAAATTACACCGGAAAGAGCCATGGTTTAGAACTAGAATCACCTGGAGAGCTTCCAAAAAGAGAAATTTTTCTGCCCCCAGTTACAGGAGTTTTTGGTTCCAGAGGTGAGGAATGAAGTCCAGGGATCTGCCTCTTCACAAGCTCTCCTGTAATTCTATTTTCATTTTTTTAAAAATGATTTTGAGACAAGGTCTTGCTCTTTCATCCAGGCTTGAGTGCAGTGGTGTGATTTCAACTCACTGCAACCTTCACCTCCCAGGCTCAAGCCATCCTCCCACCCTAGCCACCCAAAGTAGCTGGGACCACAGGTGCTTGCCACCATGCCCAGCTAATTTTTATTTTATTTTTTTAGTAGAGTTGGGGGTTCTGCCATGTTGCCCAGGCTGGTCTTGAACTCCTGAGTTCAAGCAATTGGCTCACCTTGGCCTCTCAAAGATTACAGCCTCCTGTGATTCTGATGTGTGATGAGAATGAGAATCACCAGGGCAGAGGGCCTCCCAGGAGACCCAGTGATGGGCTCTGTATTTGCTTTGATAAGAGCATAGAGCCTGGACTCAGGGCTCTGGGATACATAGGCTGGGGCTGCTGTGTGTTTCAGGCTCCTGGCACCTGCTGCAGTCTCTGGAGTGAACTAAAACTGTTTTCTATTAGAGGGATGAGTGGCGGGGTGGGTAGATGAAGAGACACTAGAGATTAATATGATAAAATTCCAGAGTGCAGCTCAGATATGTAGGAATAAGATCTGTCTGATGGCTACTGCCTGTAAATACACAATGTTTTTCCTACTGTCTTGAACTGAGTAAGACAGATTGATATCTCATCTCTAAGTCACATTTGGGTGGCCTTCAGGAAGGGGCCTGACTTCTTCTTGTTTTATTTTCTCTAGCTTGGAGAAACAACATATTTTACAAGTGAGCAACCTGTTTGAGAACAGAAATTTTGCAAACATCAGAGGGTCATGGTGAAATTATTGTAGAAAACTTTGGTTTAAATTCAGTTTCGCGAGCTGCTCAGGAGGACTTCAGAGCCTTAACTGTGCACTGAGAAGCTCTCAGGGGAGAAACTACCTCCACAGGTCACCCACCAATTTCAGAGTGGACTGCAAAGCTCTGGCTTGAGATGGCAGAGGTTCAACTAATTTGGGATGCCGGCCAAGAGTGGACTCTTTTGCTTTGCTGTTGGCTGAATGGTGTCTCACCAACAAAATTCATATATTGAAGCCCTCAGTCCCAGTAGAATCAGATTTGTAGACAGAGTCTTCAAGTTAGAATGAGGCTGTTAAAGTGAGCCCTAATCCAATGACTGGTGTCCTCATAAGAAGGTTGGCCACACACAGAGATACCAGGGATGTGTGCACAGAGGAAACACCATGTGAGCACACAATGAGTATGCAGCTACCTGCAAGCCAAGGAGAGGCCAAACTTGCCAACACTTAGTCTTGGACTTCCAGCCTCCAGAATGTGTGAAAATACATTTATGTTGTTTTTGTTACCCAGTCTGTGGATTTTGTTACGGCAGCCTGAACAGACTAATCCATGCTTCATTCCATCCACATTTGTTCAATTGAGACCAGCAGGCTCACCATGCATAAAAACCATGGCAGATCTTGTTAAACTCCCAACTTCCCAAGCCCCAGCCCAGACATTCTAATTCAGTTGGTCCAAGACTGAGATTCAGAATGTGGGTGACTTCAGAACTCCGCCTAGAGAAACAGATTTCACAGCTTGGCAGAGTGAGCAAAGCCAGCACACAGCAGGTGCTTAATAAATGCTTTCTGAATGGATGGGTTAATGGATGAACACGCTCTTTCAAATAAAAGAGTACAAAGCCAAACTCAGATAACTTTATGACATTTCTCACTTCAGCAAGCAGTGTTTGGTGAGTCAAGTGGTTTATCTGTAGTTGGGACCCTCATCAGAGTGAGTGAAAATAGAAAATGGATAGCTAACCAATGGTGAGGCAGGAGAATAGGGTTTAGGGTAACCAAGGGTTAAGGCATAAGCAAGAAAACAGCAGGTTCGGCCAGTTCTAGGAAAGATTAGCACACAGGCCATGCCCTCACTCCTGTGATGGCAAAACAGTAGTTTCCACCTCAGCCTCTGGTCCACTGTGGGCCAAGTCTTCACTTCAGCCTCTGATTGGTGGTGGGCCAATCTTTCATAGGGTGTGACTAACTGGAGGCCTCGAAAGGGCACCTAGGGGTGTTACCAAATTCTTTTAGCTTAATAGAAACCCTAAAGAACATTGCATTCGGGGCTCTTGAGCTGCTTGCTTGAGCCTGCTCCCACTCTGTAGAGTGTACTTTCACTTCAGTAAAGCTGGACTTTTGTTACTTCGTTCATTGCTTCATTCCTTGTTGCATTTTTTGTGGATTTTGTTTAGTTCTTTGCTCAATGCACCAAGAACCTGGACAACTCACAGTCAAAACGTTCCATCCCTAAAATCTGAGGAGATATATAGTCATTCTTCTTTTTAAAACAGTTTCAAAATACAACTGCCAAATTTTAAAAATTGTTTTCAAGTTACTAAAGCCAAGCACTCATACCCTTCTACCAAATTTTGCAAGTAAAGATTCAAGAAAAAAACACTTCATTTTATTCCAGCTTCAGGTTTTGGCCACAGAAGCATACACATACCGGGGGCTGCCAATCTAGGACACTTTCCTAGCACAGCCTAGAAAGAGCATGATGGGCTCTTTTGAGAATAATTAACGTACTCTCTTCTTGCATCCTTTCTCCCTAATATTTCCTTTCCCTTCCTTCTGTGGTGGTTGTTTGATGTCCTGAAAGCCACAGCAATTAAAGAAAATGTTCTTGAGCATAGAAATAACAATCAGCCCTGTTTCTTACAGTTTTGATGATTGAGTATGCTACACAGGCATCCGAAACCACAGAGATGCAATAACTGAATGTAAAGTATCCGATAAAGAGCAGTATAAATCATGAACCAAGAGTAAAAATGTTTTATTAGAGATGATGATACATAAAGATGAAATTCAGCTGGACTGTAGAAGGCTGTTAATTGAATTAGGGTAAAATAGTGAAAATTGGAACTGATCCATATTTGTGGAATCATGTGATGCTTTAATTCAGTTTTTTTTTTAGTAGGCATCCACTATTTAGTAAAGACTTATAACTATAAGTAGTATGAGAAGAATAGGTAGGACGATTCCTAAATCTCATAGCAATCAGGCAGGCATACACGGTGCCCCTCTTCATGTTTTATGTTAGAAATGCACAATCCAATTCTCTATCTGAGGTAAATACTCCTGTAATTCACAAAACACTGTGATGTGTTTTGATGATATTAGGTCATGGGTCTAAAAAATCAAGTGGTTATTATACAATTATTTTACCATATTCACTTCTAAATTCATTTCAATTTAGAAAAATGGAAAAATTGAGCAAAAAGTATTTTGTTGTGTCCAGGGAATATTCCAAAACAATAAATTATTTAAACTGTCTTGGGACATCAAAAATATTTCCTCTATAAAATACAATGGGTGCAGAGTGAAAAACAATACAAGTATTAGAACCTTAGAGCCTTTAGCCTATAAAATTAACTGCACTAAATGAAAAGATACCGTTCTTGGAGGCGGTGGAGGAGATAAAGTACCACCATGAAGTTTGAGCCGATGAAGGGAGCAGGCTGTGAAACTAGGATTGAAAAGAAAGACACAGGGTGGAACATAAGGCCTAGAAATTAATCCTGAAAATCACTAAAAGAAGTGGCTCCTGGCTGCAATCCTAGCACTTTGGGAGGCCAAGGCAGGTGGATCATGAGATCAAGAGATCGAGACCATCCTGGCCAACATGGTGAAACCCTGTCTTTACTAAAAATACAAAAATTAGCTGGGTGTGGTGGCATGCACCTGTAGTCTCAACTACTTGGGAGGCTGAGGCAGGAGGCTTGACCCCAGGAGGTGGAGGTTGCAGTGAGCTGAGAGCTTGCCATTGCACTCCAGCCTGGGCAACAGAGTGAGAGACTCTGTCAAAAAAAAAAAAAAAAAAGGGGGGCTGTTCACCTGATACCATGAGCACTGATTTCTTGTTAGCAAAGAGAACTCACGTGGCATTGACTGATCTGGAGTCCATCGTGTTGCCCACCAAACTTCCTACAAACTTAGTTTCTGTTCTCTAGACATATCCTAGCTTTTCTTCCTTGGATGAAATATTTAGAGATGACAGAAATAATGACTTCCAACATGAAGCATGTAAAAGCGAAGAGTGGCTGGCAGAAAGGATTGCAGGAGAAAATGGAACACAAAATTAACATATTAAGTAGAAAGCTGGTGTGCAGTTGAATTTCAGTGAGGCTGACTGGCCTTGCTCAGCTGCCAGGGAACACTCTCGACTCTTGTTTCCAATCTCTTCCAGGCCCTCCAGGGGCCCTGGACCATCTCTTGGGTCCCATCACAGCTGAGAGCCTCCATGCCCTGCATGCATGAATGCATCCACTTGCACACACAGCTCGGGACCAGTCTCCAAGGGTTTCTGCCAATATTCTCTTCTAAAGTTTCGCTTTGCTCTCTGCCATCACTCTATACTTTCTTGCCAAGAATTTATAACATCATAAAGACACAAAGTTGTTCAAATTTTGCTCTGGGATTTTGAAGGAGGAAAAATTCAAGCCACAAATATGCATGGGGCTATGCAAATTTATCACTGTGAGAACAAGTTTTTCAGTCCTATTATCATCACTTTATTGGTGGCCGAATTGGAGGAGTTGTTAAAGTTCAGAAGACCAGCATTCACCACACGCTGTTATTAGGATGTCTACACTAATCATAGCTTACAAAGGCCAATCGATTTGCTCTGAAATTATAACAGCAACAATCTTTGCCTTAGTTCCTGTGTGGGTGAGCACTGTTTGTATATTTATATCCTTATTTCTGGAACATTAAAAACTCTTCTGTAATATATTTTTCCATCAGATATAGTTGAGAAAATAATTATAAATAGCCCATTAAATGTTATGAAACAATAAAAAATCTGATTAAACATCAATCCCAGACTAAGAATATAATGTAAGATTTGATGAATTATGGCTAATTTTATGCCAGTTTTTATGGTTATTAAATAAGTTTAATGGACCACTCGAAATTCCATTACATAAATCATAGTCCAAAGTCAGGTTCTCTTGTCTAAAATAGCAAAATTTCTAGTGATAGGACAAAAATTTAATAGTGCTAGCACAGTTATAAGACAAAATCTTTGGTGTAGTTAGGATAAAAACTATATATTATTTGAGAAATTATGTCCATTCAAAATATTCCTTCTAGAACTACATACCTTCAAACCTCATCAGATAATAGTAGCTAATAGCTATTTTTCATTTCATAATGCAGAAACCCTAGGACCTTTCAACATTAATACAAATGTGGCTGCTTTATATAATGCCTCACATCTGCATGAAAAATAAGACACCCAACAGCATCCAGCTGACTCTAAATGTCCAGATGCTGGGAATGATTCACCCATGTGTCTTCCACATTGAATGTGCCAAACAGTGACGCTGAGTGGGCAATGATGTGCTGCATAGGGGGAGGGAGAGATACTGACATTTGTTAGGGAAATAAAATGAATTAACTTGGTGCATGCAACAGCACATGCACCGAGTAGCAAGAAAACAAATAAATAGAGAAAGAAAGCAGTTGTAGTTCACATACTTGCAAAATTTGGAAAAGTAAAATAAAAGACTCAGTAACTGAAAAGATTCAATAACTGCTGTGCTGCATGTATATCTGGGGTGATACTAAAATAATTCAACAACCTGCACAAATACATAAATTAGTAATTAAAAACTTTCCTCTAATTTCATACATATCCCTGTACACACACACACACACACACACACACACACACTCACACACTGCTCAGCAAGTTTCTGAAGCTATAGCATTGTTTACCCAACTGTCCTGACACTTCTGATTTTAGGAATTGCTAGGGTGATCTCTCGTTTGGGCAGATGTCCCAAGCTGACGTCCGTGGCTGAGCTGTTGATAGTGGCAGGAGACAGACAAATCCCTAGGCAGACAGTGGTGGGTCCCCATTGAAACCCAACCTTCAAGCCGAAGACAGTTTAAAGCCTAGCTATAAGTCCTGGGTACATCCACAGACTGGATTGAGAACCTGTCTTTCCATTTTGGTGCACTTTTCTCTGATTGATCCCCACCCTTCATCTATTTTACATATACCTATCCTTTCCTAATTAGTTTTCTACACTGTCGTGCCTTTGAGTGGTGTCTTCATTTTAACCTTTTTTGCACACTCATAAACCAATCAGCACACACTCTCCATTTTGAGTCCATAAAAAGCTCCAGACCTAGCCACACTGGGAGATAAACAACCCAACTGAGGGGTTGGGGGACCACCCACTGTATCCCCTCTCCACTGATAGCTGTTCCATCACTCAATACAATTCTTCTCTGCCCATCCTCACCCTTGGAATTGTCAGTGTATCCTCATTCTTCTTGGACACGGGACAGGAGCTCGGGAACTGCCAAACATGGGTACAAGCTATAGGACAGCAAGCTCAGCGGGTGGGGGTGCCTCCAATGGCAGGCCCGGGGCTGAGCAAGGCCCAGGCAGGGGGATATCGCCAGCCATGGAGGTCTCTTGTTGGCAAAGTGGCTGAGAAAAATTCTGCATCACTGTGATTTAGCCTCACACACTTTATTGACCTCCCATTAAGCTAATAGTCATCAGGCCAGTGCACTACATCTGGTTACAAAAGAAGGTGTCTGGGCTGGGCATCACCCAGAAGCCAGCACTTTTCAGCTAGCTTGAACTTAAAAGACCATTGTCTTGGTCCCAACCCCAATTCCTCAAGGTTAGCCTCAGCCCCCACCCTGTTGGGTTGTCCCTGCCACCTCTGGCCCACTCCAGAGCAGCAGGAGGCATTGCACACATCCCACCTGGAACCTCCACCTCTGTCCACCTCCAAGACAGCCCCACTCCCAAGACCACACCACCACCACAGCCTCCATGGGCCAACGTCATTAGATAATGCGTGGTCTCAAGTAAACTATTTCTGATTACCAACTACTACAGAAGAATTTAAAATATATATACTTTAGCAACACATTATGCCACATTGTTTTATGCTGGCTGGATACCTATTCTGGATACGCCTCTTTATGTGCTCTGACAAAGAAATCCCAATGCAATGCCCTGGCAATGAGAACAGTGACACACAAACAATAATATGCAGGGGTGGAAAAAAACATGCCAAGGTAGTTCACATTAGGGGAGGTCTCAGAAGCGCTTTGAGAGGTGAGTGTGCCACAGTGAGGTCACAAAATAGAGATGTTGTGCAGGAAAGGTTCAGTTGAGCCCAGCTATGCCAGCAAGCCCAGGGCACTGCAGGCCAGGTAGTTGTCTCTCTGGATTGGATGGCACCAGCTCCTCTTTTCACTATATTTTGTCTCACCTATTCTGTCAGCAGTGCCTTCTGCAAGGAAACTTGGAGAGAGAGAGAGACAGAGTAGAGTTTGCTCCAGGTACAGACCTGGAGATTGCAGAAGGCTGGTGGCCTTGAGTCTCACTTCCAGGGTGCTCCACACTCTCTGTGAGATGAGCAGCACAGAGGAGGTCATAAGGCTGTGACCGACAACAAAGCTTATTGCAGGGGTGAAGGAGCAGGGGAGAAGTGAGCAATCACTTGCAATTTTACCAGGTGCTATAAAATCACTGACGGGGACTTTTTTTTTCTTTTTTTAATTGAACTGCTTCCCAAGGTCAAATGCCCAAAACAAAAACCTCTTCATCTGGACAAGGCTTTATTTCATCCAAGCATCTCTAAGCATTTATTCCCTATCTGTCACATTTTGCATGATGTAGAGGCAACATTTCCACTTATCATTAACTAAGTGGTTAGACAAGGTAGTTATCAATTTCACAAGGGTGGAGGTATTTAGGCAATTTTCATCAATGACATTGTGATGGGTTAATTTTATGTGTCAACTTGACTGGGTTAAGAGATGCCCAGATAACTGGTTAAACATTATTTCTGGGTGTGTCTGTGAAAGTGTTTTCAGAAGAGATTAACATTTGAATCAGTGAACTGAGTAAAGAAGATTGTCTTCAGCCACGTGGGCTGGCGTCGTCCAGTTCTTTCAGAGCCCGGATAGAACAGAAAGGCAGAAGAAGGAGGAGTTTTTCCACTCTCTTTTCTTGAGCTGGGACATCTGTCTTCATTAATAAAGAAGTGGGGAGGCTGGGCACTGTGGCTCACGCCTGTAATCCCAGCACTTTGGGAGGCCAAGGCGGGCGGATCATGAGGTCAGTAGTTCAAGACCAGCCTGGCCAATATGATGAAACCCCATCTCTACTAAAATACAAAAAATTAGCCAGGCGTGGTGGTGTGCGCCTTTAGTCCCAGCTACTCAGGAGGCTGAGGCAGAAGAATTGGTTGAACCTGGGAGGCGGAGGTTGCAGAGAGCTGAGATCGCACCACTGCACTCAAGCCTGGGCGACAGAGCAAGACTCCATCATAAACAAATAAAGAAGAGGGGAAAGGTGGAGCCTGGAGAGTGGGTCAGGCAGGAGCTTGGTTTAGGAGTTTTCCCAGTTCTAGGGGAGGGTTCCTAAAGGTTGTCCAGCTGTCCAGTTCAAAATCTGGAGTATAACCCATGATCCGAGGAAAAGTTGAGGTCTGGCCTGAAACACTATGGCTAGGATTCTGGGGCAGCTTTGTGGGTGCACAGCTGAAGATTTGCAGCTCAGGTCATTGCCTCATGAGCTCCAAGCACACAGACCAACTCCAGGCCCTGTCTCCTGGGGTGGAGAAGCATCTAACACATGGACGGCCTTGGCTAGATTTGGGTTTTGAATCACAATGTTTAACACCGCAAGGCTTGAGGGTCTTCAGGCAAATTACTGAGCACAACTATGAAGGCAGCCACTAATAGCAGCAAAAGTGTATTCAATATTTATATTTCTTATGAGCCATCTACATGGTTCAAAAGTTAGCACATTCTTCCTTAGGCTCCTGCAGGCTTTGACATACCTTTATGAACTGCTCCAAGGATTGGGAAGTCTTCATTCTCATTTGCAAACCGTATATATTCTGAATACCTGCTCATATCCCATCTCGATTATCTCATCAATAATTTCCATCCCTCTGATTTACACCTGTAAAAGCAACTCACTTGCTTTTCCCAACCTAAAGAGTGCTGTGGAGTCCCTGGAGTAGAGCTACTGCAATTTCGTCACTCTCTGACCTGTTGGAAACTCAGTTTCACCGCAGCTTTACAAGGCTGCAGAGTCTTATATCTTACATGCATATTATAGCCAACACTGTTGACTGATTGCTCAAGAAATATCTTGGTTTTGTTCTGATGGATATATACTCAGTTTTAGGGAATACATTATGTTTGCTTTAAGTCAAATACACCAAAATCAGTTTCTTCTGCCAGGAATTAGTCTAAGTGGGACCCAACTTCAATGAGATAAAGACATTTTTTAAAATCTGTTGGTGACTTCTGGGAAAGGATTTCCTCCTTAATAAGGGACAGGCACAAAAGAGGTCAGCCCCCCCACCTTTTTCTCTGCTGGCCCCACCTGCTGACCTCAGCACTGTTCTCTAGGGCCATACTTCCCCATTTAGTTGGTGGCATTCTTTTCTCAGGGGAAAAGGTAAAAGATTATAAAGGAGTGAGAAAGTCAAGTTACTTTTAGCTGGTGAGAACACATGGACACATGGAGGGGAACAACACACACTGGGGCCTGTTGAAGGGTGGGGGTGGAGGGAAGGAGAGGATCAGGAAGAATAGCTGATGGATGTGGGGCTTAATACCTGGGTCACGGAATGATCTGTGCGGCAAACCACCGTGGTACCTGTTTACCTATGTAACAAACCTGCACATCCTGCACATGTGCCCCTGAAGTTAAAATTAAGGTTGGAAATTTGAAAACAACAACAACAACAAAAAAAAAAAAAAACAACTTCTAGCTATAAGAATCCTGCTTTGAGCTTCAAAAGCCTAATCTCTGTGTCATGTCATTTAGTTGATGACATGAACAACAGATGCCAAAAGCTATGTGATCAGCCAGAACCATTTTTTTCCACCCAGACTGAATAACGAGCCCATGGCTAACAGCAGAGAAGCCCTGAGTCAAGGACCTATCCACAGGAGGCACATCCAATGGGAGGAGACACAGTGGAAACCACACATGGCTTTGGGCTTAGCTGAGAGCCCAGGGAATCTAGGCCTGTGTGCAGTAAAGGGTTAATCCCACAGGCTTAGGGGGTCCAAATCCCACACATTCTAAAGAAAGATCTTGCCCTTGACTGACTCCTAGGAGGTAACCTCTAAGCTGTTGCAATTTCCAGCCTGATAAAAGTGTCATTACAGACCTGAGGCTTGGGGCCAGGCAAGATTGTTTATGCCAACAATTGGATTATGACGAGTGTCTGTTTTTATTCTTCTGGGACCCTGGGCCACGCTGTGTCAGTTGAACCTCTGGAGGAGGGGTTGGAGACTCAAGTGTTAAGGTAAGTCATCTGAGCACTCTATGTGACTAACCCCTAATGAAAACCCTGGACACCAAGGCTTGTATGAGCTCCCTGGTTGATGATACTCTGTATGTGTTGTCACAACTTCTTACTGGAAGAGTTAAGCCCTGTCCCTATAGGTCTCCGGGAAAGACAACTGGAAGCCTGTGCCTGGTCTTTCCTGGACTCCTTCCTATGCACTTTTTCCTTTGCTGATTTTAATCTGTATCCTTTCACTGTTTCATAAACTATAACCTTAACAACAATAGCTTTTCAGAGTTCTGTGAGTCTCTCCAGCAAATCATCAACCCAAGGGGTGGTCTCAGGAAACTCCAACACAGTCCAACATTTCCACATGGGTTCCTGTTAACGACACGGTCTTGGAGCAGTAGAAAAAAGATGGCTGCTTTGATGTGCCCAGGTGGATGGTCCTACAACAGCCTAAGAGAGTTCCTCCACCTCTGGAGAGGGTGGTCCACAGCCAGGCATTTTCAGGGTGTCTCACAAGGCCATAGATGTTGTTGAAAGAGCCTTTTGTGGAGAGGCTTTATATTAATAGTTAAGGACACAAGAGGCCAGAGGCAATCTGACTCAATGATGGAAACTTGGTAGCTGCAGATGCCGGCCGTGAATTGGTATCAGTGATGGAAAGAAGGCCACACCCTCTCTACTTGGTCTGCTGAGATCCTTTAGCCCCAGGTTAGACTCCTAAACACAGAGGAAAGCACCCAGACACAGAGTGGAGAAGACCCCGCGTTGACTGTGATCATCGTGAATTAAATGAAATTAAGATTCTACCACCTGGCATCATGCAGTATATGTTACAAATTAAGTTGAACTATACAAAAATACAACTTCAATTCTAACCATGCCGTCTTTGTGGATTAAAACTCATACCTGGCCAGGCGCAGTGGCTCACGCCTGTAATCCCAGCACTTTGGGAGGCCAAGGCAGGCAGATCATGAGGTCAGGAGTTCAAGACCAGCCTGGGCAACATGGTGAAACCCCATCTCTACTAAAACTATAAAAACTAGCCAGGCATTGTGGCGGGCACCTGTAATCCCAGCTACTCGGGAGGCTAAGGGAGGAGAATTGCTTGAACCCAGGAGGCGGAGGTTGCAGTGAGCCGAGACCACACTATTGCACTCCAGCCTGGGTGACAGATTGAGATTCCATCTCAAAAAGAAAAAGAAAAAAGAAAAAAAGAAAAACCTCACACCCATTACATACATGAAAAACTGTTAGCTTTTTAACCCAATCACCAATACGATATTACTGTCTGGTAAAAATATTTTTGTTTTCCTTTAAAAATCATATTGGCTATCAGGGAAATGGACCCAAATATGCAGATGGAAGTTGTTTATCAAGAGCATAGAAATGGAGCTCTAGGTTGAGTCCTAGAAGCATGCTCTCTGCTTTCTGGTGCTAGTACAAAATCAATAGCAGTACTTTCTCAGCACCTCTTTGATGTCAGCACATGGCACATGTGAAGCAAGAGGCTGTTCGATTTTGATTGTTCACTGCACTAAATTTTTACAGCTGCGGTAACAAATCACTGCAAACCTGGTGGCACAAAATAACACAAATTTGTTACCTCATGCTTTAGAGATCAAAATCCTAAATGGATCTCACTGGACTAAAATCAAGGTGTTGGCAGGACTGTGCTCCTTCTGAAGGCTCGAGGAGAAAGTGTGTTTTGTGTTTTCCAGCTCTTAGAGGCCATCCCTGTTTCTTGGTTCATGGCTGCTTCCTCCATCCTCAAAGTCAGCAGTGCCTGGCGGAGTTTTCCTCACATCTCATCATGCTGAACTTGACTCTCCTGACTCTGACTTTCACTTATAATGACCCTTGAACAACACCGGGCCCATCCAGGTGATTCATGGTAATCACATCTCCAGATTCTTAATCACATCTGCAAAATCCTTTTTGCCATGTAAGGTGAAATATTCACCTTCCAGAAATTAGGACACGCACATCTTTAGGGGCCATTACTCTGCCTGCCACACTTACTAAGTACCAGATTTTCCACCAGGGGTTAAGGATACCCCCTCAGCTGTGGAGATACTCTCAGTCTAGACAGGGAGATACGTCTGGAAATGCGTATTTGTACTAGGTAATCACTAGCTAGCTTAGGGAGATTCCGAAGCAGCCAGAGAAGGAGAGAGAAAATGGAGCCTGCTTTCTTGCAGTGCACAGTCCACAGCGTGCCACACTCATGCACCCATCTTGACAGCAACTAGACATATTAGGATTCTGACTCTCTTCTCTACCCTGCTTAAGGAACCTAAAATATCATGCTTGTCTTAGTCCACATGTGCTGCTATAACAAAACACAAGAGACCAGGTCATTTAGAAATAACATAAAATTATTTCTCTCAGTTCTAAAGGCTGGGAAGTCCAACATCAAGGCACAGACAGATTTGGTGTCTAGGCAAGGCTTCCTCTCTGCTTCTAAAATGTCACCCTATAGCTGCACCTTTACATGGGAGAAGGGCAAAAGGTGCTATTGTGCTCCCTTCAATCTGTCTCTCTTTTTTTTTTTTTTGAGACAGGGTCTCACTCTGTCACCCAGGCTGGAGCACAGTGGCACAATCACGGCTCATTACAGCCTTGACCTCCTGGGATCAAGCCATCCTACCACCTCAGCCTCCCAAGTGGCTAGGACTACAGGTGTGCACCACCATGTCTGGCTAATTTTTTTCTTTTTTTTTAATTTTTGTAGAGACAGGATTTTGCCATGTTGCCAATACTGGTCATGAACTCCTGGATGCAAGTGATCCTCCTGCTTTGACTTTCCAAAGTGCTATGATTACAGGCATGAGCCACTATTCAACCTCTTTTTTAAGACCACTAATCCACCTGGCATGGTAGGTCATGCCTATAATCCTAGCACTTTGGGAGGCCAAGGTGAGGGGATCGCTTGAGTCCAGGAGCTCCAGGCCAGCGTGGCAGCATAGCAAGATCCCATCTCTACGAAAAATACAAAAATTAGCCAGGTGTGGTGGTGCACACCTGCAGTCACAGCTACCTGGGAGGCTGAGGCTGGAGGATTGCTTAGCCCAGGAGGTGGAGGTTGCAGTGAGCCATGATTGCACCACTGCACTCCAGCTTGGGTGACAGAGTGAGACACTGTCTCAAAACAAAACAAAAATAAAGCACTCATCTCATCCATGGAAGCAGAGTGCTCATGATGTAATCATTTCCTTAGTGGCCCCACTGCTCAGTCCTATCACATTGGGTTTTAGGTTCCACCATATGAATTTTGGGGGGACACATACATTCAAACCAGAGCAACTCTTATTTCATTTTGTTCTTTCTACCCCCTTTTGAAGGCTACATTCAACCTTTCTTAACGTTTCCATTTTATTTTCACACGCAAATGCTGATGATCTTTAGTTTCCTCACCAGCCCCTTCAAAATCCTAATGTGAAAATGTTCATCGCTTTTTGCAAACCACACAGCCAAGCCCTGTTGTGCATGAGTGAAAGCTGTTGTTGCTTGCTTCATTAATAGCCACACTGTCAAACAAGCTGTGTGTGTTATTTCTTCACTCCATCCTCAAGTTGACAAGAAAAAAGCTTAAATGCACTAGAAGATGCTTCAATAGAAAAAAAAAAAAAAGTTCTGTCTGCACAAGTCCGGTATGTTCTCCTCTCTTAAAAGAGCAAGATGGATCATTTTTGTGCCTTCTCCATCACGCTTCTGTGTCACCGTTGCAGAAGCTTCCACCTTAAGACAGTGAATTGCAATAATAAAATGTCTCTTCCTCGCTGTCTTTGATGGTGGCAATGTAAAGGCTGGAGTTTAATTACATACAACATATGGACAAAAATTGTCATGCCTACTCATTTCAGGCCAATGGCGAGGAAAGCAAGAAATAGAAATCAAGAGAATCAGCTCAGTTTAAGTAAGAGCATGATGCTGGAGTGTATCTTATCTTATCTCATTTTAAACTAAAGGAGATCAAAGTTGAGAATGTTTTCTTTTCTTCACTGGACAAAAAATATGAAATGCTAACTGTGCATGAAGCATTGTTCCACCTTAACCCTTTAATGCAAGTATGGGACTTGAACCATAGTATGTCTATCAAAAATATTTTTTAAAAATCAAAATCTGTGCTCAATAAAGATTTTTAAACTTGTTAAAGTATTTCAGATTCCCCATTATAGAAAGTTTTGCATGTTTGAAAGGATGAGCCACTGGGCATAAGAGTGAGTTGATGGGTGTGATATTTACACTCTCTCCTAGGTGGATATCTTTCTGGACCCTAATGGGGTAGGTAAGGTTGCCTTACATGACCTTGTGTGTGTTGAAGCCTAGAGAGGCATGAACAGTGTATATTCATGGGCAGGCATACTCTGCCTAATCTTCTATCCCCAGAGGTTACTTTTGAGCTGACACAAGGAATATATCAATAATTAGCCCTTAAGATGCAATTCTCTGTTGGTCTAATTACTCAGGCCATTTTCACAGGCAATAAAAGCAAATAAACCAGGGTACGACTCCTTTTAAAATGTAAAAGGAGTAAAAAGCAACATTAGTGGGCTAGTTCAAGTGCCTTTCAAACTGCAAGAAAAAGAAAAAGTGAAATGGACCAATTCCAGGGCTTTATTTTCAGCTGAGAACAGGATACCAGAGGGCTGCACAGACACAGGCGCAGCTACACCCTTTGGTGACTTACCCTAAAGCAATGTGACCACTATTTTCTGGAAATAAAATTGACAGGCAGAAAGAAATCTTCCACAACGCGGCAATCTGATCAGGGAGTACCCCGCAGGAGTACCCATGCTGAAATGATTTCTAAAGTACTGGTGGTACAAAGTGATACATTTCTATTTGTTTTGTGTATATACAAGAGAATTTCTGGAAGGTTGGATACCGATGAATAACTATTAGTACCTGAGGGTGGGGGAGGCATACCAGGGAATGGAGAGTAAGGGACTGGAGTGAGACTAGAATTTTTTCTGTATGCTTTTTGAGTTTTGAATTATAAATGATAACCTGTTTACAAAAGTAAATAAAATAAGAATGAGCCAACCAGCAATCTCCAATTCAGAAATGCTACTTTGTGGAAAGAAATTGGCCAGGTAAAGTTTCCCTTGGATATCTTTTAAGTGATATTGAGGTATTAATAGAGCTGAGAATTAACATTTGTATTGCAGACACAGGAGTCCAGGAAAGGTCCCACAGAGAACCAGGGTTCCAAGGGATCTCCTGTCATAAGCTGTCACAAAGAGATTTTAAGATGAAGCAGCGCCATTTTAGTTAGAGGCTGGCTCATTCTGAGATTCTGCAGAGACAAAGAAACCAAACACAGCCAAAGAAAACATATCAAAGGCAATTGCACAAATGTCACTTCCTGCCTGGTTTACAAAATTATCATTTAATTTCTGAACCTCAGTGGGTCTGTGAAGACACTGACCTTCTAGCTTTTTGTCAAGCCCTCTGGACAAATGTGCCTCTCAGGCTGCTTCTGTCATGGCTTAAAAATTAGCTAATAAGTGGTTTGCACTTCATAAGAGTAAACACCATGTTGAAACTGAGCCAAACTGACACTCTAATAGGTCACAGTGAGCTGAGAAGAAATTTCATTGCAAATCCTCACCATGGGGCGTCCTGGGAATTCTACAAGAATCTTCATATTCATGAAGCTTAATTATAGCAAAATTGCCAATCTGTAAAATATGGCTGCATTTGCATACGACTTACAAGTCTGAAACATGAACAAGAAGACTACGGTCCCCTTGGGATGCCCACAGTATGTGTAGAGAAACACAAGTGAAAGAAAATTGATGGGGGGAGTGGGGGTAGGAAGAAAAATAAAAACAGATCAAGAGGTACTTTATTTACCTAGAAAAATGAAAATGCCAATCACAGAAAGGCTCTTATTATGTACTTGTAATCAACCATAATATTCAAATTGCTGAATAAAGAATCAAATAAAATCATAAATTTAAGACATTAGTCTTAAAAATATTACTCATTTTAGTTCCTGAGATGAATGGAAAGTTGCAAAGGCTGTGTGCACACCTCATCTGTTCTGATAATCGGGCAAATGAGGCTTCGTCTTCAAGCCCCTGCGGTAATCAACTTGAGCTCTTAAGTGCTTCTTTGGAAGAGGGGAGGCATCTTGGGATACCAGGATTGCAGGGCTCAGCAACATACAGACGGACAACCATCAGTAACGCTGCCCCCACAGATGTCACCAATGTGCCTCCAAGGGTCAAAAAAAATAGTCGTGTTTCTAACTATTTGATAAAAATGGAGGCAATTAAACTCTGGGAAGGCTATGATTTCTTAGCAAAATAAAACCTTGGCCCCATGCATTCTTCCCTTCCTCCTATAGAAGGATTGTCTGGTGTACTCCTGTTCACAGCAAATGCAGAATCCCACACTTTAAAACATCCTCTGTTCACACCTGTTTGGTGATCAGATGAGTATCTATCTATCTATCTATCTATCTATCTATCTATCTATCATCTCTCTCATCTCTCTATCACTCTAGTTATCTATCATCTCTCTCATATCTATTCTGTTTTCTGTTTATTATCTATCTACTATCCATCTATCTACTATTTATCTATTATCTATCTATCTATCATCTGTGTTCTATCAGTTATCTGTCCATCTATGTATATGCCTATCTATTTATCTATGTATCTATCTTTCATCTATCTGCCTTTCTACCATCTAATTTTCTTCTGCATATCTACCAATTATCTATCTATCTATGTATATGCCTATCTATCGTCTATCTGCCTATCTGTCTATCTATTATCTATCTATGTATCTATCGATCGATCCATCCATCCACCCCATTAGGCTGTACCTGATGGGGGCAGCATCATGTTCCTCACATGGTCAAGCATGGCTGTGTGCCAGGGGCCTTCAAGCAACATTTAAAGCTAAAGCCAACGATAGAAACCATAATTAATAATATTTTCAGACAGGTTGCCAAATAACATACATGTAAGCGAAGACCAGATGCATTTCAAAAATGTTCAAGAAATTGAATGTGAATAAATTCATTGCTTAAAAGAGAATAGCAAATGGTGCATGCTGTGTGATATGGTAACGACAACAGCAATACTAGCAGTGGTCATCTATCAAGTGCTAGTTATATGCTAAAGACTGTGTTAAATGTTTTGACATCCATCACCTTACTGCATCTTCCCAAAACCACAGGAGGTAGATATGATTATCTCAGGAAACTGAAACTCCTGAAGTTACATAGAAAAATGGCCACACAGTTAATGAGCAGCAGAAAGATAATTTGGCCACAGATATGCTTAACTTGAAAATCTGAGTCCTTAAAGATCGTATACTGTGCCCTCTCTTCAAATCCTAAAGAAATGACAAGAGAAAGAAAGGAAGGAAGGAAAGCAGGAAAGAAGAAATCAAAGGAGGAGGGAGAGAGGTAGGGAGGGATAGGAGTCAACATTGAAAAACAAGGGATAATTCTAACAACTGGCCAGAAGTTATAGAAATTTATATTGTAACAACAACAATAACACCCATCTACAATCCCTTATCTGCAATCCCACAATCCAAAAATACCTCAAAAATGAAAAAGTATTTTCATGATTCACCTGCTGCCAAAACATGGCCCAAATGGACGTGAGGTTCTATTTGAGCCTTGTTCATTACACACAGAATAAAAATTCCACAGTTCTGCTGAAGAAATCTTGAAGCATTACTGCCCCACATTCCACCGTGAGGGTGTAGAAAACATGCAGAGTATGGTAACATTTACTTTTAGATAGCTATCTAAAATGTGAGAAATTCTGAAACACATACAGCCCCTGAGGCTTGCCTAAGCTGAGAGCATGTCTGCTGACCTAAGAATCCCTCTGCCATTATATGTCCTTGACAGTCAAGACAATAAGACAACAACCTGTGGTCAAAATCAACCGACAATAACAGAAATTTAGTGAAAAAAGAAACATACATCTCAATAACTGCTGAAGAAAAGCAGCCTCCTCTATTGCAAGGAGAACTCATGGCAATGTTATCCTATTAAGATCTGACATCACCTTCTCTCCCTTCCAGGCTAATTTCTTAACTCAGTTTAGTTTGAGCCCAAGCAAGGGCCTGTTTTGGACTCTGATTACATTTGAACACCCCAGGCTCACTCACCCTTGGCCTGGAGGCTTCCGGAAATAGAGCATTTTGTTACATAGTTTCCACAGAAAAGTAGGGAGAGTTTGATTGAAATGATTTATAGGAAATCTAAGAAAAATCTTAGCATGCACGATATCATTTATATGCATTTGAAAAATACACTGTGTTAGTTTCTATGGTTTACAGATTCACAAATACGTTGCAGAGGTTTCAAGATGTGTATAGAAAATGTGAGTGGGACCTCAATTCTATCTAACACTCGTATTCATAAAAAAAGGAATGAATGAAATGTGGCAAAGCATAAACATCTGACTCTATGTTGGGCTTAAGTACCTGGTTTTTGTTTTCTTTCGTGCTTTTTGTTTTTGTGACTCTCTGTCCTTTTCTGTGTATTTAAAATACAATTATTCGACAACAAAAATAACCCTCACAAAATATCTGCTCTGTACCAGGCACAAGAATGACAGTGAGGATAAGAGAGACAACATCCCTATTTGAAAGGTTTTATAATTAAAATTAAAAATGTATGTTAATTTATTGTGTCTTCTTGGGATTAGAAAACAAACAGAATTTATTAGCATTGTGTTGATTTGCTTCTTTTAGTGGAGTTTAGATTGATAAAATCATTAACACTAACAGATTGCCCTAACAAAATGGACATATTTCCAAATTCTAGAAAGACTTCAGGCAGGGAGAGCAGGAGGGAGGCCATTAAGCTCTCTTTTGTAAGCAGGATGTCTGCTTTGGGGCGTGTCCAAAGGGAAAAAAGGCAATATGAGAATAGAGAGGTGTTTAATTTCAGCTTCTAAAACTGCACCTGTTTCTTTGAGCAAAAGTTCCCTGTTTGGCAAATAAGTGTAAATAATATAGTAAATTAACATTTGAGGGAAGAAAACCCTAAAATTGAGATTTTTATGATTTAAAATATGCCTAGCAAGATATTATTTTTTTCAAAGTACTTATTGAACACATAGGGTTAGAGCATAAAGTAACATGCCCAGCCTTGTGGCAGCCCGTGGGCATCAGCACTGGGTGTGTAATTACAGAGGTTACCTGAAGCCTGAGGAATAAGCACATTACGTTGTTAAAACAAACAAACAAACAAACAAAAACACAACACTGTGAAAAGACAGAAGCACTAGAATTTATAAGCATTGATGATTATGTAAGAAATATCTAAAGAAAGTTCACTGTTAATATTGAAAGGTCTAATCCTGGCTATCTTTTACCTTCAGTTCTCTACATTTTTTTCCTTTTTTTAATCCTCTATCAAAATTATTATCTTGACAGACATGCCAGCCTTAATATGTGCTCTTGCTTAAACAGCATGAGTTCCGTGCTTTATATTGAGACTGGCATATTTAAATTCAAGTGCAGACATACAGGAGCGTCCTATTTTGGCCATAAGTGACGCAAAGTCCAAATCTTAACACTCTTCTCCCAACAAGCATGCATTGAACAGCAGATATCAGATGTCATCTTCTCAAAGTTTTGCTTTATGCCAAAGTTACCATTAGGATTAGCTTAGCTCTCTTTGAAGGCAATTAATGAGAATGGAAGTGTTAGGGGCTGGATGTTTGTGTCCCCTAAATTAATATGCTGGAACCCTGTTCCCCAACATGATGCTATGGGAGGTGGGGCAGAATGGAATCAGTGCCCTCAGAGAGCCACAAGACCACTCACTTCCTTCCCTGCTCCCTGCCAGGCAAAGAAAGAAGGAGAAGTCGGCTTCTGCCACCAGGAAGAGGGCCCTCACCAGCACCCTGCGGGCATCTTGATCTCAGACTTCCAGCCTCCAGAGCCATGAGAAATGAACTGTTGTAGTTTCAGCGACGCAGTCCATCAAACTTTATTACGGCAGCCTGAACAGGGTAAGGTAGGAAGTAAATGGGAAACAAAATAAAAAGGGGAGAGTGCCTGAGGTGTCATCAGAAGCCCAGCTTGAGGGGCTCTGAGGTATGCAGGGGCTTTTCATAGTTGTCAATGATGTGTGTGTGTGTGCACATGTGAGTGTGTGTGTGTGCGCACCTGTGTGTATGCCAGTATGTGTAGTATGTATGTGTGTGGTGTGTATGTGTGAGTGTATGTCATGTGGTGTGTGCATGTATGCATGTTAAGTGTATGTATGTCAGTGTGTGTGGTGTGTGTATGACATATGTGCATGTGAGTGTATGTCTGTGCATGGTGTGGGGGGAATATAAGCATGTGAGTGTATGTCAAAGTGTGTGTGTGGGGGGGGTGTATATGTGTGTGTGTGTGGTGTGTGTGGACATGTATGTGTGTAAGAGAGTATGTGTGTGTCCTGTTAGCAGGAGTGTCCAGGGCCAGGTCACTGAACACCTCCATATGCACAGGCCAGTCGCACACAACGTGGAATTGCCTGTGTTGCCGGCACTCTCCTCCCACCGCTTCAACACTGGACCACGTACATCTATAGACTTTGTCTCTGGGCATCCAATTCTCCCTCTTAGAATAAGAGCACTTGGGTTTTCCTTTGAGGAGCCATCCCTCATGGGCATGAGACCAAGGTCATCACCTCTGTGCCCCTAGACATGGTGACTCGTTCACAGATAGGCATGTGACATGACCCTTCTCAGGGATTTTGGAGAAAGAAGACTCTTTCCCCCTGGCTACTGAGCTACTGTCACTGGGGTTGTGTGCAACGTGCCATGCTAGGTATGCCAAGGAGCCAATCTAAACCAGAGTACTCCAAGAGCAGTAAGACTGACAGCAAGAGTGAGAGGTGCTCCTGTCAGAGTTTCTGGACACCTTGATGCTTCTGGGCCTGAAGGCAGTTACTCCTGGAGTTTTCAGTTCTGTGAGCCAATAAGACTTTTTTTTGATTTCTGTTTGTCACTTGCAATCAAGAGTTCTGAATAATGCAAATTACTGCACAAATTCAAAACTCAGTTTATAGATGCAAAATAAATAAAATTCAATATTTTAGAATTATGAGTTTATAACAGGCTTATAAATATGTTTTCAGATATCAGTCTGCTCAAAGTCTAGTCGAGCTACAACATATGCACAAATAATGTATTTCTATTCACAAAGCCAGTCTTTTCTTCCTAAGTGTCTCCCCTCTCCTGCAAATGTCCTCTTATCCATAGTCCGGGATAAAGGAAATGGATTATTCTAACGGCTGAGAAATACCTTCCCACTGGCATCGCATATATATAGAACCAGTGGTAAAGTCTGTAGGGAGATCTGTATTGGCATGGAAGGAGTAAGTGGGGACTCCCCACTGGGACTTCCATTGTATTTTCTCATCATATTTGTAAAGACCTGACTCTTCATTTATTGTTATCAAGGCCTGTGTGAGTTTGCTACCTTGCAATATCAGAAATTGAGGAGGAAGTTCCCTGCCCTGTTTCCCCCCGGGATGAAGTTGCAGATCACTTGGAGAGGACCGACAGGAGAGGAAAGAGGAGGCCCCTGCTCCTGATGGCACAGCACCCCAGGGAAAGTGATCAAAACCAGCAGAAGCAACAAGGAAAGTCAGCTGTGCCGAGAATTGCATTGCAAATTCATTCCACGCGTTTGACCTGTGAGAGGAAGTGTTCCATGCTTTCATGTTAGGGAAATTTGGCCAGACTGGGAGCCACTGTCCATTGCTCCACAGACGTGGAGTGCCCACTACTTCCTTGTCAGATTGTCAGACAGTGTCCTGAAAATAAGGGACAACAGTGGATGTGACGAAGAACCTATTTTGAGGACTTTTGTTCAGAGGAGAAGCAACAAATGGTACACAGGTGATAGGGCTTGGATGTTTGTCCCCTCCAAATCTCATGTGGAAATGTGATTCCCAGTGTTGGAGGTGGGGTCTGGTGGGAGGTGACCAGGTCCTGGAGGTGGACCTCCCATCCCCTTGGTGATAAGTGAGTTCTCACTCAGTTCGTTCACAGGAGATCTGGTTGTTTAAGAGTCTGGAACCTCCTCTTCTCTCCCTCTTGTTCCTGCTTTCCCCGTGTGGTGTGCGTGCTCCTGCTTCACCTTCTGCCATGATTGCAAGCTTCCTGAGACCCTCACCAGAAGCTGAGCACATGTTGGTGCCAGGCTTTTACAGCATGCAGAACTGGGAGCCAATTAAACCTCTTTTCTTTATAAATAGCAAGCAAAGGAATAAAGGAACGGCAGAATTTCAAAGAAAACACAGAGGCAGGCTGGGCATGGGGAGGTGGCAAATTCAGAGTGAGTAGTCAAAAGCAGCCTTCTGGGTGCATCCTTCCTGAACTACAACTTGAATGACAAGAAGAGACCAGCCAGGCCCTGTCAATACCTGTGGACAGAATCCTCTGCTGGGAGACAGTATGTGAAAAATCTCCAATCAGGAGCAAGGAGCAAACTGGACTCTGAGCAGGCTGTTGTGGAACAGGGCTGTCCCCTTGGCCTTCTGTGAGTGCCCACTGCACCTGTTCCCCTTGCCTGGAATGTCCTCTCCGCACTTTCATTTTTCTTTAACCAATCTAAAGGACAACTTGTCACTTTCCAGGGCATAAATTCCCTGACCTCTGACAGGCCAGGTCCCCTGAAATTCCCCGTACAGCCCCCACTCCTGTTGTTCATTTCCAGCAGGTCTCACAATTGTAAGCAGGTCATTATTTACATGATTACTTGAGGTCTTCCCCAAGACCATAGGCCCATGAGCACAGACACAGCTGGCACTACTGCTCACCGTTCCACCCTGGGCACCCCATCTGTGCCGGGTCTGGTCCATGGCAATGCCCAATCCATCCACTTTGAATGAATCAGTGAATGAATGCTCACAGACAGATACACCCCCATCTTATCCAGAAGACAGAAATTGTCCGCTGCCATGACCTCGGGTGTGAAGATTGCAGAACCATGGTTAGGCACGCTGCCATAGCATTCCCTGAGTATCTCATGCCACCTGTTCTTTGGGCCCTAAGGTGACTTAGAGTGTGGAATCAGCTCAGGCTTTTCCCCAACTTCAGTTTGGTAAATGTCTCTCCTGGCTGACACCTGCTAGAGGGCCAGCTCCTCAGGTGCCTGTGGAGTTGGCTGCATCCCTACTCTCAGTGGGGACTGCCAACAATTTAATGGTAACCTGAGGAGACCAACCACATCTCCAGCATGCCAGGAAGGGAGAAAGAAGCTTCTGTCCTCTTCACTGCTGATGAAGATAGGCACATACTGATGATGGGTGGCCACAGAAAAGCATTCTAAATATGAGGAGGATGATGATAGCTACACCCATGCACTGTGCATGCCCAGCCCTGAGATGAGTGTTTTCTATGCAGTACCTCATTTAACCCTTAAAACAACCCTATGAGCAGAGTAGTATCATCCTCATCATTTTCCAGAGGAGAAAACCGCGGAACAGAAGGGCTAAATAACTTACCCAGGATCACATAGCAAGAAAGTGGCAGAGCTTGGGTTCCAGGTGGTCCCATTGCTGATACTTTCATCCCTGATAGAATTTTGCCACACAAATGATGACCTGAGCCCACTCTGTTCACCAACACCTGTTCTTCCTCACCTTGCATGGGCAATGGCTGCTTCTGCTTCTGCCTACAGTCAGGCTGGAGGCTTTCAGAGGGAAGGATTCCTTTTTATAAGTATGGTAAAGCCCCCGGTGGTTGTTTTCCTGGGCGTTTTGTACTTGAAATATTTAGGCCCTCAGCACTCACACCTGGCCACTGCTTTGCCCCTGCACCTGGGCTACTTCAGGTCTATGGGACCAGTTGCGGTTAGCGCTAGACAACAATGACATAAAAATGAACCAAATGTTCCAAGGATCAGAAGCATGGACTCCACAGACTACTTCAAAGTGATGTGCAGCAAGGCACAAGAGTTCCAAAAGCCACTGTGGCTGGTTAGTTCCCCATTAAGTTGCTTCCTTGGTTGGCTTTATTATTTCATCTGCTCCATTAGTGAACAGCAAGCGTTTTGCAAAAAAGGCATTGCACAGCCTCACCAAGCTCCTAGAGAAGCCTTTCTAGAAGCTGCTTCATGTATCCCCACAAAGCAACATGGGCAGCAGGTTGGTGGGATGCCCCACTCTCCCGAAGAAGCAGCAGACTTATCCAGGTTAACTCCCTCCTCTCTCCTTTGTCCCCAACATGCACTGATCAGGAAGATGAAACCAAGTGAAAGCCACTTCCTGTGTGGGTCTTAAAATTCAATAAAAATAATATCTCAGAAAAAAGCCAGAACACACTTTCTGTTCAGATGGAAAAATGCATGTTTCCCTCCCCACCTTCACCTACAAGCTGAGTTCATGTTATTTCAACAGCACATCATGGACCCAGATGCAAATGGACAGTATCTGAAATGCAGTCCCGAGCAGGAGAAATGTAGTTTCATCAGCGAGTCATTTTTAAGGCTTGATTTCTATTTGTATTTAAACATACTATCAAAAAATAAATACTTGCATATTTTGTGGAATGTCTGTTGAAAATATGTGCCCAAAGTGTCTAACTTGGGACAAATCTGACCTCAGTCCCTGGAAGGCTACCTTCGATTTATGCCTCTTGATATGGCTTGGCTGTGTCCTCACCAACATCTCATCTTGTAGTTCCCATAATCCCCACATGTTGTGGGAGGAGCCAGGTGGGAGGTAATTGAATCATGGGGGCAGTTACCCCCATGCTATTCTCGTGATAGTGAGTGAGTCCTCATGATAACTGATGGTTTTATAAGGGGCTTTTCCCCGCTTTTGCTTGGCACTTGTCTCTCCTGTCGCCATGTGAAGAAGGATGTGTTTGCTTTGTTTTCTGCCATGATTCTATGTTTCCTGAGGCCTCCCCAGCCATGTGAAACTGTGAGTCAATTAAACCTCTTTTCTTTATAAATTACCCAGTCTCAGGCATTTCTTCATAACAGTGTGAGAATGGACTAATACACCTCTCCACTCTGAATTTAATTTCTTTGGTTTGGTTTTCAATTATCTTATCTATCATAGATCAAAACTTATTTCCCCAGTACCTTCCTTCTAATACCTTTCCAAATTTTTATCTGGAAGTAGAAGGCCCCAGTCTCATTCTATTAACTCTGCTATCCCATAGCCAGCATGTTTAGAGATACCAAATACAGTTGCTAGAGCTCCAGGCAACAGCACTGGGATCCAGTCACTAGCCATCCTCTACAGTGTCTGAAAATGACTCGTTGCCTCACTCACTTATTCAGCAAACACACTGCTGTACACTAGTCCCTGCACTGGGTGCTGTCTTATGACAATTTCCCCAGCCTCCAGCCTTCCTTGCATTTATAAAAGGTACTGATATGCACCAACTCACATCAGTGGATTCAGTTACACACAATGACAGGCAGCATCAGTTGTGTTTGTGCAGGGAAGTGGTCTTCAGTGCTGGTAGAACATAAAACTCACTTGGAAAGTTTTTCAAAATATGAATGCTGGAGCCCAAGCCCAGACCAATTAAAGCAAATCTCTAAGGGCATTGGTATTTGTAAAAATCCACCCAGGGGGTTGTAATGAACAACCAGGGCTAAGAACCTGCAGCCTTGTCACTGACAATACCAGCCTTGGACCAGCAGATTCAGCAACACCTGGGAGCTCATTAGAAATGCAGAATCCTAGGCCCCACACCAAGCTACTCAATCAGAATCTGCTTTATTTAACAGGATTCCTGGGTGATTCATGTGCACTAAACTGTTTAAGTACTATTCTGGGAGATTAGAACATAAAACTTTATCTGTTGAATTAATAGATTGTATTACAGTGAGCTGCATGTCATATCATTTTCAGAAACTAACGTCTGTGTAACAGCTTTCCTGGAAGATGAGATCACTCCAGACCACCCAGAGATGCCTAAGGACTCCACTTCCTTTCAGTAGTATAGTCCAGTCAAAAGATAGTGATTGGGAAAAAAACAAAGAAAAGATACAGAAATTGGGGCTAAAATGAGGCTCTGTAATGAAAAGATTGTATTGAGTTCAGGAAGCAGTTATATCACCTCCGTGCCAAACACACACACACACCAGATAATAAATTCCTTGAGTGCAGGGATTGCGTATTTCTCTTATTCATAGCTATATTCACAAAGCCAAGCTCAAGACCTTCACAGAGTCGGTGGTCACTAAATATTTCTTGCATCACTTAGTGTCCTGAACAGAGAACAATTCTGTTAGTCATTTATTTTGAGACCCTAGACGAATCTCTCCACCTCTCAGTGGAGAGATTTTCAGTGTCTTATCTATATGATCTGTTTAAATTATTTACCCTAAGATACAAAAGCAACAAAGAGCTCACTGATGAATAATTATGTGATCAACAGACACAGGGAAAGCTCCTTATATCTAGGAGAACTGTGGACTGGTCTCCACACTTCCACAATCCACGTGCCCAAAGAGTAATTAGTACTTGGATACTCTCAACGTGTACTCATTAAATGAAGAGTCATGGAGTTCCTATGTGCCAGTTACTATTCTAGAAATTAACAGAACAGACCAAAATCTCTGCTTTCCTGTAGCTTATACACTAGTTGTCTATAATTCAGTCACCAAAGTGTTAAAGAATATAAAGACAGATAAAATTACTATCATTCTATTTTCCCAAATGTTGTTATATATATTTTTTTTTTTTTTTGAGACAGAGTCTCGCTCTGTCAGAGTACAGCAGCTTGATCTTGGCTCACTGCAACCTCCATCTCCCGGGCTCAAGCAATTCTCCTGCCTCAGCCTCCCAAGTAGCTGGGATTACAGGCGTGTGCCACCACGCCTGGTTAATTTCTGTATTTTTAGTAGAGATGGGGTTTCATCATGTTGGCAGGGCTCATCTCGAACTCAGGTAATCTGCCCGCCTAGGCCTCCCAAAGTGCTGAGATTACAGGCATGAGCTACTGCGCCCGACCATGTTATTATAATTTTTAAGCCTACAATATACTTTTCATTTTCTAAGGCTTGATTTTTTTCAACATATGGCTATAATAAAAAAAAAAGTCCAAATTCAATACCATCACACACATCCTTTAAAAAAATACCAGGACAAAATAATTATGATTATGATTTTGGAAGTTGTTTATAAAATACAATGTCACAATATAGTACTAGTTCAAGTTAATTCACCTAGGTCTTTACTTACAAATAAAATCAATTTTCCCATGCAGCTATTTTAAGAGAAGAGGTGCAATACGTTTTTTAAGTTATTTGTGGTAAAGTACATGTAACATAAAACTTACTATCTTACCCATTTTTAGAGGACAGTTCAGTATTGTTAACTCGGTACTTATTAAACAATTTCTCAATTTCTCTTTCCTTCCAGCCCCTGGTAACCACCGTTCTAACTTTCTGCCTCTGTAAATTTGACTGCTTATCAAGACCATCCTGGCCAACATGGTGAAGCCTCATCTCTACTAAAACAAAAAAAAAATTAGCTGGGTGTGGTGGCGTGTGCCTGTAGTCCCAGCTACCCAGGAGGCTGAGGCAGGGGAATCGCTTGAACCCGGGAGGCGGAGGTTGCAGTGAGCCGAGATCGCGCCATTGCACTCCAGCCTGGTGACAGAGCGAGACTCCGTCTCAAAAAAAAAAAAAAGTGACTACTTTAGATACCTCATATAAGTGGAATCATATAGTATTTGTCTTTTTGTGACACGCTTATTTCACTTAGCGTAATACCCTCAAGATTGTTGTGGCATATGTCAGAGTTCTCTTTCTTTTCAAGACTGACAAATCCTCCAGGGAATGTTATGTACCACATTTGCATTACTCATTCATTGGGTGATGGATATTTGGGCTGTTCCTATCTTTTGGCGATTGCAAAAAATGCTGCTATGAACATGGGTGTACAAACATTTCCCCAATAATTCATGTTTTTAAGTTAGTTCTCAGTTGCTTTTGCATAGGTGACTTAGCATTCCTAATCAGAACACAATCAACTCAAACAAACAGAAGACAAGCCAAATGTACTTTTGTCATATAACTTGTACAAGAGAAAATAGTCTCCATTAAAAAATATTGTAATCAGATTATAAGAAAATGCATCCTGAGGTAAAGGCAGGACCTAAAAAGAACTTAAAAATACTACTTTGCCATATGAAAGCCTGAGACAAGCTTAACGAGACACCATTCACATCCACAGTCTAGTCACATACGTGAGTGTCTAAAATTTCTCCCAACTGTAGTCTTTGACCAGGTTTACTTTCCTGAAGAAATGTAAAAGTTCATTTTCCTCACCACATGATTTTAGGAGAAAATCCATGCACAGTTTTAAATAAAGGGATATTTAGAAAGAGATCAAAGAGAGAAAAAGACATGATCCAAAGTTTGAACACTGTAAAACTTATAAGGAGAACAGATAATTTCTTCAAAGGAAGAAAAGGCGAACAGACTAGCCTGAACAAATAAAAAAGTCTCCATACACTAACATGAACAAAGAGGCCTGGCACAGTGGCTCATGCCTGTAATCCCAGCAGTTTGGGAGGCTGAGGTGGGTGGATCACGAGGCCAGGAGTTCGAGACCAGCCTGGTCAACATAGTGAAACTCCCCCCCCGCACCGTCTCTATTAAAAATACAAAAATTAGCCAGGTGTGGTGGGTGGTGTGTGCCTGTAGTCCCAGCTACTTGGGAGGCTGAGGCAAGAGAATTGCATGAAACTGGGAGGTGGAGGTTGCAGTGAGCCGAGATTGCACTACTGCACTCCAGCCTAGGAAACAGAGCAAGATGATTCCTTAAACAAAAAAAAAAAAAAAAAAAGGATGACTATGGGAAAAATGGAAAAATAGTTTAAATTTATAAAAATGAACTGACATTAGACTACATGGAAACCGTATGGAAATTGAATGACCATTGGAAGTAAGAAGAATATAAGACAGCAGTTCTCCAAGAAACCACAGTCAGACAGAAGAGCAGAAGGGTGCTGTATTAGTCATCTTAGGCTGCTGCAAAAAATACCACAGGCAGGATGGCTTAGACAACAGAAAGTTATATTTTCACAGTTCTGGAGGCCAGAGTCCGAAATCAAGTTTCCAGCCACTGTGTATCTGGTGAAGGCTCTCTTCCAAACTTGCAGACAGCCACCTTCTGTGTCCTCACATGGCAGAGAGAGAAAGAGCAAGCTCTCTGGTGTCTCTCCCACTTCTTATAAGGACACCAGTCCTATTGGGTTAGGTACTGCCCTGATGCCCTCATTTAATCTTAATTACTTCCTTAAGTGCCTCACTTCCAAATACAGTCACATTGGGGGTTAGGGCTTCAACATATATGGCTTTTAGAGAGGGACATAACATCAGTCCGTAGAAGGTGCTCTTGGTGGTCTTTAGTTTAGCTTAAGTAAATTTAGCAAAATTATAGTGCCTAATAATTACTGTGAGATGTCGACCATCAACTGCTATATCCGGAGTTGGAAGCTGGAAAGAGAGGTCCCTGTGTCTCTTTTTGCTTCAAAGGCCAAAACTATCCACTTTCTTTTATTTTGACTAACTGGAAATCAGCCAACAAAAATGCAGTGAAGTCAGTGATAAGTCTGACCTAGCATGAGTAAGATAAAGCTGAAGGTGAAACAGAAAAAAGAAAACAGCTTGAGCAAAGGTAGGAGGCCAGAGTAGTATATTCAAGGAAGGCTTCAGAAAGATATTTATAGTGAGCCTAAGTGGCTCACAGGACATCCTCCGCACACACATATACACCAAGAACAGAGTGCCTAAAGGGCTTTGCCTATTATTAATGCTATTCAATTTCTGATTGATAACCTTAAATAATAGAGTTTCCACACCTATTGATGGTACCAACATGCACTAAATTCCTTACCTGAATCATCCTTGATGACTGTCTTTCTCTCACCCCCACATCTAATCTATCAGCCAACATACCAAAGCTTCCCCAAACATCTCTCACATCTGTCCTTTTTTTCTCTGTCCCCATGTCTGCCACTCAAGTCAGTCTCCACCAGCCTCCTACTAGTCATCTAATGGTATGTTTGCTCTCCCCCGCACTTTTCTCCACACAGCAACAGCAGTCACATCAATCCCCAGCCCAGAATTCAACAGTTTGCCATTATCCCTGCATAAAAATCCAAAGCTATTGCCTTAACCAGGAAGGCCCTTCATATGCAGGCTGGCCCTGCCCCATCCCTTCCCTGGCCACCTCCCATCCTGACTCCCTATCCAAGCTCACTCCACTTAGGGGTCTTCCACCAACCACAGTCCCCTCCACCTGAGCACCCACACATGGTTGGTTGCCTCTTGTTCCATCTTTCCTTCCACTTCACAGCTGGCCATTTGGAGTTGGCTGTGATGGTGTCTTGTTTTACGGTAGTAAAGATAAAAATGATGCCCCCCCCAAAATACAAAAAATGGAATTAGAATCCAATGAAACCCAGTGTATCTACATATTAGACTTTATAAAAGTAGAAATTTCAGATTTATTCAAGACCTATAAATGTTGTTTGGTCCTATGAAAACATCTAACTCATATTTAACCCTGAATTGTTGAACTCAAGGCCTTAAACAACCTCAATTTTATGCAAATCACCTCTAGTGGCCTTACGTTGGAAGTAGTTTTTTCTAAATTATATTCTATAGAATAACATGAGTGGTCTGGTGGTATGGCTTGGATCTGTGTCACTGCCCAGCTGTCATGTAGAACTGTAATCCCTAATGTTGGAAGTGGGGCCTGGGGAGGTGATTAGATCATGGGGGTGGATTTCCCATGAATAGTTTAGCACTATCCACAATATTTTTCAGATGGTAAGTTCTCATGGGACCTGGTTGTTTAAAAGTATGCAGCTCCTCCCTCACTCTCTCTTGCTTCTGTTTTTACCATGTGAACTTTCTGCTCCAGCTCTGACTTCCACCATGAGTAAAAGCTCCCTGAGGCCTCCCCAGAAGCAGCTGCTGGCACCATGCTTCCTCTATAGCCTGCAGAACCGTGAGCCGGTTAAATCTCTTTTCCTTATAAATTACCCAGCCTCAGGTATTTCTTTACAGCAATGTGAGAATGGACTAATACATCTAAAAAGAGAAAATAAAAATAAAAATAAACTAATTTAATTGGTTTTAAAAAGTGGCCACAATCACTTTGACATTCGTGCTGCATGGAACTGGGTTGCTATTGCTTAATGTATTATTTCCTAAAATTTTTTGAACCAGAATCCACATAATCTTTTCCCTATCTTCCTAATCTCTCCATGGACACAGTTTGAGAAATGTTGGTCAAAAATATCTCATTTTATTAGCTGAGAAGGAATACACTCAACTTGGAGATGATTCACTAGTCTTAAAGGACCATTTTATTTGTGGTTCTAGTCTTTGGCCAGAATTTAGAGCTCATAACCAACAGAAAAATGCTTCAGTTGTTGTAGCATTAATTTTTAAAATATGACATTTATAATCTGCCTATTCCTGGCTTGGTCATGTGCCAATTGCTCATGTTTAAACATGTAATCTGAAGTTTCAAGTAAAAAATATGATTTGTCTTATAGGTGTTTTTCCTCAACTTTTCATTATAGAATATTTTAAACACACATGAAGGATATAACGAGTATAATAAACCTCCATGTACCATCCCCCAGCTTCAGAAATTATCAATTCAGGCTACAACCTCACCCCTGGCAATGGATTGTTTTGAAGTAAATCTCAGGTATCATTAAAGGTATTTTCTTTTTCTTTTTCTTTTTCTTTTTTTTTTTTTTTTTTGAGACGGAGTCTCGCTTTGTCTCCCAGGCTGGAGTGCAGTGGCGCGATCTCGGCTCACTGCAAGCTCCGCCTCCCAGGTTCATGGCATTCTCCTGCCTCAGCCTCCCGGGTAGTTGGGACTACAGGCGCCTGCCACCACGCCCGGCTAATCTTTTGTATTTTAGTAGAGACGGGGTTTCACCGTGTTAGCCAGGATGGTCTTGACCTCCTGATCCACCCGCCTTGGCTTCCCAAAGTGCTGGGATTACAGGTGTGAGCCACCGCGCCCGGCCCATAAAGGTATTTTTAAAAGCTAACTGTCAGTTAATATTTGTTACTAAGAGTAAAAATGCCATAACTTCCACACTCCCACCTCATTATATAAACACACACACACACACATGCACGCGCACACACGTACACACGATGCATGTTCATTAAAACGAATAATCCCAGCTGCTTCTGCTGTGGGGCTGGCATCTCTGAGTCTATTTCATGGCATGGCATGGGAAGGAGTGTTGACGGATGCCTCACATGTGTTCGGTTACTGTTGATAAGGACACTGTATAAAATATTTGCCCCAGACCACGGGGACTAATATGGTAGCACACTTTCATCTGTCAGATTGGCTTGATCCACACAAACCTGTCAACAAAACCAGGTCAGCAGGCTGGAGTAGAGAAGGGAAAAATCAATAAATCTTTGAATTAATCATGCAGCTATCAGAGAGAATTATGGGTTCACACAGTGAAATGTATACTTGGGCCTATTTGCTCCTTTCTTCTTCCAGTTATTCCTTCATTTCCATCCAATGTAGAGTCCCTCCTATAGAATCCCCACGCCAATAACTTCGTTTCTGTAACTAGGTTCAAATAACTGTCCCTAATTTACAGCTTCTGTTCCACCATAATTCTTCTAAGAAAGGGTTGGAGACTAAAGAAAAATAAGTCCAATTTAAATCACAAGAAAAGCTGCATTCTAAATTGCTATGAGTGTTGCCTCTAGTTTTTAAATTCAGGTCGTATATGTTAGTCACAAATAAACAAATAAATCTTGCCATAAAACTGGATTTTTACATCCTATATAATAACCTGATGTGCACAAATAATTTTACTGAACCTTCACAGAGGTTCTGATCCTTGTCACCTTGAATATCCTTGCTGTTACACAGAGTTTACAATGTTTGTCCCTCGTGCCGCCTCCTCAATTTAACTAACCCTTCAAAAGAGAAATATCTTTAATCACATATCTATAGTCCTTCCTATTCTCCTTCTGCATAACCATTTTACAAGAACACATATACTCTATAGCCACTATTAGTAAAAAGCAGCATCGTCTTAGATCCAGAATTTAAGATAGAAGTCACTATGAATATATTTTTCCCACCACCAAAAAGGTGTAAAATTTATAAACTGATCAATAACTATGCAACAAGTGTATATTTTAAATACATGAAATTACTTTTCCAGTTTCACCATTTTTCTTGAAAAGAAAGTAATCATCCATATCCTTACTAGCAAGAAAAGCTTTGTTTTTAAAAATCTCAATACAAAACTAAAAACACTTAAATATTTTGATAAAACAAGAGAGAAACATTCATCTTATGTCAACAAGTCAAAGCCAGTAAAAAAAGCACAAGAAATTCAGGAAAATACACATGTTCAGGACCATCAACTAAGCATGTGCAGAGTCCTATCAAAGTCATGCATCAGGCCTCGCGGAGCCCAGAGGTTCTGCATGTTTTGCATCTGAAATGGACTTCAGGCTTTCATGGAAAAGGTTTACTGGAGAACCCTGGGAGGCACGGCCAGCAATAGGATGTTCAGGTTTTCTCTACTTAGCGATGGAATTGTGTCGAATTCAGTAAAAGAGGAAATGCTTGAGACTTCGATTGCCGTATTGTTCTTTTGTTTGCTTGTTTTTTTGTTTTGTTTTGTTTTTTAATTTTTAAAAATTTTTTTACTTAGAGGCAAGGAATAGAGTAGATTCAGCATCAGAGGAATTGACTTGATGGGGACACAGTGTGGGACACAGACTGACATGGAAAGTTCGAACACAGAATTTACTGACCTTGAATAAATCCTTGTGGATCATTTAAAAATTACCTGCAAGGCTGAGATACACCTTTCTTCAATATTTCATCATGCATGGTAAGCATTTGGCAATACAGATTTTTTTTAAAGTCTTGAATCCTAGAATAACTTTTTTAAAGAACAAATTACTTCGCTTGGAAATCAGAACTGTGGAAACGAGTCACGTGCATCCGGGCCTCGTGCTCCCTGGCTCTCCACCGAGGGATTCAGCCTGGCTGCGTTCCGTTTTGGGAAATGGCCCTCCTCAATTTCAAGTTCATTTGGCTTTTTCAATGATAGGGTTTCAATTCAAACAGATAACAATGCTGAGAACTAAAAATTTCACCATCTAATTAGCCGGGGGGGAATCTCAGTATGGCCTTTCTTTCCTAGTATCATCTGCAGTTTGAAAATGACTTGATGAAGGCTTTTTATAAAAACCCTTTACTTTTCCTGGTACAAGAACAATTGTAGTGAAAGATACTGGTACAATGCAATGGGCATAGGAGGATAAAAAAAAATGTGTGCATAAAAAGAAGCAGAGGAAACCAGGACAAATAAGAGATCAGAGAAAAGAGTGTGGCTGAAGGTTTCAAAATGCAATTTAGGTTGAAAAAAAGGAAGACACGATCCAACATCTATATCAGGCATTTTAATGGAGTATGAATCCCTGGTTAATCTGGGTAAGGACAAGTGGGAGCCGGGGGGTGAGGGAATGCAGATAGTCACAAGGTTGAAAGGAAGCAAAAAAGGCCTGGACTGTTGCAGCTTTCGATACTGGTGTGTTCTTCTGAAGATCCACTGCCCCATAGCTTTTATTACTTACTCAACATGTCCATGATCCCCCCAAAAAGTCAAGAAACATTGGCCTAAGGATATTTCCATCTATTAAAAAAATATGTATATCGACTGAAGATCTATTTCCCTGCCTCCCAAAATTCATATGTTGAAACCTAAACCTCAATGTGATGCTATCGGGAGGTGGATCCTTTGGAGGGTGATTAGGTCGTGAGGGTGGAGCCCTCATGAATGAGGTTAGGGCCCTTCTAAAAAGAGACCCCAGAGACACCATTCGCCTCTTCTGCCATGTGAGAAAATGAGAAGACAGCTGTCTATGAACCAGGAAGAGAACCCTCACCAGACACCAAATCTACCCACCTCCTTGATCTTAGAATTCCCAGCCTCCAGAGCTCTGAGAAATAAATTTCTGTCGTTTATAAGCCACCCAATGCATGGTAACTTGTTAATGCAGCCCAAACAATCTAAGACAATATTTATATATAATACTTTTTTTTCAGAAATTACAGGTAAACATTTTCAGATATACAACATATTATTTGCATTAAAGTATATTTTAAATATTTGATATTGAAGTAAAGCTCAGTTATAAGTTTATTTCAAAATGAATCATTTTGGGAAGTACAGTTTTCAATGAACTTCTTTCAGAAAAATAAGTCTTTGTAATTCCTTCAGTATAATAAGCCTACTGATTATAATTAGGTTATATCTGGCGTGTTTCTATCTCTTTTGTGTCTTTTTAAAACAGGTCATATAATTTTTAAAATGGCAACTTTAAAAGCATTGCCTTATCCAGAATAAGTGCTTAAATGACAGTAATGGAGAAATTTTCAACTGAACACAGAACTAGTGCAGACACAACCACCACAAAATCCCAGGTTGGAGTCCCTGCACCGCCATTCACTGCTCAGGTGACTTTTCACATCTGGGTGCTTTCTTCATCTATAAAATAATTCTCCGATGAGAAATCGGAGCCAGTGATAGAGATGGGAGGCTGATCTAGGTGATATTTACATCCTCATATGGGCGCGTGTGGGTGATCTGATTGGCTCAGCAGCTGTCATTTTTGCCATCCCTTTCCCCCATGTAACCTTTCCAGGGCTCCAGTATCCAGCTCAAAAAGACACCCTGAAGCTTCTCCACACAGAAATTCTACCATTCTTAGATCCATCATCATAAATTGGTGAAGCATATTGATCACTATTTGAAACAACATGCCCTCACACACAAAAGCTATCCATGGCAGGTTGACACTCTGTGCTCACCAAATGTGTATAACCCTTTAGATAAAAAACTGAAAGTAAAGTCTGAGGCTCGTGGTGTGGCTATGGATTCAGTGCATCAGGAAATGCTGTAACGCGCCTCTGAAGGTCTCGGCATGTCAGCCTCGCCTTGACTTGCACTGTCCTGCTTTTTAACAAATGCTGCAGTGTAAAGCTGTAGGTGGTTCCAACAATAAAATCATTTCATGAAAATAAAAGAAGACAGCTTTTGTTTTGGGAATAATAAATACTGGGAATTTGAAATGTCGATTTCCCTCAGAACGGCATCACGTAGGAGATGTCAGCTATGAAATCCCAGGCTGCCCCTGATTGGCCAACACAGGCACTCTTTGCCTTGGGAGGAGAGGCTGATGTGAAATTTGATTTTAGAGTAGTAGAAAAAAATATAGAAAAGCAAAAGCTCTTATTAAAGCATTAAGAAGAATTTAAAAGGAAATAACACCACCACTCTCATGGAAAAGTTTCTTATTCAAGATTCACTCCATAAACATGTATTAAGCTTCTACTATGTGTCTGGAATGGTAATGTTATCATTCAGTCGACAATATTTGTTGGCTCTTATGCACGTACATAATATGGGAAACTGAAAGAAAGTTTAAGAAAAGGCAAAATCTCTATCTTCTAGAGAGGGAGAATTTCAAGAAAGGACCTTGGGTCACTTACTGAAGCTCTCTCTGCCTCAGCCTTCTCATCTGTAAAGTGGGGCCGACAAAAGCAATTACTTAATGGGGTTGTCGAGAAGTTTTTAGGTATAACCTGACATGTGCATGCCATAGAATTGTTAGCTATTCAATAACTGACATGTGCTACAAGTATTTTAATGTAAATACTAATGTTTACTGCAAATACATACTCTGATTTAGCTGTGATGGTTAAGGCAAAATATAAGATCCTTTCATTCTGCCTTATTGTCATTTTATATCATACTTTTGCTATTTAAGAAAAATAAACGTTTTAATAAATAAGTAAAGAGTTGTTTATTTTAAAATCCTACAGACTATTAGTTCAATAGCATTCTAATGCTTTTATGTTGAAATTGAAGGATTTTGGATTATTTCCCCATGACTTCTTCAGCATACCTTGCATTTTAGCAATTCTTAAATAGAACTACTTTTCTTTTACTTCCTAACAAGCCTCACACAAACAACGGCCTATTTGTTTTGAAACCACGGTGTCCTGACCTTCTGGTTTCTGGGATACAAACACTTTAGACAGAAGATAATGATAATAATAATAAGAAGAAGAAGGACAATGACAAACATTAATGTCAAGCACTGTGCTAAGAACTTTACCTATATTAATTCATTTAATTCTTATAACAATCTTACTATAATGTTATTTTTATTCCTATTTCCATTTTACAGTTGAGGAAATTGAGGCATAGCAAGGTTATATGACTAACTCAAGGTTACGTAACTTGGTCCAGGTTGAATATGGGGTATGGACCTAGACACTGGCTTCAGGCTCCACACTATCTACAGGCTCTATAGAGAAATGCACACCTAGAGGTCCAGAATTACTTAGCTATGTTCCAATTCATGGAGCACCTCACTTGGCCTGAAACTGCAGTTATGGCACTCTTCATCTTTATAAAAACACAGTACCCAGGTCCACAGAGAGGTATTTAACTATGGAAGGTCTCACAACTGTGCAGTAGGGACCCAAAGCCAGGCTCCTCTGAGTGCAAACCCAAGCCCTGCTGTGCGCTGCTGGCAAAATGAAAGACATGCAGAAACCTGAAACCACCTCTAAGAGCACACAGGATCTGTGTATTTTTGCTTATTTACTGTATCTGTTTATAGCTTCTTTTCAAAGAACATTTTGACTCTGCTCTACTGCAGAGCAGTGTGTGCTGTGGATTTTCTGTTGCTCATAAAGTCCAATTCTGGACAGCCAATATTTTCAGCAGCATCATTGTATTTTCAGGAACTACACACACTCAAATATTCTGTAAATACTCTCATTACTTCTCCCATACATGAGCCTTGGAGAGTCAATGCAACTTTGCAAATAGAATTTAGTTGTTGAAGTTTCAACCACAGGTGACGATTTAGCCAATAAAAATTCAGTTAGTTTGGAATTAATTTTGGAATAACTGTATTTTCAGGAACTACACACACTGAAATATTCTGTAAATACTCTCATTACTTCCCCCATACATGAGCCTTGGACAGTCAATACAACTTTGCAAATAGAATCTAGTTGTTGAAGTTTCAACCACAGGTGACAGTTTATCCAATAAAAATTCAGTTTGTTTGGAATTGATTTTGTAATCAAGGGTAACTTTTGAGGCAATTTTTTCATGCACATGTTTTCAGACTACTAATCACTTGGGAAACTGATGAGTCGTTTGTCCATTAACAAATTTCCCCCTTTTCCTTTTGAGGAAGGAAACACAGGACTTGAAGATGCCCAATAAACCGTGGCACCCGAAAGTGAGGATCTGAAATGCAGGTGAAGCAGCTTGCCTGCCGCCCCTGTGCTTGGTCCAGGACTGCCTGGATCCTGTCCCCTACTGGCCCCCAGCCCGTTCTGACACAGACCAGGCTACTTGCAGCTGGGACAGCGGCAGCTGGTGGTGTGGCTGCCAGCTGGATGCTGGCGCCGCCGGGGACAGGGCTGCAGGGACCCACAGGACCTGGCACACCAGCACTCCTGGCTACCCTGATGGGGCTGTCTGCTTTTTGTTTCCTTCCCTTAAAAATGCTTTTTTTTTTTTTTTAAGAATCTCATTGAGTATATATTTATCAGTTGTCTACTGTGTGTCCAGCAGGAGATGGAAAGATATAAAATGTGTGAGAGAGGGCAAATAAAGAATTGGAAGAATTTGTAATCATAGTGGGTTAAATAGCTTCCCCCAAAAATGTCCTTTCTGGAGCCTCAGAATGTGACCTTATTTGGAAACAGGGTTGTGGTAGATGTAATCATTTAAGTTACCATGAGGTCATACTGAAATAAGGTGGGCCCTTCATCCAATATGACTGTTGGCTTTATTAGAAGAGGAGAAGAAATGCAAAGACACACACAGGGCAAAAGTCACATGTCGCTAGAGGGAGGGACTGGATGGAGTGAGACTTCTGCAAGTCAAGGATGCCAAGGAGCCAAGGACCGCAGGCAACACCAGGTGCTGGGAGGCCTGACAGGGACCCTCCCCAGAGTACTGACAGAGACCCTCCCCGCAGCCCTCTGAGTCAGCACAGCCCTGCTGACGCTGTGACTTTGGATTTGCAGACTTCAGAACTGTGAGGAAATAAATTTCTATTGTTTGAAACCAGTCAGTTCATGGTATTTTTTTTTTGTAGTCCTAGGAAACTAATACAGTCATGATATTGAAAAATAAATGAATAAATCAAAGGGAAATTCCTTTGTGGTCATGGGGAAGGTTTCCTTTGTTGGAGGTGGCCAGAGGGATGCGGGGGAGTGAATAAGCAGGACCAGGAGAGAAGGCAGGTCCGAAGTTGGGGTCACACAGGTGCAAGTCATGGATGAAGCCCTGGAAGATGATGAAATGACCAATACAGAAAGTGGATGGGATTGGACTTTTAGATTGACATACATTTCTGAGAGGGGAAGATGCAAACTGAAGGAAAGAGATAGCACCGAAATATTCAGAGAGAAGATCAACCAGGCAGTGTAGTTGGATACAAACCAAAGGAGAGCAACTGCTATGAACTGCCTTGTGTCCCCTAAAGTTGTAGATGATGAAGCCCTAACCCCAAAGAAAGAGAGAAAGAGAGAGAAAGAAAAAGAAAAAAGAAAGAAAGAAAGAAAAGGAAGGAAGAAAATAAAGGTAGAAGAGAGAAAGAGAGAGAGAAAGAGAGAAAGAAAGAAAGAGAAAGAGAAAGAGAGAGAAAGAAAGAGGAAGGGAAGGGAAGGGAGCGGAGGGGGAGGGGAGGGGAGGGGAAGGGAGCGGAGGGGAAGGGAGCGGAGGGGAAGGGAGGGGAGGGGAGGGGAGGGGAAGGGAGCGGAGGGGGGGGGGAGGGGAGGGAAGGAGAGGGGAGGGGAGGGGAGGGAAGGGAAGGGAAGGGAAGGGAAGGGAAGGGAAGGGAAGGGAAGGGAAGGGAAGGGAAGGGAAGGGAAGGGAGACCTGAGCACCTGTGTCACAAGAAATACAGTAATTACTAAGAGAAGTAATTTGGAGTATGAAAGTAATTAAGGTTAAATCGGGTCATAAGGGTGGCCCCTAATCGGATAGAATTAGTGTCCTTGCAAGAAGAAACATGAGAAAGTCAGTCATGTAAGGACAGCAGGAAGGCGTCCATCTGCACGCCAGGATGAGGCCCCCATCAGAACCTGACCATGCTGGCAGCCTGATCTCAATCTTCTAGGCTCCAGGACTATAAGGAAATAAATTGCTGTTGTTTAAGCCACCCAGTGTGTGATATTTTGTTTTGGCGTCCAGAGCTGCCAAATACAGGAACCAACAGAGGAAGTAGGTCAACTGTGTACATCTAACAGGGAGGTCAGAGAGAAACTGGACCAGGAGACAGCCTTGGGATTTAACATTTGGAAGTCATGGGTGATCTTGAAGTAGTGAATTTCAGTAGATTGTAACAGGCAAAGCCCAAAATACTCACTACTATAAACTATTATCTCAAACAGTTTGCCAGAAGAAAGAGAAAGAATGAAAGGAGTGTGTGACAGAGAGAGAGAAAGAAAAAAGAAAGAAGGAAGGAAGAAAGTAAAGACAGAGAAAGAAAGAAGTATGGAAGTTAGCAAAGGGAAAGGTTTCTTTAAAACTGGGGGACCTGAGCACCTGTGTCACAAGAAATACGGTAATTACTAAAGAGAAGCTGTCTGAAGCAACAGAGGGCACAGCTGATGAAAAGAGGTCCTAGAACGCCGGAGCAGGTAAGGGGACCAGGAGGGCAGCACGGTGGGAGGCTAAGCTGGAAGGAAAGAGGACAGCTCTTCCTGTGGGAGAGAACGTGGGGCTGAGCCATGAAGGAGGTAGAAAGGGTCATCTGAAGAAAGCTGTTCTCAGCCCCTGCAGAGTGAAAAGTTACGATCCTTTGAACACTGGAGAGTAGGTGCAGCAGAGTTGAGAATGGGGTGCTCCAGGATGCTGAGAAAAAGCTTGGGAAAGACCTCTTCAGCTATACAGACGCGGGCGCAAAAACACCTGAGCATCCAGACAATCAGTGAAGAGCTGGTTAAGACCGGGCCACGCACGGTGGCTCACACCTATAATCCCAGCACTTTGGGAGGCCGAGGCGGGCAGATCACGAGGTCAGGAGATCGAGACCATCCTGGCTAACATGGTGTAACCCTGTCTCTACTAAAAAAAAAAAAATAGCCAGGTGTGGTGGCAGGTGCCTGTAGTCCCAGCTACTCCGGAGGCTGAGGCAGGAGAATCACTTGAACTCGGTGGAGAAGAGGTTGCAATGAGCCGAGATCGCGTCACTGCACTCCAGCCTGGGTGACAGAGTGAGACTCCATCAAAAAAAAAGAAAAAAGAAAAAAGAAACCGGACTGGCATAAATGCTCAATGTGCCCAGTCTGCAGGAACGCTCCACAGGCTGACGGTGGAGAAGGGAAGCGGGGTGGCTCCTAGACTGAGGATTCCACAGGTGACGCGGTTGCTGAGGAGAGAGGAAGTCTGGGCTGCTGGATGGTTTACTCCATCCTGCCCCATCTGCTCAGAAGGACAGCCACAAAGGGCTGACAGCCATGGTAGCTCCGCCTGAGGGATTTCTGGAGGCCAAGCAACCCATCTGCTTAAGGAGACCTTCCTCCACCTGCTCCAGCCCAGAGCAAAGGACACAGCACCATAAGCCTGGTCCAACCCACCTTTATCTCTGCTCGACAATACCTTGAGTTCACACTGACTTCTTGAGTAGCTAGCAAGTTATTCTGAGTCAAAAATTATATTTCTCAATCTCAAATCCTGTTTTCTTATACTGTGGCACATTGTCTAAGCAAATCTTGATTTGTGACATCTATTTTAGCTTGTCGATAATAATAATAATCTAACAGCATTATGGTTATCACTACACAATATTCTTTCCTAAATGATCCTGTTATTCTCTTGAATTTTCCTGAAATGAAAACTCTTAGATGAACAACAGACCAGAGAATATGCTTGTGTCCAAATTACATCTGATTGACTTAGCTGGCCATCTGTTTCCCATGTCTAGAAAGAACCAAACATCACGGGGAGAGAGAGAAAGCAGAAGATCCTTAATGGCAGAATATAAAATGAACTCCATTTACACTTAGGTGGAGCAAGGGAAGAGTATGAGTCAATGTGTTTTCAGACCTTAAAATAATTTGGGATGAGACCTTTCTTAAGGCTTGAAATACTTGGGTACAAGGCAATAAAGTACATAAAGCATAGATTTTCTTCATTTGCTTTCTCCAGCATTTCATGATGAGCATATGCAAAGTGATCGTTGAATGTATGAAAATGAAGATGAGCCAACATCATTTAAAAAGTTGCATGGCACAGAGAAGAGTTAACACAGTAGGTCTGAGACTGTCAGTCTTATGAAGGGCTGCTTGCAGGACTGTCCCTTGGCTGGTATCTGGGAACTAGGATATTGGCAGCGTTCCCACCACCCTTAGAGTGGCTCACTGCCTGAACTGCATAAGCAATACAGTTCATGATGAGCACCTGCCTTCCTTGGGGAGTCTGGAACTTTGGCACATACCAAACATACCAGGGTGCCTACGTGACCTGCCCCCAAAGGAAACCTTGGCCACTGAGTCTCCAGGAGCTCTCCTGCTCCCCTGGTAGACAACATTGCACCTCTTATCATGACTCATTGCTGGAGAAATTAAGTGCTTCCTAGTGATTCCACAGGGAGAAGACCCCTGAGAGCTGGGGCCTGCTTTCCTCTGAATGTCACCTCATGTGCCTTTTGCCTTTGCTGCTTTTGCTCCATAGCCTTCTCCTGTATTAAGTCACAGCCATGGATGCAGCTACATGCTGAGTCTTCCTGGCAGATCACCAAACCTGAGGGTGGGCTTGGGGACCTTTGACATGGGCATGTAACATCCTGCAAGATTAAATCTAAGAAAGTGAAAAAATAACTTTGACAGCAGTTGGCTTAAGAAGTGGAATATTCAATTTGGAATTTTAATATCCTGGCATTGTATTGTGGGAGAGGACTAGAGAAATCACTGCATATCCATGGGAGGAAACTGAGGCAAACAAAAACAAAAACAAAAACAAAAACAGAGAGAGATAGAAACGCCTTTCCCTAGGCCACCCAGCTAACCTGAGTCAGCGCTGCAATCAAGTCATATTCCAGAAACTTAAAATAGGAAATCAAGGGGGATTTTAGTGTGACTGAGTGGCCCAACAAATGAGGTTTTACACACACATACACAACACACAGATACAGAGCACACACATCACACACACCCCCTGCATATATCACACACACACACATACAGAGCACACACACCACATAGCACGTACTCCACACACACACACACACACACAGAGCTCACACACCACACACAGCACACACTCCACACACACACCCCACACACATACAGAGCTCACACACCATACACGGCACACACACACACCACATATACACAGAGTACACACCCCACATGCCACACACACACCACACACACTACACACACATACAAACACACATCATGCACCACACACACGTATGCACACACCACACCAAACACCACACACATATGTGGACACGCACATCACACACATGTACACACACCCCTCCTGATATCCTCTGGGCTAAATTTGCCCCAATGCTTTCTTTTCTTGTTTTCTTTTTTAAAGAAAAAATATTAACATACCTATCTCTATGTGTCTATCTACTTGTTTTGGTAGTTCAAAAGTCAAAAGCGTACTTCTCTGTGTTGGGTTGTACTCCACAATACACAGTTTGCAGCTTTCAGAATGGGTGCAGGTCTCCTCCTGGCAGGCTGAGGCCCTGCAGACTAGCTGCTATTGTGGCTGCTTTGGAGCCTTGCTGGCAGCTGTTTGGAGACTCAGGCTGTGCCCCTCGCCTTACACGACCCCCATTCTTGGTGTCACACAGGGGCTCTCCAGAGCTGTAAACAACCAGCTTTTAATTACTTTCAGGTGGCAGCGGGGTAACATGCAAAACCTAATTTAGTGAGCGATAGACTTAAATGGAAAAAGTATAACATAATTAATGATTTTTAAAAAGAAAGAGACCAGGGCCCTCTCTTCCTATTTCTCAGTTAATTCACTCCCAAAAATATAGCATGGTAAAAACATGACATCTCTGTGCCTTTCTAATTCCAGTCTGATGTGCACGTTCTGAGCTGAGAATACTTTCCAGTGTTTAAAATGAGGTTCTTATTTACTAAAAGCAATATAAATAGAAGATTAGATGATACATACAAAGACAGATAGCTAGGTAGATGATAACAGACAGAAAAATGTTCCTTTTATACTTTTCATTTGGTCCCACGAATTTCTTTTCAGTGAATGTTAAAGAAATGCTTCTTTAATTCTGCAACTCTCTGGCACTTTTAAAATCAAAGATGAGGCTTTCAGGTGACTCTAGGTTTTTTTTAAATTTCACATTATTTTAATGTTTATCTCATTCCTTTTACTCATAAGCTCTTTGAGGGCAGACTCAGGTCTCCGCAAGATAGCAGCCACAGCATAGCAGATGTCTGGAAAATGCTCAGTGAGGAGCAATAAAATCACAATAGAAGTGCCACAGAAAGGGAAGGTTAACTTCTATAGTCAAGAGTGCACAAAGCAGAGGCCCCCCACAGCATGACCCTCAGGTCCCCCCGACAGCTGTGCTAGCTCTCCCTCCCTCCCCACATGAGAATACGGCATCCAATCTGCTCTTAGTTCTGGTTTGCTGAAACGTGCTTAAGGGCAGCCTTGTCTAATTTGGTTGGCTGTACCTATAATCTCTTTTCCCCTCTCTAAAATGCAAAGGTTTTCTTAAATCACAACCTCCTTTCTGAAACCTTCTCTACTTCCCCAGGCAAAACCGTGTGTGTAGCTACAGCCTCAGGCCCTAAGCGCCTACTGCAGCACTTAACACCCCAAGAGGGACAGTGCAGGAATCTCCCCAAGCATCTCAACAGCAGAAACCATCTCTGCAGGGGCCTGGGGAGGGAGTGCTTCTTAAAGCCCAAGTCTTGCGTGATCTATGATGCCCAGACCCAGTTGTGGCAGTGAAGAATTACAGCCAATGTTTCATGTAAAGTGGTTGGTTTATGTCCTTTGATATTTCATGTGGGCAGAAAATTGTTCACGTTTAGCCAAAATACAGAAAGAAGATAATCATCCTTCGACCTGAACTCAATGATCCTAAGAGGTAAAATTCTCCTTGAATCATCACTAATAGAGGTATTCAGATAGGAAATATTACAGCAGAAAATTGGGCCACTGCTAAAGAGGGAGGCAGTTTCTCTGGGAATAGTAAAATGTTTGCTTTTTCCATTTTCCAAATCCGGTTACCCCTGGGCTGTGTCTTTGATGTTAATGTAGCTAAACCCCTGGTGAGATTCTCACAATTTTATCAGAAGAAACAGAAACGGAAGGCTGGGCTCTCTTACTGCTGGCCTCCCTAATCGGGAGGAAATTCACAACAGGCTTGTGAAGGGAAACCCAAATATAAAGCCGGTGTTATTGTTTTTTTCCAGGATGGTGTTTTATGTATCTCCACATCAGCAGTACCTCCAAAAGCATGTCATTATTCAAGCTACTATATTTTTACTGGGCTACATTAATATTATGGCATTTAAAAGGATTTCATTGCAGCTTAGGATAAGTGATGAGGATGTCTAAAAAAATCCACATAGACATCATGACTCTTGTTCTTCCTGGCTCATTTTAGGGAGGTAAGAACACAATAGGTCAGGATCTGTCATATTAACTGAGGTCATCTGATGGCACCTTGTGTGCCTGTCTCTGAAATGCTTTTCCTCTGCACATTTACGACCCCACCCCCATCCATCATACCAGAGGGAAGGGTCACCCTGTAAGGCCCCAGGGCCCAGGGAAGAGCTCAGGCAGGCAGAAAAGCAACATCAGATATTATGAATCTTTCCTCCATTTGGTAGAATTATGGGATTTCTACTTTTCAGCTGTTGGGGTATTCTTTCCAAAGGTCACTCCAAATCAATGAACTCATTAATGTCCTTGATAATGGTAGCCTCATGGCCTCATATGATGAAGAGGCATAACTTGATTCCTGCGTCTACCTTCAGGCCAACCGAAGCCTGTCCTGGAAAGAAATCAATGCAGGCCCTAATGTGCAGTAAGCTCCCAAAAGGAACCATGACAATATGCACAACACTCATTAAACCCTGACAAACACTGCATTTGTGCTTCTCAGGAAAATAAACTACTCATTTGTTTTCTTAACCAAAATAAAGGGCAAAACCTAGTGAGACATACTAATAGAAACCATTTTGCTTCTTTTTAGGGAAATACACAAACATCTTTAATTTTGCTTTTCATTAAAAAAGAATTTGTAGAAGACAAATACCCATTTACCTTCACCAGGATTTCCAAAGGTCCCCTGGCCTAGAGATTCACAGAAACCCAAAGCTCATCTGTTAGAAGCAGGTCTTTGCTGCTCCGACCTTCCCAGGGGATCTCCCAACAGTCAAGGCTGAGCAGCTAAGCATCCCCCAGGCTGACAGGTCACACTTCGCCCTGAGCCCAGTGGGGCACGTTGGGCCATGGCCTGTGAATCATGCTTTTGGGCCCTCTCTTGACTGCCATCAGCTCTCAGCTATCCTAGGTCAACTCTCTGGCACTCCCATACCTGCTCCTAACTCACTCACTTAGTAAGATACTTACACAGGCTTATTTCCATGGCTGATTTAGTTAATCGCTTTTCTCCATGGAAAGAATCAACCACTGAAGGAAGTGATCTCTGCAGAGTACGAATGCTTCCTGGAACAAACTTCCCAGCCAGATCCCAGCAGGCTGGGATGACTTGATAATCCGGGAAGAGGGACCTGGGAGATGGCCATGCCAAGGAATAAATCCAAACTAGCTCGCAGGAGTTACAGTTTATATACAAAGCAGAGACAAATTAACCTTTTACAGGTCATCTGCTGTGCATATGGCATTCAGGACAGCTTCCCTGAAGGTCAGGGCTAATTTAGAAAAAGTCCCTCTGTTCCTGGGACTTCTGTGCTATGCAAGGTCGTTCCCTGAAGCCAAGAATCCCAGTGCTTCCCTGGAGTGGCTCAGCCCCAGCCAGTGTGGAGGGAGGGAGGGTCTTCCTTTTAGCGGCCTCCACCCCGGCACAGCCTGGGTGATGGGGGAGGGAGGCTGTCCTCTGTCCTTATCTGTGCCTTGTGCTGGTAACCAGAGAGAAATATAACCCTTCTCCACCTAAACCTCCTGAGCATGGTTTATTTATTAAGATCTCCAATGTTTTAAACCATGCGTCACCTCCAGTGACTTCATGACCTCCTTTTCTGGGCATTGCTGATGGGTGGAGCTCAGACACTGGGAACAGGGTCTGACTGTAGCAGTGAGCAACAGAAGTCAGGTAAAATGCTCAATTTCCAGACTTTCTATTAGCAGATCATGCCACTGCTTTGGGGCCTTGTTGTCATTTACAAGGTCATTTTTAGTGACAAGTCTATTCGACTCAGGTTGAACGACCTGATATGAAGTCTCTCTCTCCCTTTCTTTCAGTGATTTACTTACAAACCAACCAAAGCTTCTTACTGATGTATTCCTTAATAAGATAAACACCTGTGTTGTATTTATTTTCTAGATGCTGTTGTGAAGTACAAACCAAGCACTTCTCCAAAACTTTTGCATTTAAAATTGTATGAAAGGATGAAGCTCCAGTATCTGACTGAGGAGAGGACATGGGCTTTAACAGTTCCTATCAGAGGGGCATAAATTCTATATTGCATGCCAGCATCATCCCCTCACTAGATACACATTTCCTTTTTTTTATTTAGTTAGGTTCACATTTGAAGGAAAATAAAGTCTGTTCACAGAGATTGCAAAAAGGTGAAACAAGAACAATGAGGATGCTGCTAATTAAAGATGTCTAAAAACAAAAGAACACACGTATTATGCATAACCAAAGAGATTCAAAAATCCTCCTGGTAGAACATGTTCTCACTTGTAAGTGGGAGCTGAATGATGAGAACACAGGGACACATAGAGAAGAACAACACACACTGGGGCCTACTTCGGGGTGGAGGGTGGGAGAAGGAAGAGGATCAGGAAAAATAATTAATGGGTATTAGGCTTAACACCTGGGTGATGAAATAATCTGTACAACAAACCCCCATGACACAAGTTTACCTGTGTAAAAAACCTGCACATGTACCCCTGAACTTAAAATAAAAGTTAAAAAAATCCTCCTGGTAGATATTTCAATTTCTCACCCAGATTTCCAGTTCTCCTCTTCCTTCAGGCACATGCCCCATTGAGGTCAGGCATGGCCATGAGACTTGCTTTGGCCAATTAAATATGAACAGAGATAACATGTGTCACCTCCAAGTGGAAGCACTAAGAAGGCGTTTGTAATTCTCCCATGCTCTCTTCCTCTGCCAGAGCAGACCATGAAGCTGAAAATTTGGATGACAGGGTTAAAAGATGGTGAAGTCTCTATCCTAGGTCACCGAGTCCGGAAGATTGAAAAGGTAGCTCCCAATTCTTCCACTCCCTGAACCTATACTCCCTTGCCATATAAATTGGAGGGCCTCTCCCCTTTGATTCCGAGCTTAGCCAGATGACTGTCATCAAATCCTTCCATTTGCCATTAAGACAACTAACATGACCCCTAAGGAGAGAAGATGAAGATGTTTCAACACTGAAAATTAGCAAATAAAAATGTATAAGGGAGTCTCTATTCTGATTATTACAATCGCATTTGAGTTATTAAGCTTAGTATTTTTCAACACCCTAAGTTAAATTATGATAATTAATCAACATAACAGCAAGGAATGTACTGTTCATTGAAGTGTGAGGGGTTTTGAATTCACTGTAAAGACAATGTTTTCATAAAAACTAAGAATTCCATTCTATCCTAGATTCCTGTAATGTGCTATGATGGCAATGTATTTCAACTTTGATTTGGATCTTTTAAATGCCTCTGGTGGTGGTGTACAGTAACCAACCTCTCTAGCTAATCAATAAGCTGAGAAACAAAAACGGTGTGTCACCGTGAGGGTTTAGTTCCAAATTCTGCTCTCTATAAATGGATAAAATGTTGCTTAGTCAAGAAGTCTGTTAACATGTGTGTTGTGCGTGTGTGCACCCGCATGTGAGGGCATACAGACATGTCTAAAAAAGGCAACTATTTATAATCCACATCGGAACACAGACTATGCTCCTCACAATTCTTTTCCGAAAGCAGCCAACACATTTTGAGATATGCCAACAGTCATTATCCAAGGATGTAAGAACAGGAGCACCATGCATCACGCGGACAGTCGCCTTTCCAGGTAAATAGCACAGAGCAAGAAATCAACACCATTAGAAATGAAGAACTGCAGTTTCTTGGAGGCTAAATTTAAATTTTGTCTTTTCTACACACCAAATATAAGCCAAGAAATTATTCATATGCAAATATACATTTCATTGCTACATATATATTCTTAGTAGAATCTTCAAGAAATAGGTCAGAGATACAACATAACTCTCAAGACATTGGAAAGCACCAAAAGGTCATGAAAACAGGGCTTCCATTTTCCAGATTTTAGTTTCAGAATGTCAGCTATATATGCAATGCTGAGGTCTCTCACAGATGCAAAATACTACTACCTTGTTTTTAGAAGCAGACGTAAAACCACAATTTTCTCAAAAAAGTTAACACAATGGCTACAGTTACAGTGCCGGTAACTAATCTCTCTTCATCAGTCAACCCACCAAAGGATGTCTGAATCAAGCCATTATAAGCCAATACAAAACACTTATTTCAGGTTTACTTACAAAATAGCATCAGCCTTAAGAATACTAATTCTGAATTATGATGAACACATAAACGGAGACCCGATTCCATCTCTGAAATAACCTTTTCAGAAGGTGAGCGTGGTGTCCTGCACCCTGGAGACGCAAAGCCTACCTGAGACAAGTGAAACAGTGTCTTTCTCCCATGAGACGACAGTGATGTACGCCTCCACCGAGGAGGGGATAATGCACTTGAAGACCGCAACATTGCCTCTCATGGTTTTCTGGTCCTCCACACGGACTGTATAGGGCTCCCGTAAAACTGGAAGGCAGAAAGAGGACGTCAGTAAGGCACACGGTCAACAGGCTCATTCTGAGAGTATCTCACTGTAATATATACACTGCAGCACACACACATCAATTGCATAACATATCTTTCTGGAAAACAGTTAAGATGCCTACATTTCACGTCTTTCATCGCCTGACTTAAGAAAACATTCATTCCCTTAACAATACATAGCTGGGTAAGGTGGCTCATGCCTGTAATCCCACCACTTTGGGAGGCCAAGATGGGTAGATCCCTTGTGCCCAGGAGTTCAAGACCAGACTGGGCAACATGGCAACACCCCATCTCTACTAAAAATACAAAAAAATTGCTGGGCATGGTGGTGTGTGATTGTAGTCCCAGCTACTTGGGAGGCTGAGATGAGATTACCTGAGCCTGGGAGGTTGAGGCTGCAGTGAGCTATAATCATATCACTGCACCCAGCCTGGGTGAAGAAAAAAAAATACACTACACTCTATACCAAGGGGCCAGAGTATAATCGAAAATAGTTAATAGACCCCCTGAAGGTATCATGAGATAGGAAATAGCTTCATGAAAGAAAAGTTACTGGCTCTGCAAAGTTATGATGATGGCAAACTGCTATTAGTCCTCTAAGGGCCGAGGAAGATTTTTTTTTCTGACTGCAAAAAATGAATAAAAAATTCAGGCAAGGCAATTTTTCTGGGAAGCCTTGAGAACTCTGAGACAATTAAAATAATTTTTCATTAGTAAATTTTTAAATGACAGTTGCAAAGCAGTTTGGGAAACACTGATCCTGCTTCCCATTGTTTAGGGAAGGATGTTGATTAGACAGCCTGCCCAAACACTCCAATGATAGGAGCATCCCAGAAAGACTGCAGAGTGGACTTCCACGTCCTTGATGTCTAGGCTCAGAGGCAGGGTGGTACTGGTGTTCAGAACCTACCTAGCAGGCCCAACTCCCTGGGTTCAAATCCAAGCTCGGCCACTCCCTGACTGTGGGGCAGTGAGCAAATCCTCTCACCATCTATACCATGGGGATGATGTTGGTAGCATCTGCCCCCTAGGGTGACTGTGGTGAATCAGTTAACGTAGGTGAAAATTCAACAGTGTCTGCTAGAAGCAGGTTGGGTAAGGCCACACTTACCAATAGCCAGAGATGGATCCCCAGGGTTGGGGAAGATCTGTCTCCAGGGAAGTAAGACACTGATGAATATAGTCCCAATTAGATGTGCCAGCCTTACTTCTTTAGAGCTTTGTTTTCCTCAAATTTAAAATGAGGGCATTGTGGTGGGAACCTCTTCAAGGTCTAAATCTTATAAGTCTATGATTTTCTAAGATACCCACAGAGATAACTTATTGTCTAATCATCTAACCACCTCACTTAAAGAATTAATCACTTACTGGACAAATATGTGCCATGAAAATGGTTTCAAAAGGTACTAACACACCAACAAAGCTAAAGGTGAATTTCTCAAGGGAAATCTCCCAGTAGGCAGAGGTGAGCTCTTTAGAAGAGGACTGTTAAGGTCGGGCTAACCTTGTGATATGCTGAGCATTTTTGTAGTAAAGCATGTCTTTCATGAAAGCCTTCCTCTCCAGTTTCCATTTTTAACATTAGCCGTTTTTCCCCAACTTGGAGAATTTCTTCATTATTGTATCTAACCAGAGAGATTTTTCCAAGTATTGAAATCTTCTGCGACCCCCATCACTGTAATCCCCAAGCGGCATGAGGTGAAGGTCCAGGCAGCAACTCCACACCTCCTGCAGGAGGTCCACTAGGCAAAAATTCAGGGCGCCCAAGAGACTGACCTCAGCAACAACATCCTTACACCGAGAGGAGGGAACTGACTTTGTACAGAAAGGCTCCTGCATAAGTAAACCTTTGCTGGGAGCTGAGGTCTACGGTAATAGATTAGAAAAAGACTATGAAGATATAGGCAAACTAATCAAACTCATTGGTGAGAATCTGGGCATGGTGAGAAGCAGAAGACAGAGAGGAGAAGAGGAGGATGGAGGACAGAGGAGAAAGAGGGACTGGTCAACAGAGAGAGTCTACCGTCACAGGAATAGTGCCCCTAAGCAGGGGAATGATTTCAATTTAAGCTCCTTTGTCTGTGTGATGCTTGTTTCTTTGCAATAAAATCACTCTGTCTCCCCAAACCTTCCGCAGACTCTGCTTCAAACATTAATGACTCAAGTAGGATAATTTTTAATAGAAATCAAGGAAAGGGGTCAAGTTCCATGTATCAGACAGGAAAGTGAGAAGAAAAGATGTTCACCTGTTTACCGGGAGACACGGGAAATGCCTTCCCACCAGGTGTACAGCCTACACTAGATGGGATCACAGGAGCCATAAAAATATGGGGTGACTGACCGGGGACATTCCCAGTGTTACCACCCAATGTCCAGTGTCCTAGGAAACCCCTCAGTCCCAGCACTTACCCACATATCATGGAGTTTTCTCCTCTCTAGCTACCCACTGCCCTCACCAGTACCAGGACACCTTAGTAGTCACAATTTTAAACCTGTGTGACTTTTGCTTCTCCAACCTCCAGGTCAGTCCCAAGAAGCCCAGATCTTCTCAAAGCAGGGACAGCACTGTGGTGATCTGAACCCCAGCTCGCTCAAAGGGAATGGGGATCAGAAGAAAACTGCACACTCCCCATCCCTTCTCCTTATTCGATTACTCATTCCACAAAGATAGCCTGTGCAGTGAGCCTTTAAAAAATTATCTTAGAAAATACTTGGCACACAAGAGGTGTTCAATACATATTTTGAGACTGAATATATAGAAAGACAGAGCTTCCATTCTGGGAGAACTTCTAATCCTTTTACAGAATATACATGTATGCACATTTGAATTTATAGCCACTATCTATAGTTTTTTAAAAAAATGCAAATCAGGGTTTTATTAAAGCTCCTAATCTTTGTAATAGAGCATTGTTTGTTCCTGAGGCCTCCATAACTTAAGACACCAACATTGCTGTCTATGGCGATATATCTCTCAGAGGGCCATGTGAGTTTCCTGAGCCCATAGTCAGCCCCGAAGACAGGGGTGCAGCCTTGATCTTCATTCTACATCCAACTACTGCTAACTTTGTTGCAGTAACAGACACTGGGCTAGAAACCTGAGATGCAGGCAAAAAAAAAAATACACTTTGTTTTAAATTTGATTGACATTTGCATTATAAGACAGAGTATTATCTAAGTACTGTGCTTGGTGTCATAAGTTAGGCTCTCCCCAGAGAGCCCAGATCTTCTCAAAGCAGGGACAGCACTGTGGTGCTCTGAACCCCAGCTCGCTCAGAGAGAACGGGGATCAGAAGAAAACTGCACACTCCCCATCCCTTCTCCTTATTCGACCCCAAAAGGAGGAGCTGGGTTCAAGCGACTGAGCAAGGACACAATCCCCTGAGAGGCAGGGAAAGTGTGAGTAGGGCAGGGAGGGAAGCAGCAAAGCAGGTGTGTGGTTTCAGGTGAAGTCCCAGCCACACCTGACATGCTCGGTCATGCAGAGGAGCTGGGATCCCCTGTTGTAGCTGTCTGTCATTGGCTTAGGGCTGGCCTCAGGAGGATGGAACTCCCAGGCATTTCCCACTCTTGTTTCTGTGAATGGTTCCAGTGCCCAAGCAATCCTCTGAAGGCTGCAGGTTCATGTTCTTAGCAACCAGCGCGCAGATCTTGGGGGATCTGATTCAGGGATGCCAGTAGGGTCCACTGCAATCATTTTAGCCTTCATTCAGTAAAATCTGTCATCTTTTTAGATCAGAAGAAAAAAAAATCTCTGGTAATATGACTTTGAAACAAAATCAGGCCTATTTATTTTTTTAATCAAATATTTTCATTGTGATATAAGAGTTGTACATATTCTGGGGTACATGTGATGTTTTCATACCTGTATAAAATGTATAATCATAAAATCAGGGTAATTGGAATATCAATCACTTCAATCTTTTCCCTGTGTTGGGAGCACAGTAAATCTTTTTTCTTCTAGCAATTTAAAAATATACAATAAATTATTAACTATAATTTCCCTACTGTGCCAGCAAATGTTAGAACATATTCCTTCTATTTAACTGTATTTTTATACCCCTCAGCCAACTACTCTTTAACCCCTCTCCTCATCCCCTTGCTTCCCAGCCTCTGGTATCCACCATTCCACTCTCCACCTCCATAAGATCCACTTTTCCAGATCCCATATGTGAGTGAAAACATGTAATGTGTGTCTGTCTGAGCCTGGCTTAATTCACTTAGCATAGCAACCTCCAGTTTCATCCATCATTATATTCTTGTTGGATGGAGAGTTTGCAAATATTAATAGTCTCCCCATTCTGCATGTTGTCTCTTCAACTTTGCTGATTTTTATTTTCTTTGCTGTGCAGAGTTTTTCTGCTTGATGTAATCCTATTTGTCTATTTTTGCTTTTGTTGCCTGTGCTTTTGAGGCCTTACCCCAAAAATCTTTGCCCAGACTAATTTTCTATAGTGTTTCCCTAGTGTTTTCTTTCAGTAATTTCATAGTTTCAAGACTTAGTTTAAGTATTTTGCCCACTTTGAGTTGATTTTCATACACAGTTAAAGACAGGGATCTAGTTTCATTCTTTTGCATATAGATACCCAGTTTTGCCAACACTAATTTTTAAAGAGCTTGCCCTTTCCTGAATGTGTGTTCATGGTACCTTTGTCAAAAATGATTTGGGTATAAGCGCATGGACTTATATTTGGATTCTCTATTCTATCCCATTGGTCTATGTGTCTGTTTTATGTCAGTACTATGCTATAGTATGCCAGTACTACACCTGTGTTGTATTCTTTGAAATTAGACTGTGTGATACCTACAGCTTTGTTCTTTTTGCTCAGGATTGCTTTAGCATTTCGGAGTCTTTTGTGGTTTCATACAAAGTTAAGGATTTTTTTTTCTATTTCTGTGAAGAATGTCATTGGTAGGGATGGCCTTGAATCTGTAGATCACTTTGAGTAGTATAGATATTTTAACACTATTAATTCTTCCAATCAACGAGCATGAAATAACTTTCCATTTTGTGTGTGTGTGTCCTCTTCAATTTCTTTCATACTTCTTTATATTTTTAGCATATCTACTATAGGTTTTTACTTTGTGGTTACCATGAAGCTTACGAAAAGCATCTTATAGTTATAAGAAGTTATTTAAAACTGAAATCAACTTTACTTTGATTACACACACATGGCTTATTTATTGAGCAAGAGATCACACGGTTGGTCTACATTGACAGCAGCGAATGTGAGAAAACATTTTAAATGGTCCATTTTCAAGGCATAATAAATCTAAGCACTGGCAGCCAGCCTGCAGATGTAACAAATTGCATGGCTCATGCACCTAGAAGGTCACGATAAGCAAACAGAATGTAGACGAGGGGTCAGCCCATAAAAGGGAAGAAAGTTTTGTTACTGGGAAATCAAAACTTAAGTGGGGAAGGGGATTGGGTTATAACTTTAAAAGGGGGATAATGAAACTTAGGCGATGTCCAGGAAGATTGTAACTCCATAGTACTCAATCAATGAGGAACTGGGGGAGGGACTTGCTTGCTAGGCAATAAATTACCTGCTCTACCTGCCCTGGGTGTGCCTGCCTAACAGGCGCCTGATCTTGCATCAAAAGTCTTGCTTAGGCTGGGTGCAGTGGCTCACATCTGTAATCCCAGCACTTTGTGAGGCCGAGGTGGGCAGATCACCTGAGGTCAGGAGTTCAAGACCAGCCTGGCCAACATGGTGAAACCCCATTTTTACTAAAAATACAAAAATTAGCCAGGCGTGGTGGCGCATGCCTGTAATCCCAGCTACTAGTGCGGCTGAGGCAGGAGAATCACTTGAACCCGGGAGGCAGAGGTTGCAGTGAGCTGAGATTGCGCCAATGCACTCCAGCCTGGGCGACAGAGCGAGAATCCGTCTTAAAAAAAAAAAAAAAAAAAAAAAAAGAGTCGCTTCTGCTGTTCTTCGTGTCTCTGAGTCCATTCTTTGCATCTGGATGGCTGTATGTGCGTTTCTCACATGAAATACTCATTTTATTGTACTTCGGAGAGATTATGTTTTTTACAAGTTGAAGATTTGTGGAAACCCTGCATCATGCAACTCTATCAGCACCATTTTTCCAGCAGCATGAACTCACTTTGTGTCTCTGTGTCACATTTTGGTAATGCTTACAATATTTCAAACTTTTAAAATCATTATATCTGTTACGGTGATCATTGATCAGTGATCTTTGATATTACTATTGTAATTGTTTTGCGGAGCCACAAACCACATTTACAGAAGATAGCAAACTTAATCAATACAGGTCATATGTGCTCTGCCCACCTCACTGACATGCCATTTTCCGTCTTTCTCCCTCTCCTGAAGCATCCCTTTTTTTGAGACACAACAATACTGAAATTAAATCAATAAATAACCCTACAGTGGTCTTTAAGTATTCATGTGAAAGAAATGGTCTCATATCTCTTACTTTAAATCAAAATCTAGAAATGATTAAACTTAGTGATGAAGGCATATCAAAAGCTAAGACAGGCTGAAAGCTAGGCCTTTTGTGCATTTAGCCGAGTTGTAAATGCATAGGAAAAGTTCTTGAAGGAAATGAAAAGTGCTACTTCAGCGAACAAATGATAAGAAAGTGAAACTACCTTACTGGTGGTGTGGAGAAAATTTGAGTAGATAGAAGATCTGGAGAGATGATTAAACTAGCCACAACATTGCCTTAAGCGAAAGCCTAAATCAAACTAAGTCCTTAGCTCTCTTCAATTCCAGGGAGGCTTAGAGGGGTGGGAAAGCTGCAGAAGAAACACTGGAAGCTAGCAGAGGTTGGCTACTGAGATTTAAAGAAAGAAGCAATCTTTATAACATACAAATGCATGGTGAAGCAGCAAGTGTTGATGGAGAAACTGCAGCAGGTTATCTAGAAGCTCCAGCTAATGTCAATGATGAAGGTGGCTGCCCTAAACAATATATTTTCAATGTACAGAAGATATCCTTCTATTAAAAGAAAATGCCATCCAGGATTTTCATAGCTAGAGAGGAGAAGTCAATGCCTAGCCTCAATGCTTCAAAAAACAAGCTGATTCTTGTTAAGGGTTAATGCAGCTGATGACTAAGATGAAGTCAATGCTCATTTACCATTTCAATAATTCTAAAATTATTTCTTAGAATTAATTATGACAAATCTACTTTGCCTATGCTCTAGAAATAAAACAAGAAGGTCTGGGTCACAGCACATCTTCTTATAGCATGTCATGTTGCACAGGATAGAACCTCCAGGACGATGTAGAATAGAAGTGGTGAGAGCATACACTTTGATATTGTTCTTCATTTGGGGGTGAAAACATTTCATCTTTGACAAGTATGATGTTCGCTATAGCAGGATTTTCGTAGTTGCTTTTTATCAGATTGAGGAAGTTCCTTTCTACTGATGGTTTTCTGAGAGTTCTTTTAATCATTAGTGGATGTTGGGTTTCATCAATGTTTTTCTGTGTCTGTTGAAATGATCACATGGTTTACACTGATTAATTTTCAAATGTGAAACTCACCTTGCATTATGAATATAAGCCTTTGTGGTCATAATGTATTATTCCTTTTATATGTTGTTGGATTCAATTTGTTAAATTTTTAGAATTTTTACATGTATAGTCAGAAGAGATACTTGTCTTTAGTTTTCTTATGTCTTGTTTATGTATTAGGGTAATGCTAACTTCATAAAATGATTTGGGAAATACTCTCTCCTCAATTTTCTGGAAGAATTTGTTTATAATTTTTATTCTTTCTTTCTTTCTTTTTTTTTTTTTTTGAGATGGAGTCTCCCTCACTCTGTCACACAGGCTGGAATGCAGTGGCACAATCTTGGCTTACTGTAACCTTCGCCTCCTGGGTTCAAGCAATTCTCCTGTCTCAGTCTCCCAAGTAGCTGGGACTAAAGGCATGTGTCACCACACTTGACTGATTTTTGTGTTTCTAGTAGAGATGGATTTTCACCATGTTGGCCGGGCTGGTCTTGAACTCCTGACTTCAAGTGATTCTCCTGCCTTGGTCTCCCAAAAGTGCTGGGATTACAGGCATGAGCCACTGTGCCTGGCCAAAATTATTATTTCTTTCTTAAAGGATTAGTAGAATTCAATAGTGAAGCCATTTGAGCCAGGAATTTTACTGTAGAGAATTTTTACCAATAAATTTAAATTCTTTAATAGATATAGGGCTATTCAGTTTATCTGTTTTTCCTTGAGTGAGTCTTGATAGTTTGTGTTTCTCAAAAAATATTTTATTTCATCTACTTTTCTTAATGTTCTCTTAGTATCATTTTAATACCTGTAGAAGATAAAGTGACGTTATCTCCCTCATTCTTGGTATTAGTCATTTACCAACTCTCTCACTTTTCTGGTGAAAAACACACCAATTTTAACAATTTTTTTAAAAGAACTTTTAGTTTCATAGATTTCCTCTATTGTTTCTTTCTGTTCTATAATTTATTGATCTCCATTCTGATCTTCATTGTTTGCTTTCTGCTTATAGTTTTAGTTTTATCCTCTTTTTCAGTTTAAAATGGATGCTGAGACCACTATTTAAGACTTTTTTAAAAATTTCTAATATAAGTTTTTTAGAGCAATAAAATCTCCCTATTTTTTTAGTGGCACTCCCCAAATTCATATATATTGTGTGTTCATTTCTTATTCAGTTGAAAAAACTTTCTAATTTCCTTCTTCAAATTTTTTTCTGAATTTTTTTTTTTGACACAGATCATTTAAAAGAGTGCTATTCAGTATTCAGGTACTTGGTTATTTCTCAGAGATGTTATTGTTAGTGATTTAATTTCATTATGATCAAACAACATATTTTATACAACTTGAATTTAAAACAAATTTATCTGAGATTTGTTTTGTTGCTCTGAGTATGGTCTATATTAGTAAATGTCTGTGTGTCTCAGAAGAGAATTTATATTGTGCTGTTGTTGGATAGAATGTTCTTTATTTAAAGGTCAATTACATCAAATTGATTGATAGTGTCATTCACGTGTTTTTTTGTTCTTACTGATTTTCTGTCTACTTCTACCAATTATTGAACTAGGAGTATTGAAATCTCCGGCTATAATTTTTGATATGTCTGATTCTCATTGCAGTTCTATCCATTTTTACTTTATGTATTTTGAAGTTTTGTTGTTGGGTACATAAACATTTACAATAGTCATATCCTCTTCACCTCCCCCCTTTACATTATGAAATGAACTGCTTTAGCTCTGAGCACAGGGGATTTTTAGGGCAGTGAAACTGTTCTTTATGATACTGTAATGGTGATACCTGCCATTATGCATACAACTTACAACATAGAGTGAAATTTAATGTGAACTATGGACTTCAGTTAATAATAATGTATAAATACGAGCTTATTGTCACAAATGTATCACACTAATGCAAGATGCTCTGAGCAAACAGTGTATTTGTTTGGAAATACACTTTGCTTAATATTAATGTGGCTATTCTAGCTTTCTTTCAGTGGTTTACTTTAATTAGGTTGATTTGATTTGATGAGGATGGTATATCATTTTTATCCTTTTACTTTTAAGCTATTTGTGCCTTTGTATTTAAAGAATGTTTCTTTTAAGCAGTGTTAAATCCAATCTGGCAATTTCTGCCTTATAATTCAGGTTACTGGAACATTTAAATTTAATGTGGATATTGATACGGTTAGGTTTATCATTTTGCTATTTGATATGTATTTTTTTTTTACCGTGTTTCCTTTTTCTTATCATTTTCTTCTTTGTTTTGGATTGAGGATTTTTTAATGATTCTATTTTTTCTCCTTTGTGGGCTTATTAGCTATAACTCTGTTTTGTTATTTTAGAGGTTGCTTTAGGTTTTGTAGTATACATTTGTAACTTATCACCATCTATATTCAGGTGACATTACACAACTTCACATATAGCAAAATAACCTCCAATATTACACTCCCATGTCTTCACTGTAGGCCTTAATGCTATTGTTGCTATAAGTTTTACTTCTGCCTATGTTACAAACTACCTAAGACATTGTTACTATTTTTGTCTAAATAGCCAATTATTTTTTAAAATATTGCAATTTTTTAAAAAATCTGATTTAGATACTCATGTAGTTACCATTTTCATTGCAGTTCTTTCCTTTGAGTAGATCTAAGATTTGATCAGGTGTCATTTTTTTCTTCTGATTCTAGAACTTCCTTTAAGATTTCTTGTAGTAGGATTCAGCTGATGATAAATTTTCTGCTATTTTGTGTCTGAGAAAGCCTTCATCTCACCATTATTTTATAAATTTACTTCCACTCTTGCCTGTAATCCTAGCACTTTGGGAGGCCAAGGCAGGGCAACTTCTTGAGCCCAGGAGTTAGCGACCATCCTGGGCAACATAGCGAGATTCCATCTCTACAAAAATAAAAATAAAAATCAGCCTGATGTGGCGGCATGCACCTCTGGTCCCAGCTACTTGGGAGGCTGAGATGGGAGGATCACTTGAGCCAGGGAAGCTGAGGCTGCAGTGAGCGATGATCACCCCACTGCACCCCAGCCTGGTTGACAGAGCAAGGCCCTGTCTCATAAAACACACATATACACACATCCACACACACACACACCCAACAGCAACAACAAAAATCCTGTCTACTGTCATTCTTATCTTTGTTCCTTTGTGTGTAATATGCCTTTCTTCTGTAGCTGCTTTTGATATTTTATTATTGCGCTGAGCAATTTTATTATATTATGATGTGCCTTTGTGCATTTTTTCTTCACGTGTCTTGAGCTTGGGGTTTGTTGAGCTCCTTGGATCTGTGGGTTTATAGTTTTCAACAAATTTGGAAAATTTTGGCCTGCATTTTTCCACTTCTTTTTAAATTTCACCATCCCTTCCCTTGGGGCTTAATTTGTCATTAAGCTTCCTGAAGCATGTTTTAATTTTTTTGAATAAAGCTTGATTTTTTTTTAGAGCAGTTGTAGGTTTAGAGAAAAGTTCACAGCAGGTTCCCATATTCTCCCTCTTGCCACATCCTTTAATTTCTTTCATTATTATCATCTTGCATTAATGTGATACATTTGTGACAATAAACTCATATTTATACATTATTATTATTAACTAAAGTCCATAGTTCACACTAAGTTTCACTCTATGTTGTAAGTTCTATGCATAATGGCAGGTATCACCATTACAGTATCATACAGAACAGTTTCACTGCCCTAAAAAAATCCCCTGTGCTCCGTCTGTTCAACCCTCCCTCCCTCCTGACTATCCCCTGGAAACTACTGATCTTTCTACTGTCTCTCTAGTTTATCTCTTCCAGAATGTCAAGTAGGTGGAAGGGTATACTATGTTGCTTTTCCAGACTGGCTTCTTTCACTTAGTAACAGGCATTTAAATTTCCCCCATATCTTTTCATAGCTTGATAGCACATTTTTTCTATCGCTGACTAATACTTCATTTTATACTATAATTTGTCTAATGTTAAAGAAAAATTGTAGCTGGGCCCTGTGGCTCATTCCTGTAATCCCAACACTTTGGGAAGCTGAGGCAGGCAGATGGCTTGAGCCCAGAAATTTGAGACCGGCCTGGGTAACATAGTGAGAATACCCTCTACAAAATTTTTTTTTTTAAAGAATTAGCCAGGTGTGGTGACTTATGCCTGTAGCCGCAGCTACTTGGGAGGCTGAGGGGAATCACCTGAGCCCAGAAGTTGAGGCTGCAGTGAGCCACGATCCCATCACTGCACTCCGACCTGGACAAGAGAGGGAGATGTCCTCTCAAAAATATTAAAGAACAGAAAAAAATGTTCTAACACTTATTAAAAAGATAAGATTATATTCATGTCTGTTCCAGTAGGAGTCATCTATGATGACTGCAACAGGGAAGGGTAATTCAACTTCATATTCAACAAGGATAAGTGAGGGTTTATAGCCAATGAACACAGTGAGGGGAGCAGTGGGTGGAAAATTAGAAAGAGGAGACATCAAGGGATGAGGATTCTTGCTAAACTGGCCTAACAGATTCTTGCTAAAATCAGGCCAAACATGTATACATCAAAGATGGGACTGGAAGAACTTGATCAGATATTAAGAGTGATCAAGTATCAAGAGTAAGGGGATGATTTAGCAGGATTCTTGCTAAAGCTGGGGACAAGAGACCAGATGTGAAAAGCTAAGGTTGAGAACTAGTTGAGAGGAGGGCTCAGAGGAGCCTTTCCAAAGTTAGTCAAGGAGAGATTCTTTATCCCCATCCACTCACATACTAAACAACATCTTTGTTGCTTCCATGTTTTGGCAATTAGGAATAAAGTTGCTATACAAATTTATGTGCAGATTTTGATATTCTTTATCCCAAAGCATAAGGCAAGCATAGGACACATCTTATTTCCAGCTCCTTAAGGAATGCTTTCCTCTACTGCCTGAGGTCCAGTCTTGAAAATGGTTGCTTCAGATATTTTGTCTGCATTTTTCGTTGTTTTTTTTCAGTTGGTTGTATTAGTCCATTCTCACACTGCTATGAAGAAATACCCAAGACTGGGCAATTTATAAAGAAAAGAGGTTTAATTAACTCACAGTTTCAACTGCCTGGGGAGGCCTCAGGAAACGTACAATCATGGCATAAGGCACCTCTTCACAGGGTGGCAGGAGAGAGAATGAATGCAAGCAACGGAAGTGCCAGATGCTTATAAAACCATCAGATCTCGTGAGACTCACTCACTCTCACGAGAACAGAATGGGGGAAACTTACCCCATGATTCAATGACCTTCCACTGGGTCCCTCCCAGGACCCATGGGGATTATGGGGATTATCATTCAAGATGAGATTTGGGTGCGGACATAGAGTTAAACCCTATCAGCCTCAGGACACTGGTTTTTGGTTGTTTCAGATAAAAGGGTAAATGTGGCTCCCACACCTCCATCTCGGCCACAAGCAAAAGTCCTAGTCAAATGTTAGAAAGCAGTTTGTGGCCGGGGTCGCTCATGCCTGTAATCCCAGCACTTTGGGAGGCCGAGGTGGGCAGATCACGAGGTCAGGAGATGGAGACCATCCTGGCTAACACGGTGAAACCCCATCTCTACTGAAAATACAAAAAAGTTAGCTGGGTGTGGTGGCGGGTGCCTGTAGTCCCAGCTACTCTGGAGGCTGGGCAGGAAAACGGCGTGAACCCGGGAGGTGGAGCTTGCAGTGAGCCGAGATCGCGCGACTGCACTCCAGCCTGGGAAACAGAGCGAGACTCCAGTCTCAAAAAAAAAAAAAAAAGAAAGAAAGAAAGAAAGAAAGCACAGTCTGCTAAGGAGAAAACAATCATGAGAAATCTTCTGACTTGCCCAGGATCAGGCGGCTCATTGCTACTTGCTCTGTAGCAAAGGCAGCCTGGGTAAGGAGCAATACTGTCTGAAGTGGCCCACCTGCATTCCAGCCCTTAGAACAGGCAAGAAAATATCTTATGTTAGGACTAGGATTGATGATTAATGAGACATGATGAGTAAACCTTCCTTCAATTGCTAGCACCCAGACCTAGGTCAAAATTTCTGAAATTTAAGAATGAGAATCCCTTGTGCTGCCAAGGGAAAGATTATGAAGTCATTCTACCTAATAGCTTATTCCAGGAAAATCCAAACACCAATCTACAGGGATATTTAGACATTTAGGATGACCTGATACAGAAGAGGATACCCCGTGAGTGAGCAGTCATCACCCTCAAACCTACCCTTCAGCTGTCAAAGGGTAGCATTTATGCCCTTCATCTGTCTTTTTGAACAAGCTTCCAGTTCTGTACTCATATTTACATAAACAGGATGAAAAAAGATTTTCAAGTATCCAGTGAACAACCTAAAAGATTATTATAACCATTATGTGTTCACAATAAAAAGCAAAATGAAATCAGGAGAGAAATTTGATTTGGGTAATATGACTGCCCATCTTATATGTTCAAACTGATACAGTAGTCATCCATATGCTGGATTCATAGTCCATAGGGTTTCAGATGTCAAGAACGCCAGCACATAAATAGTAAAAGCACAACTGGGTAGGAAGAGGCAGGTAGCACAGACGCCAGACAAGATGATGCAATGTCCATGCTCTAAAACTTTCAGTGTCATGCAAAAACAATGAATTCTATGACTAATTTAGAAGATGATAGTTAAAACAGGAGTAAGCATTTCATTCCTTTATCTGACAGAAAATCCAAGGCAGACATAATGGATTAATACGCACAGATGGAGCTGTTTGAAATTCTAGGTTTCCCTATAAGTGGTGTTTTGCAGATTATAAATACGCTTTTATAACACATCATTAAAATGTGCAGTCTTCCCAGTAAAAGTCATTCACTGTATCTCCCTGTTTGTCAGGTTTAGAGGTCCCTATACAAATTGCATTGTAATTATTTGACACATCAAATTTTCATATATCTTGATTAAAGACAATCCTTTTTTTCTTTCTTATGTGAATTCTCATGCAGGTCTTGGAATTCATGAGCATGTCACAAAGATCAAAATATAGTTGGGAAAATGACTAGCTAGCAGCATGAGTCATAGTCTAATGTTTGATGGCTTACATCAAAGAGATCATATGCAGGAATTCAGAAACACCTCATATTTTTCTCATGTTGTGATGTCTTCTACCAGCACCTACTCACTTACTGAAGAAATTATTGCAAAGCTCCCCCAGCTACCTGGTGTATAAGAAAAAAATCAAAGTCACATTCTCTTTGCCCTGCTATTATATTATGTCAGTCTACACAAGTATTTCAGAGCTAGACTTAAAAAAATTAAAATGCTGTTTGCTAACAGGAGTCTAGCTGTGAGTTTGTTTTGCAGGGCTTTGTTAAATCTATAGAACCACACAATCTGTCCTGTATATATAGCCCTTGATGTCTGTGTATCTCAGGCAGTATTCTTTCCTGGGTTGACTTGTAGCAATGGTGATTAAAAAAAGACACAATATGTTGTTAAAAGGAACATAGCCCATTCAGGATTTATGTACTGACAACATTTCAGCAACATGTGATACAGTCAAAAATGTTAAAATAGCCTTTCTATTTCACAAGGAAAGCAAGGATATTAGATTGATTCTGTTTCCATAACAGTACATCTTGATGCTATGGTTTTATTCCAGCTCAACCATTTGTCATTTTTTTCTCTCTCTTTCTCCTCCCCTAGGATGGGGTAGGGGAAGGGCAAGTGGGAAAAAAGGAGGGGTGGAAGCAAACACATTGGGTTTGAGACACTGAAAATTTGAATTAGAGTATCAAATTAGACAAAATATAAGGAGGCTGGGATGTTAGAACTTGCCAACTTGCTAATCACTGCTTTCTTTCAAGGTTTAGTTCCAACAATGTAAGGCACTTTGAAATCTAAACAAGGAGACCTTAAAGAAGTCATCAGCAAGGTCAGAATGAACTGATGATGGGGTTTTCATTGGTTCTCTGCTGTGATGGCATTTTGCTATGTGTCATTGTCATTATCCTCCCATCCCAAGCAGGCACAGAAAAAACAAAGCCCAGAGCTGTACTCACCAGCCTTGATGTGGACATCCTGACTTCTAATTTTCCCTGAAGGATTTTCAGCTGTGCAATAATAAGTATTATCATGGATTAAGGTACTGAAGCTTGAAGGAGGGAAGGGGAAAATTTGGAGAGTGCCGTTGGGGTGGACGTGGCGGATCCCGGGGACATCGTAGATCTCCTCGCCCGTGGCTAGGTACCATCTGAGAGTCACAGGAGGGATGCCTGCTGCGGGGCAGGGCACCAGAGTCCCCGTGGTGCTGGCAAACACTACCTCTTGCAGAGATGCATTGACAAAGTAGAGGCTGGAGTGTAGGTCTTCACTGAAAACTGCAAGAAGACAACACAGGGATCCATAGGTGAGTAAAACATGCCTTTGACATTTGCAGTTCAATGTCTGGCCTCAGAAAGTTATCCTGAAAATTAATCATGAGGCGCAGGCTCAAATAAAACCAAATAATTCAAATTTTCTGAAAATGCTGTGAGCAGACAGGCTGATACTAAAAAATAAGGCACCATCCTAATTTCACATTTTGTACACAAACTGTTAAGTTATCCTGGATGTTAATTTTTAATAGATTGTTTTTTTGCCTCATGCCCCAAACCCTGTTCTCTCCCCACACTGACCACCATTGGACTGTATATATTTTATATTCACTTATTGTCTATCTTCTGCCACTAGAGATAAGCCTCATGAGGACAAGGTCTTAATTTACTCCCACTATTACCTGGAGCATAGAGCCCAGCTCTCACTGGACTCTCAGTAAAGGGAAGCTGAATGTGTGAATGCCTAGATCTTGTTGCTGGGATCAAATTGCTCTCTTTACTAGCTTCACTGAGGGTTATTATGCAATGAAATTTGCCACATTTTTAATTAAAATTGCAAATCATATGTAAAACATTTTATTTTTTATTATACTTTAAGTTCTGGGATACATGTGCAGAATGTGCAGGTTTGTCACATAGGTATACACGTGCCGTGGTGGTTTGCTGCACCCATCAACCCGTCATCTACATTAGGTATTTCTCCTAATGCTATCCCTCCCCTAGTTCCCCAACCCCAACAGGCCCCGGTGTGTGATGTTCCCCTCCCTGTGTCCACGTGTTCTCATTGTTCAACTCCCACTTATGAGTGAGAACACGCGGTGTTTGCTTTTCTGTTCCTGTGTTAGTTTGTTGAGAATGATGGTTTCCAGCTTCATCTACATCCCTGCAAAGGATATGAACTCATCGTTTTTTATGGCTGCATAGTATTCCATGGTGTGTATGTGCCACATTTTCTTTATCCAGTCTATCATTGATGGGCATTTGGGTTGGTTCCAAGTCTTTGCTATTGTGAATAGTGCCACAATAAACATATGTGTGCATGTGTCTTTATAGTACAATAATTTATAATCTTTTGGGTGTATACCCAGTAATGGGATTGCTGGGTCAACTGGTATTTCTGGTTCTAGATCCTTGAGGAATCTCCACACTGTCTTCCACAATGGTTGAACTAATTTACACTCCCACCAACAGTGTTAAAGCGTTCCTATTTCTCCACATCCTCTCCAGCATCTGTTGTTTCCTGACTTTTTAATGGTCACCATTCTAACTGGCATGAGATGGTATCTCATTGTGGCTTTGATTTGCATTTCTCTAATACCAGTGATGATGAGCTTTTTTTCACGTTTGTTGGCTGCATAAATGTCTTCTTTTGAGAAGAGTCTGTTTATATCATTTGCCCACTTTTTGATGGGGTTTTTTTTCTTGTAAATTTAAGTTCTTTGTAGAGTAAAGCATGTTAAAAAAGCACCATTATCAGAAAATACAATGTCAAATCAACAATACACTTTTATTTAAAATAGGACATAACAATAAAGAGAATTTTGACAAAAGCATGACTCAACTCCACCAGCCTACAGTGTCTGTTTTGATTTTTACATTTCCCTTGTGGTCCACCTGCCTCCATGCCTTATCTATATAATTATATCATGTTAAAGTGTACATACGTAAAATGTACCATTTTTATAACTGTTTAATTCTTTTATACATCATCTACATTATTCCATGGTTCTATACGGACTTCACAAGTAAATATCAGTGAATGCACAATTTATACATATTCTTATGAACTGTTTTTCTGCTCTTTTCATTTAAATTGTTTCTCTTTTCGCTTCTACAAGTAAATATCATCAAATGTGTTCATACACATTTGGCTTTTTAATTCATTTAAGGGCCTATAACAAGTGTTTCTGGAGTGTTGGTTATGTGAAGAAATAAAACGTGACTTCCAGAATTTACAAGTTAAATAAAAGATTTATAAATATAATGAAGGCCTACTTGTCACACATCTGAGCTTCTCCATGACTTTCTAAAGCAGGTGCATACCTAGTTACATATTTGTAAGAGAGAAGAGAAGCCCCAGATATTTCGAATGAACTTCACTGGTCAGAAGTGAGAATAACATTTATTGTATGCTTCATAGTATCTCATACCAGACAACCTTCTAACACTCGAGATGAACAACAGCTCCGCTAGGTAAACAAAGGCTCCACTTTGCAGACGGTGACATGGAGATTCACAGGGCTGTCACTTGACCAAGGACACAGGATACAGGCTGTCACTTGAGCAAGAACGCAGGGCTAGGAGGTGGCAGAACTAGATTCAGTCTTTCTGATGAAGGCTTTTGAGATTTTTGTTTTCTCATCTTAGAACCAAATGTGGCATAACAGTCCCCCCTCATTTGTGTGGGGATTACAGGCAGCTCTGTATAGAGTGGGTCTATGGCCTGTGCTTCCAGATCTAGTCTTTCTCCGTGGTGTGGAGCTGAGGGGTTACAGGCTCCTGCTATGTGCTGGGGTTGCTACTAAGTCTATGTGATAAAATACATGAGCCCCTCACTTTGCCTGTAGTTAACTGACATGATTTGGTAAGAAAGAGATGAAGAAATTAACACTATTTACAAAGGTGATTGGACTCATCTTATAATAATAAGATTTAACCTGCTCACTAAATGTGAGGGTAGCGGGTGGTCTCCACCCTGCTGTTAGGAAGCACAGCATCCAAGCATTGGCACAAGGCTGAATAGATGTGGTTGACTCTACTCACAGCATGTTCTTCCCTGCTGCCACTTGGTGGACACTGTGGGGCTCCCTTCAGATTTCCTCTTTAGCGCCAATGCACCCTGCCCCAAAGCAGCTGGAAAGATCCTATGTTGAGTCCTACACTGGGAACCAGCCCAAGTTACAGGGAACTGCCTTGTCTGAGGCCTGCAGGGAATGACTGGTCAAAGGTGGCTCCACAAGCCTGGCCCCCTCGTGTTAAGTTGCAACAATGCTGAAGGTGCATCCCACCTGAGACCGCTATCATCAGAGCTTTGCAGAGAAGCTTCTCCCTCCACTCATTCTGCCTTCCTCACACCCTTGCTGATGTCTCTCTTGAGAATACACTCCCAGGAGGCCTTCTGCATGCAACTCTTCCTCTGAGCATCTCCCTTCAGGTAACTCAACAGGAGACATCAAATGAGGCTCTGCTAGTTACCCTCTACAACCATGTCTTTCTGAAATGTTTTTCTATTTTAAATAAAGTAATCAGAAAGTGCCAACTAACATCCCATGTAAGCTCCCCAATAGAGCATGAGCAATAAATAAAATACACCAAGATGGAAGAAAGTACTAAATCTGGATTATCACTGGATTAAAACATTTTTACAAGCAATAATTATTACATTGAATAAGGCAATGACACAACTAAGACTCTCAGGCTGTTATGTTTTTGGGAACCCATTGAATCTGGACAGTGACAGTGTGTAGTTTGTTTTATGAAAACATACTCATGTAAGAATCTAACATTTCAAGGTGAAACCCCGTCTCTACTAAAAATACAAAAAATTAGCCGGGCACGGTGGCGGGCGCCTGTAGTCCCAGCTACTCGGGAGGCTGAGGCAGGAGAATGGCGTGAACCCGGGAAGCGGAGCTTGCAGTGAGCCGAGATTGCGCCACTGCAGTCCGCAGTCCGACCTGGGCGACAGAGCGAGACTCCGTCTCAAAAAAAAAAAAAAAAAAAAAAAAAAAGAATCTAACATTTATCTATTATATAAACATTTTGATTTTTAGTTAAACTTCACATATTCAATGGGCTCATAGCCCTAAGCCTAATGCCTAGCAAGCTGTGTGTGTTTCGTAAATGCTAGTTGGTGCATTCACTGTCCCCATATTTTTTCATTTTCCCATCTCATAATTCATGTGGTATGTCAAACTTCTGTTGATAATATAATGTAACCTTTTGAAGTATTTTTGGAATTTCTATTTTACAAAATTACAACTCTTTTAAGTAGATTGGAATTACCTCTCACAGTTTAGGAACTGACTGTATAGAAGTTGAGACAGAGAGAGAGAGAGAGAGAGAGAGAAGGTGGGGGGTACAGGCGAAAGCCTTTAGCGAGGTCCTGATATAGAGAGATGCTTACAAACTGTGGCCCCCCTTCCACTATGAACAGGAAAGCCTACATACTGATGTGAATTCTGCTCCCCTGTGAGGGACACACAATGTAGATGTCTCCAAAGTAGATGGGCCCCCGATAAGACCCTCTTTCTCCTTGATCAGGGGAAGCATCAAAAGCTATTGTCAATCTGTGCGTCTCAAGAAGTGTCTTGTTCAACAATGCTGGAAATAACATGGATGATCTCACACTTGAAGACCTACACCTCCTTGGGGATGTTGGCAGATGATATCTACCTGACAGGTCCACTACTGGGGTGAGATCTGAGGGTCACTCTGGCTGTTAGGCCATATATGGCACCAATGAAAACTCTAACTTTTCACTGGTGTCATATAGGATGGAAATGTTACCAGGGCCAAAGGCTTCAATTATAGAAAAGTTTATCAGTATAAACACAGTGGTCAATGACACACAATCCTGCAGGGCATTGAGACGTGTGTTGTGTCACAGTTACATTAGGAAACTTGCTCTCGTGTGCCTATATGGAATGTAGACTTCTATTTAGTAAAACCAAGAAGGTTAACCCCTAACCTCACTAAGGAGAGATGGGAAGGATTGCTGTCTTTCCTTGCACAAATATACCTTAGAGTGCACATGGCAAAACTTCATTCTTTAACTAAGGTTAGGAAATATATCAATAAATATGTTGGTGTGGGGATGAGGAAGGGCAAGTGTAATGAGATTCCTGGCCTACTATAGCCTAGAAAGAAAACTTCATTAGGAAGAACTGTTAGAAAGTTATGAGGATGGCATATGGTGGTCAAGATTTGGTATGGTGGAATGAGCTCATGCATTTTAGCACTACATCTTGTTAAGAAACTAAATGGTCATGTAACCAGTCATTTAAACACTAAGCACCAACTTTAGATTGTCACAATAAAGGAAGAAGTAGGGAGCAGAATAGAGGCAGAAGAGACATTAATCTAATAACTAGATGAGCTAATAACTAGGCCTGGGCACTCTCCGTGGCTTGCTACCCAAGCTGTCTCGGGACCTATCCGCTGCATTGTGACAAAGTATTCCTCAGCTGCCCCAGCCATGGCTCAAGTGGTCCCAGGCCTGGCTTAACTTACTGCTCTGGAAGGTACTAATCATAAACTTTGGTGGCATCCATGTTGTGTTAATTCTGCAGGTGCACAGAATGCAAAAGCTGTGGGGCATGGCTTTCTCCACCTAAACTTCAAAGACTTCCCAGAAAGCCTGCGGCCCTGGGCAGAGACTTGTTTTAGAGGTGGAGCCGGCACAAAGAGTCCCCATTAGGGCGGTGCTGAGACGAATTAATGGGCCAGAGCTGCAGCAGAGACTGTCCACTAGAGTAATGCCTAGTGGAGCCACGGAAGTGGGGCTGGCCCTGAGATCCCAGAACTGTAGAGCTACCAGCACATAACATCAGCCTGGGAGAGCTGCAGACATAAGACTCCAACCCATGAGAGCTGCTGGGTAAACTGAGCCCAAGAGCCCAACAAAGCCACCAAGGCAGCTTTTCCTGAGGCCCTGGGGACCCAATCCCCACCCCAGTGTTCCCCAGGTGAGGGACATGGAATTAAAGGGGTTTCTTATCCAGCTTTAAACTTAAGGTTGTTTTCTCTGTTGGGTTTTAGATTTACTTGAAACCTGTTACCTCTTCCTGCCTCTTTCTCCTTTTTGGAATGGGAATGTCCATCCTGTTCCTGTCTCACCATCGAATTTTGGAATTAGATAGCTTGCTTTGATTCATAGCTCATGGCTGGAGGGAATTTGCCTCTAGATGAATCATGCCTGAGTCTCACTCATATCTGATTCAGATGAGACTTTGGACTTTCAAACTGATGCTGGAATTACTTAAGACTTTTGGGGTACTGGGATTCAATGAATGCATTTTGTATGTTAGAAGTTTCAGGAGGCCAGGGCAGAATACCACGATTTGAATGTTCCTGCCAAAACTCACGTTGAAATTTAATCACCAGGGTAATGGTACTGGGAGGTGGAAACTTTAAAAGGTGACTCGTAAGAGGCAGATCCTTCATGAATGGATTATTGTCATTATCACAGGAGTGAGCTCCTTATAAAATAATACATTCTGCCTCCATTTTCTTTCTATCCTGAACACTTGCTTCTGTCTTCCATCCTTCCACCTAGGATGACCTTCACCTGATGGCCTTGGACTTCTCAGCCTCCAGAGCCATGAGCCAAATAAACTTCTGTTGTTTACAATTTACTCAGTCTGTGTATTCTGTTTTAGTAGCAGAAAATGAACCAAGACAACAATTCACGAAAGTTTCACTCTTCACACTCATACAGAATAGGTGAAACCTTTTCACATCACTATTTTAGTTTCATTATATGCCTGCCTTTATTCCGGAAAGTCAGATCTAGGGGAAGCTGTGTCCATGAGATTTAGCATCCTCCAGGTATCTTACTTGAAACATCCATCGTTTTTCTCTTGGTCTCCATCACTGGCAGAAACCAAGAGTTTGGCCTCCAGGGCCAGTTGGGGCTATGGCTAAGCTGGGAAGCACAGTGAACACCAATTGCCAAAAGGTGGCAGAGAAAAATACATTTTGTACAAGCGATAGCTCTTACCCACAGAGAAGAGAGGCAGGGGTGTTCATCAAGTCGTAAGTGTTTTATAGTTTTCTCTCCCAACCATAACTAAAGTCTTTAGCAATGCTTCATAAGTCAGAATATGAAAATTATTGCTAACTAAGAAATCGGTTCAGATCAGAAGCATAGTTAATAGTTCAACACGGCAGTTTTCAACTCAAATAAAAATGCTGATAGTAGCACTGTAATTTTACATTTGAGCTTTCCAAGAAACTGACATTACCCCAAACATATTGTTAGGAATGAGGTAACTGTCACTCTTCAAGGCTAATTAATTCCACCAGGATTCTTTTATTTTTTTTCCCTACATTATTTTTCTATCAACCCGACTGTGGGTAATTTGAACTAAGCAAAATTTGGTCATATTTGAATTTATCCTCTTGTATCCTAAAAGTAGTCTTGTTAAGAATAGCAAGACTTTAAAAATGTAAATGTATACAAGAAACATTGCTTAATTAAATGTATAGTTTCTTATTGAAAATCTCATTCCACAAGCCAGCTTGTGAAATTATTTAAATGACTGCAGGAAAAAAATGATAAATAAATGTTTAATCCTAGCAGTTAAAGAGATAAGCGACCTATGGGGGATTACTGTCACTTCTCCTTATATTTTTAAAGAATTTTACATTAGTCTTTCTCCTTCATGCCACAGGGTTTAATAATGTAACATAAACTCATTCTCTAAGAGACACATCATATGGCCACAGGCAAAAGAAAACCCAAACTATATTCCAACAGCTTTTGTTTCTTCCATCTAAGGGACCATCCATCTGCCTAAATAATAGCACTTCTTTTTATAGAGTGCCTCCTGCTCTTTAATACAGTAACATTTGCTTCCTCCAGTAAGGGCAGAGGCAACCTTAATGTGAATTATGTGTGTGTGTGTGTGTGTGAAAGTTCCTAAAAAATAACTGTGGGTTCAAAACAGAAAGCTAAATGAAACATTCAGCACAATCTTGTGAAATTCAGGGTTGAAAATCCTGGGGTACCAACACTAAGGGAGCTAATGGGAGGGACCTTGGAGAATTGTTTCTTCAGTTGCAGACTTCTCAATATTTTACATCCCTGTAACAGACGGCATAACCAAGGCTCCACTGACAAACATAAAGAAGAGTGTTACACCAAAAAGAAAATAAATCAATATTTTAGCTTTTCTTAAAATTCAAACAGGGCAGGGTGAAAAGGGGAGATGTGGGAGGAATTTTGCAGTAGGCAGTGACACAAGCATTCACTGATGCAATAATATTTATTGAGCACCTACTAGGTACCAGGTCTTGTGTAAGGGCCCAGTAATGCAAGATATAACAAGTCCTGGTACTACTGCCAAGGAAATTTCAGTCTGAAGGGTACTCTAGTTCACATAGTGAGGTCAATTATAATTCTATTTACCGAAGGTTGTGACAGAAACATTCACAAAATGCAACAGAAGCATAAGTGATAGAGAAACTAATCTGACCTATGAAAAATGGAAACAACTTTCCAGAGGAGGAAAGAAAAGTACATTCTAGGCAGAAGTCTTAAAAAATATTAGGACATTGAGTTGTCCCAGTCAGGAGAGAAATAAAAAGGTGCTGGGAAGCAGGAAATTCAATGCACAGCTAAAAGTGTTGCACGATTAGGAGAGGGAGCTACAGGTTTCTTAGATTCATTTATCTTGGAAACACTCTTCAGCACCTACCATGTATCTGGCACTGTGCCAAGACCAGCAGACACACTAATAACCAAGGCGTGGAAGGGTGCTGATTATAAAGTCAAGATTGTAAAGAGTGTCAGGTGCCAAGCTAAAAAGCATGCGCTTAGCCCTGCAGACAATAAGGACAATTAGGCACATACCCAGGAGAAATGAAAACATACATCCACACAAAACTGTGAGCAAATGTTTAAAGCAGCATTATGTATAATGGCCAATGGTGGAAACAGCCTACATGTCTATCCCCTGAAGAACAGGTAAGCAAAATGCGGCTTAGCCTTACAATGGGATATCACTCAGCAATAAACTAGAGTGAAGAACTGGCACAAGCTACAATGGGGATGACCCTCAATTACAGCCACAAAAGGCCACATACTGTATGACTCCATTCGTATGAAATGTCCAGAAGAGGGAGATCTGTAGAGACAGAAAGTCGACTAGTGGCTTACTTATGGTTAGGACTGGGTAACGGGACAGGATAGGAGGGTTTCTTTTGAAGTGATGAAAACCTGCTAAAATTGATTGTGGTGAAGGCACCTTATCTGTGAATATACTAAAAACCACTAAACTGTATGCTTTAAGTGGATTCTTTTTATGGTATCTAAATTATATTTGAATAAAGCTATTTTAAAAAGTAGGAAGTCAATGAAAGTTTTGACAATGAACAATCAATTTCCCAAATTGAAGTTTGAGAAAGTAAACACTGAGTAGACAGGGAGAGAAGACTGCAGGCAGAAAGCCTGGCTAGACTGCTCTGCTGGGAGTCTAGGCCAGCTGGGCATTGGTGGTGAGAAGGGAGAAAAAAGGCCTAATTATGGATATGTCTGATATGATCCTACCAGCATCGGTGGGCAGGGATGTGGGAGCAAAAAGAGTGAAGAAAATAAAAAAAGTCAATAGGAGGCAAATGTAATTGCTTGCATACCCAGTTGCACAGTTACACTATTACAAAGAGAGCCTACAAGACAGAGCTGGTTGGTAAAGGAAACAACATGTCAGTTTCACTAACGTAAAGAGGGCACTGCCCCTGGGCCACCCAATAGCAAATTGGAAATAGGAGTCCAAGACCCTAGAGACATATTTGGCAGCCAGGGAAATTTAAGTCTATCACTGGGTGAGATATTCCAAGAAAAGTGTTGCATTAGTTTGTTTTCACACTGCTAATAAAGACATACCCAAGACTGGGCAATTTACAAGAGAAAGGTATTTAATTGGACTTACAGTTCCACATGGCTAGGGAAGCCACAAAATCCTGGTGGAAGGCAAGGAGGAGCAAGTCACGTCTTACATGGTTGGCAGCAGGTAAAGGGAGTGAACTTGTGCAGGAAAACTTCTAACAACCGTCAGATCTCGTGAGACTTACTATCATGAGAACAGCACGGGAATGACCTGCCCCCACGATTCAATTACCTCCCACTGGGTCCCTCCCAAAACATGTGGGAATTCAAGATGAGATTTGGGTGAGGGCACAGCCAAGGCATATCAAGTGTAAAGAACAAGAAGAGACAAAAACCAGAAGTAAATCCTCAGGGATAGGGAGTATTTTATAAGGTAGGAAAATATCTGACAAAAGATTTGTACCCAAAATACATAATGAACTCCTACACACCAATATAAAAAGATAGTCCAACAAAAATGGACAAAAGTGCTGGGTGCAGTAGCTGATGCCTGTAATCCCAGCACTTTTGGAGGCCGAGGTGTGTGGCTCGCTTGAGCCCAGGAATTCAAGATCAGCCTGGGGAACATAGCAAGACTCTCTCTACCAAAAATTAGCTGGGTGTGGTGGCATGCTCCTGTAGTCCCAGCTACTCAGGAGGCAGGGGTAGGAGGATCACTTGAGCCCCAGAATTGGAAGTTGCAGTGAGCCGAGATCGCACCACTGCACTCCAGCCTGAGCGACACAGTGAGACCTTGTCTCCAAAGAAGAAAAACACACACACACACACACAAGGTGTGAACAGTCACTTCACAAAGGCCAATATATAAATGGCCAATAAGCACATTAAAAAGTGCTTCAATGCCACTGGTCATTAAGAAAAAGTAAATTAAAAGTACAGTGGGGTACTACTACACATCCACCAAAATAACTACAATGGAAAAGACAGAATATATTGAGGGTCTTAAGAATGTGGAGCAACAAGACCCTCAAACAATGCAGGTAGTAATGTAAATCAGTAGTTATTGTGGAAAATTATTAGCCTCTACTAAAGGGAACACATGTGTACACTGTGACTCAACAATTTCACTCCTAAGTATTTATACAACAAAAGCACATGCATATGTCCATCAAAAAATACACGCTGGAATATCTACAGCAGCAACACGTTGTAACAGTCACAAACTGAAAACTTACCAAATATCGATCAATAATAAAATTGATACATCGTGATATATTGGCACCTTGAATCACTACATACTGATAACAATGAACAATCTGCACATAAAATATTATAAATCACACAACTATAATGGTGAAGAAAAGCAAAAAGACACCAAAGGGATTTACACTGTATTGTTCCATTTATATCAAACATCAAAATAGGAAAAACTAATCTATGATGTTGAGAGTCAGAATAAAGTTTGCCCGTGGGGGTGGGGTCAGGTGCAGAGAATGGAAAGGGCCATGAGGTGGCATCCAAGGTGCAGGCTATGTTCTTTTTCTTGATCTGGGTGCTGGGCACACTGCATGTGTACACAGTGATTTGCATGTATGTAACATTTCAATTAAAAAATTAAAAGAGTTTAAAGAAATTGGAAAAAAATCATGAAGGAGATAAATAGGAAATTAGGAGATCAGTAGCTCAAACCCTAGAGAGTGATGTCTTAGAAACAAAAAGACATTTTGAGACGTTAACCAACAGTTTTCAACACTGTCAATTGCTTCAGAGAGGTCAGAAAACATGAGAACTAAAACAGGCTATCGAATTTGCAAATTGGGTACATTAATTTTGAATGGAAATGCCATTTGGGTTCAAGTTAGCTTTATTGATTTCATAGGAATACGTGAGTGGGTATGCTTACTAAAATGAACTGCTTGTGTAAAGGTCTTCCAAAATGAAAGGGAATATAACTTAGCCTTAGGTAAACATATCTAGAAAGCATAACATTTAGCTGATTCTGAGACTCCAAAATGGTTTTTTCTTTGGATAAATGCTTAGAAATTCAGTGTCATCTCGATCAGACAATCACAAATCAGTTAAATGATGGGCTTATAATGACTTGGAAAGCATTCCAAGGCTTCTATGAAGTGATTCCAAGTCAGGTTATTAAAATGTGCTCATATGTTATAGCAATTTTGCCTTTAACGTTAATATATTTCACTCATTCTATCTACTCCCAAGCTGTGAAATGATGTTGCAACTGTCATCACTTAGAAATATGAAATTCTGTCTCTGTCCATCATAAAACAACAAACAAAAACACAGAAACAAGAACTGGATTTACTCTATGTCTTCACTAAAGTTTCAGACAGTACAGAAAAAAAAAAAATGAAAGAAGGAAACAAACAAAGTGGACCTTATGAGTGGCCCAGCTTACTTCCTGAGTTTCTAAGATAATTCCAAAAGGAGGAAATTTGAATAAAACTTGGTTATATTGTGGGGTTAGGGGGACCAAGTATGACACTTGAGGGGACTAAGGCTGCTAGAATTTACAAAGTGGAAAGAAGGAAGTTATATAGAGAGGGAGCTCCAGAGAGCGGAAGGAGCTTCCAGTTGATGAGTCCTTAACTGTGTGCTGATATTTGCATGCGTGTAAGAAAACTACCAAGGTTGGATTAGGAACACCAGAAAGAAGTGGGTGAAAATCTGTGAAGCTCACACAGGGGAGAAAATAGTTCATGTTTCAACCAGCAAAAGAGGTAAGAACTTCTAATAAATAGAACATCAGATTGAGTATTCAGAAATGTATCACACAGCTGCAGGGGACAAATTAATCATAACAAAATTTAAAAGTGATCCTAGAAGGGAACAAACTGAGTCTAAGTAATTGAACTGCACAACAAAAAACTTTGATGATAATTAATAGAAACCAACAATCAATCAATAATATAAAATTTACAATGTCTGTCATTCAATAAAAAATTGGACACAATAAGGGAAATATGGCATATTATTAGGAGTAAACTATTCCACAGAAAGACACATAAATGAGAGATGATACAATTTGCAAGCATGGATATTAACATCACTCTTATAAATATTCTGTCAATATGTACAAGACAGTAGGAAAAAGGAAGAGCTCATTGATGAGAGAAATGGAGAAAATACAAACAGCCAAGCTGCAAATAAAACAGTCAAATGGACCTTCTAGAGATTCAAAATGTAATATATGAAATGAAAGTTAGACAAATAGGATTAATGGCAGATTACACCCTTCAGAAGAAACTGTCAATGAACCAGAAAACAGAGCAATTAAAACTACCCAAATTGAAAAACAAACTTTAAAAAGGCTTAAAAACAGTAAACACAAAACTGGTGAGATGTGGGCCAATATCGTTTGGCCTAATATACGTATAATTGGAGTTCTAGGATGAAAATGAGATACAGAAAAAAAATCGAACAATTAATATACAGAAGTTTCAAACTTTAATGAACACTAGAACCTCAACTATCCATCAAATTCAACAAACACCAAACAGAAGCATGTAGAAAACCACAACATGACACATGATTAAATTGTTCAAATCCAACATAAAGAAAAAAACTTAAAGGCAACCAGATTAAAAAATAAATACATGTTATATTTAGAGAAACAAAGATAAGAATGACAGCAGACTTCTCATCAGAAACAACGCAAAACAGAAGACAAGGGGAGAGAAATTTGAAGCATTTTTTTAAAAAAAAGACAGGAAAGAAAAACTGTCAACCTAAAGCTCTATATGCAGAAAAATTTTCATAAAGACAAAATAACTTTCTAGACATTCCAAAGCTGAGAATTCATTGTCAGTAGACTAGCAATACAAAAATCGTTAAAATCTTTCAGGAAGAAAAGAAATAATATCAGATGCAAATTTGTGACTTCATAAAGAAATGAAGAGTGACAAAAATGTTAAGCATGTGGGTGAATATAAAATCATATTTTCTCACTTTAAATCATCAAAAGATACATTACTGTTAAGGCAATAATAATGCATTGTGTGGTTTGTAACATATAGATAAAATGAATAACAATATTAACACAAAGGCAGGAGGAAGGAGGAAATAAAAATTTATTGTTGTAAGGTCCTTCTATAAATTAAGTGGTATTATTTGAAAGTAAGCCATGTTACTTTGAAGATGGACATTGTAAACTCTAAAAGCAACCACTTACAAAGCAAAATAAAAACAAAACTTACATGTTAATCCTTTAATGCAGGTAAAATTGACAATTTAAAAAATACTCCATTAATCCAAAAGAAGGCAAGAAAGAGAAAAATAAAGGAACAGAGGACAGATAGAAAAAATAGGGAGCAATTAGCAAGATGATAGGTTTAAACGAAACCAAATTGACCATCACATTAAATATAAATTGCCTAAACACTCTTAAAAGTAAAACATTGTCAGATTGAATAAAAAATAAATACCTAACTATACGCTATCCAGGAGAAATTCTATTATAAAGAAACTGATAGACCAAAAGTAAAAAAAATAGAAAAAATATAAGCTAACACTACTCTAAAGAAAGTGGGAGTGATTATATTAATATCAAAGTAGATTTTAGAATAAGAAATATTACTAGGGACAGATGGTTATTCCCTAATGATAAAGTGGTCAATTCATCAAGGTGACATAACAATCCTAAATGTCTATGTACCTAATAAAAGAGCTTCAGAGGACATGAAGCAAATCTGCTGGAATTAAAGTGAAAAATATAAAATCCAAAAGGAGAACTGAGAGCTGGGTCTCTCTCGCTCTTTTTTTTTTTTTTTAGTGCTAATTACCATTAGGGTAACGTAACAGTGTTTTTTGTTGAGATGTAGGTTGCATTCTTGAATGTTGGAGGTTAAGAAACTGTGAGTAGAAAAAATCCAATGTCATCTCACAGCTGTCATACACTAGGGTCTGGCCACGCTGGTCTCCTCAGTGTCCTAGGTCCCCAATCCCCTTCCAACTCGGGGTCTGTGCTGGTACTAGGCTCTTAGCTGGAACACTTCACCCTCCTTTATCCAATTAACTCCTACTCATTCATTGAATGTCAGCTAAACACCAATTCCTTAGAATTTATTCCCGGTCTTCTACCTTTCATACTAGACACCGTGTCCTACCTTTCAGCTTCTTGCATCACACTGTCATCAATGTTTTCATAGCTATTTTGCATGTGCACCCCACTCCATTGCAATCTAGAAGAGGGGCAGCATGCTTCATAGGAGATGATGCAATCTTATTCTTAGAGGCAGCTGGTGTGCTGGCTAATACATAATAGAAGCCCTCACATTTTTTATTGAATGCATAAATAAATGTTTAAAAGAAAAATATTATGGTTTTCATACTACATATAACTAAAGAGATTCCTTTTAAGAAGTAACAATCTGTATTTTATATACATCATCTACTATAATCTAAATTCCATTATATAGATATCAAGGGACCACAAGGATGAGTGGCTGACAAAAAGAATTTCTGAGGTGCTATAAGAACACACTTCGAAGATTTTAGCTACTTTGTGTAAGAATGTTCTTTTTATCCAATATTTGTACTTATTTTGCAACAAGAAGGAAAAAGCCTGATTTTTGCCATGGGTTTTACAAAGCTCTGGAGAAAAAAAGTAAAAATAAATTAGTGTTTTACCCAGAAAATGTCTGAGTATTGTTTGCAATCCATTTCTAGAGTACTACTTCCATATGTGTATAGGGAATTCATTTTAGAGATAAAAGTCTCTCCATCCCTTTGGATGGATTAAAGTCACTCTCATTAACATTGCTAGGGGTTAAGTGTACATTTTCAGAGAGGAATATAGAATCTGTAATGAATAATATGTATGTGGTTTACTACGTTCCGGCATTTACATTTTAAGCTCAAAGGTTTCAAAAGGCATGAAAGTGGCTAGCGATTTGGAAGGAGCAGAAGACCCAGTGAGCATTATGATCACAGGCAGTAAAGCACATGAATAAACCAAAATGATGTAAATGGCTCCTTAGGATTCGGAAGCATAAAAACTGGGGAACAAGAATAGAACAAACGAATGAAGAAAGAGTACAGAGTTATGTAAAGAATTACAAATGAAGAAAATCAGCAGAAATAACAGAGAAATAAAGATAACATCACAATAATGTTAACAGAATTGCTTTCTGCAGATTAAGAGGCAAAGAGTTGGAGAGAGAGGGAAAAAATTACAAAATTGAATGTCCAAAAACATGGCAATGTGAAATAGCAACAAAAAAACAGTGAAGCAACAATAAAGTAAGATTATCAAAGGGAAGGGGAGGAGGACGTTAACCAAAGCCAACTGAATCATTTCTCCTATGATTAAAGAAGAAAATGAATTATAACCAGAGACTGACTGGTACCTCAGCATAAAAATGTAAAATCCAAGTTCGGTAATTAAACCTTTCACTCCAGCATTAAGTGAAAACACTGAAGTGAAATGACAAAAAGACATAAATTCTTCTTAGTTTCATTGACTAATACACTGTTGAGCATTATTTTCTTTTGCTAGAACTTCACTATGTTCAGAAGTGCTTCATTTTTCATTTTGCTCTGACCTAAGGACTTACAGAAATCTAATGTTTTAAGTAATTTCTTTCTTCATGTAACGCACAGGTTTAAGTTTCAGAAACAAAATAAATGACCATTCTCATAAATGCAAATACACCCTAAGTCATGAGTGATGACAATTTTTAAAAAAACTTTGAAAGACTCTTTAAGGATTGACTCCAGTCTAATCTGGTCCCTCGAATTTACCAGCCTTTCCAGGGTTTGCTCTGAATGAGAGACTGGCTCACTGGCTTCCTCTAGTATGACTTCTTTTGGCTTTCTCCACAATGTTAAATCCATTGCCATTGGCATCTCATGACTGCCAGCATCTCATCTCTCTTCCCCTTTGTCCTTAGAGTGTTTGTAAATCCCTTTATTTCCATGTTAATGAAGCTTCTGTGGCAGGATGAGGAAGCAATGACAAAGTGTAGATGTCCAGTTGCCTTTTCTTATCAGCAATGCCTACTGTCGCCAAAGCAGTGATGGAAAAAAAAACCTGCGTCCGGGCTCCAGGTATGAGGTACTCTTCTATCTTCCCAGAGGACATTGGGGAATACTGCATGAATGAAACTCACCTGACTTTACCATCCCTTGTACTCATACCACCTGATCCAGTTCTGTATTTTTGCCCTTGCATATCAACAGACTGTTCGTATATGTGACTTTATTCATTGCCAAAACATTTGTACCTTGAATGCAGCAAAGGGGGCATTGTCATCCTTGTAAACCGTGTGCTCACACAGCACTGAGTGTATGGACAATGCAATCAACACTTAAATGTAACCGAAGGCAGACCTCTGTGGAGGTGGAAAAAGCATTTCTTTGTGAGAAAAGGTGCCATCATTTCTGGGGTTCTCTGTAGTTGGAACCTGCTCTCAGGTTCTGACCTAGGAGTGTGGAGACCAAGGGCCTGCCTTTTCTGGACCTCAGTGTGCAGCCATTTATAAAGCAAGGTGTGACTGACCTAGAATTCCATACTCAAAGTATCAAACAAGTAAACGAGGACAATTTTAGATCATGCAAAGTCAAAATTTTGACCTCTCATGTACCCTTCTTCAAAAAGCAATTAAAAAATGAATTAAAAGGTTGCAAACTCAGAAAGAACATACGATATCCAGAAAACAGACGGTACAACATAGGTGAGAAACAAAAAGAATTTCCAGAATAACTGTGAACGATAACAGAACAACAAACATACAGCAGAAATCAGTCCAGATTAAAGCAGAAAGAAGGCTCCTGGAGAGATGTTTCCAGGAAAAAAATAAACATTCAAGCACGCTAATGCATCTGAATGTATTAAGAAGAGTGTTTAGTCCGTTGGAGAATTTGGGGAATGAATTAGTAACACATGCAGTGAAAACTAAGTAAACAAAGAAGCAAGTGATTATTAATCCTAGGAAAAACACAAAGCTGTAATAGAAAAAGTGTTCATCATATACTATGTGGCTCAGCTGTAGCTAATATTTACATAGTCATAATAATGTAAATCATAAATATTGATCTAACCCCAAATGGTAGTATCATTATATAGATAAAATAGAAAAAGATAAGAAAAGAGGGCATTCACAGTCCATAAAATCAAGGTAAATCCATATCTAAACTTGAAAGATTAAGAATTTCAGTGTAAAAAGATAACTTAAAAATATGGGTCTGAACATAGAAGAGTCAGCTTTAACAGGAAAAAAAAAAATACTCACAGAAAGCAAAGTCTGTAAGTGAGTGTGTTTCCAGAGAGTTTGTCTAATTCCAATCATGATCAGAAGGAGCCCAAACCAACCCTATGCGGAACAGTGCCTTCCAAGTGGACGCAGCACAATTTGTCTGATTCTCTGCTATGGTTTGAATGTTTGCCCCCACTCGAACTCATGTTGAAATTTAATCCCCAATGTGGCAGTATTGAGGGGTAGAGCCTTTAAGAGGTTATTGGGTCATGTAGGCTCTGCCCTCATGAATAGATCAATCCATGAATGGATTGATGGAGTAATGGATTAATTGATTAGTGGGTGGGTTGTCATGGAAGTGGGACTGGTGACTTTATAAGAAGAGGAGGAGAGATCTGAGCTGGCATACCCAGCCCCCTCTTCTCTGAGTCCCCATCAGCAAAAAGACCCTCACCAAATGTGGCCCTTCAACCTTGGACTTCTTAGCCTCCATAATTGGAGGAAATCAATATATCATTTCTCTATAATACCAGTGTCAGGCATTCTGTTACAAACAACAAAAAACAAAATAAGACATTCTCACCTACATCAGTCAGCTGGAGACTAATGACGCCCCACAGGCTCTCAATGATGGAAAACACACGATGCTGAAATCTCGCCTACAGAGGCTTATTTAGGAGTCTCAAACACGCAAGACTTTAAAAAATCTGTTGATTGGAACCCTGGTTAAATTATTGTCCTAATTTCCTTGTCCACTTAGCTATGCCCCTGTTCTGGGATCCAGTATTCTTAAAACTTCAAGAAGTTTTCTTGCCTTCCTCCTCATGTATGTGATTCTTCTGCACATTTGTTAGTACTTCAGAAAAAAATTAATAAGAGTCACATAAGGTATACTCAAAAATATCCTTAAAATATGAGAGTTTTAATCGAAGAAGTAAAAAGCATCATTCTTAACAGTTGCCCAACCCAAACATGTGGGTGCTTGTAGAGGTCCCTGTTTTCCTCATATCTTATATTCACAGCATCAATAAGTCTCTTAGCTGTACCCTCAAAATATACCCTGCATCTGCCTTGTGCCATCTCCTCTGCCACTCCCTGGTCCAATCCACCATCACCTCTCCCTGGTGCCCAATGGGTCTCTCTGCTTCTACCCTGGTCCCCTACACACACACTCTCATCCATCAGCTCCATCAGTGAGAGTGATCCAGTTAAGATGGCTCAGGCCATCTCTGGCCTCTGTTCTGAGCTTTTGAGGACCCCATTCTCCAGGTAAAAGCCTATCTTCCTACAGGATCCATCCTCACTGTTTCTTCTCTGATGTCATCTCCTACCACCCTCCCCTGGGGATCCCACCGCAGCCACACTGGCCTCCTTGTCGTCTCTAGACCACCCCTGCAGGCTCCCACCTCTGGGTCTCTGTACCTGCTCTCCCTCCACCTGGGATGTTTTTCTCCCAGAAACTCCCTGGCTCACCTTTTCCAGCCTTGGCTGTGCCGTCTCCCCCTCAGGGATGCTTCCCCTGACTGCCTGGTAAAGATGGCGGCACTTCCACTACTGCAGCGCCCCCTCCGACCCACGCCTGCACTTACTCCCCATGGCCCTCAGCGTCTTTAGTGCACTCGATCATTTACCTATTTGTTATACTTGCTTCAACTGTCTGCCTCTAAACCTATCCTAAAATTTTGGTCCCTAAAAAGTAAATATTTTGGTTGATTTTATTCCCTGATGTATTCCCAATTCCTACAATAGTTTCTAGCATGTAGCAAAGAGTCTCAACAAATATTTAATACTTCTTGAACACAAGACTGTTAGGCTAAATTCAATTAAATATCAATAAGTCTCAGTGACATATAGTGTTTTAAAATTAAACATTCACTATAAATGATTCTTTTTTTTTTTTATTTTGAGACAACTTTTGCTCTTGTTGCCCAGGCTGGAGGGCAGTGGTGCAATCTTGACTCACTGCAACCTCCGTCTCCCGGGTTCAAGCAAATCTCCTGCCTCAGCCTCCTGAGTAGCTGGGATTACAGGCACCTACAACCACGCCCGGCTAATTTTTTGTATTTTTAGTAGAGACGGGGTTTTATCATGTTGGCCAGGCTGGTCTCGAACTCCTGACCTCAGGTGATCCACCTGCCTCAGCCTCCCAAAGTGCTGGGATTACAGGCATGAGCCACCATGCCTAGCCCACTACAAATGATTCTGAATGCCGCCTCTCCATTTGCACAGCACCTTAGGCCCTTCCCAAGCATTTTCACCCATCATTGTCACATTTAATCCTATAGATGTTTATTCTTACAGACTGCACTAGGTGAGAAGTCAGAGCTCTAGAGAAGAGAAGGAAATTAGTTACCCTGGATTCCGTATTGTGTGTCAGCAAAGCACCAAGATGCCCAAGTGTGCTCCTTCACTCAGTGGTAATGCATCTACACGTGGCAATATTTCAATCTCCACTGACATGGGTCGCTAGCCCCGTGTCTGCCAAGAAAATATCACCAAGTGCATTATCAAACTTTATATTCAAAGCTGTAACTATTGCTTCTGTTCTTGGCATGATTAAATAATTAGCTTTTATGGAATACACATTATGTGCTAGGATTATGCTAAGTAATCTAAATACAAAACCTTATTTTAATCCTCAAACTACACCTCACAGGCTGCTATTGCTGCTATTTTTATGTCAGAGATGAGAAACCATATAAACTTTGAACTCTGTCGTGAGGAACAGAGCTGGGATTTGGTGCTAGGTTGTCAGTTAAGCAGTGACTGTGTTTGGGCTCAGAACCCTTTAAGAATGAGAAGAAAGTGCTGCACTCTGTCATGAACAAAAAGGACACACACAGTTCTGTTTCCAGCTCCTTAAAGGTCCAAATCCCCACTTAAAACACCTTTGATCTAAACATTGCTGCAGATTATTTAAAATTCTCATAATAAGATGTGCTTGGGCTAGGTATGCCGTGTAGTCCTTGGAGCTCATCTAAAGCCTTATAAACTGAATCGTGTTCCTTTGTAATCACTTAACATTTAGATAGATTGAGGTTCAGTAATCAGATCTTTAAGTCACAGCCACACAAAAACAAGACAACTCTGCTAACATGTCTTTGGTTATAACATTTATTTCCTGTTTCTTTTTTTGTTGTGTTCTATAAAATCTTAATGACCTACTTTCATATACTTCTTCCAGAATTAAAACTATGATCAAAAATTGAAAAAACCAAACCAGAAAACATGATTTTTAGAGTGGCTTCCTCCAAAGACATCCTCTAGGCCAGATCCATGGTGAAAATGTAGCACATTCAACATACACTGTGGTATTAATGCTAATTTACAACTGCACTACAACCAAATCTCAGTTGGAATTCATTAATTTTGACAGTTTGCCTATCACACTAGAATGAATTCGCCGAGTCACAGAAACGTCTCTGAAAAGAGAAGAATCACATTCTCCTTGCTATTAAGTATTCATAACAGACTGGAGTTGAACATTCTCAAGGCAACTAGACATACCATTAATAATCCCAGAACCTATGAAATGTGGCTTGGGCTTCACCGAGCAGAAACCCGTAGCCACTCAGGTCTCTTTCCTTCTATACCTAATATGCACCAGCTGTGTAATGGGCTCCGAAGAGCCTCCGGGGCGCAGGAGGTCATAAAATAGAGTCCATTATTCCACATTGGAAATTTGACTTGATTTGGACTTGACACTTCATTTGGAGAAATGTCCTGGAGGCATAATTTTTTCTGGAAGTTTGGGGTTGGGGTGAGTGGCTGGCTGTTGCAAATGAATCCTGTGGAACATTTTTAAACTTAAAGGAATGAGACTTCTTAAATATTTCCTTCATGATGACTTCTCAAAATAAAATTGAGTTGTAAAGTCTGAAAGTTATTACTGGAATGTTTTAAATTAAACCGACCCAGGATCGCAGATTTCCAAGAGAGAGTGTGAAGACCGTGCCAGTCACAGCATTTTCCACCGTTTGATAAAAATCAAATCTTATCTGTAAAGACATAACTGTTCTAAGATTTTATAAGCAGAAAATAACGCCCATAGCATCTATCAAGGATGCCCCAGGGCCACAAGCCTGGCACGCTGTCCAGCCCATGATGCTGTCTCTATAAGAGGCCACCTGATGTGATGTGCTGGAAGACTGTTGCCAAGGCAACACAAACTGCAAGAGAGGAGGGGGTGGGAGCAAGACCCCGGACTCACAATACCCCAGATTTCAAATCAGTAGATTTAGAGTATTTGCATATTTTGGGGCACCTAGAGTACAATGTTAACAATATAGCACATGCAACTTGCTCAATGATTACTAAAGCCCAAAACAGAAATTGTTACAAAATATTATGGAATGATCCTGTTACCATCAGAAAAATGTTTAGCCCATAGAAAGTAAACCTATGACCCCAAGTCACTACCTAAAGACCTATTTTTATGTTTGCATATTTGGACCAACTCTATGCATTTAAAAACAAAATAATTTACATATTTATTGTTTCTCTCATACTTTTAAAGTATGAGGCCAGTAAACTAGAATGTCAGAGGCAACAAATATGAGCTTCGGTAAGGAAGGTTTGGTAATAAGGATGTGAGCCATAAGCATGACTGTTCTGAAGAAGTATTTAGGAATGGGTCAAAGTCAACCTTACAGATTCTGAAGTAACACAAAATTAGGCTAGTATTAACTTTGTTGTATTTAATGTTTTCATTAGTCACTTAAACACAGGTAGTATGATAGGAGTGATAGTGAGAATAATGTTAACAAGAAGACAATTTCACTAAATACCAGGACAGACACTGCATGATCTCATGGAATTCCCCATCAACCCACAAGGCAGTTGCAATCATGGTCCTCATGATAAGGAGGGGAAAGTTGAGGCTATAGCTCATGGGGCGGTGAGTATACTAGTTTGCTAGGGCTTCTGTAACAAAATACCATAAGCCAGGTGGCTTAAACAACAGAAATATTTTTTTTCATGGTTCTGGAGGTTAGAAGTTCAAGTTTGCAGTATCCACAGGGTTGGTTTGTTCTGAGGCTTCTCTCCTTGGTTTGTAGAAAGTGTCTTCTCAATGTATGTTCACATTCCCCTTTGTGTGTGTGTCCTAATTTCCTCTTCTTATAAGGATATCAGTCATATTTAATGAAGGCCCATCTTACAGGCCACATTTTAACTTAATTACCTCCTTCCCACTGCACCCCCCCCCCCGCCCCCCGGGTGAGAGTCTTGCTCTTTCACCCAGGCTGGAGTGCAATGGTGCGATCTCAGCTCACTGCAACCTCTGCCTCCCGGGTTCAAGTGATTCTCCTGCCTCAGCCTCCTGAGCAGATGGGATTACAGGTGTGCACCACATCTGGCTAATTTTTTGTATTTTTAGTAGAGACAGGGTTTTATCACGTTGGCCCGGCTGGTCTCAAACTCCTGACCTCATGATCCACCTGCTTTGGCCTCCTAAAGTGCTGGGATTACAGGCAGGAGCCACCACACCAGGCCTGCTTAATTACCTCTTTAAAAGCCCCATCTCCACATACAATCACCTTCTGAGGTCAGTGGTTAAGGCTTCAACATAGTTTTTGGGGGATACCATTCAACCCCTAACAGAGGGAAACAAGGATGGTAGAGGAACCAGGGACCATAATATGGGACAAATGTGATAGAATTCTGAAGATTCTGCAATGACTGCTGTGGGCAGGAGGATGAAATCTATTATATCACCCTAGGACCCTCCCTTCCTTTAAGAATGAAGTTAAAGAGAGGCAGATGCCACCACCATGTAAGGCAGAACATTCTAACAATTAGAACTGCCCAACATTGAACATACTGAAATGTTTTCAAGGAGAATGGTGTATTGGAGATGCCAAGAACCTTGAAGGTTGACTCAGCAATATCTAGTCTCTTACTCATTCCAATTAAGAGTCATGAAATCACAAGAAGAATGCATGTTTCTCTGCCTTAGAGGAGATACACTGATTCAATAACTTCATCTCCTTGGAGGCTCCTTGCCTGACTGATGTGGACAAGGTCCTCTAATTAATCACACATTAGCTCTGATTCCTAAAATAGCTCATACAATTATTGAGGCAATTTCAAGTGAGCATGCTTTGCAAAATAAGTTACTTTTGCCCCTATACTAGTCCTAATTAGCTACTTGTATCATAAAACTAGAAAAGTCTAGCCTGAATCCAAGACAAATGCATACAAATGATGAATATGAAACACTTTTTGAGAGGACTTAAAATGTGAAGAAAGCAATATATGTGACTATTATCACCATTTAATGGTACTTTGTGCGAGTCCTGGGCTTGGAGCCAGCACCACGGATATGATGATCACTTGCTATTTTTTCTACTATTTCAGAGTCTCTGCTTTTCTATGCTGGGTAAGATCCATGTGATTGGCAGGTCAGACGATGCATAAAGTGATTTGAGGCAATTACAGCGACAGTTAAAGATTAATATGGGAAAATACTCTCATCTATTTTTTTCTTCCTGTATCTGAGAAACTTTCTCTAAAATCATTACCTTCCTGACCTATACAAAAGAGGCCCCAGGTATGGCAAACTGTGCCAGGCACTGGGAGGGTGCAGACATGCATGCAGGTGCTGGAGGGGCAAAAGGCCAGGTAGTTGCTGCACTCGTAAATAACCCACTGGAGAGGCACTTACAGGGAGGCAGGCTGGAGACAAGTGCCAGGGGAGGTATGAACCAGGAGCTTGGAAAGAACAGAGGAGCCTGCTGGATACTGACTGATGGGACTGAGGAGGTTGCTGCCTGCAGTTTCTTTTGCGGTTTCAATTCCCTACTCCCAGTCTACTTTTTGGTGAGACCTCACATTGGAGAAGCGGAATTACTCCACTGGGGGTAATTTTGCCCTCCCTAGGGAAAATTAGCAATGTTTGGAGATACTGTTGATTGTCATGAGGGAGGGTTTGGGGAGTGCTATGCCATCTAATGAGTAGAGGCCAGGGATGTGGCCAAACATCCCACTGTGTGTGGGACAGTCCCTCCCATTGAAGAACCATCCAACCCAAAATGTCAATAGGCCGCTGCTGAGAAACCTTGCCTCTGAGCATGGCACCCATAGACTGTGGGTCCTGCTCTCCCTCTGGCCCATGAGTGACTTATCAGAGAGGTGAGTTTGGGAAGAGAAAGTGACACGCCTCCTTTTCTTCTCCCCTCTAGCCTCCTTGACCTCAGGGGCCATGCCCACTGCTCTGCTCTGCTCCACTCTCCCCATGTTAAGTTGCAGCAAGACCCTGCTTGTGGTTGGGGGAAGGGCTCCAGGGGCCTGGCTTGGTTTGGTTCTGGGGTTTAGGATTAGCAAGGCCATTGCTGCCACCCGTCAGCACCACATTGTCAAGCTCAGACTTTGTCATAAACAGATGATATTTGATCTCCACCTGACCCCTCTCTATATCTTTCTGTTAATTGATTCCAAATATAGGCAGGGAGCTGGGGTGTCTTGGCATCCGTAAACCCCGACATCACTTACTGTTGAATCTTAAACAGATGATGGGCCCTAACTTAATTATACAAATGTCAGTCCTTAATAAATGATAAGCAGAGTAAGCCCTGTGAGGATTAACTTAGATGTGCATTAGATGCGATGTGGGGTCATCTAGAAATCGGAGTCACCCCAAGAAACGCTAAATGTTGTCAAAAGATGACACTGAGAGTCTCCAATCCAAGGAAATTTTCACCTGAAGCTTTCCACTTTAACAGCATCTACAGAGATCAAGCTACGGGGCTACAAGAGGAGAGCAGGAGGAAGATAAGAAAAGGGGCACGCTGCTTCCTCTTCCCAAACCCATCTCTCAGATAAGTCACTCATGGGCCAGAGGGAGAGAAGGACCCACAGCACATGGGTGCCATGCTTGGATGCAGGGAGCCTTGAAAAATACTTTTAAAAATATTCAAGAGCCACCTTGAGAAAGGCCTCTTTAAGAGACAAAGGGGCCAGAGCTTAGAGTCAAGCCATGCATACACAAAGGACAGAAAGGTCTTCCATCCAACCTGTGTAAATCACTGCACTTTCTTCTATCAGGGTGAGCCTCAATCTGCTTCTTCGAATGTAAATCCAATTGTCGGAGAGGTCTACAGATAATGTTTACCAAGCAGCCTCTTAGGAAAAATTCAACTGGGACCTCCATCCCACCATTCCAGCCAGAGTTTCAATATGGCTCGTTCACACTTGATTTCCACACCCTTCTTTTCAGTTAATACCCTTTTTTCCTTCTAATGTTGTATGAAAATGTAGACTCTGAGGGTTGTTTTCCTGCTTGTTTAATACGTGCAGTCTCTACCGTCCCTCAGCTTTGTCAGTCCACCTTCTTGGGTTCTGAATGTTCTCATGTATTTATGTAGACAAACGTGAATGTGCTTTTGGAAGAGAAGAGAGTAGACAAAGTAAGAAGAGAATCTTGGATTTTGACTTGTTATTGTCACAAAACAGAAATGCTGGTTGGTTCAATATTTAAACTGGTCAACTATTCACAAATGAATTTTTAAAAAATTGCTAAAGCATTGAGAGATAAATTAGCAAAGGAATTCATTACTCTCTGTTCTCTTTGCCTGTACATATATGTTATTTGCATGTATCACACTGAGGGTACTGATCCACGTGTTTTTCTCCTCCAGTTGATTTAAAGTTCCAAATGGGTAAGTACTGCATCCTATTATGCTTGCATTTCTAACACCTAGTACGGCACTGATACAAGCTAGATGACTATTTGTGTTTACTGAATTAAATTCCATTCAAAAGATACATGAGCAGGCAAGTAGCAAGGAGGAAATACAACTAGTTAAGGAACGTATACAATTTACAGCAATTAAGGAACTGTTACAAACTGCCACAGTGTTTAAAACACACTTGCTTTCATCTGAAATGAGTGTGTGCATGTTTTAGAAAGCAAGTTGGCTATAGGTGTCAAGATCCCAAAAAAAGGCTGCAAACTCTTGCCCAGTATTTCCACTTTTGGGGGCCTATTTTGTAATACAAATATTTACCATTTGTGCAGTACCCACCTACATTCCAGACACACTGTGCTAAGAGATTTGAAATGTCATTGCATCCTTTAGCCCTCAAAGAACAACCACCAGCACCTTATAGGGTAGAGATTAGTCCTATTTTAAGAAGGAGGACAGATATTAACTAATGTATGAAAGATCACAAAGGCCACATGGCTAGAAAGTGACAGAGTCATGATTCAAACCCAAATCTGTTGCATTCTGCACTATTTTTTATTTACAGCATTTCTGATACCAAATGGGCAGACTTTTTTCTCACACCAACCAATTCTCTCTGGAAGAGCAAATGCATATCCTACATTTCAGATCAGTTCTGACACTCACTACCCAGAGGTAGTGCAGACTTCCCCACCCCCAGCTTAAGGGCTCCATTCCCCGAGATTGCCCTCACTTCTGATGCCAGGTGCAAGTAGCTCATCCCCAGGCTACCCACACTTCAGTCCAACTTGAATACAAAGTCAAGGGGAACCTATGAATCTCCCCTTTCAGTTTTCATAATTTGCTAGAACTGCTCACAAAACTCAGGAAATCACTTTACTTAGTATTATCAGTTTCAAATAAAGGATGTAACTCAGAAATAGCCAAATGTGAGGAGAGATGCATAGGGCAAGGTATGGGGAAAGGGACACAGAGCCCCTACTCCCTCCCTGGACGCATCACCCTCTCTTCACTCAAGGATATTTACCCACCCAGGAGCTCTCCTCTGAAGCCCATCATTTAGGGGGCTTTCTGGTGGTTCTATTACATAGGCTTGATTGATGACATCATTGGCCATTGGTAACTGAACTCAACTTCCAGCTCCTCTTCTCTCTCCAAAAGTCAGGGGGTAAGCTCATGGGGGCCGTGGGTATATTAGTTTGCTAGGGCTGTAACGAAATATCACAGGCTGGGCAGCTCAAACAACAGAAATGTATCTTGTCATGGTTCTGGAGGTTAGAAGTTCAAGATCACAGTATCCACAGGGTTGATTTCTTCTGAGGCTTCCCCAATTGTGACCAACCCTGTCACTGTGACTTGGTCTTTTTGGTGTGCAGCCCCCCATCCTGAAGGTATCTAGGGCCTCCAACCACCTCATTAGAACAAAAGAGGCTTCCTTCACACTTGTCATTCAGGACATCTCAAGGGTTTTAGGAGCTCCTGTGTCAAGAACCAGGGACAAAGACCAAATATCTTTCTATGATGTCACAGATTGTCAAGCCCAAGCTTCTTTCTTCTATAACATATACTGAAGTTACAATCTTAAATAGCATAGGGTTTTTTTTGCACCAAGTTATTCTTTTTAATTTTACTTAAAAACCCTTATAGAATTGAAAATTATATAACTACTCCACAAGAAGAAGATAGTTTATTGTGGAACTTTAGTTTTATGGAATATTATGGATCAAAAATTACATTTAAAAAGACCGTGAAACACTATAGAAAATACTTAAGATAAAATGTTAAGCAGAAAGCAAAATTACAGTCACACAGTGATTTCAATCAGAAAGCAAGTTGATGCTACGGAACAAATACTGTAAGGAAGATTCTAGAATTATGGGAGTTAGGACAATAGACAATATTTTCCTTTATTCTAATTTCTTATTTTTACTAATGGATTGCTTTACTAGTGAATTTCTTGAATTCTGACTCTTGGTTATAAAATAAAAGGCAGGCTTTAATTTCACTGTAAGGCAGAAATGATACATATTATAGGATCACAAGTGTATATATATAAAAAATAGAGACACACAGCTTTATAAGGAAATACATCAACATTTTACCCAGTTACTGGAGAGGTTTGCTTTTAAAAACTCAGCAACCGGCCGGACAGTGGCTCACGCCTGTAATGCCAGCATTTTAGGAGGCCGAAGCAGGTGGATCACCTGAGGTCAGGAGTTTGATACCAGCCTGGCCAACATGGTGAATCCCCATCTCTACTAAAAAAAATACAAAAATTAGCTGGGCATAGTGGCAGGTGCCTATAATCCCAGCTACTCGGGAGGCTGAGGCAGGAGAATCACTTGAACCAAGGGGGCAAAGGTTGCAGTGAGCCGAGATTGCACCACTTAACTCCAGCCTAGGCAAAAGAGCAAAACTCCATCTCAAAAACACTCAGCAACCTGTCTGGGTTCATGTGTCATGACTATCAGGTGATTATAGGGCTGATGACACTAAGCCACAGGGAGAGGAACACAATCTCCGCAGGCAGAAAGAGCATCTCATTCTCTGCTGGCTTTCCAGAGCCTGGCCACATCCAGCATCCAGCTGACCTCAGAAGGGGCTCTTGAGTGGGTTCTGGGCTCCCAGTCTTCCAGCCCATATCAAGGTGAGGTGCAGCCTTACCTCCTGTCATGCAGAAACCACCTTCTTTTTCTGAAGGCACAGTCAATAAAATGATCCTCCCATTCAAGTCTCCCTTTCTGACCACACTTTAGTCTGAGAGGTAGCTCTCATTTCAGGGGAGTGATAGCCTTCAAGGGATGCTGTGGCTCCTACTAGTGGGAGGCATATGTTTCATTCATGTGAAATGCATTTCACGACAGTCTTGGCAAAGAGAAGGGTCTGCTCTGTTATGTACCCCCTCCCCGTAAGTAGCAATAGTTGATTGTATTTGCTTGATATTTTACATCAGAAGAACAATTAGTTTCTTGCTTTTGAGAGGTTACCAAATAAGGTTTTAAAAATTTTACCAAGAAACTAAATTAAATTAAAATGCACAACAGGTTGCAGGTAGACCATGCCAATGCATGAAATTCTAACTCTTGCTCTTTTCCTAAAGCAAACAGTGGGAAAGAGTTGCATCAGGGACCCAGAGCTGGTTCTGTAACCACTTAATTGTAATCGCATCTTCTTCTGCCCTTCATTAAGGACAATCCTAACTGTTGTAACAAATAAACCCCAGAATTTCAGTGGTCCAAGCTAACAGGCATTTACATCTTGCTTAGGAGTCACATGAAGGTCACCCCAGTAGTGTTCATGATTGGTGGGTGCCCTTCCTCTACACAACAATTCAGGAACCTTGGTTCTTGCCTTTTGGAGACCTCTCATGTCCTCTATCCCAGTGTTTTTCAAAGTGGAGGTCAATTAGAATCACCTAGAGTGATTGTTCAAAGACAGATTGCGGGGCCCCACCCCAGAGAATCTGATTCAGTAGGTCAGGAATGGGCCCCAGGTTTTGCGCATCTCACAAATCATCGAGTGACGTTGATGCTGCCAGTCAGGGGACCACACTTGGAGAAGCAAAGTCCTAGAACCAGATAGCAGAGAATGCAGAGAAACACACTTCCTGCTTCACTACCAAGGCTTGGAAGGTGCATCACTTCAACTCGCCATCCCTCAGCAGGGGCGAGTCACACGGACAATCCCCAACAAGGAGAGGGATGGAAACCACAGCCTGTGTCTGGGCAGCTGCTTCCCAGCTCCAACCCTGCAGGAAGAAGGGGGAGCATGAGTTCTGGTGGGGAGTGCACCATTTCTGCTAGCGTCCAGTGATGCTTTTACAGAGCTGGCTGTCCTTCCCATGGATCATCATGTTCCTTTTCTCCAGATTTTAATGTGGTATTATTTGTACTGAGACTAAAGGAGAGGATTATAGTCTTATCTTGTCACCATTCTTAATTTCAGCCATAGGCAAAGAGGAAAGAACAAGGACAACCAAACCTAGACAGGCGACAAGAGGACAATGGCAGGAGCACTGTCTGCAGCAATGCTGGGGGGAGGTGGGGGCCATGCCCTTGAGGAGTCGGACAGAGAAATCCACCTGCTCAGGGAAGGGGCAGCCCCAGAGAGGCTGGTCCAGCAAAAGGATGTATTCTTTGACAACAACTTTCTTGTTGCTGGGGCTGCCATAACAAAGCACTACAGATGAGTGGCTTAAACAACTGAAATTTAGTTCTCACAGTCCTAGATGCTAGAAGTCCAGGACCAAGTTGTCTGCAGGATTGGCTCTTCCTGGGGCCTCTCTCTTTCCTGTGTCTTCACAGGGCTATCCCTCTGTGTGAGTCTTTGTCCTAATCTCCTCTTCTTATAAGGATGCCAGTCAGACTGCATTAGAGCCAAACTTAATGACATTATTTTAACTTCATCACCTCGTTAAAGACTCTATCTCCAAATCCAGTCACATCCCGAGGTACTGGGGGTTAGGAATTCAACATATAATTTTTTTAAAAGTACAGTTTGGCCCATAACCCTGGGGATAAACTGTAGTTTTAACTTCCCGAAATCAGTTAAAACTTAGAGAATTAGTTTTTTTTTTTTTTTCCCCCAGAAAAGAAATTATCTCCTGATTCTGGCAGGCAGTTCAGTGTCAGTGGCTTCTTTCACTTTACAGTTTCCAGAAATGATTTTCAATATTCAGTCCATCATCACAAGTGGAAATGTCCATTGGGAAAGGCCACCTCTAGATGATGCAGGTGTAATTTTTTTTTTTTTTTTTTTTTTTTTTTTTTTTGCCAACATTTAAACCAAGAGCTACAGCAAACCCTTGCTAACTCCTCACCTGGGAACATGTGACAACACCTGTATGTGGGCAGAGGAAATGCCTGGAGCTGACAACCCTTTAAAGCAACTGCTAGAAAGCGCCTAAGACAGTGCTCTGTAAATTTTGACACAAATAAAATGTACAACTCCTTTGAGGATAAAAAACTCTAAATTTAATACAGAAGTCTTCTTCGAGATTTGAAATGTGAAGTTTCAAATACAGTTAGCTTTGAGCCGTGCCAATCCAAGCATGGCAGGTTTTACTGCAGCCACTTTGCAAAGCTAAGGGGAGATGAGGAGATAGTTTGGCCAGAATATTAAAGCCATATATTCAGTCCCTGCCAGACAAACTAACGGCAGCCCAGGTAAAGAGGGCAGAGAATTGTCCACAGCATTTGCTGACCCCATGTGCCTCCTCCCCCAATATGTTTCCCACACATTAGAGCCATTGGGAATAAAAAGCTCTTCTTTAAAATTCAAAACTTCCATGGAGCATCAAGCCTTATTTACATTTGAGTGCAAATTACTTTAATCATATAATTTTCAGCATTTGTTGAGTGCTGCTGTGTATTTCAAGAATGTACAATTTCATTTTGGATAAAGTGAATGGAAGGGAAGTTTAGGATCCATCTGGAAGGAGTCAAGGTCTTTGACCCAAGTAAGGCAGGCTAACAACCATAGGCTTTGAGGTGGTAGACACACTGGGGCTGAGAGGAGGACTCAGAAGGACAGGGAGGATGGCAAGTGTGAAGTGACTACTTTGAAATGCCTGGAGGCACTGAGATAAGTGGCACAGTTCTGAAATATATCTGCTGTGATTTACAAAGGTTTTAGTGGAAGTAACAGAAGTTGATAATGATGCTAAGCTCAGAAGATCTCAGATTGGTATTATCCTCCAACTCTAGGTTAGGCAGCTTATAGTCTCTCAAACTGATTGACAATATCTTAGCTAGGTAACTACTGTGTGGCATGCAGAAGGACAAAGGCTGTTACACTTACTCAGAATTTAGTGGGGGCATAGGAATAAGATGAGAACACCAAGGCCCTCTTATGGAAGATTAACCTGAAGTCAGTGCAGAAAAAGTGACTGGAAATGGAGAAAGAGGATGAACACAAAATAGTGAGAGTGGTCTCTGGTTTTCTAAAGCATGAGACTCTGACATGCTGAAAAGATCAAGTCTAGCTTGGGCAATGATTTACTTCCTTGGTTTTCTAGTTTTTCAGCTAAAAAACTGACACTTAAAAATGTCTACAGTGAAATGCTGTTGGACAGAAGGGATACAATTATATATTTAAAATGGACAAATGGGTGCTTAATATCTTTCATATTCACATGTTAATAAAACATGTGAATGCACATGCATGCACTCTTCCAGAATCACTCTACCAACTGTTTTCCACCTATGCACACTAAAGGAACTTATCTTCTCTGCTGTCTTCCTGAATAGCAGTTCTCAAACCATGGTTCCCCATACCAACAACATCAGCCTTACCTGAGTGATTACTAGAAATGCAATATCTCAGCCCCCAAACTCAGAGTGACAGAGTAAGAAAAGTCACCTGTGTGTTTAACAAGTCCACTGGGTAAATTTAATGCATGAAGTCTGAGAACCACTCTTCCAGACTAGCAGGTTCTAGCTACCTGGCTGCACGGTAGATTCACCTGGATACTTCTTAGAAAAGCAGTAATACTGCAGCCCCATCCAGATGAAATAAATCAGAATGTCTGTCAATAGGATCTGGGCTGAGATTTTTATTTTTTAAAATTTCCACCAGGTGATTCGAATGAGCAGCTCAGTATACTGACCTGAGTAACTCCAGATGAGGTGTTACTTAGTGTTCTTGTATTGACTATTCCTATATGTTCATTCCTTCATTTCCTTAAATGAGAATTTCTACTGTATGCCAAGAACTGCAGTAGGTGCTGAGAATACAAGATAGATAGAGATCACACATTTCTAGAGTTTTTAGTCTGGTGGGCATCAGAAAAAGCCCACCACGTACAGCCACACAAGTTGTGCACTGGCCAACTTCAATGGGCACCCTTCGTATCTTTATGTACAACCTAGACAGTCACATGCGACATCTGAGGTTGAAGTCCAAGGTAACCTTGGCATTTTAAGATGGAGAATATATAATTCCAAGCAGCTTTAGCCTTTGTCACTGGTACTGCCAAATCCTGAACAGGAGGTCCCAGCAGAACTAAGGACAGTGAATTGATTTCTGATTACTTCACTATGCAGCTCATTTCCCAATTTCTTTTTCTGGTAGCTCATTATTGGTGTAGCTCATAGACATGCAACTAATTTTTGTATGTTGATTTTTGTATCCTGCAACTTTAATGAATTTGTTTAAAGATGGAGAAAGGGGTCAGGAGCCAAGGAATATGAGGAGCACCACTGTAGGGCTGGAGAAGCCAAGGGAATGGGTTCTCTTCTACAGACTCTGAAAGGACATGGTCCTACTGACACACTGATTTTCATCCAGTGAAAGTGATTTTGTACTTCTGTCCTTCAGAGTTGCAAGAGAATAAATGTATGTTGTTTTAAGCCACTACGTTTGTGATAATTTGTGACAGCAGCAATATAAAACTGATACATATACACAAATAAAGAAAATCCAGAAAACAGAGTAGAGGTTTGAGAAAGCAGTTAAGGGCAGCTGAAATTTAATGATCTCCCTTTAGTGGGCCAGGGTCTGTGCTGGTTACTTTGAATGGATTACGTCCTATCCTTACAACAGTTGTTTGAGATTGTCATCATCATCACCAGATTCATTGTTACTGTTATTGCCATCTTCACTGTCATGATCATCATTGCCATTATTGTCAATATCATCATCATCCTTTTAATTAACATTTTCATCATTATTTTTATTTTAAAGATGAGGAAATACAATTATCAAAAAAGTTAAGCAGTATCCCCTAAATTACCCACCTGGCAAGCGGTAGTCAGAGTTTGAATGCCTCTGTCTCAAAAGTACAATTTCCAAAAGGTACTTTTCACTAAACAAATTTATACTTACACTTACTTTACTGAAGAAGACTTCTGCATTGAGATATAACATTCCACTCTAATTGGAGCTCAGAAGACTTTCATTTCATGATCTTTATGGCCTGAATACAGAGTGGCTGAATCAACCACTTTGAAGAGCTACAGAACAGATTTTATTGACGGCAACTAGCAAAAAGCAGTACATCCCACAAATGAATGCAGCAGTGCTCCCACAGACATGGTTCATATAGAAATTCACATGGTAAAATACCACTAATAGACTCCCCATTCAATACCATCTTGCCCAAAATAAATTGTTTCTGCATCATCAACTCCTGGCAACAACTTTGCTATATCTGAGTTGTCATTTCTCACAATAATGGCCTTTTATTCCACTTGGGGCCTGTCACCTGGAACAAATAAGGTCTTTACAAGGTCCCAGAAAATGAGAAAATGTTCTCCATAAATTATATTTTTCTGAGCTTATTCCCCACTCTGACATAATACAAGAGGTTAACCTGCTAGAGATGTCGAATTTCACACCCCAAAACATGCAGTGAGGATCTGCTTATACTAGAAGAAAAAAACAATCAAATGTATATTTTAAAAAATTAAAATTTGAGATAAAGAAGTACATTTAAAAAAAAATTTTGTGATACAAGAGAGTTATTCTGATACCATGTTTCTGTCTGGTCAACAGTTCTCAGGATCTTTCACAAGTCCTTGATCTGAGGAATTCTCCCTATCATTTCTCAAAATTTTTCTTTGTTCTCATGATGTAAATAGGTCAAAATTTCTTATAATCAAATCTGCTGACCAATAGATCTAAATACAATTCTATAAAAAGTAACAGTAATTATGAAGGAGAAACATGAGCAAGATTGCAGAATAGAAGACACCCTGACATTATTTCCTCCACAAACATACAACTGGAAACTATTAAAAGACAAGAATACCACCATGAATTCACCAGAACTTGGGGAGAAGTGGAGAAACCCACTAGGCCATAATAACTAAGAAAAATGGTCATTTCAGACTGTGCCACTCTCTTCTCCAGGCTTGTATAATGCCACTCACAGAGAATTGACACAGACTCATGGTTTCTAAGGTGGGAAGATGGAATTGGAGGTGGATGTTTGATCCCCCTACCAGTATGGGAATCTTCATGGGAAGCCCACTCAGGTCTCACTGCACAGGAACCCCTGGGAGAGCTAGGAGGGCTGAACTACCTGGGGTGAACTGGGGACAAAAAGTGGGGGTGCTGATCACTTGGTGCTGGAATCTTGGAGCTCCAATCAGCAGGGATGCAGATGTCATACTGAGGAGACCGGCCAGCACTATAGTGCTGCAGGAAGCATGATCGGCAGGAAGGTCTGAATCTCTGGCCAGACTTCCCACAAAGCTCAGGTGCTCATGTGGAGTCTTCCCCTGACCTGGAAACAACTGAGTTTGGAAATTAAGTTCCTTTGGAAATTAAGTTCCAGTACGTATTTAAGTCTTTCCCAGACCAGGAAACAATAGTAGAGTAGCAATTTAGTTCTAGTCCAGTGTTTAAGTTCCAGTGCTCACTATAAGTGTTCCCTAGACTGGGAAACAATGGCAGGGCAGTGATTAAGTCCCAATATCAAGTAGTAGAGGTCCAACACTAATAACACCAGCAGAAGCTGGAAGAGTGGCTTTCTCTTCAAATATGCAGGCATCATCATAAAACACGCAAAAATTGTTTAAAAAAAACAAAACAACAACAAAAACAATCTCAGGGAAATATGATGCCACCAAAAGAAACAAACAAAACTCCAATAATGGACCCAGAAGAATTAAATATCTATCAAATGTCTGAGAAAGAATTCAGAATAATCCTCTTTAATTTCAGGGAGTCACAAGAAAATGTGGATGGAAAATGCAGTGAAATTTTGAAAGAATTTGAGAAATTTAGCAAGTAAATAGAAACACTTTTTAAAAATCCAAATAGAAATCCTAAGAATAAAGAATACAATAACTGAACTTATTGAAATTTATGAAAAGCTTATTCGAAATCTTCAATAGCAGACTTAAAGAACCCACAACCTCAAAGACAGAACATATAAAATTACCCAATCAGAGGAGAAAAATCTTTAAAAAAAGATTGAAGAAGGCCTATGAGAATTATGAGATACTATCAGGCAAACTAACCTCTATATAATAGTAGTTCCCCAGGAGATAAAAGAGAAAAAGTTCTAGAAAGCATGTTTAAGGAAATAATCGCTAAGATATTCCTAAATCTGGAGAAAAAGGACAGTATCCAAGTATAAAAAGCTCAGAGATCACCAATCAAATTCAACCCAAAGAGAAATTAACCAAGGCACAGCATCAAATTATCAAAAAGCAAAGATAAAGAAGAAATACTCAAAGCAGCAAGAGAAAGAAAACATATCACATTCACCTGAGCCCCAGTGCAAGTTTCAGCAGATTTCTCAACAGATACACTGCAGGCCAGAAGAGATTGGGATGATATATTCAAAGTGCTGAAGGGAAAGAACCTTGTAGCCAAGAATAGTTCACATGGAAAATGTATCCTTCAAACACAATGGAGAGATAAAGACTTTCCCAGACAAGGAAAAGCTGAGGAAATTCATCAACATCAGATCTGTCTTACAAGAAATGCTGACAAGAGTTCTTCATCTGAAAGAAAAGGGTGCTAATTTGTAACAAGAAAAGATCTAACGGTATAAAATTCACTGGTAAAAGTAAGAATACAGACAAATTTAGAATACTATAATATTGTAATTGTGGAACGTAAACCACTTGGATCTTAAGTATGAAGACTAAAGAAACAATTATTAAAGATAGTAATTACAACAATTAGTTAAGAGTTAATATAAAAAGATGTAAATTGAAACATCAAAAATAAAAATGAACGTGTGTGGGATGGTGTTAAATGTAGTTTGTTTTTCTTGCTTTAATTTGCAGTCAAAGTTAAGTTGTTAATCAGTTTAAGATAACTTGTTTTAACTATAACATGATTTTAAGCATCATGGTATTTACAAAGCAAAAACTTATAATAGATACACTAAAAATAATGAGCATGAAATCAAAACATACTACTAGAAAAAAAAAATCTCTCAAGGAAAACAATAAGAGATGAAACAAGGTAGAAAGGATCTATAAAACAACCAGAAAACAAGTAACAAAATGGTAGTAGTAAAGCCCCACCTAACAATAATAACCTTAAATGCAAATGAATTAAAATCTCCAATTAAGAGACATAGAGTGACTGAATGGATTTTTAAAAATGCCCAATTATATGCTGTCTACAAGAGATCTTTCACCTATAAAAACATGCACAGACTAAAGAGATGGAAAAAAGATATTCCAAACAAATTGAAGCAAAAAAAAAAAGCAGGAATAACAATATTTATATCAGATAAAATAGACTTTAGGTCAAGAATGGTAAAAAATAAACAAAAAGACCATGATATAATGACAAAGGGATCAATACAGAAAGAGAACATTACAATTGTAAATATGTATGCACCCAAAACTGGGACTCTCAATATTTGAGACCCTCAAATATGTAAGGAAAACATTAATAGATCTGAAAGGTCTGTAGATTGACTATAATACAATAAGAGTAGGGAACTTTAATACCCCTACTTTCAGCAATGGAAAGGTTATCCAGACAGAAAACCAACAAAGAGACGTTGGATTTAAACAGCCTTCTAGATCAAATGAATCCAACAGACATTTACAGAACTTTCCACCCAATAGATTCAGAATACACATTTTTCTCAACAAGACATGATATTTTCTCCAGGATAGATTATGAAAGTCACAAAACAAGTCTTAGAAATTTTTTAAAAATCAAAATCATATGTGTCTTTTCTGACCACCATGGAATAAAACTAAAAATCAATAACAGAAGAAATGTTCAAAACTGTAAAACTTCATGGAAATTAAGCAACACGCTCCTGAGCAACAGAGGAGTTAGTGAAGAAATCAAAAATAAAATTTAAAAATTTCTCGATCAAATGAAAATATGCACACAACATACCAAAACCTATGGGATATAGTAAAAGCAGTTCTAAGAGGGAATTTTACTGTGATAAATGCCTACATCCAAAATGTAGAGAGATCTCAAATAAAAAATCCAATGTCACAACTCAAGAAATTAGAAAAGAAGGACAAACTGAACCCCAAATTAGAAGGGGAAAAATAACAAAAATCAGAGCAGAAATAAACAAAATAGAGGTTTTAAAAACAATACAAAAGATCAAGAAAACAAGGAGGTATTTTTGTTTAAATAAAAAAAAAACAACAAACCTTAAGCTAGACTAAGGAAAAAGAGAAAGGACTCAAATAAATAAAATCAGGGATGAAAAAGGAAACATTAAAACTGATACTACAAAAATTTAAAGGACCATAAGAGCCTATTGTAAATTTCTATATGCCAAGAAATTGGAAAATCTAGAAGAAATGAGTAAATTTTGGACAGACACAACCTAGCAAGATTAAATCATGAAGAAATAGAAAATCTTAATAGACCAATAATGAATAACCATATTGAGGCAGTACTAAAGAATCTCCCATTCAAAAAACTCCCAAGACTTAATGGTATCACTGATAAATTCTACCAAACATTTAAAGAAGATTTACAACTAATCTTTCTCACAAGAATTCTACCAATTCTTCCAAAAAATTGACAAGGAGGGAACACTTCCAAACTCATTCTATGAGGCCAGCATTACCCTGATCCAAAAATCAGAAAAGAATACAACAACAAAAAAGGAAGCTATAGGCCAATATTCCTGATGAATACAGATGCAAAAAATCCTCAAGAAAATAGTACCAAACTGAATTCAATAATATATTAAAAAGATAATTCACCATGATCAAGTGGGATTCATCACAGAGATGCAAGAATGATTCAACATACACAAATCAATAAACATAATATTACCACATTAACAGAATCAAGGCCAAATCCATATGATAATTTCAATAGATGCTGAAAAAAATTTGATAAAATTCAATTCCTTCATAAAAATCCTCCAGAAATTGGTTATAAAAACAACACACCTTAATTTAATAAAGGCCATATATGACAAATCCACAGAGAACATCATACTGAGCAGGAAACAGTTGAAAACTTCATTTCTAAGATGTAGAACAAGACAAAAATGCCCACATTCACCACTTTTGTTCAACATAGCACTGAAGATTCTGTCCAGAGTAATTAGGCAAGGGAAAGAAAGAAAAGGCATCCAAATTAAGAAAAGAGGGAGTCAAATTTTCCCTGTTTGCAGACAATATCATCATAATTAGATAGATGGTTAGAGAAAAGCCTAAAGACTCCATCAAAAAAAAAATATTAGAACTAATAAATGAATTTGGTAAAGGTGTAGGATATAAAATTAACATATAAAAATCAGTAGTGTTTGCTATATGCCAATAGCAAACTATTTGAAATTGAAATTGAAAAAGTAATTCCATGTACAATAGTTACAAGGTATAAATAAAATGCCTATAAATAAACTTAACCAAGGAGGTGAAAAATCCCTACAATGAAAACTATAAAACGCCAATGAAAGAAATCGAAGAGGACACAAAAAATTAGAAAGATATTCCATGTTCATGGACTGAAATAATGTTTAAAAATATACATATTATCCAAAGTGATCTACAGATTTAATGCAATCTCTATAATAAAAATCTCAATGACATTCTTCACTGCAATAGAAATAACAATCCTAAAATTCATATGGAAATGCAAAAGATCCTGGAGAGCTAAAGGAATCTTCAGCAAAAAGAACAAAGCTTCAGGCATCACTCTACCTGATGAAAATATACTGCATAGCTATAGTAACCAAAACAGGATGACACTGGCGTAAAAACAGATACATTGATGAATGTGACAAAATACAGAACCTAGAAATAAATATATGTATGTATATCCAAATGATTTTTAACAAAGGCACCAGAAGTACTCATTGGGGAAAGGACAGTATCCTCAATAAACGGTCCTCGGAAACTGGATATCCACATGCAGAAGAATGTAACTAGATCACTATCTCCATATTCAAAAATCAACTCAAATAAGATCAGAGGCTTAAGTGTTAGGACCATAACTATGAAACTACTAGAAGAAAACATAGAGGAAATGCTTCATGGAATGGAGCAAGGATTCTTTAAAGACAACCTCAAAAGCACAGACAACAAGAGCAAAAATAGACAAATGGAATTATATCAAATTAAAAATCTTTTGCACAGCAAAGGAAATAACAGATTGAAGAGACAACTTACAGAATGGGGAAAAAAAACTATTTGTGCACTATGCATCTGACAAGGGATTAATATCCATAATATATAAGGAACTCAAACAACTCAATATCAAAAAAGCAAATAATTAAATTTAAAAATGGACAAAAGATCTGAATAGATATTTTTCAAAGGAAGACATACAAATGGCCAACAGCTATATGAAAAAATGCTCAACATCACTAATCATCAGGGAAATGCAAATCAAAACCACAATGAGATATCCCTTCACCTTAGAATGGTTATCATCAAAAACACACAAAAAATTTAACAAATGCTGGTGAGGATGTGGAGAAAAGAGAGCTCTTCCACGCTGTTGGTGAGAATGTAAATAAGTATAGCCATTATGGAAAGAGGCATGAAAGATCCTCAAAAATTTAAAAATAGAAATAGCATATGAGCCAGCAGTCCCATTACTGGATATAGATCTAAAGGAAATGAAATCAGTGTGTTGAAGGGATGTCTGTACTCCATGTTTACTCCAGCGCTGTTCACAGAAGCTGAGAGATGGAACTGACTTAAATGTGCACCTACAGAGGAATGTATAAAGGGCGGCCTGTAACTGTCTGAAACCTTGTTATTTCTCCCACGTAGCCTCTCCCCTCTAATCCTTCATTGGCTCCACTTTCTTCTTCTTTTTTTTTTTCCTTTTTTGAGACATGTTACCCAGGCTGGAGTGCAGTGGTGTGATCTCAGCTCACTGGATCCTCTACCTCCTGGGTTCAAGTGATTCTCCTGCCTCAGCCTCCTGAGTAGCTGCGATTACAGGTGCCCGCCACCACACCCAGCTAATTTTTATATATTTAGCAGAGATGGAGTTTCACCATGTTGGCCAGGCTGGTCTCAAACTCCCAACCTGAGGTGATCCACCCATCTCAGCCTCCCAATGTGCTGGGATTACAGGCATGAGCCACCATGCCTGACCTCATTGGCTCCACTTTCTCCCTCAGCCTCCTAGTCTCTCATTTTAAGCTGGCTTTTGTCCCCTCCACTCCACTGAACATGCTCTTGCAGTCACCAGTGGCCTGTGTTTTGCTGTAGCAGTGATAATTGACACTATTGATCATGCATGGTTTCCCTCTGATAGGAATTTTCTTGCTGCTTTTTCTAAGTCTCTGTTGCTGGTTCCTACTTCCTGATTTCTACGTTTTGAAGGATCCCAGAACACAGTCTCTGGACTTTCTTTCTTTCCCAGTCTCTTTGTACTCACTCCCTTTCTCCCTTTGATCTCACCCGTTCTGAAGGTTTTTAGTATCATCTCCAGGCTGGCAGCAACAAAATTTCCATGTCTGATCCAGACCTCTTATCTAAACTCCAAACTTCTACACCCAACTGCCTGCTCACATCTGCACCAGGATGTTGAATTTGCATCAGAAACCGAACATTCTTTTTACTGAGCCCCTGATCTTCCTTCCCTGCCCTGTTTCCCTCACTCGATGAGCAGTCCCTCTGCCATTCTAACTGCTCAGGCTACAGTCCTTGATTTCTCACTTTTTCTGTCACCTCAAATCCAACCTATCAGAAAATCCTACACTCAGCCTTTGTGATGCACCCAGCACGCTGCTCCTTTCCCCATGTCCACACCATCTCTCGTTAGAATGACTAAAATGACTCCCACCTGGAGCCCTCGCTCCAGTCCCCATGCCCCTTCAGCTCTATGCTCAACACAATAGCCAGATAAATCTTGTTAAAGCATAAGTCATATAATGCCACCCTGTTCAAAAACCTCCAACATCCTCTCTGTCCCTATCTCCCCTTCCTGTCCCTCCCTTGCTAACCCTGCTCTTGTCACACAGGCTGCTGCAGGCCTTGGTGTTTGCTGTTTGCTCTGCCTGAAAAGCCCTCTTCCACCCCCGCTGACATCCCCAGGACTCTATCACTTCGTTTAGGTTTCACTCAAGTGCCCCTTCTCAGCGAGACCGACTCTAGCCTATCTGAAACTCCACGTCTCCCTTAAAATTACTCTTCTTCACTGCTTCAGTTTCTTTGCACTAATTACAATCTACTAGTCTACATATTCATTTATCTGATGCATTGCTCTCCCACACCCACTAGAATAAAGCTACCTTAAGATGAAGGCTTCCGCCTGTTTTGTTCACACTGTATCCCCAGCAGCCAGAAACCATGTGTGGCACTCAGTATTTGCCTCCAAAATTTATTTGTTGAATAAATGAACAAACTACACACATCACCATGGATAAATCTCAAAGCAATAATGTGGAGAACAAAGCTAGTCCCAGAAGAACTCTTCCTCTGTGATTCTAATTACATAAAGTTCAAGAGCATGCACATCTTAGCAAAATATTACTTAAGGCTACAAACATGTGGTACAACTACAAAGAACATTGAGGATTAGTTAACAAGGAGTTCAGGAGAGGGGTTCCTACTGTAGGGTGGGGTGGGGACGTGATTGGAGAGGAGCACACAGGGGCCTTTTCAAGGACACTTTTCTATTTCTTAAGTGGGGTTCTATTCATGTTTATATTTTGTGTAAAAAAAATTAAGTTACATTTTTAAAAGACAAAAAAAGACAAAGTTACATTTAAAAAATCATTGAAGCAAGCAGAGTGCATCACCTCCTTGTAATCCAATATTCATAATATAAATGACCCCATCCCCATCTCCTCGGCCACTGATCTGATGCCTCTGTTCTGCTTATCTGCTGCATTACCAGCTCACTGTGCAGCAAATTCACACTATTCATTGTTAGCTCTATAGCCCAACTGGATGGCAAACATCCCAATAGACAAAACTCCAAGAAGAGTCAAAACAAGAATAAAGTGCAGGTCATCTTTTCTTTTGCACTCCTGACAGCACTTTGTACATGGTAATAATAATCTACCAATTAACTACATAAGCCACATGGTTTTATTATAGTGTGAAGCTTTGTATCCAGAAAGGAGAGAAGGCTCCCTAAGACTCTGTCAAGAATGGGTGCTTCCTTTCTGCTGTAACCTCTTCTTTTCTCCAAAGCCAGCTCACCTCTTCCTCCTGACTGAGCACAGCTGGGGCCCTCCCCTAGGTCGGCTTAATGAGGTGGGGCCCTCCCTCTGGCTTGGAATCCACACACATTCCTGCAGCCAAATGCTGCAGCAAGAGGCAGGGACCACGTTTAATGCTTTTCCTTGGGAAACTGACCTGTGTCTCCACTAATATCTGACAATTTGGCAAGAGGACCAACAAGATTTGAGGCAATATGTGATAAAATATGCAGTTATTTAAAAAAATACTTTTATAGATTGGGTGCAGGGACTTGTGTTTGTAATCCTAGATACTGAGAAGGCTGAGGCGAGAGGAGCACCTGAGCCCAGGAGTTTGAGGTCACAGGGAGCCATGATTACATCACTGTACTCCAGCCTGGGCATCGGAGAAAGACCCTGTCCAACAGAACAACAACAACACAAATAGTGTTCCAAAACTGGATAAGAATGCAGATGTTCAAAGGAAGCCCTGAAAATAAGCTCAATTTTAAAAAGCGGGGAGTAAAGAATTACAAAAGGAAGGAAAGGAGGAGAGAAGGGGAGAAGAGGGAAGCAAGGAGGAAAGGCAAGTGTTTTGTTCACTAGTATATCCCCAGAAACGTTTAAATAATAGACACTAAGCATTTGTTGAATGAATGAAGTAATAGATGAAATAGATGTGAAGCAATGGGAGAAAATATGGACTTACATGGCTAACACCCTGTCACGTGGCCTGCACCTGAATCTACACAACAGGCCCCTCAGCCTCCACCATGTAACAGAGTTCAGGGAGCCCAGCCTTTTTCTTCTAACACCTCAATGCCAGACTTGCTCCATGTTGGACACCAGCTTATCTGTGCTTCTGGTACCCCAGAGGTACTTGATGAACATACTATTTTATTTATTTAACACATTTGGAGAGAGTATCTGCAAGGATTCCTCCAATGTAGTATATCAGGGGGTATTCCTTGGTCTGTTAGTTCCCAGAAAATGACCTCATTCTATGGAAAATCTGGTTGTCCATGGTTAGTCCAATGTGGTGACACAAAATGGAAATCCTTAAAACTAAAGAAAGAATTACAGTCATTTAATAAAGACAATGAAACTGAAACATCATGAATCATAGTTTAGGAAATCAATTTGTAATGAAGAAACATTTAGTATGGGAGAAGGGAGTGAGTAAATTACCTACGGAAAGATGAAGCAACACATTTATACAAAGTGTCAATAGATAAAATGGACACACCTTTAGATGTATATTATACTGATTTTAAACCACACACATTGGTAACAAATAGACTAATCCATTTCCAAACTAATTGGATTGCTGGGTGCACATTACTATCAGAGTAGCCAGAGGTAGGCTTCAAACTAATGGTAGTAATTGCTTTTAAACAACCTTTAGATGAGTCCAGGCATCTTAAATGTCCTATTTATCTCCCTTTCCTATTGTAGAAATTATGCTACAGATCAGCCTAATGGGGGACCCACACCTAATAGACATACAAAGGACAATTAGAAGAGTCGAGAAGTAAAAAGCAAAAAATGAAGTTTTATAGAACGAATGAAGACAAAAATCTGAACCGCACCTGAAGTGGAGCTGGGCCTTGTCACGAACAAAAACTTACAGTGCAAGGTTCTGCAGCTGGCTGGCTTTATGACCTTGAGCTTCCACTTAACCTGTCCACACTTCCAGTTTTCATCTACAAATTGAAGGGGGTTGTGCAAGCATTTGACATTCTTTCAGTTGCTATGGGCAGTGAACCTATGAACATGACAGTGACAGCAATGGCAAGAAACAGCCGTGAGGTCTTCTTGCCATCAGGCCAGAGCCTCTTTTCTTGCTCAGACTCCGCTGTGGGGAGCAACCGCACACCAGACCCTCCGACACATCCTCCGTGTTTCTGCCAGCTCTGCCACTATTCAAGTTCTCCTGATTTTATCAGCACCTGCTCTTGTTCTCCCATGCCCAGGACCACTATAATAGCCTCCTTTCTATTTTCTGCTAATCATCACTCCCCTAAAACACACAACAGGTGCAATACTTTTGACATATTAAATGTGTCTACCTTCAGAATCCCCCAGAAGGAGACTCTGTGACAGGGATTCAAGCAAAAGTAGTTTATGTGAGGTAGTTGGTTTCAGGAAACACAGGCAGGAAAGGAGGCAAGTGAACAATAAAAGGAAGACGGTCAATGAAGGGCACATTATAGCAAGTCGCCACTATGAGAAATGGCAGCTTCATCTCTTGGAGACACTGAGAACCAGAGCAGGACCCTGCCTCAGTTACTCTTCCTGAAAGCCTAGCTAGCTGAGGTTTACATCACCACCTCCGGCTGTCACTGGCCGTGGCTGCTCTCAGGAGTCAATCTCAGGCACTTTCACCTGCCAAAGAGAGTCCTTAGGGGAAGTGTTGCTACTGGGCAGCTGGAAGTGCTGCCAGGAAATGGTAAGGAGGTGACAGGCTCCAGGCAGGCACCAACAGCACCTGCAACACCACCGCTCATTTTTGTTTCTTAATTGTCCTGTGTCTCCTTCACACACGGAGTTGATGGCAGCCATTGCTTCAAAGAAAGATACAGCCTAAAATAAAGACTCAGGGTTTTGCTCTGAGTTTCTGATTTGTTTCTCAAGTCTATGGTAAGCATTTCATTTGAAAGTCTGGATTTATAGGACAATTGAGAGGGAAGAGAGTTTTCTAAATTCCCAAAGCCTCCTTCTGCATTAAGGCAGAACAAAGCTTGGAGGTCTAATGATGGAGTTTTGCCACAAGACATGGTGTGAAGACTTAGAATATGGCTCAGGACAGAGTTCCCACAACATGGAAGAGGAAGGGAGATGATGCAGTGGGCAGGACATGGAGAGATTTGGGGGATAAGGATGAGGTTAAGATGTTGCCTAGGGTCCAGTTACGGTGGCTCATGCCTGTAATCCCAGCACTTTGGGAGGCAGAGGTGGGCGGATCATGAGGTCAGGAGTTCAAGGCCAGCCTGGCCAACATGGTGAAACACTGTCTCTACTAAAAATACAAAAATTAGCTGGGCGTGGTGGTGCATGCCTATAATCCCAGCTACTTAGAAGGCTGAGGCAGTAGAATTGCTTGAACCCGGGAGGCAGAGTTTGCAGTGAGCTGAGATCATGTCATTGCATTTCAGCCTGGGTGACATAAAAAGGCTCTGTCCCCACCTGCTAAAAAATAAATAAAAAATAAAAAAGTTTTTAAAAAGATGTTGCCTGGATTCTTGAGAGGAATCTTAGATTTGAGGGTGGGTATGGTTTAGATGATAGAAACTCTGGATTGGTAGGAGTGGAGAAAAGGAAAGGGAAGGTCTCCCCTACCCTGAGAGGCCACAGCAGAGTGAAAATGCTGCAATAAAAAGATAAGGCAGAGAGCAGGACTGAGGTAGCACCCTGGCCCCCCAAGGTATAGGCGAGTTGTGTAGGGGATTCCAAAGTTTACTGATGTGAATTTAAGAGCAAAATGAGATGCTCATACATCTTGAAATGAGATATTCATATAGCTTCTATGGCAGACTATTTGCAAAAAATGGCTGCAATAAATTCTGTCATCCTTCATGCATGTCCTTTGCAATGTGACTTTGCTGCTCCCCTGACTTCTCTACTCCTAGAATCTGGTGTTCGCCATGCAACTGGCTTTAGTTACAGGAATATTGGCAGATCTGATGCAAGAAGTTGGGAATTAAATTAAAACAGATAGCACTTATTTAGTAATTGCTTTATGCATGTCACTGTATGATACGGTTTGGATATGTGGCCCTGCCAAAAACTTATGTTGAAATGTCATTTCCAATGTTGAAGGTGGGGTCTGGTGGGAGGTGACTGAATCATGGGGGTGGATTTCTCATGAATGGTTTAGTGCCATCCTCCTGGTACTGTCACGATAATGAGTGAGTTCTTGTGAGATCTGGTTATTTGAAAGTTTGTGGCACCTCCCCCCTCTCTTCCTCCCGCTCTGGCCATAGGAGCTGCCTGCTCCCTCTTTGCCTTCTGCCATGATTCTAAGCTTCCTGCAGCCTCCCCAGAAGCTGAGCAGATGCCAGTATTATGCTTCTTGTACAGCCTACAGAACAGTGAGCCAATTAAACCTCTTTTCTTTATAAATTACTCAGTCTCTTTTTTTTTGTTTGAGTTAGAGTTTTGCTCTGTCACCCTAGCTGGAGTGCATTGGCATGATCTCGGTTCATTGCAATCTCTGCCTCCCAGGTTCAAGTGATTGTCCTGCCTCAGCCTCCCAAGTAGCTGGGATTACAGGCTCCTGCCACAATGCCCAGCTAATTTTTGTATTTTTAGCACAGATGGGGTTTCATCATGTTGGTCAGGCTGGTCTTGAGTTTCTGACCTCAAGTGATCCACCCATCTCGGCCTCCCAAAGTGCTGGGATTACAGGCATGAGCCACCACGCGCAGCCCAGGCATTTCTTTATGGCAATGCAAGAATAGACAAATACACTGTACTAAACACTTCATATTTTAACTTCTTTTATCCTACAACTCACAGCCATAGGAGGGAGGTATTATTATTCTTGTTTTATAAATGAGGAAGCTGAGGCACAGAAAGGTTGGTCAAAGGCCATACAGTTTGCACATCTTAGAGGTAGTATTGCAAGCCAGACGATATAACTCCCAAGTCTGTGCGATTTATCTCTGGAATATTTACAATTCAGCCTGTAAGAAAGATTGCCCAACAAATGGTCGTGTGTGTGTGTGTGTGTGTGTGTGTATGTGTGTGTATTTTATTTTTATTTTTATTTTATTTTTTTGAGATGGAGTCTTGCTCTGTTGCCCAGGCTGGAGTGCAGTGGCATGATCTCGGCTCACTGCAAGCTCCACCTCCGGGGTTCACACCATTCTCCTGCTTAGCCTCCCAAGTAGCTGGGACTACAGGTGCCCACCACCAAGCCCGGCTAATTTTTTTTGTATTTTTAGTAGAGACGGGGTTTCACCATGTTAGCCAAGATGGTCTCGATCTCCTGACCTCGTGATCCACCCGTCTCGGCCTCCCAAAGTGCTGGGATTACAGGCGTAAGCCATCGTGCCCAGCCCATGTGTATATATTGTTACTCTTCCACATATATAAAAGGTCATGTCACTCAGCTTCTATGGTAGACTATTTGCAAAAAATGGCTGCAACAAATTCTCTCATTCCTCATGCATGTCCTGTGCAACGTGACTTGGCTGCTCCCCTGACTTCTCTACTCCTTCAATCTGGAGTTGGCCATGCAACTTGCTTTAGTCACAGGAATATTGCCAGATGTGATGCAAGCAGTTGGGAAGGGCATGAGCATTGTGGCTTCCTGGGACATGGGTCCACCACCCGAGTACTAGGCTAGGCTAGTCCACCAGAGGGTAAAGAGCATGTGCTGAGGCCCAGTTGTGCCTGCCATCCGATTTGAAGCCCAGACACTTAAGAGAATCAAGAGAGTGCCTCTCCTTACTAGAAGAGCTGCACAGCTGCCCCCACAGAATCATGAGAAATCATAAATGTTTGCCACTTTGGGCCACTAAGTTTTGGCATCAAGTCTCGATTGAATCCTCCCTATGTGTGGAGTACTGTTTCATGTGGGGGAATACACGTATATCCATCACAGTGGACAGAATCGTGTCCCCCTAAAAGGTAAGTTCAAGTCCTAACACCCAGTACCCGTGGATGTGACCTTATTTGGAAATAAGAACTTTGTAGATGTCATCAAATTAAGATGAGGTCATACTGGATTACAATGATCTCTAATTCAATGACTGGTTTTCTTATAAGAAGAGGAAAATCTGGACAAAGACCCAGAGAGGCAGACACAGACCCACAGGGAGAACACGGTATGATAGATATGACAACAGGGACTGAGAAGGCAGCCACCAGCAGCCACAGAGAGAGGCGAAGCAGACTCCCACCAGGAGCTTCAGAGGGAGACCACCGTGCTCACACCTTGACTTTAGACTTCTGGCCTCTAGAACTATGGCAAAATAAATTCCTCCTGTTTTAGGCCACCCAATGTGTGGCACTTTGTTACGGCTGTCCTAGGACATTAGTGTATATTCTGAGAGATGCAGAAAAAGGGACTGGGAAAAAAATAAAGAGGAACACAGAATAAAGACCTAAAACTGTGGCAGGCGCCTGTAGTCCCAGCTACTTGGGAGGCTGAGGCAGGAGAATGGCGTGAACCCGGGAGACGGAGCTTGCAGTGAGCCGAGGTGGTGCCACTGCACTCCAGCCTGGGCGACAGAGCAAGACTCTGTCTCAAAAAAAAAAAAAAAAAGACCTAAAACTGAGATACAGAGGACAGGAGGTGTGGTGACTGCTGGCATAAAGTGGAAAGAATTTAGTTACATGATTTTCTTATTTTGGGGGGTCTATTTATGGTTTTCCTTTGAACCCCTCAGGCCAACTCCGGTTTTGTCATCAGCTGCTTGCTTAGGCGAGGATGAGGGGGGCAGCTTGGTTTCTTGGGGAAGCTGGGGGCTAACCTGGCTCCTAAAAGGGCCTCTAGCCCAAAACTTCACACCCCAAATGGTCTTGTCTTCCTCCCAGTCATGACACACTTGGTTCAAGAGAAATGGGATTCTTTAGTGGGCCTGATGAAGACCCTCATGCCCTGACAGATGATACATAGTAGCATCTTAAAGATGTTAAGGATGACTTTTGATTTTTAGCCCTTTATCTGACCCACAACCATTTATTCTTGTTAATAGATCATCATAAATAAAGAACGCAAGTATGCTTGTGACAATCCTTAGAGTACAGGGATCCGGACTGCACAAGGCTGCCTGGAAGGGGTGTGAAATGGGGTAGTGAGGAGGCACAAAAAGGAGAGGGAGAGAAGGGTAGAGAGAAGGGACACATAGCTCCTCCCAGCCTGGGGCCTTTGCTCTTAGTCCCATCCTGTCTCATCTCTTGGCATTGAGTCTCCCAGTCCATCCAAGAGGATTCCAGGTTGGATTCCACAGTCCCCAGGCTCTCAGCCTCCCACGTGCTCCAAGCCTATCCTGAGTGCCCATCTCACTCCCACCACTCTCCATGACCCCATGCATCAGGACTCCTCCTTGCCCCCACATTCTCCAAGCATCATGGTCACCTAATAGCCGGCTCTGCTTTGAATTCCTCATTGCCCCTGGAATCTTTTCAGGCTGGATTACATCTTTTTAAGCCTGAATAAAAAAACCAACTGAATGATCTTTAAAGTGCACGTGACTCGCTTGTGCCCTTCTGATCATGGATAAATACCCATATCCCTGGGGGCAGCCTGCCAGCTGGCCTGCCTATCTCTCTGTCCCCCAGTCAAGGTGCACCTGCAGGCTAATTATGCACATCAATACGGCGGGGAGTGGGCTGTCCAGACTCTTCTGTGCTGCCCTCAGTTGGGTTGATTGCTGGGGCTGGCCTCGGAGCACTTGCTACGGGAGCATGAGAACCATTCTGGCTTCAGTCCAGGACTTCAAAGCCAGCTCCCCATCCCTCCTGCCATCATCCCATGAGCCTGCCCCTGGCAGCAGTCATTGCACAGCCTGGGGTGCCAGTCTTTGCTTCCCTCCTTTTCCTTCCTCACTGCCGCCTTCTATCTCCATCACTGTCCCAGATGAAAATGCAGCCATCGCCCTCCACACATCAAAAGGGGGAGGTGACGAGAGGGGCATTCATCTTTTTGCCTCCATGAAGAATCAGGAGCTGTATTGGATACGTTTACATTTATTTATTTATTTATTTATTTATTTATTTATTTATTTATTTATTTATTTATGAGACAGAGTCTTGCTCTGCAACCAGGCTGGAATGCAGTGGCAGGATCTTGGCTCACTGCAACCTCCACCCCCCAGGTTCAAGCAACTCTTCAGCCTCAGCCTCCCGAGTAGCTGGGACTACAGGTGCATGCCACCACACCCAGCTAATTTTTGAAATTTTTTTTCATTTTTATTGTTTTTAGTAGAGAGAGACGGGGTTTCACCACGTTGGCCAGGATTGTCTCAATCTCTTGACCTCATGATCTGCCCACCATGGCCTCCCAAAGTGCTGGGATTAAAGGCAGGAGCCACTACGCCCAGCCACATTCACATTTATTGATTCAATTGGCCCTTGCTTCACAGCTGCTTCAAATATTTCAGAATTCCTCCTGTTTTTTACATCATGAAACTGAGGCTGAGAGGGTGACGTTAGCTTGCACAGGAGCCACAGGTCATACTGAGTGGAATTTGTGTTTGATTCTGACCTGCCTTACCCTAGAGACACTGTCTTTCTATCCAACTGCAGAGGTCCTGGGCACAGGCCAGTCAGGGAGTAAGAATGGGCCATTTAACAAGCATTCATAGCCACCAGCAGTCACTGCTTTGCCAGTTTCAAGCAGGCAAGAGTCAAGGAAGCCTCAGCAGCTGTGGCATTTTGCCACCCAGGTAGAGGAACCTTGCTTTCCTGCAAATCTCTCCTCCTGTGATCCTTGACTGATGCCTGGCTTGGCTGTGCTGTTTTTCTGGGAAGTTAGATGTTATTCTCATGCCATATCTCTGGCTACAGCTCATGGACTGTGCCTGGCCTCCAGAATCTTCCCCTTTCTGCACCTGGCACCAAGCCTTCTAATACATCCCTACCTTCCCAGCTGGGACAGGGTCCCCAAGACACCTCACTGAGAATCAACACGATCAGTCCCCATAGTGTGTGCATGTGACACTGGGGAGCCTGGAGCTGATGCACTTACTTATAATCACAACATTCCCAAAGCACAACTTGGAGTTTGGCTCTTTGCCTTCCTTCTTCTGGAATGCAACAGTCATTGTTGAATTTCTACCCTCACCTAACCAGGCAATTCCTTATGGAAAGAGTCAGTCTGGTATCTGAACTCAGTGAATGACTTCAAGTTAAACCCAAGGCTGCATCCATGATCCTTCCAAGTAGTGGACTTTATCATCCTTGAGTCTGGCTCATCACGAAGATGCAGTTTTGCTAAATCTAAGTACAGCTCTTATCTGCTCCAAGTCTCCCAGCTCGGTACCTGTTATCAAATGTTTTTAGGAGAGAGTCTGTTTCCTTATCTTTTCTAGCTTCTAGAATCTACATGTATTTCCTGGCTCATGGCCCCCCCTCTATTTTCAAAGCCAACAACATAGCATCTCTCTCTCTCTCCCTCCCGCCCTCCCTCTTTTTTTCTCTCCTCCACCCCTCCATCTCTCATCTTATATTTGAACACAGATGTGTACTACAGGGAGAACATCATGTGATCATGAATACAGACATCCACCAGCTAAGGAGAGAGGACTGGAACAGATCTTTCCCTCACAGCTCTCAGAAAAAAAACAACCCTGTTGACACCTTCATCTTGGACTTGGAGCCTACAGAACTGCAAGACAGAGCAAACTTCTCTTGTTCAAGCCTCTCAGTTTGTGATGCTTTCTTAACAGCCCTAACAAACTAATACAGAGAGAAACGATCCCAATTAGAGAGTGCCCTGGTACGTTTACTTTTTTAAAAAAGAACTTATCAGAAGAGTACTTTCAGGGATCATTTCTATAGTTCATTACTAGAGAAGTTTCTCTAAACATGTAGAGCATCAAAACCGCACAACTACATGCAAACTGAACAACCTGCTCCTGAATGACTACTGGGTAAATAACAAAATTAAGGCAGAAATAACCAAGTTCTTTGAAACCCATGAGAACAAAGATACAGTGTACCAGAATATCTGGAACACAGCTAAGGCAGTGTTTACAGGGAAATGTATAGCACTAAATGCCTACATCAGAAAGTGGGAAAGAAGTAAAATCAACACCCTAACATCACAGTTAAAGAAACTAGAGAAGCAAGAGCAAACGAATTCAAAACCTAGCAGAAGACAAGAAATAACTAAGATCAGAGCAGAACTGAAGGAGTTAGACACATGAAAACACCTTCAAAAAATTAATGAATCCAGGAGCTGGTTTTTTGAAAAGATTAACAAAATAGATAGACCACTAGATAGACTAATAAAGAAGAAAAGAGAGGAGAATCAAATAGACACAATAAAAAAATGATAAAGGGGATATCACCACTGATCCCACAGAAATACAAACTACCATAAGAGAATACTATAAACACCTCTACACACATAAACTAGAAAGTCTAGAAGAAATGGACAAATTCCTGGACACATACACCCTCCCAAGACTAAACAAGGAAGAAGATGAATCCCTGAATAGACCAATAACAAGTTCTGAAATTGAGGCAGTAAATCAATAGTCTACCAACCAAAAAAGCCCAGGACCAGACGGATTCACAGCCAAATTCTACCAGAGGTACAAAGAGGAGCTGATACTGTTCCTTCTGAAATTATTTCAAACAATAGAAAAAAAGGGACTCCTCCCTAACTCATTTTATGAGGCCAGCATCATCCTGATTCCAAAACCTGGCAGAGACACAACAAGAAAAGAAAATTTCAGGCCGATATCCCTGATGAACATCGATGCAAAAATCCTCAGTAAAATACTGGCAAACCGAATCCAGCAGCACATCAAAAAGCTTATCCACCATGATCAAGTCAGCTTCATCCCTGGGATGCAAGGCAGATTCAACATACACAAATCAATAAACAGAACCAATGACAAAAAATACATGATTATCTCAACAGATGCAGAAAAGGACTGATAAAATTCAAAACACCTTCATGCTAAAAACTCTCAATAAACTAGGTCTTGATGGAACATATCTCAAAATAATAAGAGCTGTTTATGACAAACCCATAGCCAATATCATACTGAATGGGCAAAAGCTGGAAGCGTTCCCTTTGAAAACTGGCACAAGACAAGGATGCCCTCTCTCACCACTGCTATTCAACATAGCATTGGAAGTTCTGGCCAGAGCAATCAAGCAAGAGAAATAAATAAAGGGCATTCAAATAGGAAGAGAGGAAGTCAGATTGTCTCTGTGTGCAGACGACATGATTGTATATTTAGAAAACCCCATCATCTCAGCCCTAAAACTCCTTAAGCTGATAAACAACTTCAACAAAGTCTCAGGATACAAAATCAATGTGTAAAAATCACAAGCACTCCTATACACCAATAATAGACAAGCAGAGAACTAAATCATGAGTGAACTCCCATTCACAATTGCTACAAAGAGAATAAAATACCTGGAATTACAACTTACAAGGGATGCGATAAGACCTCTTCAAGGAGAACTACAAACCACTGCTCAAAGAAAAAAGAGGGGACACAAACAAATGGAAAAACATTCCATGCTCATGGATAGGAAGAATCAATATTATGAAAATGGCAATACTGCCCAAAATAATTTATAGATTAAATGCTATTCTCATCAAGCTAACATTGACTTTCTTCACAGAACTAGAGAAAACTACTTTAAATTTCATACGGAATCAAAAAAGAGCCTGTGTAGCCAAGACAACTCTAAACAAAAAGAACAAAGCTGGAGGCATCATGCTACCTGCCTTCAAAATATACTACAAGTCTACCATAACCAAAACAGCATGGTTCTGGTATCAAAACAGATATATAGACCAATGGAACAGAACAGAGGCCTCAGAAATAACAGCACACATCTACAACCATCTGATCTTTGGAAAACGTGACAAGAACAAGCAATGGGGAAAGGATTCCCTATTTAATAAATGGTGCTGGGAAAACTGGCTAGCCATATGCAGAAAACTGAAACTGGACTCCTTCCTTAAACCTTATATAAAAATTAACTCAAGATGGATTAAAGACTTACATGTAAAACCTAAAACCATAAAAACCCTAAAAGAAAACCTAGGCAATATCATTCAGGACATTGGCATGGGCAAAGACTTCATGAGTAAAACACCAAAAGCAATGGCAACAAAAGCCAAAATTGACAAATGGAATCTAATTAACTAAAGAGCTTCAGCTCAGCAAAAGAAACTATTATCAGAGTGAACAGGCAACCTACAGAATGGGAGAAATTTTTTGCAATCTACCCATCCGACAAAGGGCTAATATCCAGGATCTACAGGGAACTTAAACAAATTTACAAGAAAAAAACAAACAACTCCATCAAAAAGTGGGTCAAGTATATTAGCAGACACTTCTCAAAAGAAGATATTTATGCCGCCAAAAAAAAAAAAAAATGAAAAAAAGCTCATCATCACTGGTCATTAGAGAAATGCAAATCAAAATCACAATGAGATACCATCTCAAGCCAGTTAGAATGGTGATCATTAAGAAGTCTGGAAACAACAGACGCTGGTGAGGATGCAGAGAAATAGGAACACTTTCACACTGTTGGTGGGAGTGTAAATTAGTTCAACCATTATGGAAGACAGTGTGGCGATTCCTCAAGGATCTAGAACCAGAAACACCATTTGACCCAGCAATCCCATTACTGGGTATATACCCAAAGGATTAGAAATCATTCTACTATAAAGACACATGCACATGTATGTTTATTGCTGCATTATTTACAATAGCAAAGACTTGGAACCAACCCAAATACCCATCAATGATAGACTGGATAAAGAAAATATGGCACATATACACCATGGAATACTATGCAGCCATAAAAATGAATGAGTTCATGTCCTTTGCAAGGTCATGGATGAAGCTGGAAACCATCATCCTCAGCAAACTAACACAGGAACAGAAAACCAAACACCACATGTTCTCACTCACAAGTGGGAGTTGAACAATGAGAACACAGGGGCACAGAGAGGGGAACATCACACACCGGGGCCTGTCAGGGGGTGGAGGGCAAGGAGAGGGAGAGCATTAGGAAAAATGCCCAATGCATGCAGGGCTTAAAACCGAGATGGGTTGATAGGTGCAGCAAACCACCATGGCACATGTGTACCTATGTAACAAACCTGCACATTCTGCACATGTATCACAGAAAAAAAAAAAAAGAACTTGTCAGAAAGTTCTGTGGAACCAAAAGTACTTACTATAATTGTTGGTTTGGAGAGGCAGAGGAAGTAGGAGAGGGTGCTGAGGGCATACTTTCCTAACCAATGTCATTGCCATGAAGATTTCTGAGGTCTCTGGCTCCTTCTTCCATGCCCAATTCCTTGCGCAGAGCAACTTGGAGGCAAATCATGAAGGCACTGCCTGGCCCAGCCCCTGGCCCTGGAGGAGGCACTTCCTCCTCCTCCTCTGCTTCCGTGGGGCCTTTTGGTCTCCATCATGTCAGACTTAGCACTTCCTCCAGCTCAGCATCTAACGTGGGTGATTTGCACCTTTATTATGAATTGTTTATTCTCTGGGGTATCTATGACCACAGTGTGCAAGTGATATTTCCATTCAAGGACCAAAGAAAAAAAATTTTTTTAAACTTTGTTTCCTGAGAGACACATTCCAGGCATCATAGAAGCAATGGGGGAGGGATGGGGACACAGAGAGTCATTGCAGGTAGGCTATGACCCCGGGAAGAACATCCTTCACACCTGGTAACATTTGTGAGAAGGTGTTTCCTCCAGAAAAAATTAGTTCAGGGACATTTTGCTAGTAAGAGGCCAATTATCTGTTTGAGGCCACCAACAGAATGGTTGTTTAATTTCTATAACCAAAGCTGACGTCTCATTGCATGATCAGCGATCAGTGCCTGTTATCAACAGCCGCAAAGGGTCTTACTCTAGGGCTCCGATGCCCGCTCCAGATCCCCTGAATTCTCATCTCACATGTGGCTGGTCAGCTGCAGGAGAACGAGGAGCTGACCTCCGCCCTGTGCTGCTGATGGGAATGGCATTTCCCCACCCTGTGCAGCTCTGGCAGCCTCCCTCTTACCCCTGCTATCACAGCCGCGGAGGCAGGCAGGGAGCTCGTGACAGCTGGCAAGCCAGCCTCTGGGAATAAAACATTTTAGCACTTCATAAATTTCTAACAAGGTTTCAAATTGCGGCCGTTTCCCTCCTCTCAGCTCCGTCAACTAGCAAAAGGGGTTGGGGGTGGGGGAAGAAAGACTAATTAAATCTACGGTGGGAAAGCACTGCTGGTAAGATTGCTACTTATTAAAAATCATGAACTGTTAGGACCCGATTACAAAGTAAGTTGAAATTCTCCCCATTTTCCCCATACATAAAAATATAAAACAGAGCCTTTCAATTTTATATGTATTTGGTATGTGTGTATATATATATATATTTTCAAAGGATTAAATACATATCCTTAACAGGATAGCTGATATATGACATTCTTAAACCTAAGGGAAGATGACACATAACTAACTAAAATGCTGAGAGACATTCAATATCAATACTGAACATTAACATTGAGGCTTGGTATCATTTACAAAGTAGTTATTTCACATTCTTTTCCCCTGGGAGTTTTACTGAAAGAAAATGCTTGCTAGAAGAGCATCAGATGGAGAAAACACAGCCTGGAAAGCCTCACCCAACTGACAGCTTCCAAGTTCCAAGTTTTGGTCACCATCACTAATGTTTTTAAAAAGACAAAACAACAATTCCAAAAAAAAAAAAAAAAAAACAACTTTTTTTTTTTTTTTGAGGCAGGGTCTCTTTCTGTTGTTCAGTCTGGAGTGCAGTGGTGCAATCTCAGCTCACTGCAACCTCCGCCTCCCAGGTTCAAGTGATTCTCCTGCCTCAGCTTCCCAAGTAGCTGGAATTACAGGTGCATGCCACCATGCCTAATTTTTATATTTTTAGTAAAGACGGGGTTTCACCATGTTGGCCAGGCTGATCTCGAACTCCTGACCTCAGGTGATCCACCCGCCTTGGCCTCCCAAAGTGGTGGGATTACAGGCATGAGCCACCGTGTCCAGCCAAAAAACCTTTCTTAATTTCATGGTTCTTTGTTTTAAAAGAAGGGTACTTGCTTTACAGGAAATACGTAAGCCTTATGGGTAGGGGAAATGTGGAACAGGGAACAAAAAAACTAATTCACAAAGACGTTTAATTGTCAACTAAAACATGTTAGGAGCACTGTGGGAGGGGTGTGTTTGGAAAAATAAGGGGTAAGATTTTAAATAGTTTCACTCTGAGAAAACCAGCATTCCTTTTCCTACTAGAGTAAGTAAGCAGGGTTGCCTTCTTCAGGTAGTGGGTCTCACATGAAAAAATTTCAATCTGAAATAAGGGTCGTAGAATTGGTGACGTGAGAATTGGGCAAAACTAGGGCACAGACAGATCCTGGCAGTAACTTCGGGCCCACATCACTTTGGGCAAAACACACAGACAAGCACGAAGCAGGTACAGGACAACCACCAGCTGCTGCACTGAGCATTCTCTGCGCTCCCTGCACCTTCGCCTGATGCCCATTTTCTTTTTTAGCGTGAGAAAGTTGACCTTTAGGATGACATACAAAATAAGCTTCTCCAGCTAGGATGGGAGGCAAAATGCAAAGACCATGTGTGCTATTTATGTTTGAGAATGAACCTTCCTGCAAAGTATCAGCCTGTCGTATATTTAGAACAGAGACCCCAGGGTGGGAGCATCTCATGGCAGCTCCCAATTGAATGCCAGATGCAAATGATCACTTGCTATTAATCCCAGCCTTGCTAACATTTGGTCCTGAGCATCACAGCTAATTGACGGGATGAATTACCATTTCTACGGATGGTGCCACCTGTGACATTCAGGATCTTTGAGAGGTAGAACCCGCAGTAGTTTAACATTGCCAGTTTAGTCAGTTATGATCATTGATACATGGCTCACCATTTTCTCTCTTTCTCTCTCTCCCTGTGTGTGTGTGCGTGTGTGCATGTTACATGGTTTCACTATGAGATATACAGCATTTTATTTTGTCTACATATGCAAATGTTCAGTGACAGGGACAAAAAGAAAAAAAATCAAGAATAATGAATGTGATTAAGTGGAAAACTACTTATAAAACACTCTAAAGTTGACTAATATAGGCAAACACTGTTAAAGTCGATTTTAGGGAATCATCCAGGTATTTCACATAGCATAGGCTATAACTTCATTAAAGAAAACATGGTCACCCCTGCCTGAACTGCACCCAGATTGCACCCCAGTGGCTCTGAGCCAGGACAGGTGGCCAGTCACCCCCTGCCTGAATTGCACCCAGATGGCACCCCAGTGGCTCTGAGCCAAGACAGGTGGCCTTCCCACCTGCCTCATTACCTTACGGTGACACCCCTCCCCCCACCCCCACCCTGAGGGGCTGCAGTGTGATAATTCTGGGAAGAGCTTCAGAACCTATCTGTCCTGCATGCTAATCCAAGTTTCCAAGTGATTTTATGTGCATTTTCTCATCCAGTGCTCCCAACAATTACAGCTTGTCTTTCACTAACCGAAAGCATTCTTCTCTATCCCTCCCAGTAATTCCTGCAGGGCATAACCTGTGAGGAAAAGATTAGAGATGGCTAATATTTTGGGTATAATGAACGAAGCCAGCTTCAGTTTATTTTCATTAAACACAATTCCCATTTCCAGGTGTTTGTTAGTTTTGGTGAACATCACAGGATGGCCTTTCCCCGGTAAGTGCAGCAATCCATCTGTTGTAAGGAGCACCTCTGCACTCAGACCTCCTGATGTGGAAGTGCTTCAAGGTAAAAGCAGGCTTCCCAAAGCTTGCGTTGATTGTAATTGTAGTGAAAGTTAGAAACAAAAGCCAGTAGTTACTGAGAACAGAAGTTGAGCACCAGACCTCGGATATAGCATAGGGGTATGGAAGATCTTATAGAACAAGAGGAAAAAACAAGGCATTTTCTTTGAAAAGGAAGGTGGAGGCCCAATTGAGACAGGCTGAAATTCACCCAAGAGGGGAGATTATCAAAGAGATGCATATTGAAGACGTCCTTTGATGTCAGGGTGAAGTAGTATGGTGACTAAAATATTAGAACTATCTCTAGAGGGCAGCTGGGGATGTCTGCTCCTATTAATCCACTAGAGTCTAGACCTGAAAGGCTCATGGGGGCCCTTCCCCAACCCTCTGCTCTCACTTCCCAAGGCTATAAGTGGCCATGATCTGTGCTGAATCCCCACTGCAGGGAACATTCCAGAACAAGGATTGACACTTACATCTCTGTGATACACTACTTGTTCTCTCATATTCTTGATAGTTGGTCCTGAGCCAAGTATTCTAGCAAAGATGGTGCAGCACAGAAAATTCTCAGGTTTCATTTTCCATTTAGGGAATGTGGGAGCTCTGGTCAGAGACCCACAGATGACCCCAACCTCAAAGCTGGCCAGCTGTGCTGCACCCATGGGGAGAAGGAGATGAGGCCTGCATGCTGTGGCAGACACAGGTGGGTGGAGAAGTAGATGAGGCCTGCATGCTGTGGTGGACACAGGTGGGTATTGTCAGCATCCTGCTGTCTTCACAGTGAGAGCCCTTTCAGAGAGTCCCAAATCCAAGCCAGCCTCCTTCAACCATCCCTGGAGAGGTGGATCTCATAGCATCTGCCAAGAGTCTTGTGCTTAACTGTGTATCACGACAGACTCTTTCCCTGACCAGACTTTAGGCAGGCCCCTCTCTAAGCTCTTCTCAACTAAGCCCTGACTTTGGAGCATTTTTTCTTGTCTCTGCCTTCTCCAGTTTTAGCAAGAATCCTGCTTAGTTTGGCTATCCTGGGTATCTGATCACCCTAACTATCTGATCAGGTTTCTCCTTCACCAACCCCCAGGTGGTTGTCTGATCACCCTGGTCTGTGTTCAGCAAGAGTCATGTTCAGGTGATGTAGCCAGAATGCCCCTTACCCTTGATGTCTCCTGTAAATAATATTCCATCCACTGATCCCCACCTCACTACCTGGCTATAAACTCCCATTTGTTTTTTGTATTTGGAATTGTGCCCAATCTCTCTCGCCCACTTCAAAATGCAATTGCAGGGTCTCTATGGCTCTGAATAAAGTCTGCCTTACTGCCTTATCAAAGGTCATTTTTTTTTCTTTAACAATAACACTGAACTCTTCCCCGAGGTTAAACCAAGGAACATTCTCAAAATTATATCCAATTATCTTCCTAAAAACAAAAGGGAGTTGCTGTATAACTGGTCTTCATTTCTTCCCTAGACAAAACAAAAAGTAGACTTGAACATTTCTTAAAAGACTGGTCTCCTTAAATTCTTTTAGTTTCTCTTCATTTTTATCAAAATATAAAAACCAAATTCAGAATCAGTTTCTCAACTTTTCAATATTTTCTTTCTCTATTGGCATCTCAGCATCAAAGTATTAAAGTAGTGCCGTGAGACTCACACCTCCAATGGCTAGGAAATTGGCCAGCTTAGGCACCAATACTGCACCCAAGTCTGGAACTGTAGAATACAGTGATGATCTTGTATTGACTTTGAAACTCATCTGTAAGAGTTATTCGAGTTTTTTCCATGGAAAAAGAATGCAATATTGTCAAAATTGCTGATAACGGCCAAGTCAGGGCTCACAGCCCTTACCGTCTTTCAGAACAGTTGGGGGTGTAGAAAAAGAAACTACAGCTAACACTCAGCACCTGCAAATGGCCAGGTGCAGCTCTAAACCTTATTTGTGTGAAAACTCACTTAATTGTCACAACAACCCTACAGGAGGCGAATGTTATTATGGGATCCCCATCTTCCAGATGAAAAAAACTGAGGCACAGAAAGGTTAGTTAGGCAGCCCTAACCATGTGGCTGGTAAGAAGAACAGAGCTTCAAAGCCTGAGATAGTCATAACCTAGCTAGGAAAACTTTTTAGTTGTTACTAAACAGATGCAGAGGCATATTGAAAGTAAAAGTAAAATGCAAAAACAGAAGAGGTAGAAAGGGTGCCAAGGTGAGAAGTTGGCAGTCTTTTCTTCTGGAAACTTCCAGGAGATTTAGAATGAAAGAAAGAAAGCAGCCAAGGGGATCATGGTAAACACGAGGCAGCCTGGACATGGCATAGCACCCCCAGGCTGCCGGACTCCAGGGCATGCCCAAGGGTAGCTGCAGAGTCAAACTAAACCAAGAAACAGAGTTGGGCAGTGTAAAGAGCTGTAGGCTTCACGCAGTGGGAGACAGGCCACCCAGCCCACATGAGGGACAGAAAGCCACTTAAGGGCACGAGCTTTCATTAGCATAGAACCATGCTGCCCATTTTACCAGGTATTTTCATTGAGCAGGCCATGGGCTGGGTGTCCTATAAGGCAGGCCTGGGTTCCTCTTCAGGCTGCTGTCATAACGCAGTTCTGAGCTGCAATGATTGAAACGGATGGAGGAGGGAGTATTGGGAATAAACAAGAGTGAAGGTCATCTCAAAGCACCTTTTACATTTTTCCCGAAAGGTGGAGTTTTGAAAGCAGAACCCCTTGAAAATGTGTTCTTGTGCATGCTATTCCTTCAGACTGTGAGCAATTTCTCCTCTCCGCACCTACACGGGGGAAGGCTTCCGGACCAGGTTTCTGCAAAGAGCACTTGCGTGGTTCATAAAAGCAACACCGGAACTCACTCACTCTGCCTTCTCCATCCCTCTGGGCATGGCTCATTTCCATCTTAACTGCATCTCTAAGTAAATCAAGAGCCAGCGAAAGGAAGTATGAAGATATAGTGGGGAACCTTGAACAATTCCTTTTTTACTCCCAATTACTTTAGGTAAAACTCTGAATCCAACTTGTTTTATTTGTGATGCTATTGTTACAGCCTCAAAACCTGTTTTGACTTGGAAAGGCATTCCAAATAGGTACACTGGGAACTCAACCTAAAATAGCCAGTTAATTTTACACGCACATTTTATTTTCAGGGAACGTGCGTATGTCGCATACAATGAAGAGGGGAAAATGGAGACTGGAGTTTATGATGTAATCTTTATGCGAATTTTATTATTTCATAAAATGTGAATACGTTCATGGGAAAGAGGCCATGAAACATATTCACTTTTGCTACACATGCTGATAACTTCAAAGTCAGGTGGACGGGAATTGACACAGAATTTTCATAATAAGGGCTGATAAAATGTGCTATTGTGTCAACACATACTTCTAGCTTCTGTTTTTAAATGTTTTGCTAGTAATAGGTTTAAAAAGTGATTTGTTTCTGTTTTTTTCTTTTTGAGATGGAGATTTGCTCTTTTCCCCCAGGCTGGAGTGCAATGGTGTGATCTTGGTTCATTGCTACCTCCACCTCCTGGGTGCAAGCGATTTTCCTGCCTCAGCTTCCTGAGTAGCTGGGATTACAGGCACCCGTCACCGTGCCTGGCTAATTTTTGCACTTTTAATAGAGACGGGGTTTCACCATGTTGGCCAGGCTGGTCTCGAACTCCCGACCTCAGGTGATCCACTCATCTTGGCCTCCCAAAGTGCTGGGATTATAGGCATAAGCCACTGTGCCCAGCCTGATTTAATGGTTATTGCCTATCTCTTTCCTCTCAGTTATAGGCATGTCAGACCTGTGTCCTATACCTCCTGCTGCGGGTGGCTCTGCATAGAGCTCAGGCAGTTTTAGGAACTGTCTTAGTTCCCTCAGCAGGAGCCCTGCCCATGTCCAACTGCCTGTCTTGGTTTGGTGGCCTCCCCAGCCAAATTCCCTCTTCCTCTCTGTATCATACAACCTCCCCCTTCCCAAATACAGATAACTGCCGGAATGGTGGGCATCTGCTGTGCTGTGCAACGTGGTTCCCTTTGTGGGTGTTACTCACGCAAATCACGTCCTCTCGTGGCTGCCACCATTATGGACCAGGGCCCGTAACAAATTCCATAACTTCACAGGATTTGCCTTAAGAAATAACGATTGCCATAATCGCCGCGGTGGTGGACCCTGTCCCGGAGAGCTGTCTTCTGTCAAATAAAAAGCAGCTCCTGCTGGAGGCATTGCTCACTCCCAGCAGCCCACAGTCAGTAACTGGCTGACCTAGGGGTCAAAGCATTGGCCCTATTGCCACAGGTGGATCATATCCCTGCAGGGCGCTCTGTGCGCCAGAGCCAGCCTGTGAGGTCAGACAGAGGCCAGTCCCCAGCTGAAACCACATCCCTGACTTACGCAGCTCCCCACCTAACCCTTGTTCAACCAATCCTTCATCAGTCCCTCGCACGAGAACCCCCTTCTCAGGTTCTACTTCTAGGAAACCCAGCTGTTTACATTTCTGAGGGCTGCCATAACAAACTTCCACATGTCTGGTTGCTTTAAACAATAGAAATTTGGTCCAAAATTGAGATGTAGGCAGTGTTAATTCCCATGCCTCTCTTAGCTTCTGGTATCTGCCAGCAATCTTTGGCATACTTTGGCTTGTAGACACACAACTCCAATTTCTACCTCCGTCTTCACATGGCCTTCTTCTCCCTGTGTCTTCATGTCTAAATTTCCATCTCCTCTCTCTTAGAAGGACACCAGTCCTTGGATTTAGGGCTTATAGTAAGTCCAGGCTGATCTCATCTCCAGATCCTAACTTAATTACATCTGCAAATACTCTATTTCAAAATAAGGTCAGATTCTGAGGTACCAGGAGAACACGAATGTTTGGGAAACACTGTTCAACCCACTACACCAACCTAACACATTTCAGCAAAGTGCCTACAAGCCAAGGTAAGTAAGCAAAAGAAAGCACAGGCCCCTGATTTTCCCTCTGATGCCATAGAAAGGCATTTGGGCCAAGACACTGTGGTGGGCAGGCAGTGTGGCTGTGAATTCTAGGGGAAGTTCCCCTCTGCTAGGCTGCCTGCCCTTTAAACAAGGCAAGTGTGAGAGCAATCTTGTAAGTAAGGGAATAATCCAGCTACCGGGGCACCAGGCAGGATGAATTTAGATGTCAGCTGTTTGAAGCAACTGTTTGGAAAGTCCAGATCCCCAGAATACGGAAGCCTTGAAGACACAGTAGAAGCTGGGTTCAGATGCATCCCCCCTACCCTGAAAAAGGAAGATATTGGTCCCATGGGAAGCTGAAATTGGGTTGAGGCTTCCCCACTGGGAACAAGGGGAAGTGCTAGCTGAGATGCTGTCCAACAACCAGAAGGGAGCTTCCAGAGCACTTTAAGACAACAGTGCTTTGCACACCACATCATACAGGACAGGCGGCCTGTGACTTAGTTACTATGAGAGTTCTGCCCTAAGACCAATCTTTTTTCTCTCTCTCTGAGATTTTAATAAAAGATGTAGAGTGAAAGAGCATAGAAGTGATAGAGGGGAAGAACAAGCATAATTCATAGTGGAAAGTGATGTGAGAGAGACATAGACAGAGGCTGGTGTGCTGGGAATCAAACTGAGTGAAGTTAATGGTCAGGTGAAGCTCCGTGGGTTGTACATGAAGGAGCAATGGAACAGCATGGGCTCCAGACTGCCTGGGAGCTCAAACAGCCTTCCAGGCTCCACTTTCGGAAAGGTACACATGAGTGACAGTTCCTTTCCTTCTTTGTTGCCTGGCCATGTGGTTGATGATCCTAGCATCTTCGTTTCTAAATGTGTCTCATAACCTGCAGAGACATGAGTCAGTCTTATTCCAGTTCATCTAAATGAACCAACAAAATGTCTCATAAAAATATGAAGATAAAATTAATCTGAATATGTGAAACTATATTAAAAAGCCTAAAGTTCTGTACAAATGGAACACATTATTAGACATAAATAAGTCATGTTCATACTGGAAGCCACATTCATCATCACTTAGTTCTATCACTTACTTCATCATCACTTACTTCTATCTCGGTGAGTCTGAGATTCAGCTTAAACATCTTACCATGATCATGGAACAGATTCAACAAAGATCTCCTGAATATCCTCAAAAAATAGCATAAGATAAACCATCCAAGGTCCTTTACTGCTATTATTCATCTCTCATTCAGTTATGCATTCATTCACTACATGGAGACTAAGGAATGAAAATGAGCAAAATTATTATGTAATAATTATATAACATATAATTATAATTTTTACAAAATAATTTTGCTCATTTTCAAACCCAATCTGACCCCTTGTTGGGTTTGTATCATAATCCCAAAAGACACAATCACAAATGCCATGATCCCAAAAATTGAAATCCTGAAAGATTGAAATCCCTAAAGACCAAAAATCTCAAAGTTCAAATCCCTAAAGCCTAAAATCCCTAATATCTAAAATCTTGAAAATCACTATCAGAAAATAGTTGCATCATGTTAGGCAGATCTAGCCATCTTGTTATTAAGCATGGTTTAAGGCGAGGAATATGGGTGCCAAGTTACCCACGTTGACCAGTAGTGACTTAATGTGGTCACCAGTGGACTTAATGTTAGGTGTTAACTTGATTAAGAACTGAAGGAATACCTAGAAACCTGGTAAAGTATTATTTTGAGTGTGTCTGTGAGGGTATTTCCAGAAGAGGTTACCGTATGAATCTGGGTGGACTAAGTGAGGAAGATTTGCCTTCCATGTTGTCAGGTGCACCATCCAATTCGCTGGGCACCAGGAAAGAACAAATACAGAAGGCAAATTGGAAAAAGCTGTCAGCAACAAAAGCTTACAACGGATTCTGAGGCACAGATCCCTCTCTCTGAGAGCTGGGACAGATGTTTCTTCTGCTGCCTTGGACATCAGAACTCTAGGTTCGCCAACCTTTGGACTCTAGGAACTTACACCAGCAGCTCCCAGGATCCTGAGGTTTTCAACCTTGGACTGAGAGACACATCGTCGGCATCCCTGGTTCTCAAAGTATAAACATTGGAACTTCCTCAATAAATGAAGAGATGTCCTTTTTGTACATTTGTATCTGTGAAAGATGCAATTTCTGGAGATCTTGGTTCTTTGGGCGATTGCAAATGCGGTGGCGAACCTTTGCAGTTTTGATTGACTCGTCAAAAGACTAAGGTTGTTCATCATGGTATTTCAGACGACTGTAGTTAGAAAGCTGGGTGCACACAATAACCAACCATAGTGATGTGAATTTATACATTTCCCTTTTTAGCCTGTTTCTTTATGAATATGTGCTGTCTGTTCCTAACTGTTATGCTCATGTGACTATCATTAGTATACCTGAGTGTTTATGCTTGCAAAAATATTTATGTTATTATTGCTTATTTTATTGTGTAAAGTGGCCTATCATGTTTCTCGATGATGTTTTTATGTTTTTCCAATAAATCCCCCTTTAAAAATATAAATAAATACCTCTAATATAATTTTTTATATTATTTCTTCCAGAATTATAATTTGGGGATTTGATCTTTCAGTGTTGTTATTTTCAGGATTTTAGACTTTGCAAATTTTGACTTTCTAGGATTTCAACATTCAAGATTATGGTGTTCTAGGTACTGTGTCTTTCAGGATTATGATCAGCTGCCCACTTCTATTTGCGGATGAGACAGATTTAATCAAATAGTCATAGAAATGAAAGAAAAATCACAACTTTGATAAGTACTACAAAGAAGATCTCTGATGCTCTGAGATAATACAAGAGGGTAAATTGATCTATTAGGAGGTTGCAGTTGTGGAGCAGGGGTTGTGAGGGCCAGAGGAAGGAGAAAGGCCCTGCAGACAGAGAGCATATGATGTGTGCACATCCCTTAGACAGGAGGAGTCATTGTGGACTAGCAGAAGAGAAAAGAGCACAGAAAGCCAGATGGAGCATGATTTAAGGTGAAGGTGGAAATTCTCTGGGGAGAAGGCTGTTCAGGGCCTTGGGGACCAACGTAAGGATCCTGGTCTTTGTTCTATGAGCAATGGGCAGCAAGGAGCATATTTCAAGCAAGAGATTAATATAATGAGAGTGTTCTTCTTAAAAAATTACATGTGGCTTTTAATTCAAGATGGTAGAATGAGCTATTGATATTCCCTTTAAGCTTCCTTAAAATAAGAGTAATGAGCTAAGAAAAGAGGGAAAATCATTATGGCAAAGAAAACAGGAAAAGCTGTCAGCAACCAAAAGATGTCAGCAGATTCTGAAGCACCGATCTCTCTCACTATATCTTAGTCTGCTGGACTGCTTTCACAAAAATACCATAGACTGGATGACTTATAAACAACATGTATTTCTCACAGTTCTGGAGGCCAAGAAGTCTAAGATCAAGGCACTGGCAGGTTCAGTGTCTGGTGAGGGTTCATTGCTCATAGTTGGCGCCTTCATGCTGTGTCCCTAGATGATGGAAGGGGCCAATGAGCTCCCTTGGGCTTCTTTTATAAGGGCTCGAATTCCACTGATGAGAGCTCCACACTTATGACCTAATCACCTCTCAAAGACTGCACCTTTTACTACCATCACATTGGGGATTAGGTTACAACATATAAATTTGGTGGGAGCCGAAAACCTTCAGACAACAGCACATCATAAAGCAACAAAGACTATTCCATAACCCTTGCCCACTTATATAAGTTTCCTTCCTATCTGCTCAATCTTTAATATAAATGGAAATCAACAGCCATCAGATATTCAAGGAATGCTTGCATCATGAAGGAGGAAGACCAAGGCAACAAATATAAAAATACAAACGTTGGATGAAACACAATTCAGAAAACGGGAGAAAACGAAAATAATCATCATCATCATCATTAAGAATTCCAGGAGATAATCTATTTGTAAGACAAAAATAGAATTGTGATGAAGAATGTGAAAGAGACACTAAGATAAATAAAATACAGAATGAGAAGACTAAATAGATAACTAACTGGAATCTCAGGAATATAAAAGAAAATCATTAAAAAGATACAATTTTTAGAACTATCAGAAAATATGTATTAAAAATCCCAAAAGTACAATATACTGAGATAAATAAAATCAGAATATATAAAAAGAAATTTGTGTCCAAACACACTTTGACAAAATTACAGAACATCAAAAACAAAGAGGAGATCTTAAATGAAGCCATAGAGCAAGGACAAACAGCCTACAAAAAGGAAACAATTTAAATGACTTCAGACTTTCCAACAGCACTAATGAAAGCTAGAAGATAATGATATTTTACCTCCAAAGTACAAAGGGAAAATATATAGTCAGTACAGAATTGTGTGCCCAGCCAAATACTCTTTTATGAAAAAGATAAAACAAGGATGGGTAAAGATAACAAAAACTGAGAGGGTATGCCACAAAGAAACCTGAAATAAAGAAAATTCTAAAGGATATGCTTCAAGAAAAAGGAACACGACCTTAAAAAGATGGTTTGGGATCCAAGTAAGAATGAACAAATGAAATTATAAAACAGTAAGCAAATCCAAAGAAATAACATCTGAATAAGCTAATAATAAAATAATACCTAGTATCTGGGTTAAAAAAAAATAAATATATAGAAGTAGAGAAAACAACAGGAGCATGTAAGTTTTGTTTGATTGTTTCTTTGTTTTTGAGACGGAGTCCTGCTCTGTCACCCAGCCACCGTGCCTGGCCCAGAAGCATGTAGGTTTTGAGGTGAGTGTTCAGAATCAAAATGCTCCAAAACCTGCTTTTGTTTTTTGTTTGCTTTTCATGGAAGAAGGTGCTTAGGTTATTGCTTAATTGCAGACTTTTGCTAATTTAAATGTACATGGTAAATTTCCAAGGTAACATCTAAATAAATGGAAATAGAATATATACATTCTAAGTAAGTACAGTAAAAGTAAAAAAGAAAAACTTATTAAACAAAGAAAGAAGGATGTATAAGGATGATAAAGTGTGACAAATAGAAGTCAAAAGTAAGGTGTGAAAAGAAGTTCAGTATATCAAAAATCATAAAGAATGTGGGCCGGGCATGGTGGCTCATGCCTGTAATCCCAGCACTTTGGGAGGCCAAGGAGGGTGGATCATCTGAGGTCGGGGGTTTGAGACCAACCTGACCAAAATGGAGAAAACCCATCTCTACTAAAAATGCAAAATTATCCAGGCATGATGGTGCATGCCTGTAATCCCAGCTACTCGGTAGGCTGAGGCAGGAGAATCACTTGAATTCGGGAGGCAGAGGTTGCGGTGAGCTGACATCGTGCCATTGCACTCCAGCCTGGGCAACAAGAGCGAAACTCCATCTCAAAAACAGAAAAAAAAAAAAAAAAAAAAAAAAAAAGAGTGTGAGTAGACTAAACTTGTGTTTGAATAATCCTGCCCATGGAAGGGCTCAGAAAAGATGGAATAGCTAACTATTGTTTTCTACTATATTAGACTTTTGACTTTTTAACCTTGATCATTTTGGTGTATTTTTAAAAATGGGAATGAAAGGTATTTTGGGCTGAAGTATGAAAGAAGGAGAGTAGAGAGAGGCAAGACGGGCTATTAGGATGTTATTACCATAGCCTGACTGACTGATGATAAACACACTTAAACTTTTTAAAAACTTCCTCAATCATTTCATGGAATGGATTCTGACGAAGAGAAATTTTGGTTCAGACGTCAGTATTAATTTTTAATATGTATTGCCAAATTTATCTGAAGGAAGTTTATACCCTTCAATGCTGTTACACATTTATAACATTTTCTTGTAAAAGTACTCATTGCATGCGTATCAAATTCAGGCACTATTCCAGTTTACAATAGGGAATAAGAGAGGCGAAGCTGCTGTCCTCATGGATCTGCCATTCCAGTGGGGAAAGGTGAGGAAGACAAATGGTATAAAAAGCAAATCAATAAATAATTTTATATGATAAAAAGTTAAGAGGAAAATAAAATAGGTGAGTTGATGGGAGGTGACTTCAGAATACATAGTAAGTGAAGGACCCTTAGCCAGGACTTGAGTGACCTGGAGGGACAGCCGGGCCTGGCAAAGGGATGGCAGTGTAAAGAGCCTGAAGTGGAATTACCTGGGTATCACCAAGGAATAGAAAAATGCCCATGTGGCCACTGCATAGTGAGCAGAGGGCTGGGTGGGGTAAGGAAGGTGTGCAGAGACCAGATGGTAAGGAGCTTGGGTTTTCTTTAAAAAAGACAACTAAGATTTATATATACAGCTATATCCATGGGAAGGAAAAAACAGACACCTGATGTACAGATCAAATTCAGAAGTGTGTCCTCATTCACACCATGTAGGAATCTCACCTTTACAAGCAGAGTTAGGAGCCTAGGGCTTTCTACATGCATCTTCTCAATTATAACAATCGCAGATGTAGATGTCATCGTCTCCATTTGAATGTCAAGGAAGCAGAGCCAGACAAGTCACACTGCTTGTAAATAGCAGAATCTGGCCTTAAATGCAAGTTGTGCTGAAGCACGTGTTCTTTCCAAACAAAGTTCCAGAGCCCATGTTCTTTCTATCAGAAGCTAAGGGACCACCCACCTGCATACTGGCATGATGAGGCTCTAGAAACTGACATGCAACCTCTTGGCCACCTAAACTTTGTAAAGGTGACTTGGGTTTCAGTATTTTACTTACCATTTATAATTTTGTGCCTCACCTATTTCCAAATATAAACGTGTGTGTGTGTGTGTGTGTGTGTGTATATATATATATATATATATATATCTCCTGTTATCCTATTTATGAACTAAAAATATTATAAGAAACTTGAAAAGTCAAGTGTGTGGAGTGTTACCGGCTGAAATGTGTCCCCACAAAATTCATGTGTTGAATTTCTAATCCCCAGTTGCTCAGAATGTGACTGTGTTTGGAGATAGGGTCTTTAAAGGGGTATTTAAGGTAAAACGAAGTCATATGGGTGGGTCCTGTTCCAATCTGACTGGTGTCCTTACAAAAAGAAGAGATGAGGATGCAGGAACATGTAGAGGGGTGGGCCTATAAAGACACACAGAGAATGGCCTCAGGAGAGTCCAGCTTCGCTGACACCTTGGTCTCAGAAATCCAGCTTCCAGGTTTGTGAGAAAATAAATTTCTGTTGTTGAAGCCACTAGTCTGAAGTACTTTGTTATGGGACCCTAGCAGACTAGTACTTGAATTGTTTATGTACACTAAATATGGTATAATACTAGAATATTTCTGTGGCCATATTTCAGGCGATTGATGTAGTTAAATTCCACAAAATCAAAACAAGATGTTTAACATGTATCTCTTGAATTATTAATAGTAACATTTTTTTTTTTCTTGAGACGGAGTCCCACCCTGTCACCCAGGCTGGAGTGCAGTGGCACAATCTTGGCTCACTGTAACCTCCACCTCCGGGGTTCAAGCAATTCTCCCACCTCAGCCTCCAGAGTAGCTGGGATTACAGGAGCGTGCCACCATGCCCGGGTAATTTTTTAACATCTCTACTAAAAATAGTAGAGATGGGGTTTCACCATGTTGGCCAGGCTGGTCTCAAACTCCTGGCCTCAAGTGATCTGCCCACCTTGGCCTCCCCAAGTGCTGGGATTACAAGCATGAGCCACCGTGCCTGGCCCATTTTGTACATTTTAAATTTTATCATGTGTTTACTTTCCAGCATATAGAACGGCAGAACATCAGATTAGTAAATAGCATTCATTACTGCAATCACTCTTCCAATGTACATACAATTGACTCTCTGAACAATGCGGATTTCAAGTACACAAGTCCACTTAGACACAGATTTGTTTTCAACCACACGTAGCTTGATAATGCAGTATTTGAGGGATGGAAAACTGAAGTATACAACCTTTTTTTATATGCAGGTTATATAGGGCTGACTTCTGAACTTGAGTATGCCTGGATTTTGGTATACTTGGGGGTCCCGAAACCAATCCCCCACACATACAGAGAGATGAATGTACTAAGCTCACGCTGTGAGCTAATTAACTTTTCTTTGCATTTCCATAGAAACCACCCCAACCCAGGCCATTATTGCTTCTCAACAGACCTCAGCTATGTCCTACTTACATTCTGTAGCCAAACTGCACTAGGTTTCATCATTAAATGGTCAAGCTACTGCATCTTCTTCCCATTTTCCTCTACTTTAAATACCTTCTCTTGGCTGGGCGCGGTGGCTCACGCCTGTAATCCCAGCACTTTGGGAGGCCGAGGTGGGCGGATCACGAGGTCAAGAGATCGAGACCATCCTGGCTAACACGATGAAACCCCATCTCTACTAAAAATACAAAAAAAAAAAAAAAAAAGAAAAAAAAAATTAGCCAGGCGCAATGGCGGGCGCCTGCAGTACCAACTACTCGGGAGGCTGAGGCAGGAGAATGGCGTGAACCCGGGAGGCGGAGCTTGCAGTGAGCCGAGATCACGCCACTGCACTCCAGCCTGGGCGACAGAGCGAGACTCCATCTCAAAAACAAAAAACAACAAAAAAAAAAACCTTCTCTTCTAGTCCTGCCAGAAATTAAGCCCCACTCTCCAAGCCCAACTCCAATGGTATCACGTCCAGCAACTATTTCCTAACCAACTGACCATAAGTGGCCTCTGCCTTTCTTAACTTCTATTTTACTTTGAATCGGTAATGGGCTTTCATTTTAATTATTAGCCTAAGCATCTTAGTTTTCATCCTAAATTACAAACTTCTCACAGAAAGGAAGTGTGGCTTGTGAGTTTTAAAATTACCTCCTGGTTGGGCGCAGTGGCTCAAGCCTGAAATCCCAGCATGTTGGGAGGCCGAGGCGGGAGGATCGCTTGAGCCCAGAAGTTTGAGACTAGTCTGGGCAATGCGGTGAAGTCCCATCTCTACAAAGAATGCAAAAAATTAGCCAGGGCATGGTGGCATGCACCTGTAGACTCAGCTACTCGGGAAGCTGAAGTGGAAGGATCATTTGAGTACAGGAGGTTGAGGTTGCAGGGAGGCATGATCACACCACTGCACTCCAGCCTGGTCCATAGAGTGAGACCCTGTCTAAAAAATAAATAAATATAAAATAAATAAAAAAAAATCACTTTCTGCTTTGTACATAGCTGGGATTCAGTCTGTACTTATTAAATAAATAAGTGTCATATTAAGAATTGCTTCTCCGTAATGCAAGTGACCTTCCACTTATTTTTGTATGGTAAATTTTAGTTGAGAATTCAGGTGGGTCACACTTTAACATGACTGCCCTGAGGCGGATCACATAGGGATTACATCATCTACCTTCATGAAACATAGGAGGGAAATTCAGATTATGGAGCTTATGTCCTGAACCTGCCAGGGGAGGTTGCTGGTGGTATTTATTGGTATTTTTCTTCATCCTTGAGACAAACAATGCAACCAAATTCTTTACAGAAAAGAGAGAAGGGAGAGTGTAAAAGTGGACATTGGATAACACCTAATTCAATAACAACATTCCGAAGAAGGAGTCAGACATTGCTGAGACTGTTACATAGCAGCATTAGCAGGTTACAGTTCTCACTCCAGGAAGGTAATTTACCCTAAGGCTGGCACTGATTTACAATAGATGAGGTGCGGGCACAGCTCTTCAGTGTTGACCAGCACCGGCACATGGGATTGCAGCAATAACCTGTGTAACACAGACAGCAATACCAAACCGTGCACTTGGAAGCCAGGGATGGGGAGAAATTGATGTGGAATGTGTAGCTTTAAACCTGCTACTATCTGCATGTGTGTGTACGTGTGTGTGCGTGTGTGTGTGTGCATGCATACATGTATGTGTGTCAAAAATAGCAAGAAACCACTAAAAGGCCTCAGTTCCACTTTTGGAGAAAAGCCATTCTTTAAAAGGACTTTAATTGGGAAAGTAATATCTGCTGCGGGTGACACAGGAAAGGCATCTGTGGAGTCACGTGACACATAAAGAGGAAAAGGCCCACACCTCTCAAAAATCACTGCAAAGAATCCCGAGCAATGGAGTGGACAGCACCAGTGTGGTGGAACTCTTGGAAGACGCTTTCAACTTGTCACATGTAAAACTGCATTAAAATGTCTTTCATATGTCCATGAGCACTGCATTGTTGAAGGCAAATGACTGTGATGCTTTAAGGATGCCCAATTTGAAGAATCCATTGCTTCCTAAAGAACTCTGGGGAGCATAGCTCAAAGTAGCCTAAAAAATCGCATTCTTCTCTTTCTTCACATACAGACCTTTAAAAAATTGGAAAGGTCAAATTTGCTTCTGTATATAATCTAATAGGTATGCAATATTTTTGGAGAAAAGAAAATATTTTAAAAGAAAATTTTCTTTTAAAACAAATTTATAAAATAACTCATCTTTTATTATTTTATTTATAAATATATACAAAAATATATAAATATTTTTATATATTTATAACTATTTATTATTCATTTTATTAGAGAATATACAAAAACATGTGATATGGTTCTGCTCTGTGTCCCCACCCAAATCTCACCTTGAATTGTAATAATCCCCATGTGTTATGGGAGAAACCCAGTGGGAGGTAATTGAATCATGGGGGCGGTTTCCCCTATACTGTTCTCATGGTGGTGAATAAGTCTTACAAGATCTCATGGTTTTATAAGGGGTTACCCCTTTCGCTAGGCTCTGATTCTTTCTTGTCTGCTGCCGTGTAAGGCGTGCCTTTCACCTTCCACCATGATTGTGAGGCCTCCCCAGCCACATGGAACTATGAGTCTATTAAACCTCTTTTTTCTTATAAACTACCCAGTCTCAGGTATGTCTTTATCAGCAGTGTGAAAACGGACTAATACAACGTGCTTTGGATTAACATACAGAAACAAGTCAACATTTATTAGAATCTCCTTTGCACAAATATATTTGCAATGGGCCGAATATCTGTGCCTCCCCAAAGTTCATTGTTGATATCCTAACCCCCAATGTGATGTTATTCAGAGATGGAGCCTTTGGGAGGTGATTAATTCATGGAAGCCCTCAGGAATGGGATTAGTACCCTGATAGAATTGACTCCAGAGAGTGCTCTTGTTTCCTTTCCACTGTGAGAAAATACAGGGAGGAGATGACCATCTACGAACCAGGAAGCAGGCCCTAACCAGATGCCGAACCTTCTGCTGCTTTAATGTTAGACTTTCAGCCTCCAGTACTGTGGGGGGAGAATGTTGGTTTTTGAGAAGCACACAGGTGTGACATTCTGTTATAGTAGCCCAAGTGAACTGAGACAATATTCATTCTAAACAAAGCTGAATTATGGCCTATTTTATTCATTTGATTTTTTATATCCATTTAAAATATACCATTTAGTCTTCTAATTCATAAAGTCTAAATGCACAGAAAGATAACTTCCAAGTCAACTCGATGATTCTGCACTAAAAGCTTTTTAGAAGTAGAGACCAATACAAATAAAATGGAAATAAATTTAGATGTGGGCAAAACAATTTGCATTGAGCCACAAACATAAACTATCTTTGGTGAGATTTAAAGCTATGAACCTGCACCACACTGATGAGCAAATCTGTGAGAAATCTCATTTGAGGACCTCCTCAGTTGATTGTCTATTATCCTCCAGGAGCTGTGATAACACTAATAAGAAAATACTCCCTTGTAGAGAGCTTCAGGAGCTGTAAGAGAAATTATTCAATCCATCCTTGTACCCTTCCTTGAGCTCACTGTGGAATTACTCTGATGGAAAACTGCCTTTGTGGTCCCACCATGGAAAAGGTGCTCCTGAAGTTTCCTAAAATAAGGGCAGGAAGGCCTCACTGGCCAATACACTTATCAGGAGAATAGCAGTACAGACTTTTAACAAAAAATAGAGAGTACTTTCAATAAATAAAGCATAAAAGTAAGGCTTTCGTATGCTGCCTAAATCCTAATCTTGTACATATCTTTCAGTTACCACAGTATGGCTTCCCGCCAACCTCTGGGATGTGGCATGTAATGGGACTCCCAGGATGAAAAGACTCGGTGTCCTGTCGTTCATTCATTCATTTATTCATTCATTCAGTCATTTAATATGTATGTATCTGTCTATGCTATGCCAAGAAAAGCCATGGGCATTGGGATAGAGCAGTGAGGAAACCAACACATCTGCCTCCTCAGAGAATTTACAGTCCAGAAGGGTAGAGACAGACCCACATAAAATGGTAGACTACTAGTTTCTTTCCTTTCCACATACTCCCATCATCATTTTCCATTGAGATGGTATTTTTTCCCTAATGCTGATATGCAATTATCTCATCTAAAAGAAATCATCTGGCCGGACACAGTGGCTCATGCCTGTAATCCCAGCACTTTGGGAGGCCGAGGTGGGCAGATCACCTGAGGTCAGGAGTTCCAGGCCAGCCTGACCAACATGGAGAAACCCTGTCTCTACCAAAAATACAAAATTAGCCAGGCATGGTGGTGGGCACCTGTAATCCCAGCTACTTGGGAGGCTGAGGCAGGAGAATTGCTTGAACCTGGGAGGCGGAGGTTGTGGTGAGCTGAGATCGTGCCATTGTACTCCAGCCTGGGCAACAAGAGCGAAACTCAGTCTCAAAACAAAACAAAGAAAGAAGGAAGGAAGGAAGGAAAGAAAGAAAAAAAGGAAGGAAGGAAGGAAGAAAGAAAGAGGGAGAAAGAAAGGAAGAAAGGAAGAAAGAGAAAGAAAGAAATCATCCACATATAAACTTCAGACATGCAGGTACCATAGTCACGGGCTCCCAGTCCTTGCTACCTATAATGAGGTCCACGAACCAGCAGCATCAGCAGCACACGGGAGCTTTTTAGAAACAGTCTTGAGCCCACCTGGACCTAATCAATCAGAATCTTCAGTTTAACGAGACACCCAGGAGACTTGAAGGGACACTGAATTTTGAGAAGTAGTGCACTTAGATGTTTTCTCAAAAGGTGCTGCAGGGGACATGGCATCTTCATGCTAAGTGAAAAAGCCAGACCTTTGGTCAAATAGAGTGAGAAACTGCTGGTTAAGGCAAGTCAGTGACTTCTTCACCTTGGGATTCGTCAGAGTTCCTTATGTCTATTTTAAATACCCAAGAGAAAGAAACCAATACTAATCATAATAATGGTCGTAATCACTAATATTTATAGTTTAGTTACTATAGGCTACCACTAAAATTGCTTAAATATGATATGGATATGGAATCCTGTTTAATCATCAGTCAGTCCCCAAAATTTGGTGTTATTATTCTTATTTTTCATATTACGAATCTGAAACTCAGAGAGGCTAAGTTACTTTCCCAGGATGACACAGTTTGCAAACTTGCCAACTGGGAACCCAGCCCTGCCTGATTCCAAAGCCCAAGGGCTCGATTTGAAACGTATGGCAATTTTCTAAATACATTGAATCATTGAACATGGACACAGCTTTTTTCTATTTTGCAAAGACCACCTAGGACTAGTCCATGAAATACAGGCTGGGAAAGTATTTCACAGAAACACATTTGCCACCATGTGGCAGGTCCCTACTCAGGGGCAGAAACACCCTCAAAAGTGATGTCAATCTTAAATGTGCGGGCTTGCATACTAGCCACTCAGAAGAGCACAAAACAATTTAAGGTTTTTTCCCAGACCTGAGATATCAATTACATCTTGCCGAATGATGTGTCCTAACTGGCATGCCACTATCAGATTTAAGATAAAAATCACATGTGGCCTAGTCTAGACACACTGGACTTCTGTAATCTCTTCTCATTGTCACTAAACAGCTGGTACAAATGAATCTACCACTTCCTCATATCAGGCCCCTGACTTAATGTCTCACCCCATTTCTCAAGAAAAGATGCACGTCCCTCATAATGTCAAAACGATTGGGTTATCTTGCATTGTTTACAATTGAACAGTGGTTCATCTTAGCAGTCATGGTTTATTTATACTCACTTTTATTCATCCATTCCACTCATATATATTGAGTTCCTACTTTGTGCTAAGAAGCAGTTCGGTGTAATACCAGGCCCTTCACTTTTACAATCATGAAGTCAATTAATTATAAGCTCAACCCATAATTAATATACTCTTAGTAAAGGCAACCATTATAAGTACATTCTGATACAACATTCTATCCATGTATAAACTTAAGAGAGTATAAGGATCAGAATTCGAGGTCAGACCCACAAAATACAGGGAAAAAATGACACTATGACATTAATCTTCTCCACTCCTCCCCCAATTGTATACTGAGGAAATGAGTTCAAATAATCATTAATAGCAAACCTGAAGTAGTAAAAGAGACCACAGAAAAACAGACACTATGATAGATAAAGAGGATTGAAGGCATCTGCTGGGTGTCAAAGTTTGCCCCAGGTTAAGGATGTTTCTCTGACCTACAAAAAGCTTGGACTGTCTGTGGAACATCCAAGCAAATCAACACCAGAATAAAACATGCTGTCCACTTTCCTCGCCCTCTTCCAAGAATTACTTCATTATTCCCAATAAACTAAATGCATTTAGTTCTGAAATGAATGCATGTTATTCAATAAGAAAACATTATGACTCAAGTAGACCTACACTTCTTTTCTGAAACTAGATTTCTGTGCTCTGAATAAAAATGAACAATTCATCAGCACACATTTCTTCTTAATCTAAAAGGACAACATTATGCAAATTCAGGCCATGGGGGTGTGACCCTGTCTATCCTTACTTGTTTTGTTTGTAAGTAAATTTGGTTCCCCTTTGTGTTAAAGTGTAACTTTTTTTTAATGAGAAAAATAACTTTTGTTTTATACCTTCACTAGAGGAAGTACTGTATCTCAGCCATCCCAGTCACAATGGGAACATAAGCATGGCCTCCTCAGTAGAAACTCATTCATCTCTTATCCATATAGGTCCCTTTCTTCCATCTGCTTTTTATTTGGAAGCACTCATTCTTATCTCCAACTTCCCCGGCCTCAAGGTAGTAATGTTAGGTAACTTGCAGTGATAGCTACTTTTGACCACTTTCTCCAAGTTCCAGCATCCTGTAAATTCATCCATTTAGGCCCACACAATATGTCTACCTCCCTAGAGAATGTTCCATGTGAACTTCTTTTAAAATATCATACTCTCTTTTCTGTAAAAGCATATGGAAGGGATTCTGTGACGATTTAAAACTAAAGCCACAATGCAACTTCTAACTTAAACCAGATTATTGCAAGGACAGCAATAATCAATCACAAAGATTAATTTAACAGTTGACCTTTTTATACTGTTTTATGGATTTCAGCAACCATATAGCACCACAATTTAGAGGTAGCCTTAAAAGAACTGTTTTCTGCTTAGCAATCAGAATCTAATTTTAGAATTCCTACTAGAAAAAAATATGAGTATTTTTATCTCATTGCCTGGCGCATAGTCGGTATTCATTATGCTTGGAAAAAAGTATTACTAGGGGTCTGTGAAAAGCATTTTGCTACAAACGCTTCATCTTATCCTTTGGGAGAATCAGAATATTGCATACTCACCTGTTGGAAGGGTGCCGATAGAGCAGAGTTTGATAACACCAAGAAGACAGAGAATGAAACCAGGGAAACATTAAGACCTTCAGGACGACGAGGAAAGATAGCTGATAGCCGGAAGAAGACAATCAAGATTAAAAAAAAAAAAAATCACACTTTCAGAGAATAACTTAAATTTTAATCTTTTGGCTCCAAAGAAAAAGTGACGGCCATGGAATAATTTTCTGATTTGGCCAGTAAATCAGGCTTAACACCTGCTCTAGAACCTAAGCATGCTGGATATGACAATGAGACATTTCTGTAGCTGAGCAGCTTTGTAAATAATTGGGACAAAATTCTATAATCATAGCAGCTGCTTCATTATGTCCTGATAAGCTGCCTAGGTAATTAAAATGTCACACATGATGCAAGGAGTAGATTGATTTTTTTTTTTTTTTTTTTTGAGATGGAGTCTTGCACTGTTGCCCAGGCTGGAGTGCAGTGGCACCATGTTGGCTCACTGCAAGCTCCGCCTCCCGGGTTCACGCCATTCTCCTGCCTCAGCCTCCCCAGTAGCTGGGACTACAGGTGCCCACCACCCCGCCCAGCTAATTTTTTGTACTTTTAGTAGAGACGGGGTTTCACCGTGTTAGCCAGGATGGTCTCGATCTCCTGACCTCGTGATCCGCCTGCCTCGGCCTCCCAAAGTGCTGGGATTACAGGCGTGAGCCACCGTGCCCGGCCTCTGCTGTATTTCTTAAAGTTAGATGTTCATTCTCAGCCTCACAGGACAGAATTCTACCGTTAGGAGTCATGAAATCAGTGGTGGGAAGCTTGACCACACAAAGTCTATATGGCTCTGATTGGTGGCTTTGCCAATTTAGCGGAAATAGGTCTTGTTTGTATTTCCTAACTAGGGCTGAGTCTTCTCTTTGAGGCTCAGTACAGAAACGGATGATTTCTTATCCTTTCTAATATCAGAGGTTCACAAGCCACTATCTGGAGCTCACAGGAGCCATACACCTTTTGGTTAAATAGCCCCCTAGGATGCAAACGTTTTTCTTTCTTTCTTTTTTTTTTTTTTTTTTTTAGATGGAGTCTCGCTCTGTCTCCCAGGCTGGAGTGCAGTGGCGCAATCTCGGCTCACTGCAACCTCCACCTCCCGGGTTCAAGCAATTCTCCTACCTCAGCCCCTCGAGTAGCTGGGATTACAGGTGTGCTCCGTCACACCCAGCTAATTTTTGTATTTTTAGTAGAGACGGGGTTTCGCCGTGTTGGCCAGGCAAACGTTTATCTTTCTCAAGCTTCTCGTAGTTAGCTTTTTCTTACTGGCCCTGATTAGAGTTTACTTTATCTTACCCTTAATAGAACCTATACTAGTTCTGACAGCTCGTTTTGCCCTCTGCAATGAAATTGCTTTGAGAATTCACCATCCTTCATGGGCTTGAAATTTAAAGAACACTCTATGGGATGAAGTTGTATAAATGATTGGTTGATTGACTTGTGGAGGGAGTAATTGTGTGTTATGAGGGTGTGTGTGCACATGTGTATGTGAGTGTGCATGCAAGCCTGAGAATGTTGTCTCTAGTGTAACACAGCATCACAGATGTTTGGGATGCTATAGCATACAGCACAAAAAATAAATAAGAATTTGTAACATGTTCTAGGAAGCACATAACAAGTAAATAGTAAGTATTCCACTCAGATTTGTTATTCCACCCAGAATGCACAGTTGATGCTTCATAAAACAGGGAAAAGGTCTTCATAGAAAAATACATTCAATCGGCCAGGTGCAGTGGCTCATGCCTGTAATCCCAGCACTTTGGGAAGCTGAGGTGGGTGGTTCACCTGAGGTCAGGAGTTTAAGACCACCCTGGCCAACATGGTAAAACCCCATCTCTACTAAAAATAAAAATAAAAAAAATTAGCCGGGCAAGGTGGCACCTGCCTGTAATCTCAGCTACTCAGGAGGCTAAGGCAGGAGAATCGCTTGAACCCAGGAGGCAGAGGTACTCCAGACTGGGCAACAAAGCGAGACTTCATCTCAAAAAAAAAAAAAGAAAAGAAAAAGAAATATGCTTAGTACTGACTGGCTGCTGAAGCAAAAGCCTCTCCAAGCCATCACGTGGACACGGCTGGATGGCAGGTTGTGTTTATGTCTATCTTCCAAGAAGCTCTAATAAAGCGTGCAACACTGACAATATCCGCTTACGTTGGCTTAGTATTGCTATTTATATTGTAAATAGAATAATGAAATTTTAAGGCCAGGCGCAGTGGTTCACGCCTGTAATCCCAGCACTTTGGGAGGCTGAGGCGGGCGGATCACGAGGTCAGGAGATCGAGACCATCCTGGCTAACACGGTGAAACCCCGTCTGTACTAAAAATACAAAAAAATTAGCCGGGCGTGCTGGCGGGCGCCTGTAGTCCCAGCTACTCGGGAGGCTGAGGCGGGAATGGCGTGAACCCAGGAGGTGGAGCTTGCAGTGAGCCGAGATTGCGCCACTGCACTCCAGCCTGGGCGACAGAGAGAGACACCGTCTCAAAAAAACAAAAAGAATAATGAAATTTTAAAAGATGTCATTATAGTTCTTGGAGTCGAGACACAGTAAAATGCTTTCTTGCCCTATTCCTAAGAGGCTTCATAATTGTTGGAGCTATAAATCAAAGTGACTCTCCTCACATTGTCTTCATCCCAACCTTAGGGACTCAGGCCGTGAAGCTCAGCACTGCAGTCCATTTCCCCACAGCTCACTGAATGTAGATTGACTTGGGGAGTGCTGCTTCCTCACGATTTCAGGACTAGAGATGGTGTCTTAGTTGGTCTGGGCTGCCATAGTGAAAGACCACAGACTCTGGATCTTAGCAACAGAAATTTGCTTCTCACAGTTCTGGAGGCTAGAAGTTAGAGATCATGGTGTTTGGAGGTAGGTTTTTTCCTGAGGTTTATATATGGTCGTCTTCCTCCGCACGTCTTCACATGGCCATCCCTCTTTGTGTCCCGGTGTCCTAATCTCTTCTTCTTCTTCTTTTTTTTTTTTTTTTTTTTTGAGACAGAGTCTCACTGTTGCCCGGGCTGGAGTGCAGTGGCGCCATCTTGGCTCACTGCAACCTCAACTTCCTGGGTTCAAGCAATTCTCCTGCCTCAGCCTCCTGAGTACGTGGGACTATAGGCATGCGCCACCACGCCTGGCTAATTTTTTGTATTTTTAGTAGAGATGGGGTTTCACCATGTTGGCCAGGCTGATCTTGAACTCCTAACCTCAGGTGATCCACCTGCCTCGGAATTACAGGCATGAGCCACCGTGCCCGGCCATCTCCTCTTCTTAAATACCAGTCTTACATGGAATTAGGGGCCACCCCAATATCCCCATTTTAACTTAGACACCTCTTTAAAGATCCTATCTCCAAATACAGTGACATTAGGAGTTTACAGCTTCAGCATATGAATTCTGGAGGAACATGATTCAGTCCATAAAAGAGAGATAAACGGATATGTGACTGAGAATGAGGAAAGACAGAATTCTGCCATCAGGAATCACAAAGTCAGGGGTCTTCAGATGTCACTGGGATAAAGAGAATGGGGCAGTATGGAAGCCTATGATACCTGGAGAGGAGGGGACCCACATAGGGCCAGAATAAAGAAATAAAACTCCTTCTGGCCAAGCAAGACATCTGTGGGCTGAGACCATCCGTTTTCTACCCCTGCTGTAGAGTTTCTGACAGCTCTGAATGTTAATTGAAAGCTGCCTGGACTGGCATTTGTGGCCCAGCTGGTGTTTTCTTATTTTGTGTTTGCTTTTTGATGGATGATGAGTGTTCAGTTTGTTATGAGATTCTGGGGAGGAGGGGAGCTGATTCTCAGGCCATATTTAGTTCTTAGATGTATATTTAGGTCCAAAAGGTAAAATACATAGGCCACATAATTTCCTGAGACATTTGCTTTTTTTCTATACATAATAGAAAGAACTCATTTCTGCAGACTGAACTAAAACATAAGGTGATAGATGTTTGCACGTAGTTAAGAAATCAGGCAAATTGTTCATGTGCCAGATAAAATGTTATTGAACTCTTAGTCCTTCAGCTGCTGGGACAGATGGGCAGTAGGTTTCATACCACGTGCCAAGAAGTGGCTGGCTGGAGGCCTGTGATGGGAGGGATTCTGAGGTTTAGACTGGACATACAAAAGATCATGATCTCATTAATTGGCCATATCTGCCAAGAATGCGGAGAGAGGGTTTGCAGCATTAGAACATGATGGCACAGGAATCAAAGCAACTTTCCAGGATACTCTTGTCTTGGGTAAGGTCCATTGTGACTTCAGATACATAAATCCCTTGCTTTTTAGGTACAAAAAATATGAAATTGTTCTGGTGTTTTATTTTATTATTATTATTTTTTGAGACGGGGTCTCACTCTGTCCCCAGGCTAGAGTGCAGTGGTGTGATCTCGGCTCACTGAAGCCTCTGCCTCTTGGGTTCCAATGATTCTTCTGCCTCAGCCTCCCGGGTAGCTGGGACTACAGACGCACGCCACCATGGCTGGCTAATTTTCGTATTTTTAGTAGAGACGGGGTTCCACCATGTTGACCCCGCTGGTCTCAATCTCCTGACCTCAGGTGATTCACCTGCCTCGGCCTCCCAAAGTGCTGGGATTACAGGCATGAGCCACGATGCCTGGACTGTTCTACCATTTTTTATAGGCCCAACAAACTCAAAGAGAGAATGAAGCATTTTGTCTGGCTTAGACAAAAAATCATGTGAAATATAAGAAGCACAAAAACCTACTCTACGGTTTTAATATGAAATCCAGAGAGACAAATGCTTATTAGTTTTGTTGTTTGTGGGGTTGGTGGTTAGTATTTTGCGTTTCTGATTTTTTAAAAAATTTTCTCTATAATAAGCTTACTGATTTTTCCTCTTAAAAAGCAATGTTCTGTGGGAAAAGGCCAACCTTCCTTGGCACTGCCTTCTTTTTCTAGAGATTATTAATTTCTTTTTAATAGAGCTCATACTGCAAAATCAAATTTTTATATCGCAAAGGGATTTACATTTATCTTGAGCTGCACACTCTTCGTCTATCAAATTGAGTTTAAGTTTCTAATTGAAACAATTTTTCAAGTGTTAAGCAATAAAGAAGCAATAAGTGATATATTTAAATTATTTATTCATCTTATTTATAATTAATTCATTTTTTTCCTTGCTGCACAGTGAGGCTAACCTGATGCATTTGATTTTTCAAATCTTTTCTATCATTTGGCAACAATAGAAGTGGCTGCTTTTTCCATCCCACTTGTGTTTCATTGGTCTTTGGGGACTCAGGCAACATCAGTTTAAATCACAGTTAAACTTAACACAGCAACTTTGTTTTGCGATATACTGCACCAAAAACAAGTGTGTTATGAGTAAAGCACGCCTGTTCTTAGTCAAATTGGAAAAAAAAAAAAAAAAGTACCTCTTAGTAAAGTGAACCATTGCATCAACAAGGATCTCAACCTTCAGCATTTAATGACTACTTATCCCTTGGTCTATACTCCTTCTACACAATAAGATTGATAGGCCTTTAACATGCACTGTGTCATGGATCATCAACTAGTTGACCTGGATAGCTGGTCTGCAAATTATTTGAACCCCTTTTTCCAATATCTCTGTCTTGTTATACTATTCACAACACAATCTCTCGGCTCCAGTTGAATGCATTACCTCCTCCATCACATAAACTTATTGCCTGTCCAAAATTGCCTGGACTGATAATCTTCAGGCCTGTTCTTAGTCAAATTGAAAAAAAAAAAGTACCTCTTAGTAAAGTGAACAATTGCATCAACAAGGATCTCAACCTTCAGCATTTAATGACTACGTATCCCTTGGTCTATACTCCTTCTACACAATAAGATTGATAGGCCTTTAACATGCACTGTGTCATGGATCATCAGCTAGTTGACCTGGATAGCTGGTCTGCAAATTATTTGAACCCCTTTTTCCAACATCTGTGTCTTGTTATACTATTCACAACGCAAACTCTCGGCCCCAGTTGAATGCACTACCTCCTCCATCACATAAACTTATTGCCTGTCCACAATTGCCTGGACTGATAATCTTCAGAGCTATGCAGCCACTGGATATTTTCCTCTCACACAAACACATCTATCCCATTCACTACACCATGCTCTGGCTCACAGCCCTATAATCTCACTCCACCAAGTGCCCAATGGCAGAGGCTCCAACAACTTACATATACTACCCACAATTTTTTTTTTTTCGAAATCCAAGGTCATATTCCTGGACTGTTCACAAGCTATAGTGATTCCCCTTGGCTAACTAAATATGCTCAAGCTCCCCAGACTCCTATTTATTTAGGCTGGATTTCACCTTTGCACCCTCATCCAGCACTGCCTGGCAATTAGATAACAGTGAATGAGGGCGTCTATGAAGAGTGTACTCACAAACTTTCATTAAATAGTAACCACACTTTATATGAATCTTTGCTCCTCACACAACAGCTGACTTTCACTGGATGCTCAGTACACATCTGTAGAACAAACGACCCAAGAACAGGCCATAAAACAAATTCAGAGAATAATCAGGGGAAATCTAGTGATCTGAAACTCAAGTCAAAAACTCAGAAAATATGATGGCCAGGAAGAAGTCAATCGTTGTCTAAAATTATTTGGAAATAACTGATTGTGTAGTAATCCAGTTTTCTTTAACTGCAGATGCCTCAGATGATCTGATTGTTTGGTATTTAGTGGGCCTCAGTATGTTTCATGTATCATGAAAGGCAGGGAGAGGGACTTTTCTCAACCTCAAGGGTACAGCAACTGTGCAGTGAGGACTAGGGTGAAGTATGAGAACAAAAACAAAAGCAATTATAATTACAGGCATTTATTGAGCTTCTCCTAAGTGTCATGTAGGTACAATGTACTATCCATTTTAGCTTATTCAATCCTCAAAACAATCCTGTGAAAATAACAAGAGTACATAGCTACTAAGTCACAATGGAAAAGTGTGTTCTTGTCCCAACTCTTCACTCCCTTTCCTGCAGGAGGCCATATGTCTATACACGCTGTGTGCAGAAGGAGTCTACTTCCCTGCTTCATTGACATCAGGCTTGGCCATGTTCCTGACTCAGGCCAATAGCATGTGAGTGGACATGACATCGGCAAATCCGAGCAGAAGTTTTAGTCATTGTAGGTTCCCAAAAGATGAGGGTAAAATGGCATGTCCCAGAGAAGGCTGTCTTTAAAGTGGTTCCCAGAATTTGCACACTTGTGGCCAACAGTCAGTCCAACACGTAATGTGAGCACAAAATAAATCTTTGTTGTCATTGATCACAGAGACTATAGGGGTGACTGGCACTACACAAAGCTTAGCAAAAGTAGTGGTAGAATTCACACCCAGAGCCTGCACTTTTATCCATGTTACTATGCTGCCTCACTAAGCATACATGCACTATTATGAGACAAGGTTCTAAATCTATGTAGGCAGGTTCTGCTGTCTCTGTCTTGCAAGTTGGAATCAGTCAGCTACTCAAAGTATGGTCCATGGACCAGAAACAGTATGAGTAATACTTGACAGCTGGTTAGAAATGCAGAATCTCAGCTCCCACCCAAGAATCTGCATTTTAATAAAATTCCCAGGAATGAATGTCACAATAAAATATGATAAGTGCTGATTTAACACATGGTCATGGACGCATATGCTTCATGAATAATCAAGATCAAAGAGCTATGAATTAGAAATGAAAAAAAGCATCCACTTCCAATTCTATTTTCCAGATTGGAAAGACAAGAGTATCCACTTATTTTCCTTGTCTCTTGGAGATCAGAGGGGTAGAAACAATGTGTTGTAACTACAATGGTTTACTGTAAAACATTCTAGGACTTGCTCTAGTCACTAAATATCACCCTTTGATAGAGCAGCTTACACCTCATTGCTAGTCACGCTGACCTCTTGTTCACAATCCAATAGCATGTTCATTGAACAAATAAACATTAGGGCCTATTTGTCTTCATTAAGGACTGTATGCTTGTAGGGGAAAAAATGACACATTGTGCTTATCTTGACTTCCCTGTTCCAAGATCCCATTATTGTCTTATCACCCTTTTGATGAGTGACATTGACCATTAACCATATCAGTAAACATCACAGCTTCCTAAACACAAGTTCTCATCATAATTAAGGGAGGAATATAACACTTATGGATGCTGCTTAGCCGGTAATTCAATGTCATGGTCTCTTCTCCACACTGTTGCGAAACCCAGTAGCAGTGAACCAGAACATCCAAGAAGTAATGGAAATGAATAATGATATTTCAAGATGGTGGATGATGTAGGTGGAACAACCACTTGTGCATTTGAGACACATTCTCCCCAGTGAACACTAAGGTTTTTGACAGGCTGGTTTATGAATAAATTCATGACATGAGACATTTCCAAAATGTCTGTTAAGAACTGCTTCAAAATGAAGTCATCAAAATTACTGCAAAATGTACATTTTAAATGCAAACAGCCAGGGGAAAGAGTGTACTTGTTATGTAGAATTCATTATCTTTATTTCGGAGTGCAGCCCTATAAACATTTGTTTGGGATTGCTTTTATGCAATTGTTTGGAACATAAGCAGAGAAAGAGCTGAATGGAGACATTCCAGAAACCCAGAGCTTATTCAGCTTCTTTTTTCTCTACCTTGATAGAAAGAAATCATTTTTTTCTTCAAATTTAATACAGTTGTAAGGATCTGGTGTTTTCTAATTTATCAGTTTATGTTGTTAATAGTGGGGACATTACCAAAATATGAAAAATGGAAACCATGTACTAAGAATTTTATCTTGTCATCTGGGACAAAAAAAAAAAGATCCTTCATTAGATGCACATTACTTTTTTTAGGTATTTAACTCACAATGTAAGTATGTGCATATTTACAGAAGATAGTAATACTATCCTTATGTTTGTAATTGAATTCAGCCTGGAGCCGCTTTAAGATGAATCAGACTATCAAGTTAGCCAGCAGATTTAGGGTCAAAAATATACTAAGTGGGAAAAAATGTTCTTAATACAGAATAAGCTAAGTGGTTAGTTAAGGACTAAAAACACCACTGCTCCACCACGAAGAAGGAAATATGCATTTGATCTAAAAGAAGAAAAGAGTTAAAATCCAGTATACCATCAAGACAAAAGAAAACCTATCTGTAAAAAAAAAGAGAATACAAATCATCACAGACACACCCTAAATGAAAATGCCAAGTAGTTTCGATTGCATGAAATTTATTAATGCTTATATATCAATAAAGCTCACCATAAACAAAATTAAAAGGCAAATAATGACCTTTGAAGATTATACATACCTTTTAAAAATTAATAAGCCTAGCATTTATAAAAGCTTGCAAACCTATTTTTCAAATAACACACCAAAAAAGAAATGAGCAAAGCACATGAATTGGCAATAATAATATTTCAGGAATGACCTGAATCTACAGTAGAGGATCAGCTAATAGTAGCAGATACATACGATAAACTAGGATGTTGTCATTATAAGTGTAATATGGAAGAACGTCTACTGATGTGAAGAAAATGTTCATGAAGCAGTAAAAAAAGAATAAAACAATCACCTAATTGTAAATGTTTAATAAAAGACATACCAGACTGTTAGCAGTATCTCTCTACATTGTAGAACTACAAGAGTTGCTTTTTTGTGTGTTTCAAGTGTTTTACAAACTTCACCCATTCAGTATATATTGCTCTTCAATTAAAAATAAAATAAAGGTCATACAAAATTAAAGAGATTAAAATTAGAACAATTTAGATAAACAAATTTACCATAAAAACAGGAAAATTCCATTCCCAATGCTATAAAACTATAGCCTAAGCCATTAAAATGTTTTACTTCTAAAATTAAGCTACTGACTTTTGGAAAAATGTTATTACCCTATAAAGACATTTTTAGATATCCACAGTTAAGTTTGTAGGCAAAGGATGGTATTGAGGTGTGTAAAGAGAAAGCTTGGACCAAAAAGAAAATTTTATTTTTTTAATTGAGAGCCTGTGTTTGTAAGTAACATCAGTGATTCCCTTACCAAAATACCTGTTTTACTCTGGGAGTGAAATGAGTTAAAAGAACTAGATTGCTGGGGCTTTGGGGTAGGTGATGCTTCCTCTCTAATTTGAATCTATATTGCCAATAGGTAAATTGAGAGCTAACACATTAACTCAAATTTATTGCTGACATTACCTTCCCTATGCAGGAAAATCAATAATGAATATACATTGGAATAGCTGATTGGTGAAACTCAGAGAAAAAAAACTCAAAGTAAATTATTCTACAGTATTAGATTCTTATTGCCACTATAACAAATTACCCCAAGTTTGGTGGCTTTAAACAATGCAGATTTATTCTCTTACAATTCTGGAGGACAGAAGTCCAAGTTCAATTTCACAGAACTAAACTCAAGATATAAACTGGGCTGCACTCCCTTTGAAGGAACATGGGGAATATCTGATTTCCCTTTTTCAGCTTGTAAAGCTTTTCCACCTCATAAAGTCTTTTTCAGCTTGTAAAGACCTCTTGAATTCCTTGGCTTATGAGAGACACATCATTCCAACCTCTTATTCCATCATCACATCTTTTACTATCCTTCTGATCTCCTGCCTTTCTCTTTTAAAGATTCTTGTGATTACATTAGGCTTAATAGTTAATCCAAAATAATCTTCTAATCTCAAGAGCCTAAATTTAAATACATCTGCAAAATTCCTTTAGCCATATAAGGTAGCATTTACAGGTTTTGGAGACAGTACACTGCTTTGGTTTGAATGTTTGTCCCCTCTGAAACTCATGTTGAAACTTAATCCCCAATGTGGCAATATTGAAATGTGGACTTTTAAGAGGTAATCCATTTATTGATTAATAGATTAACGAGTCAGTGGATTAATAGATTATCACAGGAGTGACATTAGTGGCTTTATAAGAGGAAAAACGGAGACTTGAACAATAACTAAGCATCCTCACCATATGATTCCCTGCACCACCTCAGGACTTTACAGAGTCCCTCACTAGCAAAAGGACCTTTCAACAAAATGCAGCCCCTTGACCTTGGACTTCTCAACCTCCATAACTGTAAGAAATAAATTACTTTTCTTTATAAATTACCCAGTTTCAGGCATTCTGTTATAAGCAATACGAACTAAGACAGAAAATTGGTACCAGGAGTGGGGTGTTGATGATAGTGAACACCTGAAAATGTGGAAGTGGCTTTGGAACTGGGTAATGGGCAGAGGATGGAAGCTGAGGGAGCAGGCTAGAAAAAGCCTGGATTCTGGTGAGGGCTTAGAAGGCAAGAAAACTAAGGGAAGTTTGTAACTCCTTAGGAATTGGTTAAATGGTGGTGACCAGAATGCTAATAGAGATATGGCCAGTAAAGGCCATTCTGATGAGATCTCAGATAGAACTGAAAAACAAGGTATTGAAATTTTGAGTAAAGGCCATTCTTCCTATAAATTGGCAAATAATTTGGTTGAAGCGTGTCCCTGCCCAAGGGCTTTATGGAAGGCCAAACTTAAGAATGATGAACTAGGATATCTGACACAAGGCATTTCTTCTTTCTTCTTTCTTACTTTCTTTTTTTTTTTTTTTTTTTAAACGGAGTCTCACTCTGTTGCCTAGGCTGGAGTACAGTGGCACAATCTCGGCTCACTGCAACCTCTGCCTCCCAGATTCAAGTGATTCTCCTGCCTCAGCCTCCTGAGTAGCTTGGATTACAGGCACACACCACCACGCCCAACTAATTTTTGTATTTTTAATGGAGACGGGGTTTCACTATGTTGGTCAGGCTGGTCTCAAACTCCTCTTTCTTTCTTTCTTCTCCTTTTTTTTTTTTAGATGGAGTTTCTTTCACCCAGGCTGGAGTGCAGTGGCTTGATCTTGGCTCACTGCAACCTCCGCCTTCAGATTTCAAGTGATTCTCCTGCCTCAGCCTCCCAAGTAGCTGGGATTACAGGTGCCCACCCCTACACCTGGATAATTTTTTGTGTCTTTAGTAGAGACAGGGTTTCACCATGTTGGCCAGGCTGGTCTCGAACTCCTGACCTTGTGATCCCCCTGCCTTGGTCTGACACAAGGCATTTCTAAGGAAAATATAAAAGGAGCTACATGGTTACTTTTGGCTGCTTATGCTGATATTTGGGACCAAAGGAATAATTTAAAAACATAATTTATAATTAAAAGAGAAACAGAACAGAAAGATTTGAAAAGCTCTCATCTTGGCCAAGTGAAAAGTTAATAAGTGTGTTCAGGAGAGAAAATCAAGGGTGTAGCTCAGAGACCATTTGCTAAACATATTAGTATGAATAGAAGGGAGCCAGGTGCTTTTCCTCAAGATAGCAGAAAAAAGAGATCCTGAAGGCATTTTAAAGATCTTGAGGCTGCCTCTCTCATCACAGGCCCAGAGGCCTAAGATGGCAGAATGGTTTCAGGAGCTAGACCAAGGGCACCCTCCATAGGCTCAGTGCCCAAGGCCACCAGAGGACTCTGTTTCCTGCACTCCAGAACGGTGCTCCACAACTGCCCTAGTTAGGCTCAAGAGACCCTAGGTATGGCTTGTGGCACAGCTCTGGAAGGAATACACATGTCAGTATACATGTAGCGCTAATTCTGCAGGCTCTTGGCAGCATGCATGTGGTGCTAATTCTCAGGTTTGCAGAAAGCAAGAGTTGTAGAGGATTGGCAGCCTCCACCCAGATTTCTAAGGATGTCATCAAAAGCTTGGGGGCCCAGGCAGGGACTTGTCACAGGGGGGGTTGCCACCACAAAGAGTTTCCACTAGAGCAATGCTGTATGTAACTGTAGGGTCAGAGCTGCTGCAGAGTCCTTACCAGGGTAATATCTAATGGAGCCATAGAGGCAGGACCTCCACCAGGATCCCAAAACTGTGGAGTCACCAGTAGCATGCAATGCCCACGTTGGACAGCTTCAGGGACCAGACTTCAGCACATAGAAGTAGCTGCATGGGCTACACCAAGCAAAGCCACAGGGACAGGACTGCTTGAGGCCTTGGGGGCCCAACTCCCACCCCAGTGTCTCGGAGGCTAAGGTGGAGTCAAAGGAGATTACTCTCAAGCTTTACAATTAATGTCTGCCCTGCTGGGTTTCAGACTTGGTTGGGACTAGTTAAGCCTTTCTTTTTGCCTATTTATCACTTTGAAAATAGAAATCTGTGAGTCTTTCTAGGTACCTTGAAAGTAGACAACCCGTTTTGATTTCACAGACTCACAGATGAGACTGTGGACTTTCGACTTCCGAGTTGGTGTGGGGATAAGTTAAGACTTTGGGGTTATGGGGATGGATTGCATATATTTGTATGTGAGAAGGACATGAGTTTTGGGGGCCAGGGGCAAAAGCCTATGATATCAATGTTTACTCCCTCTGAAACTAATGTTGAAGCTTAATCCCCAATGTGGCAGTATTAAGAGGTGGGGCCTTTAAAGGTGATTTGGTCATGAGGGCATAGCCCTCACAATGGGATTAATCCATTCATGGATTCATGGGTTATCACAGCAGTGGCATTTGTGGCTTCGTAACAGGAGAAAGAGAGAAATCTCAGCAGCACACTCAGCCCTTCACCATGTGATGGCCTGGGCTGCCTCAGGACTCTGCAAAGGGTCCTCACCAGCAAGAAGACCTTCACCAGATGTGGCCCCTTGACCTTGGACTTGTTAGCCTCCATAACAGTAAGAACCATATTCCTTTTCTTTATAAATTACACATTTCTAGAATTCTGTTACAAGCAACAGAAAGCAGACTAATACAGACATGGATATCCTGGGGAAGTGACAGCATTACGCAGCTGACCACACCTCACAACTAGACAGACAAGGTACCACTAACAGAATTCCTTTCCTTATGGCAGCACTTTGGTCTGTTTTTGCTGATATTTTACAATGATGAAAATCTGTTATTCTCTTTGGAAGTACTAAATTTAGGGTAAGTCAGAGAAGTCAGTTTCTAAGAGGAAAATAATACTCATTCCTAAATTTCTTGCCCCTAAATTTCTTTCCTCAAGTCTCCAATAAGTGCTGCACAGCTGAAATCTCATATGTTTTTCAAAATAATTATGGAACATCTGCCATATGGTAGATACAGATGTGATCACTGGCTTTTGCTTTACAAATGCAAATGATGCCTTTGACGTTCTCATTGCCTCTGTTTGCCAAGAAGGCAGTGAAATGATGAGAACTCCACTCTGTCACGTGAGCACACATATGCTACCCCATTACCCACCACAAGTCTGAGAAAACACCCAGGGAAGGACCACTAAAGCCACCTATAGGAGTGACTCAAATTCTGTTAAAGCAAAACACAAAATGTTCATGAAAGTGAAAGAGCCATGATAGGTCTGATCAATCGTGTGATGTTTTAGTGCTGCAACACCCTCTAGTCACTGATCTCGGGCCCCCAGACTCCCCCTTCTCTTTCGTCTCTCAGGTTAATGATTTAGAAAGGTGACATATGTGTGATTCTATTATTGTTAAACCTTGTAGTTGGTTGGTGAGTTAGGAATTACTAGAATCTACAGACTTTAGTATATATAGAATATACTGGCATTTATGTATAGAATCTGTGGGTAATGAACTCCAACTTGGATAGATCAGACAGGAAGGAAAAGAGGAAGGGAAGAATGGGGAAAAAAAAAACACCTTTATACCTGTGTCTGGACCGTTGAGTGTTGTTGGGGAAAATCCCACAGCTGGGAAGATTTGTGTCACAATAAATTTGCCGTCACCAGCCTAAATGGTCCTTCAGTGTCTCTAAGGAGCATCCCCTCTCCTGCTCTACAAAATGACCATTTCTCCTTCTCTAACCTACTCAAGCCTCAGACTCTTTACTCTCAGGACCCAGTCTTCTCTTCTGCTTAATAAAGAAAGGGGGGAAATAGCTAAAAATCCTTTAAACCACCCCTCCATCAGCACCAAGTCTGTAAACACTCCAGGGACCAATCCACTCTTCCCTCACTTAGGTTAGAATGGAGACAGTGACCTGTGCAGTACAAGGCCACTCCCCAAGTCCTGTCCACAGGGATAGGGGAGGCTTCCTGGAGCTCTGAATGTGGATGTGGCCTTGCTGATGGAGTGTGGTTCAGAATCAGGGGAGCACAGAGTCCATGCACCTTCCTTTAAATTGAAGCACAGAAGGTTGTTTTTCCAGAGGATCACAGAAATTCAAAATGCACGCTCTGCAGGATGCTTTGGTTGCCTTCCGCATTCCAACCTTTCCCTGATGATTATCCTGTTCCTCCTGGACCCTTGTTCTTTCCATTGCCATTGCCTCTCCACTGACTCTGGTCATCATTTAGGTAGGCTCAAGTCCTCCTTTCCCAGCAGGGCTCTCTCTGCTCCTACCACCCTCTGCCTGCTAGCCCCTATCTCCCCTCCCCGTTCCCAGCACACCTTCCTGGAGAAGATGAGAGCCCCCACGGTTTCATTTTCTCATTTCTCAGCCACTTTGCAACTCACCCTAACCTGCCTCCTGCCCTGCCCACTTGGTTTTCGACTACTTATCTGTTCCTTCTCAGTCTTCTTTACTCAGTCATCTGTCTCTGCACAATCCTGAAATGTTGACATTTTTATGGATTCTGTCCTAGGCCTTCTGTATCTGTTCATGCTACCTGTGCTCTTTAGAGACCTCTACTATATCCATTGCTAAATTCCCATCTATAAGTCAACATTCCCCTCCATCTAGGACTATCTACTGAGCTCCAGACTTAACTTCCCGCTGCTACATTGTACCCCACCCAATTGTATTCAGAGGTGTTTCAAGCTGACCATGATCACACCTGCACTTAAGCTTTCTCCTTCCCCACCCCCATAATTGGTCTAATGCTAATGTTTCCTAAATCAGTGAAAGGCACGTCCACTCAGCTGTCTGAACGAGACTCTTCTAATATTCTTGAATTAGCTCACTTCCCCCCAACTCCTAGGGAGCTGTCATGACCTCCCAAATGGCCTTCTAGAATCCACCCTTGCTCCTCTCAAATCCACCCTCCAGTCTGCTACTTCTCTTCTTATAATAATCTGATCACACAGATGACTGCCCAGTGACTTCCAAGTAAACCTTAATCTTAATATGAGCCAAGTATCTCTTAAAATCTGGCCACTGCCAACTTTCCTAGCTCTCTCTTGTATGTCTATCTCTCTTTCCCCCTCTCTGTTTTGTGAGGGTTCCTTCTGTTTGTTCATTCCCCCTCCATCCTGCCTTCTGGCTCATGAGGCTGACCAGTAATCATGACATCAGTGAGATTCCATGCCCTCTGACTTTTGGTGTGTTCAGGGCCACAGGAGTCCAGACAGGAGACTGGAAGGCAGTAGAAGAGTAAACTCAGTAACTCATTCCCTTGGCTCACTCCCCAATGAACCTACTTAGCTTGTTCCATTGGTCAACCAAAGTTTCCTTCCCCTTCCAGGTTCTGGGAATTACGCCATGACCCCTTGACCCCTCCAGGCCTAAGGATGGTGGCAAGTCCATCATCACACAGCCCTATACCATCTAGCCTGTTGTCCTGACACTCAGCCCATACCATAGTAAATGGTCCCTTTATTAAACACAATGTTTTCTTTCTTTTCTTTTCTTTTTTTTTTTAATGGAGTCTTGCTCTGTCACCCAGGCTGGAGTGCAGTGGCCCCATCTCGGCTCACTGCAAGCTCCACCTCCCGGGTTCATGCCATTCTCCTGCCTCAGCCTCCCGAATAGCTGGGACTAGAGGCACCTGCCACCACGCCTAGCTAATTTTTTTATATTTTAGTAGAGACAGGGTTTCACCATGTTAGCCAGGATGGTCTCGATCTCCTGACCTTGTGATCTGCCCGCCTCGGCCTCCCAAAGTGTTGGGATTACAGACATGAGCCACCGCACCTGGCCTAAACACAATGTTTTCTAAGATGAGCCTGCCATCTGTTTCCTGCTGGGGATTTACTGCGATACCCCTGCCTGCTACACCTCAGCCCTGCTGGGCTCTTCTCAGATCCTTCAGCACATCATGATTTACTATCCCTGGAAGCCTTCTCACTATGAGGCTGGCCCTTCTTTCCTGCCTGGCCCACAAGCTAGATTAAGTCCCCACTGTGGCCTTCCAAGGTGCATTCTACTTTGCTGTTGATATGCTGCAGAATGCTGCCATTATTGACGTGATTGCTTTACTGTCAGCTCCACCAAGTGGGGAGTCAGATCTGTGGTGCCCCGATTCTCCCAGTGCCTGGCACCCTGAAGATGCAAAAAAAAGTGTGTTGACCAATAAGCTCATTTCTGTGAGTTTACCTGACAGAGATCTGATGATATTTTAAAGTTCCAGTCTAGCTCTTGCAATACAAATATAGAGTTGCTACACAAGCGTCTTTGAATGACCTTGGGTAAAAAGTCACATAATTTATTTCCAAATCCTAGAGGTACTCAAAATCCACCCTTCATTTTGACAATTATGAGGTCTGAAAAAATTGTGAATGCTACAATATGTACAAATACATTCAAGGGCTGTGTTTCTATTAGTTTCATCACCCTAAGAAATTAGTGTTTCCGTATGTTTATTGCGGCACTGTTCACAATAGCAAATACTTGGAACCAACCCAAATGCCCATCAGTGATAGACTGGATAAAGAAAATGTGGCACATATACACCATGGAATACTATGCAGCCATATAAAACGATGAGTTCATGTCCTTTGCAGGGACATGGATGAAGCTGGAAACCATCATTCTCAGTAAACTAACACAAGAACAGAAAACCAAACACCACATATTCTCACTCACAGGTGGCAGTTGAACAATGAGAACACATGGACATGGGGAGGGGAACATCACACACCGGGGCCTATCGGGGGTGAGGGGCTAGGGGAGGGAAAACATTAGGAGAAATACCTAACGTAGATGATGGGTTGATGGGTGCAGCAAACCACCATAGCATGTGTATACCTATGTAACAAATCTGCACGTTCTGCACATGTATCCCAGAACTTAAAGTATAATGAATCAATCAATCAATCAATCAATCAATCAATCAATAAGTGTTTCATAGGAGAAACGTAATATAAGGAAAAACATAAATATTTTATTAGGGGTTTATTATTATTGAACTCTGTTGCTGGCTGACCACGTAACCATATAGTGTCCAAATTCCATTTCTGTAAGGAAAACATCTATGTCCTTAAACTTGGGATCCACACATGGCTTCTCACACCTGCATCCTTCCAGGTCAGCCTCTTGAGGCTTTGGATGGACACTAAGGAACCAGTTCCTATGCCTGGACTTTTGATTACCCCTTAACTGCCATCAGCCAAATTGCAGGTTCATGGTCCTCCTGCCTTCGCAGGAGGTGGGGCGGGATGGGGGTGGAGGGCGAGGGGGAGGACAGGCTTCCTGTCCACTCCTCTTGGAAAGCTTCTATGCACTCCCTAGACCTGTTCCCTCCTGATCAGTGAGTGCAATACTCCTAGTTCTTCACCAACACACTAAGAAGGAAAAAGCCTTTATTCATTTATAGCAACTGACAATATAAAGACCCAAAGGTCATAACAAAATAAAAAGAAGCCATCTTTCAAGTGGGACAGAGAAGTAATAAAAGTGCAGTTAGAACCAGAGAGTGGTCAAGCTCTGGCAGGAGACAAGAGAAGAGAGAAAAAGGGAAGAGGGTTGGGAAGTGGTGAAAAGGGCCAAAAGCCTGAATTTCTATCCACCTTCTTCTCTTATCTGTCCGAGGGGTATTTTTACATATTATAGCATGCTATTGTGAGGTATATTATAGTTCATGAACCACAGTGACTTTTAGCTCCATGTTCACTGTGTGGCTTTTGTTGTCTATAGTAGAAACTGTGGTCTGCTGTCCAGATTCCTACTTCTGGGCCTAAGTACACATCTCCTCATCTGCTGAGTGTGTTGTTTGCAAAGAATTCAGAGCTGAGTCCTTCTATGACCTCAACCAAAGACGCCTCCTCCCCAAAGACATCACTCATCCAATGACTGGTCAATGGGTGTTGCTGGAGCCCAACTCAATTTGGGACAAGTCTGAATGACCATCCAGCTTCAATGTTCCTCAAAGGGTCAGCTATTAAAATTATTGAAGCAATGGGGGAATTCCACTGTCCTTGTATCAGTCAACATCTCTACTCACCAGACCACAAGAAGACCAAGAGGCCCAAAAATGCCCACTGAAGATTGCTGACAACATACAGACCCAAAGTTCACAAAAAAATGAAAAGAAGCCATCTTGCAAGTAGAACAGAGAAGTGATAAAAGTGCAGCTAGAACCACAGAGTGGTCAAGCTCTGGCAGGAGATGAGGAGAGAGAGAAAGGTCTTTGAGATTCTAAGTAGGCCTTGGGTTAATACAACCATCATTTTTTTTTTTTTTTTTGAGACATAGTCTCTCTCTGTGACCCAGGCTGCAGTGCAGTGGCATGATCACAGCACACTGCAGCCTCAATCTCCTGGGCTCAAGTGTTCCTCTTGCTTCAGCCTCCCCAGTTGCTGAGACTACAGGTGCACCACCACCATACCTACCTAATTTTTTTCACTTTTTGTAGAGACAGGATTTCACCATGCTGCTCAGGCAGGTCTCAAACTCTGGGTTCAAACAATCCTCCCACCTTGCCCTCCTAAAGTGCTGTGATTACAGGCATGTGCCACCATGCCCAGGCCCATTCTCATAAAGTTGAAGAAGACTTTGGAGATTACACATGGACCTGCTATTCAGTGTGGGCTGGAATTACCCCAAAGGCAAACGCCATTTGCAGATGAGCTGACACTCTCTGCTTTGTTAGGTGACATAACCCTCCTGGACCATCAGCTCCAGGCTCCTTAACCTGCGCCTAGCATCTAACTTCTACCCCAGAGACTATCCTACATGCTCACCACTGACCCATTCCCATGGTCAATCTGATTGTTCTTGAACAATCTTTGATGCCCCTCTTCATTGGATTAGACCCTTGTCCTGACTGTTAGGGCAGGACAGGGGTCTCATCCAATGAGATGAGACCAGAGCATCCACCTAGCTCTGGCCTGTTGGGATTGATAGCAGAAGTTCCAGGGTTCCCCAGGTCAGCACAGCCACCACCACGATAAAGGCAAGAGACAACAGCTGCCACCATGTCCCAGGACAGACTGGTAGCTCATAAGACTGGACAAGGGGCCGTGTCTTGGTGTGAGTTCTCCAGAAGCAGATCCTAATTTGAGGAAAAGCCGATCTATAAAGAAAGTAGACAGAAGCTGTTGACTGGGGGTGGGACTTCAAAGCAGGGATGGGAAGTGACTTCAAATAGGCATGAGAGATATTTTGGGGGTAGTTCTAAAAGGGCGATTGTTGTACAACTCTGTGAACTTGTTAAGAATCAGAGAATCATACAGTTAAAATAAGTGAATCCTACGTTATGTAAATTATCGCTCAATAAAGATGTTAAACATATAAGAATGCATTTCAGAAGTAGGTAAGTGGCTAAGAAACTGAGCCTTGTAAACTGTCAGCCTAGACCCTGCCCTGCCTTGGACTGCACTTGCTTCACTTGGATCTGGGTCCTCTAGGAGACGTCATGCTTCTGTCAACTGGCATTTTCATCTTTGTTATATTCATAGCAAGTCCCCTGCCTATGGTGATCATTTAACAATTATTTGCTGAATTGAACTCTAGTGGGCAGGTGCATTTCCCAGGACATCAAAAAGATGCTTTAAAGAAAGGTTTAACAGAACGCTTCCTCCCAGATGGCCCTTGCACGTGACTCACTCACAAGCACTAGGAAAAGGGCGATGACGTGGCTGTGAAAATGAGACAAGACATTTAGCTACAGATCCAGCAAGTCATCAGTCTTCAGGAGAAAAATATTAGCAGTGCATTGCACCATTGCCTCCTGACTTCAGGCGAGATGGCAGTGTCGCTCCAGAAGGAACAGCCGTCCCCACCACCTGCTGCCCAGTAAGGCCAGAGGCAGCAGGCCCCTCTGTTGAAACTATGAGATTACAGCCCATGTGGCTGAACTTGCAGACAAAGAAGAGGGCTGGAGCTGCTTTTCCTTGTAGTCTAAATGTTACTGTGCATCTCCTTGTGGAACAACATTGATCAAACATAGCCTTCACCCTGATCCAAATCTGCGATTCACCCTCTCAGAAGTTCCTGAGGAGCTAGAACGTTGCACCCTCAGGTCTGTGCACAGGAAGGAGTGTGTGGTAATCTTCAGGGGGAAGAAAATTATCTTAGAAGAATGTAAATTGTTTCTACTCCAGAAATTTGCTGAAAAGGGGGAGAGAAGTCATGTAAAAAGAGATGAATTTATTAGAAGTTCTCCTTAACCCAGTAGGTCCCGAGTCTGTTCCTGGTGGGTAGTCTGGTAAACCAGGAACACAAGAAGGTTGGGTAGAGTGTTTAAGCTTTTGAGTCAGAGAGATCTGGGTTTGGATCCTGGCCCCATCACTAATTAGCTGACCCAGCTCCAACCTCCCTGGATTTCAGTTTTCTCGCTTGTCCAGCTGAGGTAATAATGAAAATTTTTGTAGCTGGATGTGGTGGCACATGCCTGTAGTCCCAGCTACCCAAGAGGCTAAGGCAGGAAGATTGCTTGAGCCTGAGAGCTCAAGACCAGTCTGGGAAACATAGCAAGACCCTATCTCTACAAAATAAAAATTAAAAAACTATCCAGACATGGTGGTGTGTGACTGTACTCCCAGCTACTCAGGAGGCTGAGGATGGAGGATTGCTTGAGCCTTGGAGTTCAAGGCTGCAATGAACCATGATAGTGCCACTGTACTCCAGCCTGGGGAACAGAGCAAGACCCTGTCTCTAAAAAAAATGCTATAGTTATAAAAATAATTTTTTCACTTGGGGTCATTGTATGTTTGCAATGAGAGGCTACACCATGATGGGGACATTGTATAGGAGATACTCAGTGAAGGGCTATTGAAACCCCAGATAGGAATATTTCATTCAGTTAAATTAATGGAGGCCCTGGCACAGACTGTCATTAAATAATATGGGAAGGCTCAGTGTGTCCCTAGTCAGGGTTTCTCACATCCTTTCCAGTGGGCTTCTGCCAGAGAAGACAGAGAGTCCAATGTCATCACTTTCATGCTACAGCGTGCAGAGTCAAGGAGCAAGAAACAGAGCCTCCATGTGATATTTAAATACAAACAGACTTTTCGAGGGTGTTATATATTAGCCAGAACCCCCAAATTAGTATTTGTGGCTCTGCATTTCAAACATTAATTCAAATGATTGCTTCCTTTTTAAGCTTTTACCTGTTGAGATTAAATCCTGAATTGACTCAGTCAAGTACCTGATAACCTACCAAATACTTGATGCTTGTTGAATTTTAATTGATTTAATTATTCTTACAAGTTCATCAACATGAATTCTGGAAAAGAAAGTGTGTTCTAAAGAGTTTTAACGTTCACCCATCAATGGGCGCACGTGGAGTCAGATTCTTTCCACCAGAAATTGGGAAGGGGGCCCTGGAGCAGCAGAACCAGGTGGTCCATGCTGGAGAAGCAGATAAAGGCAGTCTGCAAAGACAGAACAAAGGCTGATGCAGACAGAAAGGAGAAATCCTCATGGGTAACCTGGAGGCTGAGAGAGCAGTTAACTCAGCTTTGGGTCACTTTCCAGGCCTAGCCTTTCTTTCTCATTTTGGTTTTTTGAGAAATCTTTATCTCCCACAGAACCTCTCTGTGGGCTGAGCCAGGCTGAGTAGATTGCGTTGAAGACCTATGGGGTCCCATATGGGATAGGCACCTGGGACCACTGGAAGTCAACTTTGGTGTCTGTTCCGGCCTTTCTCACTTCTTAGTGCCTTTAGGTTGTGATTCACTCTCACTATGTTCTCCAATTGAGGCATCCTTGCTTCAGCAAAAAGAGAATATTTCTTCTTCATCTCCCATCTTCCTGGTATTGGAGAGTAGAAGAGTTAGCTTACAAGGAGATAAACAATAGATCAGGAGAAGGCATAGAGGTTTACAGGGAAAATACCAGTGAGTAAGTGAAGAGTGAAGTATTCTTTAGATGTGAGGAAACAGGTAAGGGAGAGCAGGAATATAACAGATATAACCAGAGAAACAGAATTGAATCAGAAAAATATAGCAAATCAACTGAGAGCCAGAAATCGTTACCATCTGACCTCATAAACTGCCACATCTCAAATACCCAGTCTTAGCAAGAATATGTTCTCCCCTTCCATGCAGCAGGTACTCAGGTCAATGACAGCACCATCACACCAGTGTCTGAAGGAAGTCTTCCTAGATAACCCAGCACTTATATCTTCAGCTTGGGAGTCCATGCATTCTACTGTCACACTGTGCCCAGCACGCAGACAGTGACCCCTGAGCCACAGCTCTCATCAAGAAATCACACCATGGCTCCCAAGACACCTAAATTCCCTTCCATTACCTGTGCTCTCTTTTTGGATACATGTGAACCATGACTACCCACACTCTCACGGTATGGCTATTTGTGGGCCACAGAGGGAGAAGATGGAACTTGGTTAGGATTACTAGCTTTAGAAGAAACCTTGAGAGTTCGAAGTGGATATGTCCAGACAATTGAACATATAGGTCTGAAGCTCAAAGTACAGTAGGAAATAGAAAGTTATGGGCACACATTTATCATTCTAGAAGATGATGTAGAATAAAGATAGAGGAGAGCCTTGGTTTGAACTTTAAGGAATTCACTTAAAGGTCACGCACAACCCAGTTGATACAGAGACTAGAAAAATAAAAGAAGGAGGGAGAAAGTGGGAAGTTGGAAGCCAAAGCAAGAGATTGTTTCAGTAAAGAGATTGTGGTCACCAGTGTTGGAAACTGCTGTGAGGATTGAAAATTGCCTGCTAAATTCAACAATACGTATGTCACTGGTGATCTTGGGGTAAATTGTTTTAGTGAAAGGAATGGCAGATGGAAATTCACCAGGTGTTGAGTGAGTATAGGCAGGGAGATAAGTAAATGGGTTTCGACATGTCTTCAGAGAACTCTGGCTTTGAAATACGAGGAGAAATACAAAAAGCTCATGCGCATAAAAGTGCAGCCTAATATATCCTAAAGAGTATAATAGAGATGATGATTGATAACGGCACAAATGAAACACCATTTCATTCCATAAAAGGCTAGGGAAGAGTTGATTGGATTTGAACCCACATCTCTCTGACCTAAAAACCATGGTTGGGCAAGAGAACCTATGAGACCACACATATGTTGATTAATCTAAATAACTGTGGTATATGAAGACAGGGGTATTATTTGGGTTTGATTTGTTCTTGTTTCTCTAGTTCCTTGAGGTCTGACATTAGATTGTCTATTTGGCACTTTCAGGCTTTGGGATGTCAGCATTTAATATTTAATGCTGTGAACTTCCCTCTTAGCACTGCTTTTGCTGTATCTCAGTGGTTTTGGCAAGTTGTGTCACTATTATCATTCAGTTCAAAGAATTTTTAAATTTCCGTCTTGATTTCATTGTTAACCTAATGATTATTCAAGAGCAGATTATTTGATTTCCATATATTTGTATAGTTTTGAGGATTTCTTTCTTTCTTTCTTGTTTTTTTTTTTTTTTTGGTTGAGATGGAGTCTCGCTCTGTCACCCAGGCTGGAGTGCAGTGGCGCAATCTCAGCTTACTGCAACCTCTGCCTCCCCAGTTCAAGCAATTCTCTGCCTCAGCCTCCCGAGTAGCTGGGATTACAGGTTCCCGCCACCACACCCGGCTAATTTTTGTATTTTTAGTAGAGACAGGGTTTCACCACCTTGGCCAGGCTGGTCTTGAACTCCTGACCTAGTGATCCACCCACCTCGGCCTCTCAAAGTGCTGGGATTACAGGTATGAGCCCCTGAGCACAGCCAGTTTTGACGGTTTCTTTTGGAGTTAATTTCCAGCTTTATGAGGGGTATGAGGCAGGCTCGATTCCCTGAATCTTTTGGTCTCTTGCAGTTTTCCAGTGGTCATCAATGCAGCTGGAATTCACTGTTGCAGCCAAGCAACCACATAATACCCAAGAGGAAGCAGAAAGCAAAGGCATTAATATAAGCACATGTGACCAAAATGCAACTGGAGCATACTAAACAACAGCTTTATTTGTGGCCTCCAGCATGGGCTGGGATGTGCCAACTGTGTAATTCTCCTGCGCATGAAGAACCGCAGAACCATGCAGACTCTCTGGCTCTGCACAGGTCCAGTTGCACTTTTTGTAACTCTTTTAGTGACATTTTTCAATATTTAATCTCAAGCTAAAATTCTTAATTGCTTACTATTGTTGTTCATTAAAAATGTAAGAACAATCTGTGTGAAGTCCCACACCTTAGCGTAGTAGAGAAAGGACCAAAGTGAGAAGTGCAAAATCTCTCTTGAAAAGATGTGCTGTGACAAAAGAAATACTGCTTCTTTCTAAGTTACATCTAATAGCTATTTTAAATGCTCACATAAACACAAGGATTGATGAGGAAGGGAGCTGTCTGTCTCTACCGTGGTGATGCTAAAGGCTTAGCAGCAACATTGACAAATACATAGATCATTGTTGTCAAGGGGTTTTAGTTAATCATGAAGAAGAGCGGGAAAAGGATATAATGGAAAACGAAGATGAGACGTTGACCTGCAGATGTGATTGACTTGGAACCACACCCTGACAATTGCAGAGGCAGAAATAAAAACACTGGGACCAACCACAAGAGGCAAGTAGGTAATCCAGTTAACAGGAGGAAGAGCAGGTAACTGAAATGTCAGGAGCTTTATGTACTGACCTTCGATTACCTCACGGTAAAGGAAAATATTGAAAAGGCCATTGATCTTGTATTCTTATTCATGAAAAACAGCAATTAGCGAGGTGATTGCAGTGTTTGAAAATGTGATAGCAATTTACAAGTTCAAAATAAAAACAAGTGAAGAAAAGCCCTTGAGAAGGGCCACACATCAAATTTTCTAAGCATGATTTGATCTGCTTCAGAAAGAAGATGCTGAAATGCTGCAGCCCAGTGATGCAGGCAGTGACAGCTGACAGGGTAGGGGCTGAATGGAGAGGAGAAGTCATTCTCAACCTTCAGGTCATTGCCATTTTGTTAGTTCCAGTTCCCAAAGAAAAAAGGTAACCCCAATCTAAAGAGTGTTTGTACATGATGAAGGGCCTATCACTTGGTCATTTTCTCAGAACAAATAGGAAGGGACAGACTGCCACGAGATAAGGCTATTTTCCCCCTAAACAAAGCTCATTTGTTTCCACCAGCAGCCTCCATCCCTAAGCCCTCAACCTGGGCTGACACAGATAATGCCTTAAAGGCAGGCTGCCCCTCACACAGACACAAGAACCTAGTCAGCAAATATAAGCAAATGTAGGTCCCTTTGTCTCCCAGGATAAAGCTGGCACCAACCCTCTGCTGGACAAATTAAAAGACAAAATTTTCCACCACTAATCAAATCTCTTCCATGTAATGAGCACCACTGTCTTCTAGGGCAACTGTGATTACGTCCGTTTTCCAGATGAAATGCTGAGAAAGTGATAATAATGGAAGTGTCACACACACCCAGGGTGTGCTTCCTTGTTTTCAAAGTATTTTTCCTAAGTTATGGCCGTTTGCTTTGTTGTTTACGATAATTTTGTGAGGTAGACAGGATGGGAGATATGAGTTTAGGGATTTAGGTTATCATACTGTTCCTGAAGTCAGGTGATCTGCATTCAAACTGAACACACACCTCTAGTGACCTTCAGCAATGTTCTCAACCTTTCTGTGATTCAGTTTGCTCATCTGTAAAGGGGAGAGAGGACTACAGTGAGACTGAGATGTGATGATGAAAGATCCTACACAGTGCCTGGCATTTAGAAAGTGCTCAGTAGTTTGCAGCCATCATGATTCCACCTGTCACCATTGTGGTTGTCACCACAGATGAGGCAATGTGGCTGACATCCCTGAGATCCCAAAGTCAGAGAGGCAACCACAGGCAGAATCCACAGTTCCTGCTTCCAATCTATTATCCCTTCCCGTCTACTAGAGAAACAATGTCAAAACAGCAAAATCAGTTTCTAAAAAGTGGGGATAACATATTCAATGTGTTTTTTAAATAAATGAAAGTCAAAGTGCTATAAGTGCTGTACAAACGAGAAGAAGTGTGATTTGAAGCTTGAGCAAAGGCTCAGAAAGGGTCCTAATTTGTCCTTAGTTCTGTCCTGCACCATGTGATGATGAATTTGAGGTGTCGGGATGCTAGATGCCCTTCCTACCCCCAAATAAAAAGAGGGGGTGACCTTGGGAGGCCAAAGCAGGCTGATCACGAGGTCAGGAGTTCGAGACCAGCCTGGCCAATATGGTGACACCCCATCTCTACTAAAAATACAAAAATTAGCCAGGTGTGGTGGCATGCACCTGTAGTCCCACCTACTCGGGAGGCTGAGGCAGAATTGCTTGAACTCAGGAGGCAGAGCTTCCAGCGAGCCGAGATTGCACCACTGCACTCCAGCCTGGGCAACAAGAGCGAGACTCTGTCTCAATAAAAACAACAACAAAAACCAGGGGTGGTTGATCCTCTGCATCAAAAGATACAATAACAGGAGGAAAGACTGGTGCTGCGATCTGCAATAGAGATCTTTCACATCCTCCCAGGAACTGAAGTCCTAGCCCAAGGGGATACATTTTTTTTCTTATTAAGCAACGCTGCTGGGTTGTCTTCAAAATGAATCTATTTTCTGTTGAGTCTTGAGACTATATGCCCATATTTATTTTTTAGAGACCCAAATAATATTTCTAAAGGTCTCAATAGACTAAAGTTTCCCCAAAATAAAGCTAGAATACACCTATGAGAAAAAGAAAAAAAAAATTCTACACATGGCTTCGAGCTCGCTCTTTTTTGACATTCTCTAAAGCTGATGATGAACTTTGGAGGTGAATTTCATAGCCTTTAAAATCACGCCATTCACCTCTTCAATAGGTAAGGATTGAATTCTCATTCAGCCAAATAATGGGTTATTCTTATTTAAAGATATGCAGTAAATTAGATTCTTTTTTTTTTTTGGTGCCAACAATTAGGAATACATACTTCCTGTTTCTAAGCAATTTCAGGTTTAATTAGGATTCTCTAAGCCCCATTTGTCTTAACAATTTGACAGCTCCGGCTTCCCCTTCCACACCCACACTTTTCCTTTTTTTACACTCTCCCCCGTTTGTAGTATTTTATTCCACATAAATGCCAGGAGGGAAAGGGAAGCAAGCTTAAGTGCAAATCAGATCGCTTGTTTCTTCTCTGGAACAGGCCACTTTCAAGGCACCTATGATAAAAGGTTATTTTCCCTTGACTGACAATTATCTCTAAGCTAATTATTAAAGTGTCTTATTAAAATGTGCATGTCTGGGGGACTTCCAAGGGAAGCAGGATGAAATCCCCTGGAAGAAGAATATGACATCACAGGAGTAATGTGCAGGAGAGCGCCCTGTTTGTCCATTTAAATTAGTTTCATCATCCATAACAAGTGTTTAAAAAGCAGAAAAGCAAGCGTGATGCATAATGCATTGTGCCATGATGCATAATAATTAGGCCTGCTCCCCGCCACCCCGTCTCCCAAGACTTAAAAATCTCTCCGAGTAAGCATTTTGTTCTCAAGGCTTTGACAAAAATGCCATTTAGGGACTTTCAAATTTACAGCTAGGCAATTTGTCATCATTTATATGACAGAGTAGAAGGTAAAAGGAATATAACACTGCGTGGTTCATCACTTCAAGAAGCTCCCGGTGGCCGGGCGCGGTGGCTCACGCCTGTAATCCCAGCACTTTGGGAGGCCGAGGCGGGTGGATCATGAGGTCAGGAGATCGAGACCATCCTGGCTAACAAGGTGAAACCCCGTCTCTACTAAAAATACAAAAAATTAGCCGGGCGCGGTGGCGGGCGCCTGTAGTCCCAGCTACTCGGGAGGCTGAGGCAGGAGAATGGCGTGAACCCGGGAGGCGGAGCTTGCAGTGAGCCGAGATTGCGCCACTGCAGTCCGCAGTCCGGCCTGGGCGACAGAGCGAGACTCCGTCTCAAAAAAAAAAAAAAAAAAAAAAAAAAGAAGCTCCCGGTGATGAAAGCTCCTTGGGCCTCGATGTGGTAAAGGGACATCCGCCTGTCCCTGCAACACTGCCTGGATGGAGGCACCCCGCCCCCATGCGATGTGTTGTTTTCTTTTTAAAAAAAAGACAAAGTCGGCCGGGTGCAGTGGCTCACGCCTGTAATCCCAGCACTTTGGGAGGCCGAGGCGGGTGGATCACGAGGTCAGGAGAATGAGACCATCCTGGCTAACATGGTGAAACCCCATGTGTACTAAAAATACAAAAAATTAGCTGGGTGTGGTGGCGGGCGCCTGTAGTCCCAGCTACCCAGGAGGCTGAGGCAGGAGAATGGCCTGAACCCGGGAGGTGGAGCTTGCAGTGAGCCAAGATCGCACCACTGCACTCCAGCCTGGGCTACACAGCCAGACTCCGTCTCACAAAAAAAAAAAAAAAAAAAAAAAAAAAAAAAAAAAAAGACAAAGTCACATAAGATAGTTATCCCACGCTTGAGCATTTGCTCTTGGAAAGCCAACGTTAACTGAAGGTTTAGAAATCAATCTTCAGCTTCATATATGTTGCTTCTTCTCCAACCCTCCATGGACACTGAGGTTAAGAACAGAACAATTAAAAATATTCTTTACTCTAAAATAGCATTTTTTGAAGATGTGATAAAATCTAAGAGAACGACTAAATTTAGATAATGTCTAAAACACAGCTGAACCAAAAAAGGAAAGAGATGGTCTTTGGAATGAGACATTGTTACTTTAAAATAACCACATAATTATTTTATATAAAAAGAGCTTTTTCTGGCTTTAAAATAAAATTTAGATCTGAAGTACAAATGTAGCATTTCCTGTTGAAGTATGACAGGAAACCAGGATTTGAGGTCTAATAAGCCCTACACGGAGCCCATTTGCGTAACAGCCATCCACCCATTTGCTCAACACTGACTGAGCACCTAAGGTAGGCTGGATTCTTCACTGGGGCCCAGGGCTATTTGCCCAAGAAAATCTAACTGAGGAAAAACACGGAACACAAAGCTGATTATTTTAGGACTGGTTAGAAAGGGTTAATATAAATGATTTAATGATTGAATGATTAATGGAGTCCAAAAGGCAGACTCAAGTGACCAGAAAAATTCTCTTTCAGCTAATTTAACATTTTACCGTAATTGAACACAGATTGCCTCAAACCACAGCACTGTGCTGGGCTGCACCCAGGCAGGGGAGCTTTTCAGCCCCATGTGAACCTTCCCCAGACAGTGGGGGCAGTCTATGTCGTCAAAACACATTATTGGATTTTCACCCTATAAGATGTTGAGTCTCAGGAAACAACAAGGGCCAAACACATAATGGTTGTGTATACGTTCCCAATTGCATACTTAGCATTCACTGAGCCATAAATTTAGGAACATAATGCTAATGCCATATAATTACTAATCCTCACAAATTTTGAGTGTAAAAAAGGCCCATCTCAGTCAACCAACGAGATCATTGTGGGCCAAGCTGTTGTGATAAATCACGCAATCTAGCATGGATATATTGATCTGCATTGGCTTATATGCGAATTTCTAATTTCTTCCAACATTCTTCTCATGAATATGTTTGCCATGATGGAAACTGTCTAGAGCTGGGAGATAGGCCAGCTTGGTTTGGGTTCCAGCTCCATTCCACTCATATTGTGCCTCATTAAAGAAGTCAATTTACATCTTTGATCCTCACTCCCCTCTTATCTTTCAAATAGAAGATTTTGACAGGTAATTAACAAAGGTCCTTCCATGTCTAACTGTTGATGGTTCTAGGGCTCTAGGGCCTTAATTCCCAAGAACAGGATATCATCATCAGGAATGGGATAAGGCAGGAAGTTGACAATTTATGGAGAAAAATAATGTGTGTAGGGATATATAAATAAAGGCCCCCTGCTTGTGACTAAAAAAAGCTAGAACTATAAAAAGCTCTTAGGTAAAAAATTGGGGTCATGCCCAGCAATCCCATTACGGGGTATATACCCAGAGGGTTATAAATCATTCTACTATAAAGACACATGCACACATATGTTTATTACAGCACTATATATAATAGCAAAGACTTGGAAACAACCCAAATGCCCATCAATGATAAACTAGATAAAGAAAATGTGGCACAGATATACCATGGAATACTATGCAGCCATAAAAAAGAATGAGATCATGTCCTTTGCAGGGACATGGATGAAGCTGGAAGCCATCACTCTCAGCAAACTAACCCAGGAACAGAAAACCAAACACTGCATGTTCTCACTCGTAAGTGGAAGTTGAACAATGAGAACACATGGACACAAGGAGGGGAACGTCACACACCAGGGCCTGTCAGGGAGTGGGGGCAAGGTGGGGGAGAGCATTAGGACAAATACCTAATGCATATGGGGCTTACAACCTAGATGACAGGTTGATAAGTGCAGCAAACCACCATGGCACATGTATACCTCTGTAACAAACCTGCACATTCTGCACAGGTATCCCAGAACTGAAAGTAAAATAAAATTTTTTTAAATTAGGGTCATAAATATGTATTACAGAAAAAAATTATCTTATGGTTGAACTCCATAGCCATGTAAAAATTCAAAGAAAAAAACAAAAAATCAAGAGTGAGTGAATTTGGATAAATCACCCAGTGTGGCCCTGAGCCTAACTCCATTCAAGATTTATGCCCACTTAAACATCAGAACCTCCCAGGTTTCAATGTTAACCTTAATTTCCTCATTAAGCAATAACTTCTCTAGAGCACAATAATAGATTATAATTTATTATGCTTTTAACTTAGTAAATTGCCTTAAAATATATTATCAATAATTTAGTACAGCAAGTTTTTTGTACCCAAACCAGATATCCAGACATATATATATATGTATGAACTGTAGTTGGGGAGGGCTTCGCAGATATATATATATCTTCACATATATATAGATATATATATCTTCACATATAGATCTTCACATATATAGAGAGATATATATATCTTCACATATATATAGATATATATATCTTCACATATATATATATACACACTCTAATTTCTTGAATCATCTTCACTGTTTTGAGTTTGTCAAATTGTCTTTTTTGACTTTTCACAACTTAAGAGTCAGTACATTTTTCATTTTATCTTTTAGCTCTGTTGCACACAGCTTTGCTCTGAGAGTCCTTAAAAGCTTCTCACTGCAGCCTGGATTTTGCTCTTCAGCCTCCTTCAGATCCATTCAGTCTCTAGATTTATGTGCATGCATGCACACACACAGACACACGCGCGCACACACACACACACACACACACACCCCACAGCAGTGCTTTCAATGCCTAGCCCTCTTCTCAAACTGCAGGACAGCACTGATCCATGTTCCCTAGGATTCTGTGGCAACAGCTTCACTTCCATAAAGCCCTCCCGAAGTACAGTTCACAAAGCTTCCTTTCTCCTCTATGTTTATATTTAACATTTTTAGCTGCATCCATGTCCCTGAAAAGGATATGATCTTGTTCCTTTTTATGGCTGCATAGTATTCCGTGGTATATATATACCACATTTTTCTTTATCTTGTCTATTATTGGTGGGCATTTAGGTTGGTTCCATGTCTTTGGAGCTGGAGGCCATTATCCTTAGCAAACTAGTGCAGGAACAGAAAACCAAATACCTACTACGTGTCATCACTTATAAATGGGAGCTAAATGATGAGAACACATGGGCACATAGAGAGGAACAACACACACTGGGGCCTATTGAAGGGTGGAAAGTGGGAGGAGGGAGAGGATCAGGAAAAATAACTAACGTGTACTAGGCTTAATACCTGGATGATGAAATAATCTGTACAACAAACCTCCATGACACAAGTTTATCCATGTAACAAATCTGCGCATGTATCCCCGAACTTAAAATAAAAGTTAAAAAAAAAAAAAAAGACCGGGCACAGTGGCTCATGCCTGTAATCCCAGCACTTTGGGAGGCTGAGGCAGGCAGATCACTTGAGGTCGGGAGTTTGAGACCAGCCTGGCCAACATGGTGAAACCCCGTCTCTACTAAAAGTACAAAAATTAGCTGGGCATGGTAGAACATGCCTGTAGTCCCAGCTACTCGGGAGGCTGAGGTGGGAGAATCACTTGAACCCGGGAAGCAGGGGTTGCAGCGAGCCAAGATTGCACCACTGCACTCCAGCCTGGGTGACAGAGTGAGATCTTTTCTCAAAAAAAAAAAAAAAAAAAAAAAAAAAAGTCTTTTTAGAATGATCAGGAGCTCATTTTATAATCTAACTAAATTGGATTATTCAGTTTGTCTCCTTGTTTTATTAGCTTATATTACCTCTGTTTTTTTTTAAAAAAAAAGACTTTGTTACTTTGTACTTATCTATGTCATAATTTCCTAATGAAATGGCCAACTAAGAAACCATATTTATACTGTGCTTATCTTATTCCATATTCCCAATGGACATAAAATAAGCACAGTAAATATTTTCAGGTTAATGAATGCTCTCCTTCTAAGAAAGCCCATTGGTGAGTTTACACTGGTTTCATCTTCGGTCATTAATAACATTAGTAACATTCTGTATCATGATCACCCTGCTTAGATAGTGCCAGTTCCTCACAATCTGTATCACGTTGAGATGGGTATATACAATATGTAAACCCTACTTCTCTTTATTTTCAGTTTTTCAATAAGTACAAAACTATAACTTTTTCAATAAGTACAAAAGCAAAGAATTTACACATAAACTTCTTATAAGAAATAACACTTCGGCCTGGCTCAGTGGCTCATGCCTGCAATCTCAGCACTTTGGGAGGCCGAGGCGGGCGGATCACTTGAGGTCAAGAGTTGGAGACCAGCTTGACCCACATGGCGAAACCCCGTCTCTACTAAAAATACAAAAATTAGCCGGGCTTGGTGGTTCATGCTTGTAATTCCAGCGGCTTGGGAGGCTGAGACAGGAGAATTGCTTGAACCCGGGAGGCAGAAGTTGCCGTGAGCCGAAATTGTGCCACTGCACTCCAGCCAGGGTGACAAAGCGAGACACCAGCCCCCCAGCACCGCCCCCCCAAAAAAGAAAGAATGCTTAATCTTAGCATACATACATTGTGTGTGTGTGTGTGTGTGTGTGTCAATAAGTGTGCAAGATGAGGAGAGAAAGGAAGACAGACAAGGAGGCCAAAAACAGATAAACCATAAAAAAAAACCATTAAGCTGCTCAACGAAAAAGTGAGGCTGCAGATGTGAAATATGAAATGAATTGTAAATTATTTTGAGGTCAAAGTTACACTAAGTTGAATCCTGTAAATCTCAATTCAACTTGTTTAAGGCTTTCAAAACTCACAACGTGGAACACATTTTTAAACTTAAAATTTTTCAGGATATGAATGAGGGAAAATGGATATTTGGGTGATACCAAGTTATACTACATAACAAAAAATATAAATATTTATAGGTGTGCTTAACCCTTCATTTTCTGGTTACTAAAAACCCAAATAGCTTTATGCTAACAGGAACCAAAATTGATCCCAATGATTTGTAAAATAATAGATGGTGATTGCTACAGTGAAACCTCACCCAAATTCACTGTCAATACTACATTTTTGTATACTTTAATTTCAAGAGAAATACAAAAAACAGAAGAAATTAAACTTGTCAGTTATGAGTTGATTGAAGCTGATTAGCCCTTCAGGATGTGCCCTCTGATCCATACATATTGCAATGCAGTCAGGTTTCAGCATCTCTTGGGTTATGCTGTGATAAAATTATAGAATAATTCTCATCAGGTGTTATAAAATCCCTGTCAATGACTCCATTCTGGCACATAGTTTGCAGAAACGCAAATTTCACAGAGTCTCAAAAGAAAAAAAAAAAGTAGGCAATATTGGCAGTAATTAAACACACAAGGCTATAAAATCTATCCACAGCTTTAGTTTAACGGTAAACTCACATTGTGAGACACCGCCATGGGGATAATCTAGACCCAACCTTATCAGCAGTCATGCTTGGATCATCCCCATTGGGCTCCCTCTGTCCCCCAGCCTCCCACCTAGGTCAGTACCCAGCCGCCATCACTGTCCTAGTGGCAGATCATCTCACCCCGGCACCGTGGAATTAGCCTTTGCTTGGCCACCCTTCCACCAATTCTCTCTGCTCTCCAATGTCTCTTATGTGCGGCAACCAAAATACTGCATTGATTGCTCAAATAGAGATGAGCATTTTAACACACGAATCTTCAATTCAATTCCATCTAAATTTGAATTCAAATCTTTCCACAATCTGCTCCCTATCCCATTTTTATTATTGATTTTTTTTTTTTTTTTTGGAGACAGAAGCTGGCCTCACTTCTGTCACCCAGGCTGGAGTGCAGTGGCACAAACATGGTTTTCTGCAACCTCAACCTTCCAGGCTCAAGCAATTCTCCCACCTCAGCCTCCTCAGTAGCTGGGACCACAAGCGCAGGCCACCATCCCCAGCTTACTTTTTAAAAAATATTTTTGTAGAGATTGGGTCTCACCACGTTTTCCAGGCTGGTTTCAAACTCCTGGGCTCAAGCAATCTTCCTGCCTTGGCCCCGTCAAAGTGCTGGGATTACAGGCACCACCTCGCCCGGCCCCTATCCCATTTTTAGATGTGTCTTCCACCATGACTTTGCACAGCAGCTTGATAGAATTCTGTGTCTCTCCCTCCACACCCGGGGACTTCCCTCATTTTCCTCTTTTCTCCTGCCAATCTTTTCACTGCCCACGTTTCCCAGTCAAAAGCATACACAACCTTAAAAGTAAAGTTTTTAAATCCCCCTCTCTTTGAAGCCCTTTTTAAATAGGCTAATCAGAAGTTGTTTTCTGCTTCCATAAACACTGCAGAGCTTTCTCTGTATGTCCGACATGGTGGTCATTATTGGGTACACCCTTTTAGAAGCTGTGAGCATGTCCTATTGTCCTGGAGACTTTGCCATGACCCAGAAAAGAGGAAGTTGTTTTGTTTCTTGCACAGTCGTTAATATAGTGTTTTTTTCTCATTTATTTATTCAACAAATATGGAGGGAGCAACTTACGTGTCAGTCCTTGTTCTAAGAACTGAAGATACTACAATGGGCAACACAAAATCCCTGCTTTCTTGGATGTTACAGTTTAGTGCATATAGGTGTTCAGTGAACATTTTCTTTCTTTCCTTCCTTCCTTCCTTCCTTCCTTCCTTCCTTCCTTCCTTCCTTCCTTTTTTTCTTCCTTTCTTTCTGAGATGGAGTCTCGCTCTGTTGCCCAGGCTGGAGTGCAATGGCACGATCTCAGCTCACTGCAACCTCTGCCTCCCGGGTTCAAGTGATTCTCCTGCCTCAGCTTCCCGAGTAGCTGGAATTACAGGCACTTACCACCACGCCCGGCTAATTTTTGTATTTTTAGTAGAGACGGGGTTTCACCATGCTGGCCAGGCTGGTCTTGAACTCCCCACCTTAGGCAATCTGCCCACCTCAGCCTCCCAAAATGCTGGGTTACAGGCATGAGCCACCGTGCCTGGCCTCAGTAAACATTTTCAAAAATTTTTGAACCAAATATCTTTGTATTCCTCAAAGTATATACAACATATCAGAAATTACATGGGTAGTCAACAAAGATTTTTTTTTTAAGTAAGGGGTTTTATTGTTATATCTTTTATGGGTGCGTGAGAGTTGAGAATTCTAGGGCATAATGCTTGTTGATCTTTTAATTAAAATACAAGTGCAGATCTTCCAAATGCAGAAACTATTGTCACACAGAGATATACTGTCATTCCATCAGAAATATAAATAAATAAAGTAGAACTGAAGAGACAGCAATGACATCCAGTCCCTAAGAGCTATACATTGCTTTAAACAACATTCATTGGTTTAATTATTCAATCAGTAACTACTTACTGGGCACCTGCAGCCTGTTAGTCACTCTTCTAGGTGAGCACAGTAGACAAATGTGGGCTTCCCCAGTTGGGAGAGACAGATGATAAACTTCTAAGTATATGATTTTAAGTACTCTGACTTCCACAAAGAAACCTGAAGCATGGCAAGGAGAAACTGAACAATCAAGGAGGCCACTTTGTTTTAGATCAGGTGGTCAGGGAGACCTCTCTTAGGTGGTGATATTTGGACAGAGAACTGAAAGAAGTGAAGAAGTGGGGCGGGAAAAGGCCAGGGTAGAGCATTCCAGGCAGAACACGCGGCCAGTGCAGTGCTGAGGAGAGGACCAGCTCAGCAAGCTGTAGAAACATCCAGGTGGCCAGCATGGCTCTGTGGAGGGGGTGGGGTGGGCCAGCCCAAGCCAGGCCATGGAAGGGGTTTGAGGTGTAGGCAATGCTGTGTTTATTTTGGGGATGAAGGGAGAGGCTTTGGAAAGAGGAGTGATGTAATCTGCTTTATATTTTGAGGAAATCCCTTGGCTACTGGGTGGAAATTCAGCTGTGAGTTGGCAGATTATCATGATAGTCCAGGCAAAAAGGAGAACGCAGCTTGAAGGAATTTAAAGGTAGAAGAAATGGTCAGATTCTTAAAGTAGCATCACTAGGACATGCTGGTGGTTTGAATACAAGATGTGAAGGACAGAGAGGAATCAAGGACGACTCTGAGATTTCTGTTCTGTGCAGTGAGGGACGAGCGATGCTCAGTTTGAATGACCAAAATGTGAGATAGAAGTGGTTACAGGGAGGAAAATCCAGAAGGCCTCCTTCAGAGAGTTTAAATGTTGAGATACCTGTGAGTTTTGTAAAGGGATGTTGAGTAGGCAGCTGGATTTCAGGATCTGGATTTGAGCTCAGAGAAGAAATCATGGATAGAGATACGAATATGGAAGTCATCAGCATAGAGAGGGCATTTAATGCCTTGACCTAAATTAAATTATATAGAGAGGAATTAGAGAGAGGAAGGGAAGGGAAAGGAAGCAGAGAGGAAAGGAGAGGAGAAGAGAGGGGTAAGAATTAATCCCTGGAGTGGGCTGCAACATTTAGAGTCTAATTAGAGGGAAGAAGCTCACCAAAGACACTGAGAAGGAGAAGCCAGTGAGGCAGAGGGAAACCCAGAGAGTGAGGTGTGCACGGTCCAGGTGAAGGTGTTTCAGGAAGGGAAGTGTGATCTGTTGTGTCACAGCTGCTGAGAGAGTGAACATGAGGAAATCTAGAAACGTGGCCCATGTGTGGTGGCTCATGCCTGCAATCTTAGCACATAAAGAGACCCCCATCTCTGCAAAAAAATTAAAAATTAGCTGGACGTGGTGGTGCAGCACCTGTAGTCCAGCTACTCAGGAGGCTGAGGTGGGAGGATCACTCGAGCCCAGGAGTTTGAGGCCATGGTGAACTGTGATTGTGCCACTGCATGCCAGCCTAGGCCACAGAGTCAGTCCATGTCTCAAAAAAAAAAAAAAAAAAGAAAAGAAAGAAAGAAAATAAACAGAAAAAGAAGACTAGAAATGTGGAAGTCATCAGCCTCATTGACAAAAGCAGATTCAATGGAGTGGTGAAGAAGACCTGATCAGTGTGTGTTCAACAGAGACTGAAAGATGAGAGTGTCAGGTGAGTTGAAACAGCGCTAATCGAAGTGTGTACAGACCAGCTGCTTGTTTCTTGTCTACAGTGAGACAAGCACAGAAACTGAGAAGTTGCTGCAACATTCAAGGGGGTGATCAGTGGGCTCCATTCTCAGGAAGGGCGGTACAGGCAACTTTGTGTATCGTTCAACTCATGTGATAAGAAGCATGAGCAACAAGCTGTGTTTGAGGCAAGTACTGTAAGGACCTCACATCAAGCTGCAACAGATTGGAAAATGAAAAACTGATCTTTCAGCACAGTTAGTTTGAGAAGCACTAGTATACTCAATTCTTTCCAGTAGTTTTACTATTAAAAAGTATCAGAGGAATTGGATGGAAGAAGGAAGTGGTGACAAGATGGGAGGTGGTGGTTGTTAGTACGTTTTACAGTGGTAGGGATAACAGAGAGAAAACAGAATGTTGATATGCTGAGCTGGAAGAGGGGGAAGTTGAGGCTGAGATAAAATGCAAGGGCAGGACTGATGCAGTGGCTCACACCTGTATTTGCAGCACTTTGGGAGGCTGAGGCGGGGGGACTGTTTGAGCCCAGGAGTTCAAGACCAGCCCAGGCAACATAGTGAGACCCTGTTTCTATAAAAATAAATAAATAAAAATAAATACAAGGGCAAAGTCTTTAAGCAGATGGGAGATGTGGAATTCTGGACATGAATGGAGGTTTCAGCTTTCAACAGGAGCAAGGCCAGGGCTTCCATGGTCACAGTAGCGAAGGTCATGTGTATGGGTCTGGTGTGGGACCTGAGATTAAGGTTCCATATTGTGTTGCTGTGAACGGGATAAATTCAGAAGAGCCTCAAAGGGCTTACCTGCTAGTTCTCCCCCACCCATGAGCTGTCATGGATAAAGTCCCCTAGCCAAATGGCACTCCGCTCATAGGGACCAGGCACAGTGCCTGCTTACCCATGAGTAGTGGGCTTCGGTCTCCCGTCAGCCTGTGGAATCAGCCAAATAAGCCAATCACATCCTCCCTCAGGAACCAGGGGACACCCCACCCTCTTTTTTTTTTTTTTTTTGAGACAGTCTCACTCTGTCACCCAGGCTGGGGTGCAGTGGCACAATCTCAGCTCACTGCAACCTCCGCCTTCTGAGCTCAAGTGATTCTCCAGCCTCAGCCTCCCAAGTAGCTGGGACTACAGGCACATGCCACCACACCTAGCTAATTTTTGTAGTTTTTTAGTATAGATGGGGTTTCACCATGTTGGCCAGGCTGGTCTCAAACTCCTGACCTCAGGTGATCCACCCGCCTCGGCCTCCTGAAGTGCTGGGATTACAGGTGTGCACACACGGCCACCATCCCTTCTTGTTACTACAAGGTCTGCTTCCCGCAGCCCCTGCTAGTTCACTCTGTATGGCCTGCCCTGTCCTACTCCCCTGGGCTGTGGGAATACTTGAATGCAACACTGCTGTCAATTTTATCTGCCCAGGGTCATGTGTTCAACCACCCCTATAACTGAATCCCCCATCATCAGTGGGGTGAAAGGGAGGCAATAAAAACAGGAGTGGACGCTGATCACATGAAAAATTGAGTGTGTGGGTGTGTATTGGAGAGCAGGGAATAGTCCAAGTATTCACTTGATTCTTCGGTTTTCTCAGTAAATCATATGAGGTTATCGACTCAGAGTCTGGGAAAGGAAGGGGAGTTTGAGGTTTGGGGAGGTGAGAAAGGTGTGAAGTAGTCTTCCCACAGACACAGAAATCAACTAGGGCAGTGAGGTAGATTGAGGGCAGAGCTAAGAGCCCACTCGAGGTTTGTGGTCATGCATAATGAGACCAGTCAGAGCACAGTGTGTGCAGCGAGAGCTCCTTGGTCAAGTGCAGCTGCTCTGATGCAATGGCAGATAGGCTGGGGCTGTATAATCAGGTATATCACAAAGTCTATAGTCTCTGAGACATGGGTGAGTAGGTGTGAGCACCTGGTGAAACAGGTCAGAGGAAAAGCAAGTTGGCGTTGGAGTCAGCTGTCAAGAGATAGATCCGTGATGGTATCGAGATCACTACAGACAGGTGGTGGTCACCTAGTGTTGTCTGCTGAAATTTGGAGGGTTTAATTTTTAATCCAAATACCATAGAAATGGATATGAAAAGATGGGTGACACATGCTGCACGTTGGGAAGTGGGGATGACCAGGTGCTTAGTTGCATGGGAGAGGCCACAAGTGCTTGGCAATGTTTTCGTGACTGAGCCTCTCATCTCAGGAATGAGCTGAGATTCCAGAAATGCTGGGATGAAAACAAACCAACCCTGAGACTCCCAAATTGTTCTCATATTGCCACATTTTTTCCCACATCTTCCTTCAGAAAAGCTTAAGAAAGCCATGTTTGCTATCTGGCTCCTCTTAACTCTCCCCATAACTTACATTTCCAGTTTTCCAGATAAGCATGGCCATTTGTGTTAGGTCATTCTTGCATTGCTATAAAGAAATACCAGAGACTGGGTAATTTATAAAGAAAGGCGGTTTCATTGGCTCACAGTTCTGCAGGCTTTACAGGAAGCCTGGTGCTGGCATCTACTCAGCTTCTAAGAAAGCCTCAAGAAGCTTACACTCATGAAGGAAGGTGAGAGGGGAGTAGGCAGGTCATAGGGTGAAAGCAGGAACAAGAGAGACAGGGAGTAGGTGGGGGAGGTGCCACACACTTTTAGATGACCAGATCTTAAGAGAACTCCCTATCATGAAGCACAGCGCCACGCCATGAAGGATCCCTCCTAATGGATGGCGCCAAGCCGTGATCCAAACGTCTCCCACCAGGCCCCACCTCCAGCACTGGGAATTACAACTGGACATGAGATTTGGGCAGGGAAAAATATCCAAGCTATATCACCACTCTAAATAGTATGTGCACTCAGAAACCAGCTGACCTATCTGGGGCTCATTCATCCAGGAAGACAGCCTGGAAGTCAAGTGCAGGAGTTCTGGAATTAGACTGCCCGGGTTCAAATCCTGCTTCCACCCCGGCTCAATGTATGCCTTCTCTAGGAAAGGCATTCACCTTTGTAAGTCTTGAATTTCCGCAAGTGTAAAGTGGAAATAATACCAACAGGCACCTCAAAGACTTGTTTGTCAATTAAATGGGATGGTAGAAAAAAGCACTTAGCACAGTTTCTGGCACACAATAAGAGCTCAATGAATATTAGCAATTACTATAAACAGGTTCATTCACCACTCCATAAACAGGTGATTCTGTCAGTATTACCATAGTATGAAATTCAGGCTGCTTAGGCCACAGACAAGAAGACAAATATCTTTAAATTTCTCTGTAGTCAGACTCTCCATGGGATCCCTGGCCAAGGTTTGTGAGGTGGCTGATTGGACAGGATGAAGGCAATTGTCACGACAGGGGACCAACCAGTGGACCCAGATGGTGACTTCATTAGAACAGTATTCCAACCAGCACCACGCAGTGTGTATCCTGCAGAGGGGCCAACCAGGCAATAAACCGAGTTCCACCACCTTGCAGCCAGCAGCCGAGGGAAGCTCTGAGCTCTGAGAGAACTGGTCTATTTTCATCACATTTGGACAATGGACACACTCCACAGAAGGCAAATGTCCTTTCTCAGAAGACATATATCACATATGAGTAGCTGGCTTGAACCTTAACTCAGTGTGAGAGAGTAATAAGAATATCACCATAGCGTGGCACAGGTATGCACACACACACAGGCACACACAGGCATAGCTTATTCTTATTTATTACAAGAGCTTTCAGTCAGGCTGAAATGTCTAGGCAGTATTTTCTAAACTCTTTAAGACGCATGTCCCATGGACACTTCCGGTAAAATGATTCAGCTTCAATAAGATTCAGACGCTTACTAACAAAACTAATTTGGGTGTTTTTTCAGAAAAGCTCAAACTGATACAAAACTCACAATTTCAGCCTCCAATTAGCAATTTCAAAAATATTTTGATTCTGATATTTTGGCATTGAGAAAATTGGTAGTCAGTTCAGGACAAATGAAATAGAGTGTACTTAAAAACAGATGCATGATTTAAATTTGAGAGTTGGGGAAAGATTCTATCCTGTAATATGAATGTAATATAACTGTCATCTGGTCTCCAATTTTACTCTTCCCAACAGAATGCAATCTCATGAAATAGTTGCACCTCTGAAGTGGGTAAGAGTTAATTAACCTGTCTCTTACTTATCTAACTTAAGTAAGCGAAATGGCTGACATGGAAAAGTAAATGAATTTTCCATTTATACACCGATTTTTAAAAACCGATCTTTCACTTTCCCAAAACAACTCTTTAAAGAAAATTTAACATAATCATTTTCAGCTTGAAAACTTCAAATGAATGAATGTGGCTTGATTTGGGAGAAGATTTAAAGACTGTGACACCAGACAACCTGGGCTCAAAGTGCTATTCTCAAATCACAGTTGCCACCTGACCAGGGCCTGATAGTCAACATTTCCAAACCCTGGTTTTGCAATCTGTAAAACTGAAATTAAAAATACCCATTTGACTGAGAATGAACAGAGGCGTAGTCCTCAGTCTGTCATTCAACAATTGTGTGACCATGAGCACATTGTCTAACCATGCCTTCTTTACGATGGTCATAATAACAATATTCACATCTAGTAATAAATCATAAATTCAAGCTATTGTTTTTATGATCATTACTATTGTAGCTAATAAACATAACGAGTGCGAATCAAATGGTCACTCAAGTGTCCACACACTTTAGATGCCCAATACATACGAGTTTCCTTTTACCCTCATTCTTTTTTAGGGAAATAATTACAAGGAGGATATCTTTCTTCAAAGCAAACCAAGAGATTTTCATTTCTATGAAGGAGATTACACAATATTCGAAGGGGTATGTGACAATCTATGCAGATAATTACTCTCTCTATGAGTAATTCTTGTGGCCCAGGGGTTCTTAGGATGCGGGAAGCTGGAATGGTAATATATGGTATCATCGTGTGACCTGCTCTTGAACGCAAGAGGCTATCGTTTCCAGCCAGATCAAAACACAGGCAAATTCTGATTTAAAAAACTGCACATATTCTACATGCTCTTATTTCTTGTATCCAGACTACCCCATTAAGCTAATATAAAGGGAGAAAAAGTGATAGGGTGCAAGGAAAAATTCAATCACTGCTAAGCTCATCAAACTACACAATGAGCCATGGTAATCTGCAGCCTTAGAGAAGAAGCCCATCAATGACAACACCACCATCGATATTTTCTACTCACATTCTTTCCTATGCAGTCCCAATTTTCTTACATTAGGAAGCATTTCATCAACATTTTAAGTTAACGAACCTCACCTCAAAAAATCACCCAGTCTAAAGTACACGGCATGCAAGAGCAAACCTAAACTGTGTTATCAGAAAACAAAACCAGATGATGTCGTGCCTTTTTAAGGAAATATAAACCTAAAATAAACCGAGAACACCCCTCCCGGGGCCATCACATACACAAGAGGCAGAGACTTAGGCAACACTCAGAAGGGAAAGGAAGGCAAACAGCGAAAAGTCTCTCAGAGAAAAAGATTTCATGGACTTTGGAGCCACTACAGCTGTCTCTGCACTCTCCTCTTCAAGCGTTTCTCCACATCTAGTATCTTCAAATCATTAGTGCTTTCTAGCTACGGTTTCAATATTTCCCAGAGGTCTCTCCAGTCCAGCCTTTGCCTGAGAGAACAGGTTACAAAAATATCCCCTCTCCCTTTTACCAGGCAACAAAGAGAATTTGCAGTGCTTTGAAAACAGAAATCCACATCCACAGGAAAAACAGGCCTCCGCCAGCCGCAGAAAAGGGTGCTTCAGGCACAGGGCAACCAGGCGAGAGAAAATGCATTCAGAGCGGTTAGCACACAGGATTAATCACATTATAATTTAATCATCTGATCAAACACTAATTAGCATAATTGCTTGAGGGAGAAATGGCTGGAGGAACCCAGGAACACCCTGAGCATCCATGTTCTTAATGACAAAAGAGGGAACACAGATTTGGCTTCCCTTTCTTCATAAGAAAAGAAAGAAAATAGCAAATAAAGTTAATCAATGACAAGCATCACCAGCTATGGTTTTAGCAGCCAAAGGAATTGCAACTGAGATTCATGACATTTTCCTTCCTCCTCTCTCTCCAGGACCACTCTAAAATCCATGGAAAAAACGCAGTACTGATGTTACGGTAACTAGACTCTGAGCTATTTAAGTCTGTGTTCTCAACCTTGGCACAATGAAGATGTTGAACTGGATCATTCTTTGTCGTGGGGAGCTGTCCTGTGCATTACAGGGTGTTGAGCATCTTATAGTGAGTGTCCCCTCCAGATGCCAGTAGCAACCCCCAACCAGATGTGTGACAACCAAAAATGTCTCCAGACATTGCTCACTGTCCTCTGTGGGTGCAAAATTGCCCTCCGTTAAGAACCACTGAAGAACACAGCTTGTCCGGTGCATACTTCTTTTAAAAGTAACCAAGTCATAAAAATAGGGGAGGAGTCTTTTTATTTCCATTTGCCAAAAAATAATGAGCCTAAAATAATAGTTGCCCAGTTTGGGAGGCCGAGGCGGGCGGATCACGAGGTCAGGAGATCAAGACCATCCTGGCTAACATGGTGAAACCCCGTCTCTACTAAAAATACAAAAATTAGCCGGGCATGGTGGCGGGTGCCTGTAGTCCCAGCTACTCGCCAGGCTGAGGCAGGAGAACGGCATGAACCCGGGAGGCTGAGCTTGCAGTGAGCAGAGATCACGCCACTGCACTCCAGCCTGGGCGACAGAGTGAGACTCTGTCTCCAAAATAATAATAATAATAAAATAATAATAATAATAATAATAATAATAATAATAATAATAATAGTTGCCCAGTTCCATGGATTTACCTTATTTCTCATGGCTCTATTTAGAGCTTTACAATAACCCATAATGCCTATGCCTGTGCACTTCAGAAAAAAATAATTAAATACCAGCCTCCTCCATCAAAGACCTTTAGGGAGACACTTCCAGGAGCACCTTTGAATAGGGACACTCACAGGCTCAGAGAACTCCAACCCTTGCTTCTAGACTTCAGTGTGCCCTGAGCAGGCAAGAGGTCACAGCAATGTCTTCCACCTACCCAGGAGAGAGCAAACCACCAGTGACTTTGAAAATGAATAAACCCAGAGAAGGCCTCCAGACCCCCCAGGAAAATACAGCTTTCTCCCTCCACTCTCACTGAGCACATGTAAGCTCTAATATTTGCTCCCAGTTTCTAAAGAGGGAGAGAGAAAGGTGAACAAGATGGAGAGAGGTGAAATGCCGACTGCTCCTCCATTTCTTGCAAATGTATCTCCACCACAATCGACTCATTGCATAAACTTAACCTGCCTTGGCCACCAGTCAGGCTGGACCTAACAATATTCACTCTTATCAAGAGATGCTAGAGACCCCAGGGAAAAATACTCAACACTTATTGCTGCAGGAAAGAAATATTTTCTATGGGTTAAGGTGATTTGTTCTAATAATAATACTGAGTCACATTATCTCTCATTTTTATTTTTTTTATGAAGAAAGTGTTTCACCATTTACAATTACTCATGAGTCTAACACAGGTTATTAAATCTGATGATGGAAATATTTATGCCCTTTCCGTGGCAGAAAGATGGGAAAAGATTGACCTACTCTACTACAAAATTTAAAAGAGAACAGTCTGTGCTATACCATGTAGGTTGTGAAAACTCCAAATCAGAGAGGAACTGTGAGCTATTTTAAACTGAAATCTTCTTCTGCAATTCCCCTGTCAGAGCTTGTGACTTCTTAATATAATGCCCCCACCCCCTTTTAAAGGAACATGAGTATAGGAAACTATTATTGTAAAGAGACAGTCTACCCTAATTCCTGTAGTGATGAGTAAGCAGAATTCACATTTATTCAGCCTACAATGGCTTTTATACCATTTCCTTCTAAAGCTAAATTTCAAAACGGCCACTCAAAAAGGTAATTTCTATAGTGAATCACAATAAAATCACCAAAGGATTATAACATCAAACTTGTTTAAGATGCCTAGGAGGGAAAGTTATTTTTAATATTATCTAAAATAAGATCTCAGGACACAAAAAGGTATTTTTAAGGTTCTGAATTTAGGCCTCTCTCCAGCACACATTTGAGTCTATTTTAGTGCCAAAATCAAGGACACGATGTTTTGAAAAAATTAATCTGCCACCAATAACTGCCCTCTATTTTGTCATATATGTAACAAGGTTTAAAATGCACATATGCCCTTATATGCCAGCTTCTCTCTTTTTTCTGACAACTTAGGATAATGACATATACTTTGTATGGTAAATACAGTCAACTTGTGATTATTTACCTAAAAGAAAGCCAAGAACATCCAACAGAGCAAATGACCCAAAGCCCTTCAGATCTGGCTCTGGAATGAGCTTGTGCCCTGGACAAAGGAATGTGCAGCATCCCAAGGCGGCATCAAAGCAAAACCTCTAGCTGCAAACAGATCCACTCTCCTGCCCTGTCTCAGCCCGTTCTAGCTCATCTCTTAAGCTTGTTCAGTAGAGTTACCCAAATGGTTTCCCACTATGGATCTCTTGCCTGGAGCTTCATGGTTACAGGCAGGTTTCAAAGGGCTTCTCTGCTGGGACTCCAGCTGCTATCGAAGAAGGGACCAATGTGAGAAATACAATGGAATCAAGACCATAAGCAAAGCACAAGCATTTATAAACCTGAATATCAAATACGCTAACAGGAAGAAAAAATGGTGCAAAGAGATAGATATTAATACACACAGATGATTCGTAAGCTGCTAGCATCCACATTGGGAGTGCCTCTGGCAGGATCTACATACCCCTCTACTCAGAATCTTTCTTGTTACTAAACCCCAGCACCAATTATCCCGAAAGATGCCCAAATTCTTATGGTGGTCAGTGAAGACCTAACCCTGTATACAGACATTCCCAATAAATTACTACCCAATACAGAGTTCTCCAACAGTTCATCGAGATGTACTTGGAACTTTACTGGATCAACTTCCTAGCTACTGTTTGGGTAGCTTCTTTGCAAGTGTGTGTTTTGCAAAGGTGAATTATGGTTCATGTGGATCAGAACAGGCAAAGGCATGCGTTAATAATGCAAATTCACAGGTCGTGCATACACCAAGGCTACAGAATCAGACTCTCTGGTATCAGAGCTGGAAGACGACATAACAAACATGGAAACCATAACTTGGGAGACCCCAGTGGTGGTGGGAAAAACAAGACAAAGTCACATGGGATTAGAAACACCTGGGGAGCTTTCCAAACTACAGCCCATTCCCCACAACGCTGGCATCAGAATTTCCAACAGGAGGCTAATGAGAGGAAATGCATTTCAGGAAACTTCCATATCTCCTTTCTCTGTTCTCCCTGACCCAGAACACCGGGGTGTTGAGAACCAGTGTCCTCGATCCTTACCTGGGAAGGCCCACATAGAAGGATACTAACTAATGTTCAGCTTGAAGTGTCAACAGACTGTGGTCTACCTCTTATCCTGATGTAAGGGTGGAGGGGATGTGTGGCTATGGGGCTGGCACAGCCTCTTCCTCCATATTCAGTGTTCCCATGAACATTTGCCTCCGCTGCCTCCAAGCATCTAATCCCACAGAAGCCTACAGCATATTCTATATTCTTACTCTCCCATCCTCAGCAATGGGGCGGTAGAGGTATGGGGGAGAGTGTGGGGCCCCTCGTGCCTGTGATTAATAAAGGCTGATGATGTGAGATCCCCCAAGACACAAATAAACCAACCACTGATGAGAGTTCCTTGCCCAAAACAAATACCTAGATCACCTCGAGGTCCACATTTTTCTACCCAGATTTCTATACAAATATTCAATGAAGCCTATTCTAAAACAGTAGCCACCAAGGATTTAATAGCTATTGATTTGGGTGAGTCATAACAGACACATCTGGTAATTAACCATCCTACCCACATTCTGCTGTCACGTTAAGGACCCGGATAGAGGTTGCTAACTTGGGCTGCCAACTTAAACAACTTGTGAAAGGAGGATTCTGTCTGTTAGACAGCATTCCACATTTCTTGTGCATTTCCTTTTCACTAGCCAACGAAATAGACAAGTGACTAGCCTTTGCAGGAACTGACAAGAACTAGATCCGGCAGGAGTGATAAAGTAGTCATGGTTCCCGTTTTGCTGGTAGAGGCCATTGTTGTCATTGTTGGGTGTCTTCAGCTCATTCCTAAAGTCTCACAGGTAATATTCCAAAGCATTGTTATTTCTACCCTGCAAGCTACATATCAGTTATTAAAAATGCTCTACAGCCGAGATTAAAAAATAAACATGGCAATTAAGCAGACTGGGACTTGGATTTTCTGTATCTCTATGGAACCCAAGATCAAATCACACCACAGCGGGGCTAACTGTGAAAAGAATTGAATCTTGAGTTTCTCTCGTGAGAAAGTATATTTCCTTAAAGTAATAAGTTTCCTTATTATATAGGAAATATAGCTGTCTTTTGTATTTAAAAAAATAAATTAAATTAAAATATACATAGAATTGCAGCAGTTCTAATTATCTTTCTACTTGTCTTTCTCTTATGATACAATCACAGAAATGTTCCCATCATCCAGCAGTTCATGCTTATGAGAAGAATCAATGCTTTACTCAATATTAGGAAGATTAATCAATGGTAAGAGAGTCCACTGCAATCACCCACCTGAAGTGGCATGGATGGCTCTTCAGTATACGGCATGGGCTACCTCCCAACAGCCCCCCTCAGCCCCTGTGACCCATTCACGCTGGTCCTAACACCAGCTTCTACCTGATCATTGTGGTGACTCCATGATAATGCTGAAGCCACTTTGGGACCCTCAGGTCATCAAGGTCAACACTGGGAGTGGTATCACCATACTGCTGTTTTGCAGAAGCATCCAATAATGAGAAAGTTGGGATATTTAGAAAGAACTATAAGCTGGCTTTTACTGTTTTATTTTCAGTGTGAAAAAAGTGTAAATTTTATGTAAAACCAGACTTAAAACTGTTTCCTGTTTCTTCATTTTAATACTAAAAGAGTCAAGGCTTGTATGAATCAAAATCAGTAATTAAATAGTTCAAATTTCTTTCCATCACCTTATCAAAATGCCAATTTCATAGTCTGGAGAGACTAGCGACAAAATGATCCATTTTATAGATGGTTCTTTATAAGACAAAAGGCAAACACTTTCCACAGCATCATCTTCTAGGGCAGGTCTGATTTTGTCCAGATTTCCAACCTGTAAATCAGCAGTATTTGCATAAAAATTCAACGATTCTACTATTAATAAAACCCAAAGCCCACTTGGAACCAGGAAAACCAGAATGCTATAAGTAACAAATACAGGCCTAGAAAGGAAAACTATTTCATTTCTTTTTTTATGCTAAATTGTATATACTTAAGGAACCTGGGGGACATTAGCTAAGTGATATATGCCAGACACACACATACAAAATCCATGATCTCACTTATATATGGAATCTTATAAAGACTATTTCATTTATAAGAGCATGTGGCATTCTTTTTCCCTTGTCCAATAACATTTGTGTCAATCACAAAGCCTGGGGTGATATTGTCTGCCCGACACAGACTGACAAATAAGGACTTCATATATTGCAATTTAAAACCCCAGAGTTTGAGAACAGGTTAACATGGAGGGACTTGTGATAATCACAGGATCCTAAATTTGAACTCTTCTCTCAGTAATTGCTTTATTACTGAGATGTATGCAGATTTCACCCTCCTACTATTCTGCCGTGAAACATCTTTAAGAAAGGCAAGGCTTATTGCAGAATAAATATTTGTAGCAGTGCTGCAAGTTCAATGTCCTCCCTTCACCTCCAGTCTTTTGTTCAGACCTACTCAAGCTGTTTCCAGATAATATATATATTGCCTTCTCATCCCCAGCTTCCCAAGCCTAACATAGACTTAAAGACTGAGAGCACTTCTAGAATATTCTGCAGAGAGTCCAAAGAGATTTCATAATATTTCTGCAAGGGTTGGTATGCTTTTTTTTTTGTTTTTTTCTCCTACAAAATGCTGTACAGAGCTGGGACGTTAGGGGAAGCTAGCATTTAGTATGGAGGTGATCTCTTGCATTTTCAATTCTTTCTTTCACTGTCTTTGCGGCTGCACTTAAAAACAGCTTTCTATAAATAGGACTGCTTGCTCACTCTTAAATCTTACTCACTGTCTTCTCAGTAAAAAAAATAACTAGGGATACAGGCAAGATTCATTAATCCCTGTCATTCTAACTCTCTGTGTAGTAGCCTCTTTCCTTCTTCATATCTTGACATATATCTTCTCAATCCCATTCATCCCTCTCTGTTAAACCATAATATGTATTTACATAATCCAGGGGGCTTCAAGATCAAAAATTAATCCAGTTGCATGATTTTTAAAAAATCAGCGTTGATCACATAGAACAAATAGAGATGTCCAAAAATCAAAAGCTGATAAATATTGTAAGCTATAAGACACTTAATTTGATTTTTATATTTGGACAAAAATCAACTTTAACAATGATTAAGATATCCTTTCATGTTACTTTGATGAAGATAGCAACTGTCATATTTGAATCTGCAAAATAAGAAATAAAGATAATGACAAAAAACCCATAAATCCATAGGATGCTGAAGAAAACAGTAGTATGACTTTTTAAAGATGAATTAAGGCCTGAGAAAGTAAGCTTTGTTTTGATGTCCTGGGTGGCTCTTTGATGAAGAAATGAATTCCCAAGAGCTGGGGGTGGCGGAGTGGGCGGGGAACCTAAATGTCGGTTTGATGTTTCTGGCTGGCTTTCAAAATGCGACAGGGCAATAAACACTGTATAGGAATTTTAAATCATGCCATTTAGCAGCGTACACTTGAGAACAAGGGGTCCAGCACATGGATGAAATTATTGTCTGTGACACTTGACCCACTGCACGGCAGGAAGAGCACCTAAAGCAATTACATAGCTGTTGTGCAACAGTGATGAAGTCCCATCAGATACTCGAAATATGAATCTCTTTTTGAAAAGAGAAGAAAATGCCCCAAGCCACAGGCGTTTCTGGAAAATAAACATTTCTACCGTGATTGAGTCACTACGACAGAAAAAGGTGGGTAGAGCAAAAGAGTCCAGTGGTTTAGTCAGAATGCAAGATAGGGACCAGGAGAGCAAGTCCAGGAAAGCAAACTAAGAGGGGGAGCCAATCAGCTAGAGGCAGAAGAGAGAGGTGGACGGGAGGGAGGAAGGTGGACAGGAGTTAAGGAGGGGAGAAAGGCTCTGCCTATCACTTTTTCCTTTCACTCCGTAAGGAACATCATCTATTTCCACTACTCCATACCATGTGCTCTGCTCTGTGCTAAGGACACGCTCAGGCTTCGCACGCATTTCAGACTATGGAGGCTCCTGTCTAGCTAGTGAGAGAGGCAGTCACTAGCCAAATCAGCATCACCTAAATGCAGGCGTAACGATTACCACAGACTCCATCAAGGAAACAGCCAAGATTTTTAGAAAAAGGATAATATGGAGGGAACTGATTTTCAGGAGCAGATTTGTGAAACCCAACCCTTCTGAACGTCCTGGTCAGAAGCTGTCTGACCTCTGAACCAAAATCCTGTCCCTGCTTCCCTCCTGCCACCTTGACAGACCTTGCGTCACCTGCAGAAAACATCCGTGTGCTCCACCCTTTGAATTCAGAACGACATAGTGGATACTCCGTGGGGCTGCTGGAATCTTCCATTCCCACTGCCTTATCTTAACCCATAGATTCGGCAAGGGAAATGCAACTTTGAATTTTCTGGCATTTTCACAACATTGAAGAAAAGAACATAAATATAGTTGGGGGGAGGGGCGCGGAGAGATAAGATGAGCATTTTTGTGCCCAGGTCTTTGGAACTTGAAGAGTTAACCCCCCAGTCCAGGGGAACAGGTGTTTTCCAGTGGGCCTGGGGGAGAGGGAAGGGGGCTCCCGGTCCCGGAGCCTTGCCTGCGGAGATTGATGGACTGCGGAGGAGCGGGCACGTCAGCATCACCCCTGTCACCATCAGCAGGAGAAGCGGCGGCTCCTGGAATGACATTGGAAGGTCAGCCAATCAGGCGCGGAGCTGCTCCCGGAGCTGCCACCTCCGAGGCGCGCGCCACGCCGGGGTTCCCTCGCGGCTTTGGAAAGGGGGTGCAAATGCACCCTTCTGCGGGCCCGCTACCCGCTGCAACACCTGTGTTTCCTTTCTGGGCACCTTCTAGGTTTCTAGATATTGCTGTGAATACGGTCCTCCGCTGTACAGTTGAAAACAAAGGCTGCTGGACCTCGCCTGACCTGCGGTTGCCTTTGCCCGGTTCCTGTTAGACGAACTCTACGACGCCGGAGTTTGGGCGCAGTGAACTTGAGAGATCGTGGGGGAGGCGTCTTCAGAAGAAAGCCCCTGACCATCTGCATGGAGCAGTCCTCCCTCGGTGGCGGCTGGGTTTGCTGGCTCTGCTGAAGGCTGGCTGCAAGAGTCTTGTGAGGTTTGCCGCCCACTAGTGTCCTATGGCGGGGACACAATCGGCCTGCAGGTAGCACCACCTCCCTATCTCCCAGGCTGAGGGTGCGGGCACCAAGGCCCAGCGTGCACTTCAGCGCAGCAGCCAAGAAAATGCCCACACGCGCTTGTTTGTGTGGGCACACCCCTGGGTGCCTGCCCTGCTCTGGAGAGGTGGGCCACGCATGGAAACCGAGGAAATCGAAGTGCTCATTTCCGAAATACTATTGAATGCACTGCCTAATGCAAAATACATTCTTTTTCACTACCTATTAATTATTTATGAGCCACATTCATAATCTTACCCGTAGAATTCAGCTAATTTTACGAAACCTGGATGCCACATTTTGTAAATGCATCCACTTGATAAACCCATCCTTTTATTTTGCAAACATAAATTTCCAATCTACAGTGTTCACAGGTCTTTCTTTATAAAATGACCTCTCTCTCTCCCTCTCTCAATCAAGTTTTAATACGCATTGAATTGAGTCTCTTGTCGAAATACTCCGTGCACCTTACTCCAGACACATCTAACATAAAATACCTTGCCAGCTACCCGGAGGTCCAGGAATTGGGGATTAGAATTGGCAAATATTTTAGTCAAAATTAGTTCCCCTACCAGAATGCTGTATTGCGCTGGTTCTGCCCCCCGTGACTCACTGATCCCCCGAGGCAGCAAACCGTGGTCACACCAAAATGACAAAGGAGAGAGTCAAAAAGTGGAGAACGATCCACTGGCATTTATTGAAGGTCTGCGTGGCATTTTGTTTTCCTACAGAGGGCATCTTGGAGGGGCATGCAGCTTAAGTTAAAAGGCCTCGGAATTTAGGTGAACCCTGAGATTATGGATAGCTTTTTAATCTGTTTAATAAAGATGGGGGAGAAAGGGAAGTGGAGGCAGCCCTGAAATTGTTCACCTGATAACATTTCTTCCTTACATACATTTATGTGAATTAAATAAAAATCACCTTTGAAGTCCTTAAGGTGCATTTGTATTTACAAAGGTCTGCTTCTAATTAAATAAAATAGCAAGCGTGTGCTCTGTAATTTCCTATCAAGTGAATGGATGAAGCTCAAAGGTGCTGCATACTCATCTTCTCTTTAATGAGCACCTTCTTACTCCCAGCACCCCACCGTCTCTAATCTCCATGACCCTCAGGCCCCATGAAAGCGGATGCAGTAGAACTGAAAATCCCACAGCTCAGGAAAAGATGATGTCAGGAATGCATGCATGTGTGTGTGTGTGTGTGTGTGTGTGTGTGTGTGTGTGTGTAAAAACAGAGATGCCAGGATACTAGCAAAACTATATTACATATAATAAATCTAATTCTTCATCATTCTGTTTGTCTGAAGGCCTGGCTCTTCTTTTAGCAATAATTTTAAACTAGAATGTGCTCTGGGGTTAAAACCAGGAGAAATGGTAATGAAACACAATGCAGTAGGAAGCTTTGCTGAGAAGACACCGAGGGACGTGTGTGGGTGAGTGTCTGCACATACGTGTACCTTGGCTCCTTGCACTGTAACAGAAGCTCGCGTGTATTTCCAGAACATTGCAGAACAAATTGACTGCTTTAAAACACGATACTGCACCTCATCAGGTGAGGTCATTCATTTAAGGGTTTAACCTATGAAGGGCCTGGTCACTGACTTCTTCTTTTTTTTTTTTTTTTTTTCAAAAATACTGCCTGCAGCCTGTCTAGCAACCATACTTTTATTAAGAAATAACTGTACTTCTGATACATCAATAAGAAAAATATTGTTGTCTACTGTTAAAATGCAGATGTATTGTGGGCTTATTTTAATAGCCCCAAATATTAAACTACATAATCTTTTACAAATGAAAAAAAAAAGTTATCATGTCAGGCATTTTGATGCTTGAGGCCTAGCAATAATCAGTTTAGGTATTAGAATTCATCAATCTTTTATCACACACATTCAGAAATTTTTCAAAGTTGAGGTATAACAAAATATGACAGTTGTTGACAAAAATATTCTCAATTTTTTAAAGTTTAATTCAGATAGGTAGAAACCATTTACTCTTATATTTTTGAAATATGGTCTTACAAACAGGCATAGTTCCAAACTGGATTCTTATTTTATTTCAACATGTCTATATATTTTATGATCCTTTCCCCAGTATGTAATGAACACCATACCTTAGAAAACTGTTTAAAGCTGATTTCCCCTCCCCCCTTCAAAGATCCTAAAGCTTTACAGCAGGCTTTTAATGTTTTCATCCTTGATCATATAAAGAGAGGGGCATTTTTATACAAGACAGTTCCATAGCCTTCTGCTAGATTGGATCAGAATACGTAATACAGCAATGTAAAATATTCATTTGTGTTTGCTGTTTATGTCTAATATTGTGGAATCTACCTATATTTATTACAATAATGGTGATTATCAGTTGATTTTAAAAGTCTTGAAAATAATACTTGCAGAACTCACTATATGAGTACCTACATAATTTTTGCATATATTTTTCATATTGCAGAATATTTGAGGTTTCATATAATTGTATTACCATATATAATTATTTCTATGATTGTTTATTTTAGTTATAAAATGCTGATTCAGAAAAAAAGTCACACACACATATAGCATCTCTGTATCAGAGGCTAATAGTCTGTATCAGTATCATAAATTCTTCCATACCATTTTGTCATACAAAATGCTAAAACTGTAAATAAATACTGGCTGACTGACAACCAGCACAGCCTCTTTCATCATCCTGAAACACACACTTCCCAATGGGGTGCAAATTTTGTTTCTTCTTATAACCCAGGCCTTTCCAAGGAGTTCAGAAAGGTACTCCCTGACAGGCGAAACAGGGTGTCAAGGCTCTGTGTCTTTGGAACACATGTGTAGGCATCTCTACATTTCTTAGGAGGTCGCATTAGCAGAAGAGCAGAAAGGGCTGACTTCCCCGACACATCTCCGCATGTTCCCTAAGCACATCTGTCCCTGAAGGGAAATTCCCAGGAGGACACAGGACAGGTATGGTGCCCTCTGGGAAAGATGGGTGTCTTGTCAGAACTTGTTGCAATTCTTTCCTGCTAGGAAATCTCAAAATGAAAGTTTCAAACACTTTGCTTTAGGTTATACTGGAGAGCAAAGTATCATTTTCATGTTCATTTTGATAGTACCTTCTTTCAACTCTACCTTTTCTTAGTCACCGTTTTTTTAAAAAATTGACAATGCTCATGCATTTCTTCTGGCCTGTTGGTATGCTGATTCTTTAGGCACTGTCTAGGTAGGCAAAGAAAATGCACTGCCTTGCAGCCAACACACAGAGCTTCCCTGTGTGTCTTCCAGGAAAATCTTAGAGCCTCCCCTTTGCTTCTCGTATTTTCTCACAAGGGCCAGATTTCCTCTCTTCTCTTCTTTTACCTTCTCTTCTTCTCCTCTCTCTCTCTCTCTCTCTCTCTCTCTCTGTCTCTGTGTCTGTCTCGCTCTCTCTCCCTCCTCTCTTTCTCTCTCTCTCTCTCCTCTCTTCTGGCTAGGGGATTCTGCTTAATGGTTTAATTTCAACTGTCAGTAGGTTATACATTTTATGCAGATGTGTGTTCCAAAATTTGAAATGGGAATTTAAGCCGTAGCTACTCCCAGGCGATGTCAAATGATGACAATTTCCTCTGGTTCCCACAAGAGAGGAAGCCATTCATACATGTAAGTTCATATTTATGCGGTGACAGGCAGCCTAAGGTGCAGTCACACTTACTAATTGGGTCTGACTCAGTCAAGAGCAATAGCTTTCTAAATACCCAGGAAGAAATCATTTCAAAATATAATATTGGCTGGGCATGAGGAAATGTATGCTATTTACAATATTCACTGATTTCATTTTTACAACTATACAGGTGTTTTTTTTTTTTTAATTTGTCAACATTTCAGATGATGTAATGCTTATCAGTGCATATTTTTACATAAACGACTGTGAGGAGCATGAAGCAGCACGGGGTGCATAGAAGGACAGAACATTCTTAAAGCCCTCCTTGGTGCTGGAGATACATTGTACTAGCATGAAATTACGTGTTTGAAAAATCTCAAAAAGCATTGAATCTGAAGGGAGATGTTCCTCATTGACCCCTCCACTTGCGTGCACTTGGAATGTCACATCCCTTTCCAGGTTGTAATATTCAAAGTGGCAATCTTCCTGTCTCTCCTTCTGTCACCAAACCTGGTTTATTCTGAATGAGGCAGCTCTCTAGTACTGGAGTTAGGCTCTGAGCTGTCACTTGGCTAGGTAAGCGCCTTCCAATGATTACAGAGCAATTTCTCCCGGGCCTCTCCATTGCCACCTCTTCTCCCCCAAAAAATAAATATGATATTTAAAAAATAAATAAAAGCACGAAATTTTAAACACAGATGAAGCGGAAAAAGAAAGAAGACTTTACCCATGCATCCAATGCCACCCCCCACCCCCCCGCCCCCCCGGTCAATGATAAGGAAACGAAATTCATCACAAACCGAAAGGCTCACCATTCGCGAAGCTCTGGAACAAGGAGAGAGCCAGTATCCACATGCCCCTGCCGCTCCCCGGCCTCCCGCGAGCGACGCGCCGGCCTCGCCCCCCGCGCTCCGCCCGGCCCGGCTCCGCTCGCCGCTCGGCACCTGCCCGGGGGCCGCCGCCCGCCCGCCGCCCGCCGCCGCCGCCGCCGCTGCCTAGCCGCCCGGGCACGCGGCGCGGCCGGGCTCCGGAGCGAGGGCTGCGCTCGCCGCGCGCTGCGCTCCTGCACACCTGCTCCCGGGCGCCGCGCCCCACGCTGCGGCCGGAGCCCAGGTGCGCCGTCAGCTCAGTGGGCCCCCGGCAGGTCGGCAGGTGGAGAGAGCCGCAGACGCGGGCGTGAGCTCATCCCGGGCACTCGGCGCCCAGAATGCGCAGCCAGCGGCCTCCCGTGCGCCAGCCCTCACCCTCCGCATCCAGGCAGCAGGCGGGCGGGCAGGCTCATCTTTGCCGTGCTCCGGCCTCAGTCACATGGATCCCTCTGCCAACCTTCCCTGCCTGCGAGCCGGGCGAGTGAAGCCGAGCGCGGAGGCGAGCAGGGACCCCTCCCCTGCCTCTGGCCGCTGGGGCGCTCTGCAGTCTTAAAGCAGCAGCAGAGACGTGCAGCCGAACTGAGGCAGGACCGGGGAGAGCGCAGCCACCGCACAGTCACGCACAGTCATCAGGAGGAATTTCTTAGAGGCTTAAATAATCATTTCAACAGCTGCTTATTTTTAGTTATTTTCCTGCCGGTTGCTAATAAGGGATGGCCGGGGTGACTATTGCGGAAGGTGGCCAGCCACGGAGAGGTGAACATGAAATGCTCGTAGTTTTAATAAAATGTGCAGCTGGATTCCGATTCCGTATTTACTCTCAGAAAAGTCCAGTTCATTTGCTTAGAGGGAAATGCTCCTTCCAAATCCTTGCTGCTACTGTAAAGATCTCTATGATTTCACGGGCTAATTTTTAATTATCTTGAATACATGGTAGAATGCAAACACAAGCACTTCTAATTTTGCTCTCTGAATGGCGCATAAAAAAGCTGATTGAAATTGCTGATAATTTGAGTAATCCCAAACATATAGCCCCTTTCACGTTTCTGTGAAAAGTCAATATGTTAACATTTCCTGAATGTTCTGTATGATTCTTGAAGTCATGATAATATTTAAATTAAAGCTCTCACAAGGGCGTACATCTATCCATCACTTTGCAATATAATGACCGACAGGGCTGGAATGCACCCCAGTGTAGAAGCCAGGATGGAATGCTCACAGTCAGGACAATCAGGACTGAAAAAAAGCATTCGGTGGGGGTCAAGGGAGACATTTTCAAGGGAAATTGAGTAGGCTTTTTCCTAGGCACTAGGTATCCTAACTGGGCTCCATGTCCCCCTCCAAATACAGAAGAATGATGCACATCTCAGACAGCTCACAAAACACAGGAGAAGCAAATGGTGAGGCAGAAACAAAATGGTGCTTTACCAGGGTTGGGCACAAGATGGCCAGGCCCTGTGTACCAGGAAGGGTCAGCTGAGCCGGTGATGCTGCCTGGCTCACCACGGCTCTGCAGCTGCAGGTGATCACGTGCTGCCGCCCACTCAGGCTGCGCAGGCCCAGCCCCCAGTACCACGCACCAGAACCAGCATCCTCTGGCTTTGCAAATGCTGGGTGCTCAGTCCCTGGTCCTTCCCAAATGCAACCCAGGAAGGCAGGGGATGGGCCTGATTCTGTCCCTGCATCTGGCTGGTTGACCTATTCATTAATTCTTACTTGCACACTAGCCACCTGCAAGGGTGCCCAGGCACTGGGGTCAGGGAAACCCAGGGTCGAATTGCAGCTCCTCCACTACCCCGATGTGGGGCTTCTGCATGTGACTCGAGCCTCAATTTCCTCATATGCAGACTGGAAATTATCACAGTTCTTAACTCACAGAGGTGTGAAGATCTTTCCATCCGTTGACAGCACATGGTCACTGTAGTTAGCGATGGCTGTGGTTAACTGTTACTGAGTTTGGGAGCAGGGCTGGAAACATGATTTGTGGGGTCCACTATAAAATGAAAATGGAGAGCTCCTTTCTCAAAATGAAAAAGAAGCACCATAACAAGTGCTAAAACAGAACACTTCCTCCTTTCTTCCTGCCTCTCTCAACCAGTCATGGTGTTTTCTGCTACATGCTGCTCTTCCTTGGGCGTGGGAATGCACCCCTGTACAGACCCCACAGACCTTCCAGGTGACTCAGTGCAGTACAAGAGGCTTCCACTTGCCAGTTGCTTCCCTGCCCTTGGCTGCACCCACATGCTGTGGCCAGCCACAGTTAGGGGGTGGGGAAGCCACTGTCTCTCTCCCACAGCCCACTGTCCCAATGTACAGTGGACAGGAGATCCCTCAGGGATTGCAACCTCCATGCTGGGAAGCTCTGGGTATCTGGATTGGAGGTGGGCACAAGCCTCTGGCCACTTGTGGAATGTGCCCTGGCACTGCCAGCCTGCTGAGGGGATGGTCACTGCGAGGCCTTTCTCTGAACTCCTGCACAGTGCTTGTCCTGCACACATGCCCATACACTCACCAGAGATGGCAGGTGGTGGCAGAACACAGGCTTGCTGTTCCAAAATGATGCAGTTGCCACCCTGTTGGGAAGCAGCAACAATTGCAGGGGCAGAGGCTGCTCAAGAGCTGGGGGAACATGGGGTTGGGAAGTGGACAGCCAAGAACCTCTCCCAAAGGAGAGGTGGCAGGTGGCAGGTAGCAGGATGGTACAGAAGCCAAGGCTCCAAGCCCTCTTCATGCTCCATTGTCCCATTGGATTTAGAAAAGGTAAAACAGAGGTGATATCATTAAACATTTCAAGATGGTGACTACAGAGAATTCAACCCCAAGTGCAGGCCCTTCTTTGCCTGGGACCAGATGGGACCCCGTGTGAGTGCACCTCTCCGTGGTTGTCTATTAATGCATCTGCCACAGGGTGAATGGGTGAAGGACCTTGAATGGGCCTAACACATGCACCAGTGTCTTTTCAAATGTATTTACGTAATAGACTTCAGTAAGAAACATACTTATTTCTCACTAAACTGTGAGTTCCATGAGACCAGACACTCTTTCCTGTTCAGGAAGGTATCCTCATGGCCTGGCCCAAGTACATGCTCGGTAAGTATTTGTGGGCTGGAATGGAGATCTCTAATGCAGGTAGAAGGCGGAGCCTGTCCTCAGATATGCACACATGTGTACACATAAAGCGCCATGGTAATTTAGGAGGGAAAGTGAGTACTGTACTTCATATAGAAGTCTCAGAGGAAATGGCAAGAACGTTGAGCTTTCAAATTCAGTTAAGATGTCAACATGCAAAACTGAGTCAAGGACAGGGGATTCTGCCCTGAGAGTATAAACATCTGGAAAAGTTAACTTTATAAAATACCTTAGGTTTCCAGTGATTCCTCCTTTTGTATTCCTAATCAGTGTAGCCTCTGGAAGATCAACCTTTGACCTGAAACAATTCCATCCAGACTTTTCCCTTCCCCAGTTCTGTCTTCCTGCAGCTCTGGGTCAGCCATCCTAGGGGAAGAAAGGTAAAGTCAAAGAGGCCACCTTGGTGCTCACTTGACTGATGCTAAATAAGGAACAATGCACATTTGAGGAGTTACATCATCCAGGTTACATCATCCAAGTATAGCATCTGTTACTCCTCTGTTTTCTGTTGGAGAACCAGGAAGAGCATATATGAAGCAATGGCCTTTGAGCCTTGTGCTAAAGGAAGGGTTGGGGGTTGAATGTTGCCAGGGATGAGCAAGGAGGGCATTTTAGGCAGTAAGGTCTCCACCGTGGGAAGCCTCAGTCCTGCTGGACCTGTGGGGTTCATTCTGATCAAGGCAATAAGGAGTTTCCCATGGGGGACCTGCATTAGTTGCCTAGGGCTGCTGAAACAAACGTCCCCAAACTGGGTGACTTAAAACAACAGGAACCTATTGTCTTAGAATTTGGAATGCTAAAAGTCCAAAACCAAGGTGTTGGTAGGAACCTCCTCTTCTGCAACCTGCAGGAGAGCTTCCCCTTTTCTCATCCAGCCTCTAGTGGTTGCTGCCATCCTTGGCACTCTTTGACTTGCAGCTGCATCTTTCTGATCTCACCTTCTGTCTTCACATGGCTTTCTTTATCCCTGCAAGTGTCTGGGCGTCTCTACTCTTCTTACAAGAATGGTGGTTATGTTAGAATAGAGACTCACCCTACTCCAGTATGATCTCATTTCAACTTATTACATTTGCAACCTTTGATGTCCCTACTTTCAAATAGGGTCCCACTCTGAGGCACTGTGGGTTAGGATTGCACCCTATCTTTTGGAGAGAAGGGAATACAGTTAAACCCCAACAGGATCAAGATGCCTGAAGTCAAATGGCAAGGGGCAGAGAAGGGTTTCTGTAGATTTGGGTGAGGACACCAGCATCTTGCTTTATAACTCTCTTGAGCCGTGTGCATCAGGGACCATCATGGTGCTTCCCTGTGCAGAGAAGGAGCTCAGACTTTACTTGGAGTCTCAGTTTCTTCTCGTGGAAAATTGAGTAATCATACCCACCCTTCCGATCTTAGAAGATTGTTGAGAGGATTCAATGAGATATGGGAGTTGGCTCTGAGAAGGTTACACAGATAACCACTACATGATGTCATAACAGCCTACAACTGAACCTATAGAAACATTTTGAGGAAACACATTACTTGGCAAAGCCTCACTCTGGCTATAGGGTGTTTTGATTCATTGAAACCAGACACTGCCACACCTCTGGTCTCAGAACTGCAAACGGCAGAGATGATCAAGAATGTCAGCAGCGACCCACCCATTTCTTCCTCCAATGAACTGATTGAGTCCTTCAACAAATATTTGGCATAAGTCTGTTATCTACAAGTTGTTATAGTAGTCCCTGTGGGGGCTAAAGATGGATGAGGATGAACCGGGTTGGGCACCGGGGAGCCTCTGGGCTGCTTGAAATGTTCTCCGTCTGGGTGTGGGTAAACACCACACAGGAAAATACACATGGAAAATTTGCCACGCTGTACACTTAAGCCTTATGTACTTTACATGCCTTACTGTGTGGAAAAAAAGAAAAAAAAAAAGACCAAAACACAGTATCTACTAACCTCAATCAAGTGGGAAATTCAAATAATAGTGACAACAATTTGATAAGATAAATTATATAATCGGGAGTTGACACATCTAATTCAACTAGCTGGTGTGGTGTGTGTGTGCCTGTGTGTGTGCTGTACATGTGTGTCTTTCTGAGTTTGGTGTGTGTTTGTGTGTGTGGTATCTGTGTTTGTGACTGTGTGTGTTTCTCTGTGAAAGTGTGTTTGTGTTTATGTGTTTCTGTGGTGTGTGTTTGTATTTTAGTGTGTGTGTGTATTTTGTGTGTTTGCATATGTGGTGTGTGTTTATGTGCATTGTTTTGGGTGGGTGGGTATGTGTGTGTGTGGTGGAAGCAGGTGTGGCAGAGACAGTGGGCAGGGAAGGCTTCCCTGCAGATACCGGAGCTGAGTCCTGAACACTCTGTTAGCTTCAGCCTTGTACACGAAGGAACAGTTGCCCCACGGCAGAGAGAGCTGAATGTACAGAGACAGACTGGCAGGACACAGCACAGTCATGGAAGGCCCCTTGCAAGGAGGAGTTGGGGTCCATCCTGAAGGCGAAAGGAAACCACTGATGTATGGTCAATAGGGAAGTGACACAATGAGGGGTATGCCTTGGAAACATTCCCTTCTGGGGACACACTGGATAATGGCCTGAGGAATGTGAGAAGGATGCAGGGAGAACTTTCTAGGAAATGAGGAAGACCTGACCAGTGCAGTAGGACTGGGATGAAGCCACTTGCCGCAGATAATAGTGAAAGACATTTAAAAGGTGAGATGATCAGGAGTTGGAAATACTTTAATAGTACTTTAAATAACAGTTGCATCATTCTCAGTACATGAGGCCTTTAGCTCGTCACTGACACTCATTCAACATCTGTATGTTCAGTTTTAGGCAACGTGCTGTCTGTGCTCACAAAATCAATTCTTTTCTGGGAGGTGAGCACTGCTTCTCTCCTCCCTGCCCTCCAGATGCGGAAGCCTTGGCTCAGAGCGGTCCAGAACCCTGCACTATATTACCCAGCCAGTTGGGGGCAGAGCTTGGTCTGAACCCAAGCACAACACCCAGAGGTCCAGTAATGATCAGTCCCCTTCTGAAGAGGGAAGAGTTGGGGCATGTGGGGAGGGACGGGGAGGATGGCAAGATGACTCCTACAGATCCATGGTGGATGCTTGTGTGGACAGAGGAGCCTCTGACCAAGAACAGGAACCCCATCATCTCCCATGGGCTTTTACATTTCTCCCCACTTCTACTCTCTCACACACAGCCTGGTCTCTGTAAAGCAGCCACCTTGATCCTGCAATGCACGCACACACACACACACACACACACACACACACACACAATATCATTGGAAGCCCTGATCAAACTCTCCATTGCCTCCCTGTATCATGCAAGGTGAAATCCGAAGTCCTCACCATGGCCATGAGCCCTGTGTTCTCCAGCACCAGCTCCTGTAGGGTAGATCCCCTGCCCCTGCCACCTTCCTGCTCACACACCCAGCGCTGGCTTCCTGCATTTTGTGCAGGCACACTCAGCACAAGCGCACACTCTTCCCTCAGGCACCCCAGGGGCCACCCTCCCACTGCCATCACTGGTTATGCAGACACCTTCTTTTCGGAGAGCCTTTCCCTGACAAACCCCCACACCAATAGCATTCTCCACCCTACCAGTGTGTATCCGCTGAGCTTTATTTTCACTATATTGATTTATAAATGTATGTAATTATTTACGGGCTTATCTTCTTAGATGAAAGCTGAGATTTTGTCTTTCTGTTCACTTCTGCACTCACCACACCTAGAATAATGCTTAGCGTATAGTAAATGCTCAATGAATATCTGCTGAATTATGAAAGAGACTAGATCAAAAAAAAAAAAAAAGTGTTGCATGAGGCAAGGCACAGAGACCCTTAGTGACATCTCCTGCATTTCACACCTTGGGAGACATAGAATTGTGATAGAAAAAAAAAAAAAACCCAGATGGAAGGGAATTTAAAAAAAAAACACTTCTTAGATGTCAAATCAGCTTATCAACTTGCATACACATTTCATCAAAATAAATATTTCTTTACTCCGCACTGGGCAGGTGGCTTGCTCATAGGCACTCTAACAAGTTATTTTTTTAAATGAAGACAGGTACTGAGTCTAGGGATTTGAATTATAAGAGAAGGTCAAGGCGGGGTTTGTATCAAATAGGTTTTAGAAGCAGAGAAGACTTCAAACCGAAACATAAGCCTGTGTGGAGAGCGCTGATCATGACAGCCCATTGGGATTCAGTTGAGGGGAAGGACGACGCTGAGGGAAGAGGCTGGGGGGAGAGCTGCAGATGGGGGTGCGGGCCTGGATCTGCCTGAGGGACCCGAGCCCCCACCAGCCCCGGGACTCTCGTGGAGGGGTGCAGCGGCCCCCTCTTGAAAGAACGGTGTTCATACAGAGTTCCTGGAGGCGCCAGGCGTGCCAGGCAGCTGTCCCTGGGGCCTCCTTACAGGAGGGGCCTCCAGATGAGATGAGCGGAGAAATCCTGGTTTTAGCACGGGGCTTTCAATGTCTGGGGAATGATCCAGCGTGGCCCCAAGGGCAGCAGAATGAGGAAGCAGCTCAGGGATCCTTGTATGACCCCGTAGCCCCAGCCACAGCTCAGCTCTGTGGCTTCGTGGGCAGCTTTTCAGACACCAGGGAAGACAGTCTTGATGAAACGCCCCAGGGTCTCTAAAGGAGCTCCGTCCTCACTGGGGAGGTGCTAAACAGAGAGGGGCAGGGGTCCCAAAACACTACGTGGAGAAAGGCGAGGGGCCAGCCTTGTGTTCCCTGCAGGAGTGATGTGGTTCTGGAGCCCAGTGGTTAAGACCTGGGTTGGGGTCAGACTCCGTCAGGGCTGCTGAGCCTGAGCCAGAGCGAGGTGACCCGTGCACGTGGCTTTACCTCTGGCCTCTAAAGACTGGTCTGTTAACCCTACCTATGCCACAGAGCTGCTATGACAATCACATGACTTAAAACCTGCCAAGCGCCTAGAGCAGGGCCCAGCACGCAGAGCAAAAGATCCCATAAATGTAAGTATTTACTATTGTTATTGATGCTACAGCTTTGCTGTGTTTAGTGAGGTTCTATGCCTTGACGCAAGAGCAGAAGAAAGGGAACAGTGTCAAACACAGATCAAGAATGAGGAAAAGACGGGAAGGAAGGCGATGTAGAAAGCAGAAGTTGGAAAGAAATAAACAAGAAAACTATACAGACATTTCCTTTTCATTTACATAAACCAAATTTTAGTGGCTTGAGAGAAGTCTAAGAAATTGGGGATGAGATAAAATTGGACGCTTACTTCATTTCAGACACGTTAAAAATGCTAATTAAAAAAAACTATACAAGAAAAATACTTGAGTCATAAGCAAAATGTAAGACCAAGCAATTCAGATAGAAGAATATTCTGGAGACAGCATGTTCATGTATAACACAGTGGCCAGGGATACATCTTTTTTTTTTTTTTTTTGAGATGGAGTCTTGCTGTGCCACCCAGGCTGGAGTGTAGTGGCACCATCTCGGCTCACTGCAACCTCCACCTCCTGGGTTCAAGCGATTCTCCTGCCTCAGCCTCCTGAGTAGCTGGGACTACAGGCGAGCACCACCATGCCCGGCTAATTTTTTTATATTTTAGTAGAGACGGGGTTTCACCATGTTGGCCAGGATGGTCTCGATCTCCTGACCTCGTGATCTGCCCGCCTCAGCCTCCCAGCGTGCTGGGATTACAGGTGTGAGCCACTGCACCTGGCCAGGATACATCTTTAAACATGACATAAGCCCAGAAGCTATAAAATAAAAGACAAATAACTGCAATATTCTTTTAATGGCAAACTTCTGACCAAAACAAAGCCAGAAGACAAGTAATGGGTGGACTAAGGGGCACACTCACCACCTGCAAGATAGAGGACTAATATCAATATAAGGTTGAACATTTAACAATTGATAACAAAAAGCAATTAATAGGCCTAGGACTTGAATATGATAGTTTAGAGGAAAAGAAAACAAAACAGCCAATAAACCTGAGCAGAAGCTGAACCACATTAATAGGCAGGGAAATGTACATTTAAATAACAATTGCATATTTCTTCTCATCCTCCACATGGAAAAGAACTAAATGACAAGGAAACTAATGTTGGTGGGACACAGGGGGAAAGGATACTTGTGGACATTGTTGGTGGCAATTTGATACTTTTGTAGCTGTTTTTAATTTTAATGGATTCTGGCAATATCTATTTACAAACAAAACAAAAATCACCTACACTTCAACTTTGCAGTCTTAGTCTTAGGCATCTGTTCCATTGAGATAAAACATCAGCAGAACCTAAAGCTGTATGGGCAGTGCTATCTGCTGCCGAATAGTTTGCTGAAACAAGAGAAAGAGGAGAGACAGAGAAGAAGAAAAGGAAAGGAAAGGAAGAAGGGAGGAAGCCATCCAAATGCCTATCCTCGAGGGATGTTGAATTAAATATAGTCATAAAAAATCAGGGATGTGTAGACATTTCCACCACATTTAATTAAGCGAAAAAAGCAAGATACAGAAGAACACATGAAATATCTCACTTTCGTAAAATACACGTGTGTGTGTGTATGTGTGTGTGTGTGTGTGTGTGAGAGAGAGAGAGAGAGAGACTGAAATCTTGTAAGGGTGAAAAAATGTTGCACAGCAAATGTTAATATTTGTTACCTGATTGGGTTGAGGTGGAGAGAGGAGGAGAAAGGGAAAAAAACAAAAACAAAACCAAAAAACAAAAAAAAGAAAGGGGTTTAGAAAATCAACACATATAACATAACCTCACTTATGTAAAATATAACTGTTAAAATGGCAATGGTAGCTATCTAAGTAGTGGGAAGCCAGTTTTCTCTTTGTCTATTATACTTTTCTGGGTTGTTTGATTCTTTTTATTTTCTTAAAAAATCTAAAATTATGTTAAAAGGCAATAAAGAAACAAAATTAAGTAAATTATGAAACCTGACAAGATTTGTGTAGCACAATACAGCGAACAGCTTGTCAGGTACACAGTGGAACTAAGTTAAAAGTCAAAATTCTCTTGTCTCCTTTTCTTCTGATCTTTCAGGTCCTGCCTAGTTGAAACCTAGCAGCACCTTTAGTGAGGGGTGTGAACCCACTTTCCATCACAGTTGTGGGTCCACAGGCCCATTCTTCCCATATCACTTGTCACTTCTCCCTCATGTCATCCATATCCTCCTGAGAGTTCATAAGCAGCCTTGAAGGTGTGTTTCATTCTGCAGCCCCCACTATAGTGGACATGTGTTGGATAAGAGGCCATTTTGACCTTTTCTCATTGTTAAAATCTCTAAACAAAGTAACATGCTTATATTAGCCAGGGTTCTTAAGAGAAAACAGAGCAAATTGGATACATATATTATATTATAGACTACATATAGACATATAGACTATATGTATACATACACACACACACACACACACACACACACCCCTATACATATATGTGTGTGGAGAGAGAGAGCAATTTACTGTACGGTACTGGTTCACATGGCGATGGAGGCTGAGAAGTCCCATACCTTGCCATCGGCCAGCTGGAGACCTGGGAAAGTCAGTGGTGTAGTTCAAAGGCCTGAGAGCTGCAGAGCCAGTGGTATATATTCCAGTCTGGATCTGAAGGCCTGATAACCAGAAACTCTTGGGGCAGAAAACATGCCCCAGCTCAAGGGATCAGGTAGAGAATAAATTCAACCTTCCTTCTTCTTTTTGTTCTACTCAGGCTCTCAACAGATTGGATGAGGCCCACCCACAATGGAGAGGGCCATCTACTTCACTCAGTCCACCAATGCGAATGTAAGTCTCTTGCAGAAACACCCTCACAGACACATCCAGAAATAATATTTCACCAGCTATCTGGGCACCCCATGGCCCAGTCAAGTTGACAAATACAATTAACCATCACAGTACCCCATCAGGTTCACTTCCTCATTCTCCTCCAGAAGGCCGGGCCATGGGGTAGGGAGAAGTCAGAAACAAAACTCCATGGAAACAGCAGTTGAGAGTAAAGGAAGTGACACGGGAGATGGAACCTGTTTTCTGCACTTACACAGAGCAAGTCCTTGCAGAAGTGAACGTTTTTTGGGAATGGGAGGGATGGTAAGTGGTTTACAGAAAAAAGGGCATAGCATATTTATGGAGATCTGTGGTTGGAGAGTAAGGAAAGGGCCAGATTCAAGTCCACTTGACTGCCTTGCTCATGGTTTCTATCCTTTGCCTTGCAGAGGCATGGCATGTGCCAGGGTGGCTGAGGGCAGTGCCCTCTCAGCTGAGGAAGGCCCACTGAGAGCAACTAGAAGCAGCACCCGCAGTCCAGACCATAGCTAATGCCATCTGTTTGCCAATGCCTATATGATTTCATCACATCTTAAGAAAAGTTTTGAAAAGCAACTCTCAATATTTCTAAGGTATTTTAACTTTTTCATGACTATTTCTCTAGGAATAGTAATGGATATTCCTCCAAGGATGGCTGAGGAGCAACTGAAAACTAAATAACATGTGACTGTGAGAGATATTAATGGCCTTTGTTATTTAAGACAAATTTAATCTCTTCGGTCTTTGGCAGATCCTTTCCAAAGCAAGTGAAAGACTCAGAATGTGATCCACAACCAGGACATCTACCTATTCATTGAACAAAGATTTATTCAGCCCCTGCTACTGGCTAGCACTGTGAACACACAGTATATATCAGTGGACAAAACAGACAGCAACTGTTTCTCACATGGTGCTTACAGTCAATATTATGCTCACTGTATGAAAATTATACTCACTCTTGTTTGTTTCTGAGAGCATTTCAAGGACAAAAACTTATTAAATCCTAAATGACTTGCATCCTGGTGTTGTCTCTGAGATTTCTCTTCTCATGCAATTTACTATCATTGAAAATACCAGCCACACATGCATATGCAAAAATATAACTGGATGAATGGTCAGTTCTGTGATTACACCATAGCAACTGGATGGGAAAAACCCAAATATCCACCATCAGGGAACAATTAAATAATAATTCATCTAGATTATGGAATATTATGCAGCTATTAAAATGACTAGGCAGCTTTAGGGCTCATATAACAGATCTCCAGATGTTTTGAAGCTGGAAGAGTAATGAAATAAAATTAGTGGATACTGTATGTTCCCACTCCCATAAAGAAATGTGTATTCATTTCTCTGTTTATACATGCATAGAAAGCTCTTGGAGAGATCTATAACAAGCTGTTATCCATAGTTGCATCTCAAAAAACAGACTGGGGTAGGACAGAGAAGGGATATATAATTTCATGAAATAGCCTTCTTTATTAAATAGATGTGTTCTTACTAATTTTGTTTTATTTTACTATGCACAAGTCTACTTTTTAATTATAAAAAGATACCAATGAACTTTAAGGGGTTATTATATATGGTTTCTACAACTGTCAAATACGTCAGTTGCTAGCTATGTGACTATTTCAATTTAAAGGTAAATTAATTAAAATAAACTTTAAAAAAAATGAGATCCTCAGTTGCACTCACCATATTTCAAGTGCTCAGTAGCCACAATGGTGAGTGGCTGGCATATTAAACAGTGCTGACATATAGAACATTTCCATTATTGCAGACAGTTATATTGGACAGTGCTGGATACTCTATGAACCTACAGCCAGTGAATTTTTCATGAGATATCTAAGCCTTTGTTCTTCACTCTACAGTTGACTCAAAAGGAAATTACCCAGTAGAGCTGTGTGGTAAAGAATAAGAAGGAAGTTTCCTCAAAATTAACACATATCTCCCTTTCTATCTCCACTCGTTAACCAGCAGGAAAGTTGGAAATTCATTCCTTCAACCTTTTTACAGTGTCGTGATCAAGACTTTTAAGTTATTTTGCATATATTTTAAGTGTTACAAGGTCTGGGTACCTTTCCCCGGCAGCAACCCAGGTTGATCACTATTTATTGAGTGTTATTTATTAACATAAAATAATAAAAAAAAACCAAACCAACTCTAATCTGATTTTTTAATTACTGTATAAGTGCTGGTAATTCCTCACTTTTTTAGATTCCTCACATTCAAATGTGTTTAGCCTTCTGAGGTCCCGTCCAACTCTGAGAAGCCACAAACGTAACCCCAACTGAGACTTGAGTTTGGATAACTGTGGATGCCTAAAAGTTGTTATCAGTATATTTGGCTCAATAAGCTAAAAAGTACCACTGAATTATTTGGGGATTGCCCATTCATTTCTACTCTGAAAGTTTTACTTGTGTTTCTTAATGAGTCTAATATGAATTTAAATCTCCAGCCACCAAAACTAGAGTCTTAGTCAGTCAAATGCCAACAAAGTAAACTTTTAGACTTAGAAGCCGTCTTCTTCCAATTAGGAAAAGAAAAATGCAGAATTACATCTTATCCTTGCACTTCAGAGTGAAAGTAACTGATTTAAAAATTCTCTCCTTTTCACACCAAGCTAATAGAATATTGGACCGTCATCTGGCTGGAGAGCTGCCCTCCTGAGATGTCTGTGTGGAGGACACATGCATTTCATCTGTTAATAATAGTATCTTCAACAAAGAGCCCTGCACCAAGCCATCTGTTAGGTTGGGGGTTTTCATAATCAACTAGTAGAGGAGGAAGTGTGGGCGAATACAAAACGCTCTTTCACTCCAGTTCTCTTTTCCCTGTTTGGACTCCCTTGAAGAAACTGCAACAATCCATTTTAGAGGAGAGACCTTAGAACCTGCAGAGAAAGCACAAACTGCATATTTCCCTGCAAACAGATATTCAGAATGACCTTCTTGCTACCAGGAGAGGAATGTAAATCTCCCAGTGCTACAAGCTCTCCTTTTTCTTATTCGCAGACTTTTATGAGAATCAGCTTATAATAGCAACCTGATCTGAACTCACCATGCAGGAAAGTGAGGCAAAGATGGGGTCTGGACCAGCCCACAAAAAACGTCCTGTCTTAGGCCAGACATTTTACCAAGAGAGCCTCAAAGCAGGCCAGAAAAGGGAAGATGAGGTAAAAGAGCACATTTCTGCTATTCACTGTTAATCAGATGGGAAAACCCAGCAAATACAACTCAGTAAAGCATCTGCTTCTCTTCAGAAGGTGCAAAGGAGTAAAACACCATAGAATCACTTCTAGTTTTCTTTTTATCTACCAGTGTGGTCTGAATAAAAATTAAATAACTTTTGAAAAGTTCACATTTGTCATCCATTACCCAATTCATTCTTGTGGGTAATTTTTAAGTAAACACACGATTAACATGGTGTTGGTAGGTCATTAACACTGGTAGTGTCATTAACATGGCACTGGTAGGCAATGCCATCATAAATGAATTTTCACAAAAAAATTTCTCTTTTATGGGAAAAAAAGGAACTTGCTCAAAAAACATTTATATTACCAACTTTCAAGTTGGACAGATGAAGATTTGAATTTGTCCCTCCTATTACTAGTAATGTGTCCTTGAACAACTCACTGGCTCTCTCTAGTCCTCAGCTTCCTCACCTGAAAAATAGGAATATCAACAAAACATAACCTATAAGGTTCTTGTAAGGTTTAAATCAAATATCATCTCTGCTCAGAGCTGTGCCTGGTACATCAGAAGAGCTCAATGTGGCACTGTTAGTGATTTATCATTTTCCACCTTGTTAAGGAATGCACACAGAGCATAACTAAAGTTTTCTTATTTACTTAAGCCCATCATTGTGAACATTACAGTGTAGGTCAGAGGCCCATCTGTCCCTATACTTAGTGTTCCCATTGATTTGGCGGAACTCAATTGTTTGGTGTTTGGGAGCAGTTTCTGGTACCCAGCCCCCATATTCACTTCTGGTTTTTAATCAGCTATGAACTAGGAATACAAGTGACCAAATAAATTACTACTGTACTTAAGATAGGTGTAAATGGGCTCAAATTCAGTGATTCCCATATTAGAATTACCTAGAGAGCTTGAGCTGCTGTGAAGACAAGGCGTCTGCATTTTATAAGCCCCGGGTGAGTCCAATGTCCTGGTGGAGGCCACGGCTGTAAGTGAAGACCAGTTCCCTCATTCCCTGACAGCAGCCCAGGAAGGGCAGTAAGTGGCCAGCCACAGTAAGTACAGCTGGGGGCAGACCTGGAGCTTCCTTTCCAGTAGGAGGGCCAAGGTCACAGACTACTTTATACGTCTAAATCTAATGCGACCCTCAAGGAGAGGGAGACGGAAGAAATCAAAGAAAATTAAATCCTTCGACCAGAGCTAACCAAGATCGCTATGTGCCAAATCTTGTGCTAAGTGGTTGGGGTATGTTGGTAAATAAGACAGAAATGACCCCAACCCCTGCATGCACAGAGGACTGACAAGAAGACTAATGGGGGCAAATAAAACCAAGAATTGCACAAGTAGTGAAACATTTGAATAATTAAAGAAATTGCAATTAAATAATGGTACTATGGAAAGTACTTGGGTGAAAAAGTGTAAGGTGTGGGGAGATACGGCAAAGAGGTCCTAACCAAGGATGAGTGATCAGACAGCATCATGAGGAGGACCAGCGGGTGGTGTCTTACTTTCCTGGGACTGCTGTAACAAAGCGCCACATGCTAGGGTAACTTCAAAACAGAAATGCATTTTCTCACGATTCTGGAGGTCAGAAGTTCAAGATCAAGTGTCAGCACTGTTGGTTCCTTCTGAGGCTCTGAGAGAGGGATCATTTCCTGGCCTACCCTCAGCGTCTAGTGATTTGCTAGCAGTCTTGGGTGTTCCTCGGCTTCTGCTGCATGTTCTCATGGCGTTCTCTGCCTTGGGGTTCACACAGCATTCTCCCAGTGCACCTGTCCGTGTCCAGGCTTCTCCTTTTTATAAGGACGTCAGGCATATTGGATTAGAAACCACTATAATGAGTGCATCTTAACTTGATCATCTCTAATAAGGTCATATTCACAGGTACTGGGGGTTAGAACTTCAACATCTTTTAGAGAAACACATTTCAGCCATTAACAGGTAGTAAAGAATTAGACTGGGTGAAGGAGGATGGAAGAAGAAAGCATTGCTAGAGAAGAAAGCACATGCCAAGGCCCTCAGCAAGGAGGGCTGCTGCAGTGACCAGGAATGGCTGGGAGCCTGGTCTGCTGGAGTGTGGGAAGCAAGAGGAGGGTCAGGAGGCACAGGCAGCAGCTGATCCTGCAGAGCTCTGGGGGCTCTGTGTGGAATGTGGGAGCCAACATGGGAGATTATGAAACCAAGACAACTGAAGGCAAGATGTAGCAGAACCAGCAAGAGGGACAAAAGGGAACTGCCACTCTGTCATCTGACTGAAGACCCAGGGTCTGATTCTAGAGAGAGATAAACAGTCTCTGGATTGAATGACACCAGACACAGTTGAAAATGGAATTCAAATTGAAAACAGGATGTTAAAGAAATGTTCATATACTGAAGGGTGAGATTCCCCACCTTCTTTCTCTAGTAGGCTCTTAGGAGTCTGGCAGCCAGAGATGACACTGTGATACCTGGTCAGTCCAAAAGAGACACTAAGATACTGCCATGCAGATCCCCCCATTGAAGCCACCAAGGCAGACCACCCTTAATTTTCAGTACTTCTCCAACTGTAGCATGAATAACAATTATGGTGGGAGGGAGGCATTAAAATGCAGATTGCTGGGTCTCACTCTAGATTCTGATTCAGAAGGTCTGAGAGGGGCTCAAGAACATGCATGTCTAACAAGCACCTCGGGAATGCTGACACTGCTGCTCCATGGACCACACTTTGAGAACCACTGCTCTAGAGAGTCAATGAGTCCATGGGTGTCAATGAGCTGCCAACCAGCATTTTACAATTCTTAAGTGCAAGCAGAGATTAAATATTCAAAAGAGCCAAGCCATTAAAAAAAATCTATTCTAAAAGACAGTGAGCAAGATAAACAAAAACGAAAAAATAGTGACATAAAAGAAAAAGACTCTTTGGCAAGAAGACAATGTCATTAAATCAACCATTACCCTCAGAGAGAGAAGATAAAAAATATTACATCTGTAATAATAGAATACATGTTATTTTTCTAAAAGGAACATTCAAAGATCAAAAGTAAAGTTCTTAGAAATTAAAAACATGATAGCAGAATTGAAAAATTCAATAGAAAGACTGGAAACCGTCATCTAGAAATTAAAGCAAAAATTTAAAGAAAGAGCAGGAAGGGCTTGTCCAGGCTCCCCAAGGAGTCTGGAATGGGAAATGTGTACTGAACACTTAACATATGCCGGGCTCCGGACTCCATGCCAGGATGCAGGAATGCACAAGGTCCTGCCATGGGAGAGTACTCAAGGAGCTCTTGAAAGACCTGTTGCCAGGACCAGTGACCTGGTGATGGAATGCTTAGAAGAGCGGGACAAGTACCTGAACTCCTGAAGGAGTGAAGAACACCTTCACTCCTCTTGTAGGCATTTGGATTCCTAATCATGCCTTTATGCAAGACTTGGCCTAAGTGTTTGGGGAACCTGTTGTTCTCTCCAGTGCCAGCCTCAGCTCCCAGGCCAATTCTCTGAATGTTGAGGAGTCTCAAGACCTCTGGCTTTGATTGTCCTCATTCATTGATGCGGGACACATCAGGGTTGGCCAGAGCCCTGAATGTTGCCTGGGCTCCACTGCAGTTGACTTATCTGTTCCTGGAAAGTTTGTCATCATCTGTGCCCTAAAGAGTACTACAGCCATCTTTCAACAGAAGTATGGGCTACTCCCCTCACACACGTCCTGCCTGTGAAACTCAACAGGCGGGAAGGCCCAATAACTGGTGCTGGATCCTATTTGTCTGTCCTCTGATGACTGGCAAGCCCTCATTGGCAGAGGCCACTGGATCTACACACTAGCTTGACTCTGGGCAGTGCGTCTTTCTGAACACTGGAGATCAAGTGCCAGAAGCTGTTGTTTAGCTGTGCACCTGGAAGAAAAGTTGTATTTATTATGTGTAGTTTCGTGTATCAGCCAAAAGCTCAATGGAGAGGTTAAGAACATTCCTAGGTGGCCTTATTCTAATAAGTTTCTTCTCTCTCTCCTTTTCTAAATTGAAAAGTAATTTAAATAACAGATTTAGAATCTAGTGAGAACCTTGTCTCTGAAGAGTGGTGGCATTTAAGGTTCCAACCAGATAGAAGTATCGGTGCTGTTTAAGAAGTCTCAGGTGATCACAGGCGTCTGTTAGGCTCTTGAAGCTGGAACAAGATTAGGATAAAGATTGCAGAGCCACAGGCCAAATGCCCTGTTCCCCTGATCTGGTGGGGCAGTGATGTTGTGTATTATAACTGCTGGGGGGTGAGGGTGAGTAGTCATTTTGGTTTAATAGTGGGAGGTCTGCTCAGTTGGCAGGGGGTAGAGGTGGGGAGAGGGAGTCCAGATAAATGAATTTTGGAAAATACATCTCTAATAATCCTTTGCAGCCAGTGACTTTATTCTTACTTATTCAAAAAATAAGTTACGGTTAATTATACCTACAACACCTCTATTTAAATTCAGATTTGCTCAGCAGCCCTTTGTCTTTATTCATATGCATACCAAGTGTTTAACATAATTATGGTTGGGCATTTGAACTTTGTTTTTCTTTAACATAAAGAAATGCTACTACTAAACATATTTGTAAGCAGAAAATAATTAAAGAAAGAAAATTGGAGATATAAGACATTTTTTAATTTAGAGGACTAGCCCATGGAGTCTAACATCTGGCTTAAAGGATATCCAGATGGAGGTGAGATCACATGGAGGGAAGAGCATGCTCAAAGAATCCAAGAAGCTTTCTCAGATTCAAAGGACATGATTTTCCAAACTGAAGGGGCCCATCAAATATCTAGCACAACAGAAGAATATAGACCTACACCTCAGCACACTTACGTGACACTTTAGGATACAGCAGCAACCCATCCTGTAAACTCTTCGTGAAAAAAAAGTTACATTTAATACAAAGGATTGAGAATCAGTATGGCATTGGATTTCTTAAAAATGGTACTAGAAGTTAGAAAACAGATGACCAAGTCATTCAAAACCATAGGTAAAATTATTTCCAACCTAGAATTTCATGCCCAGGCAAACTATTAGTAAGTAGAATAAATATACTTTCATAAAACAAGGTCTGAAAAACTTTACCCCCCTATTGCTTTATCAGGGAGTTACTGAAGGATGAACTCCACTAAAACAAAAGTAGAAACCAAAAAAGAAGACCTGAGGTACAGAAAACAGAAGATCTAAAACAAGACAGGGATGAAGGGACTGTCCAAAAGGATGGTGAGGATCCTAAGATGCAGCTGCATCCTAAGCCCAGAGAGCAACAAGTTCAGGCAGAATCTGGTCAGAAGCTCTCCGGAGATGTCTTTAAATGTCTGGGTGCTTGAATACAGTAAGAGGAAAATTACATAAATCAGAGAGAGTTTGGAATTAGTAATAATGACATGGGAAACCAAGCAAATAAGAGAGCCCAACAAATATTAACCTTAGGAAAAAATAAATTTTTAAAAATGAGAAGGGAAAGAAAGCACTACTCTGTATAGCTCAGCTATTAATATTGGGACTACTCAGAAACACTGATATGAACATGTAGTATTGATCTAATGAATATGACAACTACCTTGAGAGAGGCATGACGGAAGCATATGTCAGAGATATGGCAGAGTGAAATAGAACTCAGTATTCATCTGCTATCATGGGAAGTTAATAACACTGAAATTATTATTATTATTATTATTTTGAGATGGAGTCTCGCTCTGTCACCCAGGCCGGAGTACAGTGGCTCAATCTTGGCTCACTGCAACCTCCAATTCTTGGGTTCAAGTGATTGTTCTGCCTCAGCCTCCCAAGTAGCTGGGATTACAGGTGCCCACCACCATGCCCAGCTAATTTTTTTTGTATTTTTAGTAGAGATGGGGTTTCACCATGTTGGCCAGGCTGGTCTCAAACTTCTGACCTCAGGTGATCACCCACCTTGGCCTCCCAAAGTGCTGAGATTACAGGCATGAGCCACCACACCTGGCAATAAAACTGAAATTATTTTAAAAAAGATTTTGTTCTATAAATATATTACTTCTAAACAAGGAGATAAGTTTTTAATATCAATTAAAAAGAATTAAAAGTGATTTTTTAGGGAAAATAGAGAGAGGAGATGAGGATGTCATTTTGTAGCAAACCTTGTAAACTATGTAATTCTTCAACTCAAGTACACAGATAAGTCAGAAAACTGAAAAACAAATAACTATCTAAAAATATAAACAAAAAGAAACACATAAAATCATATAGAAGGACACTTCTGGAATGGTGGTATAAGGAGCTACATAAACCCTCTCTTTAGTGAAACAACCATACCTAGTGGAAAACGTTTAAAAAAAATATATATATATATATATATAGAGAGAGAGAGAGAGATTCTATGCCAGGTGAAGCAAGCAATATAAAATATATTTATAAATATATATAAATATATATAAGTATATACAAAATATATATATATATATATCCCTGGAAATCATCCTGAGAGGCATACCACAAATGTAGAAACATTATTTCAAGAAAATCAACTAAGTCTCTGTAAGAACAACAAGAATCTGAAGCATCTGAGCCATGACATTTTCTCTCCCTACCCCACTCCCAACTCAGTATAATCAAAGCTATACTCCAGGAACTTACAGCCAAGAACATAAGGCTACCATTTCCCTTAGTGGTACAATAGCTACAGTTTCTCCCCAGGGTGGTGAAGCCACCAGCATTTCTCATCCACCCTTCCTCTGGCTCTGTGCTACAGAAGTTCTACTCCAAGTAAGCCTGGCCAAGATGTCTGGGGTTCCCCTCCTCCATCCAGCCCCCTCTCATAGGATGGAAGTTCTACCCCTTGCTTGGCAAGCCAAGAATATTGGGCCCCAATTATCTTTATCCCAGCCCACTTGTAGGGTAGAGATTCTATGCCAGGTGAAGCAAGCTAAGAATACCAGAGGCTATCACCCCATTTAATGCTCCATGCATAGATCAGGGGTATAGAAATAGGCCTCTATTCCTACTTTCAACTTAAGAGCAGATTATATTTCTGAGTTTTCTATTCTGCTCCATTGGTCTATGTGTCTGTCTTTGTACCAGCACCATTCTGTTTTGGTTACGGTAGCTTTTTTGTTTGTTTGTTTTTTTGAGACAGAGTCTTGCTCTGTCACCCAGGCTGAAGTGTGGTGCCGTGATCTCAGCTCACTGCAACCTCTGCCTCTCAGACTCAAGCGATTTTCCCACCTCAGCCTTCCAAGTAGCTGAGACTACAGGTGCCTGCCACCATGTCCAGCTAATTTTTGTGATTTTTGGTAGAGGCTAGGTTTCACCATGTTGGCCAGGTTAGTCTCCAACTCCTGAATTCAAGTGATCTGCCTACCTTGGCCTCCCAAAGTGCTGAGGTTACAGGCGTGAGCCACCACACCTGGCCTACTGTAGCTTTATAGTATAGTTTGAAGTTGGGCAGTGTGATGCCTCTGGCTTTGTTCTTTTTGCTTAGGATTGCATTGCCTATTCGAGCTCTTTTTTGAATTTTAGAATAATTTTTCCTAATTCTGTGAGGAATACTGTTGGTAGTTTGATAAGAATAGTGTTGAATCTGTAAATTGCTTTGGGCAGTATGGCCATTTTAATGGTATTGATTCTTCCAACCTATAAGCATGAAATATTTTTATATTTATTTGTTTTGTTTATGATTTATTTCATTGGGGTTTTATAGTTCTCTTTGTAGAGATTTTTTACCTCCTTGATTTGCTGTATTCCTAGGTATTTTGTTTTCTTTGTGGCTATGGTAAATGGGACTGTGTTCTTTATATGACTCTCACCCTAGGTATCATTGGTGTATAGAAATGCTACTGATTTGCACATTGATTTTGTATCCTGAAGCCTTGCTAAAATTTTTTATCAGTTCTCATTGCCTTTTGGTGGAGTCTTTAGGGTTTTCTAAGTATGGGATCATGTTGTTAGTGAAGAGAGATAGTTTGAGTTCTTCCTTTCCTATTTGGATGCCTTTTATTTTTGTCTCTTGCCTGATAGCTCTGGTTAAGACTTCCACTGCTATGTTGATTAGGAGTGGTGGGAGAGGCCATCCTTGTCTTGTTCTGGTTCTCAAGGGGGATGATTCCAGCTTGTGCTCATTCAGTATGAGGTTGGCAGTGGGTTTGTCATAGACGGCTCTTATTATTTTGAAAGCTACACACCTACAACTATCTGATCTTTGACAAGGCTGACTAAAACAAGCAATAGGGAAAGAACTCCTTGTTCAATAAATGGTGCTGGGATAACTGGCTAGCCACAAGCAAAAGAATGAAATTAGACCCTTACCTTTCACCATATACAAAAATTAACTCAAGACAGATTAAAGATTTACATGTATGACCTCAAATTACAAAAATCTTAGAAGAAAACCTAGGAAATACCCTTCTTAACATTGGCCTTAGCAAATAATTTTTGGCTAAGTCTTCAAAAGCAATTACAAAAAAAAAATTTTAACAGGTGGGACCTAATTAAACTAACAAACTTCTGCACAGCAAAAGAAACTATCATCAGAGTAAATAGACAACCTATAGAATGGGAGAAAATTTTTGCAAACTATGCATCTGACAGATGACTAATATCTAGCATCTATAAGGAACTTAAACAAATTGACAAGAAAAAAACAACCCCATTAAAAAATGGGCAAAAGACATGAGGAGACACTTCTCAAAAGAAGACATACAAGTGGCCATCAAACATGTGAAAAAATGCACATCATCACTAATCGTCAGAGAAATGCAAATCAAAAGCACAATGTGATACCATCTCACACCAGTCAGAATGGCTATTGTCAAAACATAAAAAAGCAACAGATGCTGACAAAGACGCAGAGAAAAGAGAATGCTTATTTAGTGTTTGTGGGAATGTAAATTAGTTCAGCCACTGTGGAAAGCAGTCTGGAGATTTCTCAAAGAACTTAAAACAGAGCTACCATTCAGCCCAGCAATCCCATTACTGGGTATATACCCAAAGGGAAACAGATAATTATAACAAAAAGACACGTGCATTCATATGTTTATCACCACCCTATTCACAATAACAAAGACATGGAATTAACCTAGGTGCCCATCAATGGTGAATTGGATAAAGAAAATGTGGTACATATATACCATGAATACTATGCAGCCATAAAAAAGAATGAAATCATGTCCTTTGTAGCAGCATGGATGGAGATGAAGGACATAACCCTAAGTGAAATAACACAGAAACAGAAACCAAATACCACATGTTCTCACTTATATGTGGGAGCTAAACATTGAGCACACATGGACATTAACATAGGAACAATAGCCACTGCAGGCTACTTGAAGCGGGAGGGAGGGAGTGCACATGGGTTGAAAAACTTCCTATTAGATGCTATGTTCACTATCTATGGACAATGTACCCATGTAACCAACCTGCACGTGTACCCCCTGTATCTAAAAGAGAAGTTGAAATATATATAAAATCTCTTCCCAAGAGAGAGACAGTCTATAGAAACAGAGAACTCTGTAGCTGTCCCTAACAGGACTGTCTTTATTTGGAACAGAGCATAGGAAAGTCCAAGCCAAAGGACATTGTGAAAAAACAATGGAGATTGTGGTGGTAAACAATTAACAGAAGGCTTATAGCTTCATGATATCAATATGTGAAATAGGAGAGAAGCTAGAAGTTTATCAGAAAGAACCATGGGGAGAATCAGTTAAGAAGAGTCATCTGGAGTCAGAGAAAGCCTCAAAAACTACCTCTGCAAAAGGGCCTGATTTTAATTGGATTAGAAGGTGGGGCAATGTATGCCCCAGGGCAGTGCAAAAAACAATAGTGCAATCAGCTAGCAATAAGTGGAAGATAATAGTTGAGTGTGATCTCAACACCGTGAAAACAGCCCAAAGCTTAATGGGGAGATCACACGAAGAGATTGGTCACAGAAAGCCTGGCTAAAACTGTTGTCATGCATGTCCAAGTCAGTACCCTGTGAGGAGCAATATCAAAGGTGACACACTGCAGAGGAAACAGACTTCACTAAACTGGTCCAGCCAAGTCACTAGTCACTAAACAGATAAAAAAACAAATAACACCAACAAGCCTCAGGGGAGGGAGGTTGGTGTCGAAAGCTGCTACAATATATTATCTAAGATGTCCATGTTTTAGTGAGAGAGAGAGAGAGAGCTAGAGATGGAGAGAAAGAGAGAGAAAGAGAGAAAGAAAGAAAGAAAAAGAAAGATCATTCAAAAACAAAAATAGGAAAGAGTGACACATACACAGAAAATAAAAAATACAAACCAGGCAACAGAAAGTACCTTTAAGAGACTCAAATTGTGGACTTAGATGAAAACATCAAAGATTCTCTTATAAATATTTCCAAAGAGCTAAAGAAGCCATGCTTTAAAACAGTAAAGGTCTATATGTTTACAATGTCTCATCACATAGAGAATATCGACAGAGATATAAATTGCTGAAACAAACCAAATGAAATTTCTAGAGTTGAAAATTACACTAACCAAAATGAAAAATTAACTAGAGGGGCTCAAAAGTCAATATGAGCTAGTAGAAGAAAGAATCAGCAAACTTGAAGATAGGTGGATAGAGATGATGCAATTGGAAGAACAGAAAAAAAGAATAAAGAAAAATTCACAGTCTTAGCAAATGTGGGGAACCATCAAACACTTCAAGCAGTGAAGTGCAATGAGCATATCAAACCAGCAGAGAGAGAAAAGAGTACAAAAAAAATTTTAAAGAAATAATGGCTAAAAACAGACCAAATATAATAAAACTTTTTATCTACAAATCCAAATATCTCAATAAATTCTAAGTCAGATAAATGTAAGAGATCCAAACCCAGATACATTATAGACAAAATGTTGAGTGCCAAAGACAAAGAAAAATCTTAAAAGCAGCAAGACTAAAACAACTTGACACATACAAGAAAACTGCAATAATTTCAACAGCTGACTTTTCATCAGAATTAATGGAGGCTAAAGCAGTGGATGACATTAAAAATGCTAAAAGAAAAAGAGAGAACCAATAATTTTATATTCAGCAAGACAATCTTTCTAATGTGAAAGCAAAAAAGGCAGAGAATTTATAGCACGCAGACCTGTCTTATTAGCAATACCAAAGAAATATCTTCAAACTGAATGTAAGTGACAGGAGAGTAATTCAAATTTATGAGACAAAAAACGTAATATATAGTTATTGGTAATATATGCCAATAAAGGTAATTATATAGTTGAGTTAATTGTAAAAGATAGTATAATTGCATATTTCTTTTCCTTTCTTCTCTCAGTTGATTTAAAAGACAAGTGCATAAGATAATATGTATGGAATTATATTATTGGGCCCATAACTTACAAAATTGTAATATATTTGACAATAATAGCACAAAGGAGGCAGGTGGAAGCAAAATTATATCAGAGAAAGAAAATAACACAAGTTGGCAACTAAAATCCACAGGAAGAAATAAAGAGAAACAGAAATGTAAACTAAGAAACAAACATTTATTATTATAACATGTAACAAACATTATAAATATATTAAAAAGAGAATGAAGGAATGGAGTTATGTAAGAATAATGTTTCTATATTTCACTTGAATTAAGTTAGCATAAATCTAAAGTAGAATCTGATAAGTTAATATGTATATTGTAAATCCCAGAGAAACCAGTAAAAAAGAAAACTGGAAAATATATAGTAAAAAACTCAGTAAAGAAATCAAAATGCTGCATTAGAAAATATTCACTTAATGCAAAATAAAGTAGTAAATGAGAAACAGAGAAACAGAAAATACGTGTGACATATTTTTTAAAAAAAGTAAAATAATAGACAAATCCAAACATATCAATAATAACATTAAATGTGGATGAATTAAGCTACCTGACCAAAGGCAAAGATTGTCAGACTGGACAAAATAAAAACAAGATCCAACTATATTATATCTACAAAAGACACCCTTTAAATTCAAAGATATACATAGGTTTAAAGTAAGAGGATAAAAAATTGTATATAGCAATAAAAGACTTGGAGTAGCTACATAAATATCAGATGACATAAACTTTAAAACAAACATAATTATAGAGATAAAGAAGGAAATTTTATAATGACAAAAACAAATTTGTCAAGAATACATAGCAATTATAAACATATATACACCAAACAACAGAGTCCCCAAAATAGGTAAAGCACACCTGACAATGCAAAAATAATTGTTTCATATCTCACTTTCAATAATAAATACAAAAACTAGGCAAAGAGTCAACAAAGATATAGAGGACTTGAATAATGCCATAAACAACCAGACCTAACAGACATCTACAGCAGCAATCTTCAACCTTTCTGGCACCAGGGACCAGTCTAATGGAAGACAATTTTTCCACAGGCGGGGGTGGAGGGTCGGCAGGGGCTGGTTTCAGGATGATTCATGTGCATTATATTTATTGTACACTTTATTTCTATTATTATTACATTGTACTATATAATAAGATAATTATACAACTCATCATAATGTAGAATCAGTGGGAGCCCTGAGCTTGTTTTCCTGCAACTAGATGGTCCCATTTGAGGGTGATTGGAGACAGTGACAGAACATCAGGCATTAGATTCTCTCATAAGAAGCACACAACCTAGATCCCTCACATGCATAGTTCACCATAGGGTTTGTGCTCCTGTGAGAATATAATGCTGCTGCTGATCTGATAGGGAACGGAGCTCAGGCAGTAATGTGAGTGATGGGGATTGGCTGTAAATACAGATGAAGTTCGCTAGCTTGCCTGCTGCTAACCTCCTGTTGTGTGGCCTTGTTCCTAATAGGCCATGGACTGGTACCAAACCATGGCCCAGGGTTTGGGACCTCTGATCTATAGAGCACTTCAACCAATAAGAGCAAAACGCACATTCTTCTCAAGCACACGTGGAACATTCTCCACATAGACCATATATTGAACCACAAAAAAAGCCCAAAGAAATTTAAAAGAATTGAACTCATACTAACTGTTTTCACTGACCATAGTGAAATAAATTAGAAATCAATAACAATATAAAATTTGTGAAAGTCGTAAAATTTGGAAATTAAACAACATGCTCCTAAATAACTAATATGTCAAAGAACAAACCAAAGGAATATCAGAAAATATTTTGAGATGAATGTAAATGAAGACATAACACCAAAATGTATGTGATGCAGATTAAGCAGTGACAGAGGGAATTTTTAAACTGCAATTGCCTTTATTAAAAAATAAGATCTAAATTCAGTAACTTAACCTACCACGTGAAGACACTAGGGAAGAAAAACAAAAAGCAAATTAAACCTAAAGCAAGTAGATGAAATAAAATAATAAATATTAGAGATGAAATTAAGGATAGAAAAACAATGGAAAGTCAATAAAATGAAAAGTTGTTTCTTTGAAAAGATTAACAAAATTGAGAAACCTTTATTTAGCTTGACTAAGAAAAAGGAGGATTCAAATTACTGAAGTTAGGAAAGAATCAGGAAATATTGTTAGTCTACTAAAATAGATAAGGAAGTACTATGAGAAATTATATGGAAATAAATTATATAATTTAGATGAAATGGACAAATTGCTAGAAAAGAACAAATTTCTGGAACCAGGTAAAAAAGAAGTAGAAAATCTGACTAGACATATAGTAAGTAAGAAGATTGGATTAGTTATCAAGAAACTACCCACATACAGTGTGGTGATTCCTCAAGGATCTAAAACTAGAAATACCATTTGACCCAGCAATCCCATTACTGGGTATATACCCAAAGGATTATAAATCATTCTACTATAAAGAAATGTGCACACGTATGTTTATTGCAGCACTATTTACAATAGCAAAGACTTGGAACCAGCCCAAATGCCCATCAATGATAGACTAGATAAAGAAAATGTGGCACATATATACCATGGAATACTGTGCAGCCATAAAAAAGGATGAGTTCATGTCCTTTGCAGGGACATGGATGAAGCTGGAAACCATCATTCTCAGCAAACTAACACGGGAACAGAAAACCAAACATTGCATGTTCTCACTCATAAGTGGCAGCTGAACATTGAGAACACATGGACACAGGAGGGGAACATCACACACTGGGCACTGTCGGGAGGTGGGGGAAAGGCAAAAGGGGAAAGGGAAGGGAGAGCATTAGGACAAATACCTAATGCATGTGGAGCTTAAAACCTAAATGACAGGTTGATAGGTGCAGCAAACCACCATGGCACATGTATATCTATGTAACAGACCTGCACCGTCAGCGCATGTATCCCAGAACTTAAAGTAAAATAAAAAATAAAATATATAAAAAATAATTACTTCCAGTTCCATAGTAATCACACTAATTAGAATTTTCCAGGCAAAAAAAAAAAAAAAAAAAGAAACTACCCTCAAAAATTGCCCAGGCACTGATACTGATGGCCTTATTGGTTAATTCTACCAAACAGTTGAAAAACCAATAAGGCCAATTCTTCATAAACCCTTCTAAAAATTAGAAGAGGAGGGATTGTTTCCCAACTCATTCCACAGGCCAGTATTAACCCAATACCAAAACTAGACAAAGATATCACAAGAAAATTACAGACAGAATCTGTAGTGGATGAATTTCATAATATGCCTTATAAAAGTAGATTTAAAATACTAGAAACCCAATTCAGCAATACACAAAAGAATTGTACATCATGACCAAATAGCACTTATCCTAGGAATGCAAGGTTGTTTAGCATCTGAAAAATCAATGCTTACAACACGTATTAATACAATAAAGAATACGATTTTTGAGATCATTTCAATAGATGTGGACAAAACATTTGACAAAAGCCAATGCCCTTTTATGATAAGACTACTCAGCAAGTGAGGAATAGAAAGGAACTTTCTCAATCTGATAAAGGAAATCTACAAAACCCCACAGCTAACATAATATTTAATAGTGAAAGACTGAATATTTTCCCCTCAAGATCAAGAACACAGTAAGGATGTCTGCTCTTACCACTTCTAGTCAAAATTGTAAAAAAGAAAAAAAATTATCCAGGTAATTGGGCAAGAAAAGAAATAAAAGACATTCAGATTGAAAAGGAAGAAGTAAAACTATTTATTGGCAAATGAAATGATCTTGTATATAGAAAACACTGAGGAATCCACTAAAAACTATTAAAACTAACAATTTGAGCAAGATTGCAGGATACAAGATCAATTTACAAATTTCAGCTGTATTTCTATACAGTTTCAATTAACAACCTAAAAATCAAATCTAGAAATCAATTCCATTTACAATAGCATTAAAAAAATAGAATGTTTAGAAATATGTTTAACGAAAGAAACATAAAACATGTATTCAGAAAACTATAACACATCACTGGGAAAAGTAAAAAAGACCTAAATGAAACACCTCATTAACGTAGATCAGAAGACAATATTATTACAATGTCAATACTCCCCAAATTGATTTAGAAAGTCACTGCAATTCCTATTAAAATATTCGATGGCTTTTTTACACAAATTGACAAGTACATCCTAAAATTCATGTGGAAATGCAATTGACTGAAATAGTCAAAACAAACTTGAAAAGGAAAATCAAAGTTGGAGGACTCATAATTCTCAACTCCAAAACTTACAACAAAGCTACAGTAGTCAAGACAGTGTAATATTGGCATCAGGACAGACACATAAATTAATGGAACAGAATAAGAATTGAGAATCCAGAAATGAACTTTTAACTTTATGGTCAGTTGATGTTCAACAAGGGTGCTGGGATAATTCAAGGGGGAAAGACTAAACTTTTTGACGTTGAGACAACTAGATATCCACATGCAAACGAATAAAACTGAACCACTTCCTCACACCATACACAAAAAGTAACTCAAAATAGATCATAGATGTAAATGTAAGAGCTGAAGCTATAAAACTCTTAGAAGAAAACATAGAAGTGAGTCCTTGTGGCCTTGTATTATGCAAAGTCTTCTTCAGTAGCCCACCAAAAGCACAAGTGATAAAAAAAAAAAAAGTATATATCAGACTTCAGCAAAATTATCAAAATTAAAAGCTTTTGTGCTGCAAATGATAACATCAAGAAAATGGAAACACAACCCACCAAACTGAAGAAAATATTTCCAAGTCATGAGTCTGATAAGGGATTTGTATTCAAACTATAAAAAGAACTCTTACAACTCAGTGATTAAAAATAAGCTAATTAAAAATGGGCAAAGGATGTGATGAGGCTTTTTCCCCCCAAGGAACATGTGCAAATGACCACAACACATGGAAAGACTCTCAATATCATTAGTTATCAAGGAAATGCAAATGAAAACCACAATGAGGTACCACTTCACTAAGGATCAAAATGAGAGATGATAACAAATCTTTGCAAGGTTGTGAAGAAATGGAAACCCTCACTCATTGCTGCTGGAAATGAGATAAGACACAGCCACTTTGGAAACCAACTGGGCAGTTCCTTAAAAAGTTAAACATAGAGATACCACGTGACCCAGCAATTCAACTCCCAGGTATCAACCCAAGGGAAATGAGAACATATATCCACAAAATACTTGTACATGAATATTTTAGCAGCATTATTAATAATAGCTAAGAATGGAAACAACTCAAATGTCCATTAACTGATGAATAGGTAAATAAAATGTGATATATCCATATAATGAAATATTATTGAGCAATAGAAAAGAATGAAGTAATTACAACAGTGTGGATGAACTTAAAAGCACTAAGCTAAGTGAAAGAAGCCAGTCACAAAGGATCCCATGTGGCATAATTCCATTTATATGAAATGTCCAGACTAGGCAAATTTGTAGAAATAGAAAATAGATTACTGGTTGCCTAGGGCTAGGGCAGGTGGAGTAGAAAGAGAACAGAGAATGGGAAAAGGAGAATTGGAGTAGGTAAAGAGCTCTGTGTTAGGCCATACTTCTGTTACTCTAAATACCTGAGACTGGGCAATTTATAGAGAAAAGAAGTTTAATTGGCTCATGGTTCTGCAGGCTATACAAACAGGGTACCCACATCTGCTCAGCTTCTGCCAAGAATCTCAGGAAGCTGACAACCATGGTGGAAGGTGAAGAGGGAGCTGGCACGTCACATGGCTAGAGCAGGAACAAGAGACAGAGCAAGAGAATGAGTGGGGAGGGCCACACACTTTCAGACAATCAGATCTCCCCCTTCAGGCCCCACTTCCAACACTGGGGATTACATTTCAGTATGAGATTTGGATGGGACAAATAACCAAACTCTATCAGGTTCCATTTTGTGATGACAATAAGGTTCTACAGTCAGATTTGATGATGGTTGTATAACTCTGTAAATATACTGAAAACCATTGAATTGTACTCGTTAAATGGGTAAATTATATGGTATATGAATTACATCTCCATATAGCTGTTTTAGAAACGCATGCACAAGAGACAGAAAGTTACAGACTATATTTACCAAAGTTTCTGAGTGATCATGGAGACTGTTTATTAAATAACATGTCTTTGCCACCTTGAAGTCATGCCATTCTTCATGTGAGATCCTGTTTCACAGCAATAGCTCATGAACTTGTTATAGGTATAGAAATATAATAAAAATGCAGATTCAACTCATTTTTATTTATAACATTAACACTATAATAAGGATGTCGTTTCGACTACTGTATCCCAGATATTATGAGTACTGGCTGGTCTCTATAGCCCTCCACCCTTCCCTGCCGTCTCTGTGCCCTAAGCAGCTAACTTCTATGGACTGCATCACCTTGACTCCCTCATCGCAAGCGTTTAAATGTTTGTGTCCTCTCGTTAGGCTGTATTCCTAATGACCGCAAGCCCTGTCTGCAACCTCCTCCTACAATTCTTCTGACCATAATGAGGGTCCTATAATATCCTTCGCTCCCCTTGCCCTTTCACTCTTAGGAGTGGAGAAGCTTTGTGCTGGCTCCTGATGTGATGCTATTAGGAGGTCTTTGGAAGATAATTAGGTCATGAGGGTGGAACCCTCATGAACGGTATTACTGTCCTTGTCCAAGAGACTCCAAGGAATTATTTCACCCTCTTTCCACCTTGTGAAGATGCAATGAGAAGTCAGCAGTCTGCAATCGGCCCTCACCAGATTGCCCTGAAAGAGGGCCCTCACCAGAACCGAACATGCTGGCACCCTGATCTTGAACTCCAGCCTCCAGAACTATGAGAAATACATTTCTGTTACGTATAAGCCACGAATCTATGGTACTTTTATTATCACAGATTAAATGAACTAAGACACTGATTTCATTGGGTTTGGCCAACAGAGACCTGGACAGGAACCCAGAGAGCAGAAAGAGAGAGGCTTGCCCCACAAGCCCTGTCTGTGACCTGCTTCTTACAGTTCTTCTGACCATGATGAGGGTCCTATAACACCCTTTGCTCCCATTGCCCTTTCACTCTTAGGAGTGGAGAAGCTTTGTGCTGGGGCCATTCCTGAGTCATGTCATCCTCTCGTACTCGGTGCCCACACCTCAGTTCACAGTTGCTCACTGCTCCTGCCATCCGTTTCCAGCTGGGAACTTGGTAGAGACAGGGCAAGCACACCAGTTCCTTACCTAACAGGAACCCTCTATGGTCAAAGGGAAGAATTTATTCCACTGTTCGGACTGATCACGTCATGTTCTGCCTACCTTGGCCTTGCAGACCCACGTCTGCACCAAACGACATGTTATAACGATGCTCTGTTGGGTGGCCTTTTGCTTCTAGTTTTCTATGACACTAGAGATACTCTTGCAAGCAACAGAGTTTAACTTTAGAAGCTGAATTTTTATCCTACAAAAATGAGCTTACCATAAATACGGTCAGTGTGCCTATTTTATAATGTCTCAAATAGAATAGTAAGAATCAAAACAATCTTAAAAGTAAATTGTGTTACACAAATTTGATATCCAAACAACATTTAAAGCTTACTGGATATGCATTTTGAAGTGGAAACCTGAATTCCTGGCTTCCAGGCCCGGTTAGTGCCTCCACCTGTGTCTCATCTGCCTTTGTCTGGGAAGCAGTTTTCAGACCCAGCTGAGCCTGACCCAGTGGAATCTCCGGTGCTTAGCACAGCCAGACTGATAGAGTTCGCCTTTCCTCAGAATGCAAAACAATTCATCCAGAACTAGCAAGTCCACAGATAAGGGATATTTATGCTTATTGTGCCAGATCTCTGAATGGCTGATTTAAAAAATTATATAAAATAAAATAAAATCTTGTGTGTCTCTTGTGGGTTAAGAAATGGAGGCCGAGGCAGGCGGATCACGAGGTCAGGATATCAGGACCAACCTGGCTAACACGGTGAAACCCCGTCTCTACTAAAAAAATACAAAAAATTAGCCAGGCATGCTGGCGGGCGCCTGTAGTCCCAACTATGTGGGAGGCTGAGGCAGGAGAATGGCGTGAACCCGGGAGGCGGAACTTGCAGTGAGCGGCAATGCGCCACTGCACTCCTGCCTGGGTGACAGAGCGAGACTCCGTCTCAAAAAAAAAAAAAAATGAAAAGAAAAGAAATGCATTGCACCATTTTTTCATGGCTACTTTAACCAGAGGTGGCCTACATTTATTTCCTTCCTTCAGGTCATATAACATCAGATCTTTTCATTAGCATGATAGCTGGAGATGTATTTAGAAGCTTTTTCTTTATAGCAACTAAAATACCCAACATACAAAACATTTACAGTATTTCATTTATCAAGAACCTATCTCTTTGTGGCAGACACAAAACCTGACTTGAAGTCAGTTAAGGGGTGATGTGACTTGGGGGATCTTCAGAAAAAGCCTTTGACTGAGAATATCACCCCTGCTGTCAGTCACTTTACTGCGATAATATTTTCCCTTTAAGCCAGGATTTCCCAAAGTGCGTGGAGAAAGACACAACCAACGCATTACCTTTGGTTACTTCAGGGGATGGGACTGGAAAGCACTTGGGGAGGAGAGAGACTGTTAACATTTTATACATTTTATCATTTAGCTCATCGCAACAATTGTATATTACTAAGGCAGTTTGTTTTCAGAAATCTGATACCGAGCCTTTTAAAGGTAAAATGTAATAGAATTAGGGGAATGGGAATACATTTTGGGAACTCTGCGTTAAACCAGGTTCTCATTGATAAACATCAACCTCTATCCCATGCCACAGAGGGCACTTCAAAGCCACATCCCAGGCCTGGTACGGTGGCTTGCACCTGTAATTCCAGCACTTTGCAATGCCAAGGTGCGAGGATTGCTTGAGCCCAGGAGTTCAAGACCCACTTGGTCAATATAGTGAGACCCTATCTCTACAAAGAAATATTTTTTAAAACTTAGCAGCATGTGGTGGCATGAACTTGTAATCCCAGCTATTCAGGAGGCTAAGGCAGGAGGATTGCTTGAGCCCAAGAGTGAGAGGCTGCAGTGAACCATGATCATACCACTGCACTCTAGCCTGGGTGATAGAGCGAGACTCCATCTCTAAAAAAAAGAAATAAAACGCATCCCAGCCTGAAAACTCACCTTCTTCTCCGACGCCACCCAATGCATGATCACCCTAAGTCCCAGAACAACCAGATATCCACAGCTCCAAAACACACCAGAAATTCCCTCCTTTCCCTCTGCCAGGGAAGAGCCCACCCTTCACCCATCTGGATCCAGTTTAAATATCACCTCCTCTAACCCAGGCTATGGTCTAGCACCCTCTCTCTGGTTTCCCGCAATATTCTCCGCAGGCTGTTTACCCACCTCACATTCCGGGAGGGCTACTGAGGGCTCATACGCTTGGATGGAACTCAATATCAGGTCTTTACTGAGAACCACGTGCTCCTCCCATGTGGAGCTCTTTATAATCATTCCCTCATTCAACACCCTATGAGCCAGAGAGGATTACTTTCTCTGTTTTACTAACAAGTAACCTAAAATTTGGAAAAGATGCAAAACTAGCCCAAAGTTGCGTGTTTAGTGACTGGTGTAGCCATAATGCTGCTGCCAGGCCAGCTCCGGCTGCCCACCCTCTCCCTGGGGGCCTTGACGATAAGTTATTAGCTCCTCGTGAGGCTGGCAGTGTGAGTCCACCTTCATACCCTACAGGAGCTGGCAGGATGACCACTTGTTAGATGTTTAATAAATGATTGTTGAGCAAATAAAGAAATGCTTGGGTGAATCAGAAAGATGTGATTACTATTAACTTCTCACTATTAAAACATAACAACTTCTGGGCAGGGTTCCCTCTTAATCCCTTATCAGACTACCTGATGTAGCCTCTGTAATCAACACCTTAGCAGAATTACCACATATAATCCTTCCTGATAGAGTGCCTGAAACTCAATCGACTCAGCAAATGCTTGGCTCCTTGCCTTCTTTCCTCCAAGAGCTAGAAGGAGGAAGGTTGGATGTGTGAGGTTTGGGAAAGTCACCGCATGCTGAGAGGACATTGATTCAGGGATTGAGAGGACATCAAAGACAAACTTCTCACACTTGTCCACAAAAGAATCCCAAGGTCCATACACTTGGAGAAGAGAGCTTAATTTCTTATAAAGGGTTGCAGCCTCTGGCCACCCTGAAAGACTAGGAAGCATAGCCTTCAGCAGAGACTGAAAGCAGCTACTTCGAAGGAGGATGGGTGAGACAGGAATTTATGCTGAATGGGTTGGCTAAGTATATATATTTAACAAGCTATAGGAGGGGCTGTGAATATTTATGAGGGGTGTATGTGCATGCATGGTAAACCTGTGTGTAATATGCATCCCATGTTCACTTTGGGGTGGAGACGTAACATTTAAATGCATTAAAGTTAATCTCTATATATAAAAAGATGAAGCAGAGGACAGGAAGGTCCTCAGTGTGCAGCCTCTGTGGACCTGCCCGACCACCAGTCTGTGGCTGAGGGTCTCTTATCAGGAGAAAGTTACTAAAATTAGTCTCTTTTCCAATCAAAGCTGTAGTATGGTTTGTGGGATTGGGTGAGGTGAGGAGGTCAGTTAGTCAGTGTCTGTCCATCAGTGAGCTGCAATTGTTTCACTATTGCTCATCGCCAGGCCAGTGTGGAGAAAAAGAAAATCTTTGTGGCAGAACATAGCTGACTCTTTAAGTGCACAGGTGTATAACCTAACTCCTCCGCGCATGGCCTTTAGTCTTGTTTATAATTTGGTGTCTTATTGCCACTCTGTTCTGTCAGTCTTACGGTCCCTGTTTGAGCACACTTCATCATCTTGATTAGCACCAGGCTGGTGCACTTTATTAAAAAATCAAGGAAACTACCCAGTCTGACTCAATTCACTTAAATGTCCTTTAGGCATGGCCATAAATACTCAACTTTAGAGGTAACAAACATCATGGATGCTTTTCACATAATGCTGTTTCACATAAAATTCTCGGCAACCCAGTTCTTGTATTGTAGGTGAAATAATCAAAACTTCAGAGCGTTCAGTCAAGATGACTTTGCTACGTCATAATGGAGCTAAAGGTCGAATGCAGGGCTTGTGAATAGACTCCAATCTAGCCTCCATCTCTCTGTGTGGCACCCCTCTCTGGATGTGGTTGTCATCTCCTCTCTTCTCTTCTTGTGGCCTCATCTCTAGAGTTGAATAAGTAATGGGTCGAATGGTCTGGCTTTGCTCTTTCCCTTTTCCAGCCCTCCAACCCCCTACTTAGTCAGTTAAAGCACCAGGTAAAGAAATAAAAGAGGTGGCCGGGCGCGGTGGCTCACGCCTCTAATCCCAGCACTTTGGGAGGCCGAGGAAGGTGGATCATGAGGTCGGGAGATCGAGACCATCCTGGCTAACATGGTGAAATCCCATCACTACTAAAAATACAAAAAAATTATCCTGGCATGGTGGCAGGCAGCTGTAGTCCCAGCTACTTGGGAGGCTGAGGCAGGAGAATGGCATGAACCCGGGAGGCAGAGGTTGCAGTAAGCCGCGATAGCTCCACTGCACTCCAGCCTGGGTGACAGAGCAAGACTCTGTCTCAAAAAAAAAAAAAAAAAAAAAAAAGAAAAGAAAAATGAAAATGAAATAAAAGAGGCCACAAAATGGGCCTCCAAAAAAAAAAAAACATCATCCTTAGTCTTTCAAGCGGGTTTGCCCCGGCGTGGTGGCTCGCATCTGTAATCCCAGGACTTTGGGAGGCTGAGGCAGGTGGATCATGAGGTCAAGAGATCGAGACCATCCTGGCCAACATGGTGAAAACCTATATCTACTAATAATACAAAAATTAACTGGGCATGGTGGCGGGTGCCTGTAGTCCCAGCTACTAGGGAGGCTGAGGCAGGAGAATCACTTGAACCTGACAGATGAAGGTTGTAGTGAGCCAAGATCGTGCCACTGCACTCCAGCCTGGTGACAGAGTGAGACTCCGTTTCAAAAAAAAAAAAAAAAAGGAAGAAAGACAGAAAAAAAAAAAAGAGGGTTTGCCTCCTCAGAAAGGTGACATGTGCTTCCAGTCCTCTTTGTTCTCCAGGTTCTTAACTGGAGCAGGACAAGGGTGTTCCACTGGAAGTAATTGTATCCAGGAGGAAATGTTTACGTTTCCTGTAAACTCCGTTCTGGAGGCATGACTGCATATAGAAGTTGAAAACTATAATTAGGGAAAGAATTTTAATTTTATAATAATCTCTGTATGTATATGTCTCTTATTGGGCGTGAGGGTAGGGGAAAGAAGTTACTTTTTTTGGGTTAAAATGGAGCAGTCAGTATGAGAAAGTGTCTTGAGACTTGGATTTTAGTGAATTGTATGATTAAGCGCAAGATCCTTAACCACTCTAATAATCCTTGATACTAAGTACCTATGAAATGTGAATAGGCCGGAAGCGGTGTCTCATGCCTGTAATCCCAGCATTTTGGGAGGCCGAGGCGGGCAAATCATCTGAGGTCGGGAGTTTGAGACCAGCCTGACCAACATGGAGAAACTCCATCTCTGCTAAAAATACAAAATTAGCCGGGTGCGGTGGCACATGCCTGTAATCCCAGCTACTTCGGAGGCTGAGGCAGGATAATCGCTTGAACCCGGGAGGTGGAGGTCGCAGTGAGCCGAGATCGCACCATTGCACTCCAGCCTGGGCAACAAGAGCAAAACTCCATCTCAAAAATGATAAATAAAAATAAATGTGAATAACATTGCTTGTGCTATTCTTCTCACACAGACATTGCTAAAGTTAAAAAAAGAATATGTTATTAAGAATATGTAAAAGCCTATAAAGTGTCAGATTATTGTTATTAATTATCTGTTTTCATTACCATAAAATAAGAAACTGGAAGAAGAAACTATGCTTTCTATGTATTCCTATTTAAACTCTGAGGGGGGTTAGAGTTTTTCCAGTAATGAAGCAGTTGTTCATTCCATGTTGCTCTGGGAGCAATTATTTGTTTCCTCAGTGAAACAAGTGAAAAAAGAACTGACGTGGGTTGATCCTTGATCATCTCTATTTGCTTGTACAGATACCGATTACTGCCTAACCATCAGAAGAGAATGGTTAAAATTTTTCAAAGCTCTATTCCTACGTGTCAATAAATCCACAAAAATAATAATAGCTCTGAGCACTCAAAAGGGTAAACTCTTCCTGCTCCCTCCTTAACCACCAAACTTCTGCTTTGAGGACCAAGTATTTTCTCTCTGCCTCTAACGTATACCCAATATACCCAAGTAATTATGACCTACAAAGCTGATGTTTTAAAAAATAATAGCATTGCTGAGAGATAACTCATATCCCCACACCTGACCTATTTAAACTGTACAAGCCAGCCAGGCATGGTGGCTCAAGCCTGTAACCACAGCACTTCGGGAGGCTGAGGCGGGCAGATCACCTGAGGTCAGGAGTTCAAGACCAGCCTAGTCAACATGGTGAATCCCCATCTCCACTAAAAATACAAAAAAATTAGCTGAGTGTGGTGGCAGGCGCCTGTAATCCCAGCTACTCAGGAGGCTGAGGCAGGAGAATCACATGAACCCGGGAAGCAGAGGTTGCAGTGAGCCGAGACTGTGCCACTACACTCCATCCTGGGTGGCAGAGTGAGACTCCGTCTCAAAAACAAACAAACAAACAAATAAATGAATAAATAAATAAATAAACTGTAAAAGCCAAAGACCATCACTAAGTCTAATTTTAGAACACTTCACCTGGCAAAGAAACCTTCTATCCATTAACAGTTTGTTCCCATTACCCTATCCAACCCTGACGCCCCAGGCAAGCACCGTTCTACTCTGTCTTCATGGATTTGCCTATTCTGGACATTTTATATAAATGGAATCACACAATGTGTGGTCTTTTGCGATTGGCTTCTTTGACTTAACATGGTTTCAAGGCTCGTCATGTTGTGGCATGTGTTTGTACTTCATACTTTTATGGCTGGATAATATTCCATTGTATTGATATCCTACATTATCTTTATCCATTTATCAGTTTATGGACATTTGAATTGTTTCCACTTTTTCGCTATTGTGAAGAGTGTCACAATAAATATTCAAGTACAGGTTTTTGTGGACATTTCTTTTCATTTCTCTTGGGTATGTACCTAGGAGTGGAATTGCTGAGTCATGTGGTAACTCTATTTTTAACTTTTTGAGAAACTGGCAAACTGTTTTCCAAGGTGGCTACACACTTTTACCTCCCCACCACCAGTGTGTGAAGTTCAGGACTTATTTTTGAAGACTGATTTCTAAGCCACCCTCTTAGATGACCGGTGCTCAGATCCCACTGGTGGGTGACCCTGGCCGTATTACCTACAAATAAGAGCAGCTGTACCTTGGGGAGAATGGCCTCTGGCTCTGTATTAGTTCGTTCTTGCACTGCTATAAAGAAATACATGAAATTGGGTACTTTATAAAGAAAAGAGGTTTAATTGGCTTACAGTTCCACAGACTGTAAAGGAAGCATGGTGGCATCAGCTTCTGGGGAGGGCTCAGGAAACTTACAATCATGGCAGAAGGCAAAGGGGGAGCTGACACCTCACATGACCCCAAGCAGGAACAACAGAGAGTAAGAAGGGAGGTGCTAAACGCTTTTAAACAATTAGATCTCATGAGAACTCACTATTATGAGAACAGCACCCAAGGGGATGCTATTAAATTAGAAACTGCCCCCATGATCTAATCCCCTCCCACCAGGCCGGACCTCCAACATTGAGGATTATAATTGAATATGATATTTGCAAAGGGACACAGATCCAAACCATGTCAGCCTCTTAAGGACCGTGTGTGGATGGAGCAAGTTGATATCCACAGGGTATACAGCAGGTGCTCAAGCAGTACTGGAGTCCCACTGTGGCTGATGGTCAGCAGGAAAGCAACAAGGGTGACCGAAACATACAGGTTACAAACAATTTTTGTTACCCAATTCCAAAAGTCTCAGTGAAGACAGGAACAAGTTTCCAGGTGAGGACAAACAGCTGCTTCTCTTATTTGCCCTAGGCTCACACAGGAAACAGGTTGAGTCACTCAGCAGGTTTGTACCTGCAAATTACGAGAGAGAGCATTGGGAAGACTGTCCGCATAGGTGACCAGGCCAGCCCAGCAGTGCAAATGACAGCCCAGGTTAGCCTGGCCGGTGCAAAGGGTAGTGTTCTGCCAGAACTTGAAATAACTAGTTCATTTGGATGTGTTTCCTTACATTGCCTTAAGACATAGAGGAGCTCAAGCCTATGCACATCCTGTGTTCCATAAAAGACTAACCTTAGGGGAAAATGATGAGAAAGAGTCCATTTTACTTTCTGTGCCTCCTGACCAGGAAAGACTCACTGCTGAAGCCAACTTCAAAAGCAAAACCAGGCCAGGCACGGTGGCTCACTCCTGCAATCTCAGCACTTTGGGAGACCGAGGAGGGAGGATCACTTGAGCTCAGGAGTTCAAGACCAGCCTGGGCAACATAAGAAGACCCTGTCTCTACAAAAATAAATAAATAAATAATTTATGTGGTGGCACATGACCGTAATCCCAGCTACTTGGGAGGCTGAGATGAGAGAATCTCTTGAGCCTGGAGGTAGAGGTTGCAGTGAGCTATGATTGCACCACTGCACTCCAGCCTGGACAACAGAACAAGACTCTGTCTCTAATAATAATTAATAACAGTAATAAATTAATAAGCAAAACCAAGCAAACAAAGCCAAAATGTAGGTTAAGGTGGCAACCGGGTAGGTGTCAACTCTGATTTAAGACCAGTGCAGAGTGAAGACATCACCCCATAGCTCCTTACCTGACTCTACCCCAAGCTTTGCCAACTACACACATTTGAGTCTTCTGTTTAGCACGGTCCCAGGAATCTGTCGCTCTTGAACCACCGCGAAGAGGAACCTGGTAGGTAACTGAGAGTCTTCTGAAATTTTCGGAGTACAGCGTGGACAGGTGTAATAGAGAAATAGAGGGAGAGGACTATTGAGAATATAAAAAGGCCATTACAGAAAGTTACAGCAGGGCTGTGGCTTTGCCAGATAATTGATTTTGAAAGGTGACATAGTTATTTGCAGTTTATCTGCTTGCAGCACAAAAATAGGGCAAATCACTGAAATCTTTCTTAGGGGATTGATGTTCATTTTATGACATCCTTCAATGAGCAGAAACATAAAAGCCACCATCACACCACCAGCAGCAGGACCACTGCCATGCACGAAGCTCTGAAACAAACAGGGGGTACTCCTGAAAGGCTAAGGAATGAACAGGAACAGAGTGAGCTTGCCTGTCCAGGGAGTGGGCACACTGGCCAAACCCAGGCTGACCCTGTGTGCAGGTGGGCACCCATTGCTGGCCTGTATCGCACAGGCTTTCCTTTGGGTAGGGATGGCTTTGTGCATGTGGCTGCCTGGGATGCCCAGAAAAGTGTCAGCAATTCCTGGATTCCCCGGGTGACTAGGCACAATATGTTTGGTGGGATTGGAGCTGAGGAAAGTGAACTGGGAGAAATCTGGCAACAGGAGGACTCACCCTTTGTCTTCCCACTTTTTGAAATGGAGTCTCCTGACATTTTCCTCCTCATCTCAACTTTCTCTCCAAGTCTTTCCTGTCTCCTGGGCAGAGAATCAGAGCTGACCACCAATTACGTTATACCCGAATTTTATAGAATCACTTTTTATTGCTAGCATATCATAGGGGGATCACTGTTTTATTTTATTTTAAACTATTCATAGTACCTGTATTACTTCTAAAAATAACAAAACAAGAGATGAGACTCTCATAAGCCAGGAGCAATGTCCAAATGTCTGATGAAAAGGAATTGCCAACGTAATTCAGCCTAACCAGCAATCTTGCAGGGCAAGGGTAGAAAAAGAAATAAGATCTTCAAAGGGTCACTTTCCATGAACTCTTTCTTAATTTTCTTTGCTACTTTGTAGTAGTTTTAGCTAAATTTTATGAGTTAAAAAAATGTTGGTAATATATTTCTTTAGGAGCCTAAGGTCAATTGTGTGACTTTTTTTTTGTGATCAATTCACTGCTTAAAAAATTTTTCCTTATTAAAAAAATAATAATTGTCCTTTAATGTCTTCCTGGCTTATTGTTATTACAATTTCCATTTATTCAATGAAATTCTAGAACAGGCATCATTGTCCATAAATGCTCTCCATAGCCTGAAGGACGATATTAAAGTCACTTCTTATCCTTCCCTTCTCCTCCAGTGTCTCATTCCACAAGTTCTTTCCCCTGGGATCCTCTTGGGATTTTAGGCATTTGAGCCAGACTCCAAGGCTTTCCTTGCCCTTTTGGGCTGTGTATCCCAATGTATTCTTGGAAGGATCTGCCTACTTTGGAAAAGGATGGCTTGTCATGCCCACGCCTTGGGCTCATGGCTGCTGGGGGCCTCCCTGGACGCAGTAACCAGCACTTGTGCAGGCTCAGGTTTGCCCAATTACTGCCTGGGCCCCAGTCTGCCACTCCAGGCCTTTTCTCATGTTGCGTCTTCAACACCAGTACCATCAACTTACAAAATTAAAAATTTAACCAAACTGGGTGTATGATAATGTTACTGAATTTAACTTTTTCTTTTTTTAACATTTATTTTAAGTTCAGAGGTAATGTGCAGGTTTGTTCCACAGGTAAACTTGTGTCCTGGGGGTTTGTTGTACATATTCTTTTATCACTCAGGTATTAAGCCTAATACCCACTAGTTATTTTTCCTGATCTTCTTCCTCCTCTTACCCTCTACCCCTCTGAAATGCCCCATGGAATTAACTTTTTATTCTTAGTTCAGTCAAATTATTTTGTATGGGTGGACACAGTGACCATATAGTTTTTGTATGGGTGGACACAGTAACCGTATAGTTTTTTGTTTTATTATTGATGAAAATCAGTATTTTTGAAGTCAGGCTCTTTTCTGTTTTGGGTTTTTTTTTTTTTAATTTCTTTTAAATATATCTATGTCACATCTTCCACTTCTTTTGAAGACCTTATTTAGTTCTATTCAATGTGTAAAGTACTTCACACATTGCAGTTTTTTGAAAGTCATATAATTCATACCTGAGAGAGATTTTGGGGAGCCTCTGGCTCAGCATGGTCACTGGAGGCCCAGGGAGGTCTAGGGTTTGCTGAAAATCTGGGAACAGTTAGCTCAAAGCCTGGCCGGCGCCCACTGCTTCTAATTTTCCATCCGTTTATCTCTCCGGCCCTGTGCAGCACTGCCTTTCCCAGGAAATGTGTGTGCGCCATCTTGTTATCTGATGTCACCAGCACTGCACACCAGGATGCCAGGAGCCCAGGTGTGGGGTAAGAAGAGCTGGGCTTGAATCTCACTCTACCACTTATTAGCTATATGGTAGTCTTTGACCACCACATTCCTTAGCTTCTTAGTGTGTTAGTTTCCTCATCTGCAGAATAGAGACAATAATGTAGTACTGACTGATTCAAACCACATGTCATGGATTCAAGACCATATTCCTATGTCCCTCCAAAGACTTTTCCAACAGTTCAGTGGTGCCTGGAATTTCTTAATGAACATTTCAGTTCTGCAGCTTGAAGTTCACTGCTGGTAGATTGCCATCATCCCTGGAAGGGGTTGCACATTACGCCTCCTTAAGCACGTGCACTGATTGATATAGAAGCAAGTGTCTACCAGGAAAGGAAAAAAGACTTCAAATTCTGAGGGAAGCGAAAAGTAAAAATAAAAAAGCAGCAGCAGCAGCAGCAGAGAAAACACCATTCTGGGATAAACATCCGGAGTGTTAGGCTTAGGGTCTCAAAGTCAGACGTGACAAGCCTCACCCTGCTTGTTCAGCTCCATGATTATTATTTTAAACATCAATTCTCATAGTAGAAAGATTAAAAAAAAAAGCTAACAGTGGACCCAGCACGGTGGCTCATGCCTGTAATCCCAGCACTTTGGGAGGCCGAGGGGGGCGGATCACCTGAGGTCAGGAGTTCGAGACCAGCCTGGGCAACATGGCGAAACCCTGCCTCTACTAAAAATACAAAAATTAGTCGGGCATGGTGGCTCATGCCTGTAATCCCAGCTACTCCAAAGGCTGAGGCAGGAGAATTGCTTGAACCCAGGAGGCAGAGGTTGCAGTGAGCCAAGGATCGCACCACTGCACTCCAGCCTGGGTAACAGAGCGAGACTCTGTCTCAAATAAACAAACAAACAAACAAACAAATAGTGAGTTATAGCTAGAAGAATCTTGAATAGTAGCCTTGTTGTGTTCAAAACATACCCATGCTTTATAAAATCAGAGCTGAAGAGGTTGGTGTACTATAACACAGATTTAACATCCTATCTAAATTATTTGAGGTGAAGGATTCATTATTCATGATTTTCACACCCAAAAATATTTACTTCATAGTATTCATATTTGGACATGTCATTCAGATTATTCCATTTTATTTTAAATAACGTAACAAAACATTTTAGACATCTGATTTATATAATAGCAATACCAAGGACTTGCACCCTGTTTCTACCTAAGTTGTTTCTGAAAACCATCTTATAACTCATCCATTGCCAAGTAATTACAATCTTAACTGTATCTTGAAAACAGTGGGTTTCAGCTTTTTATTATCCCAGTTATTGCTCTGGAATCATTGTAGTGCACCTTCTTCATGACCCCATTCATTCAGGTCACCAGCTCACTCTATGTTTAAGAGGCCTGTCTCTAGAAAGAAGGAGAAGAGGGGATACGTAAAGAATTGAAAACAGCTTCAATTTGATTCAGTAGCACAGTGCACTAAAACCCATAAGCCACAACAATCAACAAAGTGTGGAATTCACACTGTTCTACTCAATTCCATCCCTTGTATTTTTTACAGCAATATCTTTATTGTGCTGAAAGTTATCACATGTACTCCGGAGTTTCTAACAAACCTTTATGTTTTACCTTTGAAAATAACTTCTAAGCTGCTATTTCTGCTTGGAATTTTATGTTAAAGGTGGAGAAAATTGAATCAAGCAGTCATCAATGGGTACCACCTTCCACAGTCCTACCTCCCCAGAGTTCTGAAGAATTCAGGTCCAGGCAAACTAACACAGGAACAGAAAACCAAATGCCACATGTTCTCCCTTATAAGTGGAAGCTAAATGATGAGAACACATGGACACGTAGAGGCGAGCAACATATACGGGGGCCTTTTGGAGGGTGGAGGGTGGGAGGTGGGAGAGGACCAGGGAAAACAGCTATTGGTTACTAGGCTTAATAGTTGGGTGATGAGGTGGCCTATACGACGGAGCCCCATGACACAAGTTTACCTGTGTAGCAAATCCACACTTGTACCCCTGAACATAAAATAAAAGTTAAAAAAAGAGACATTGTCAGAAAATACATGGTGAATTTAATAAACAGTTTTCTTTCAACGGTAACAAAAAAATCAATGAAGTTGGTTGCCCGTTGTAAGAATTAAACGTCCAATAATTTTTAGGCAATTTTTGATTTCTGAGCTTATAACTGAGTTGCTGTAAAATTGCTGGGATTCCTACACAAAGAAGAAAACCTTTTTGATGAAAATTTAAAAAGAATTTTGTACCAATTATGGAGGTTTAGTTAAAAATTATTAAGAACAAATAAAAGAAATATTTTACACACAAAAAAAGATGACGCTTCCCTGGCTGCTGTGACACTTGTGTGTTATGAGCACACCTTGGTGTTGTAGGTTGGAGTCCTGGAAGGTGCTTTTTTGACATTGTCTTAAAACTTTTTTTAAGGCCTAAGGTATGAAATAATTAATCATTAGTACATTTTTATTTGATGCACTGGGAATTTTTAATAATTTCACTCTAAGTAGTTCCCCTCAAATACATGAGCTTTTATTTTATATCTTTTTAGTAGGCATAACTCAAGTATATAAGGTAGATTTTTAAAAAGACATTGTATGGTATCTTAAAGTTAGCATTCAGTTTTCTACTGTACTATTTTACTAAATTTTTCAATACTTCATTTTTATAGACTTCTAATCCCTGCTACCTTATATTATACTATATTATACTTTCCTATACATTTAATTTGAAGGCTTTTCAGAACTTTGACATGGCTATGGGCTTAGGGATTGTAGGCATTTTCCATGAGACAAAAACATGTGACTTCCAGCATTGTTTTAATTTGATTATTAAAAAGTACACAAATATTAGTGGAGGAAAAAGGACCTACAATATAGTGATGATGATGGTGGCGGTAGTGGTGATGATGACAATAATAATAACACATGGTATGATTTTAAGGGCAAATAGATATGCAAATAGGCTTAATCCTGAATACAGTGAAAGAAAACTAAGGCATTGCAGGCATAAATACTTCAAAGCTAGGGGCAAACACTACAATTGGACCAGAACCAAATTGTCTGGACTGCTGGGGGTGGCTCTACCAGATCCAAGATGGTGCTAGAGTTAGTAAACCTTCAGCTGTGATAAAGCTAACAAAGTGCTCTGTCTCCTAGTAATTGCAAGAATGATATTTGTTACAATCTCCTTTCTTCAACTCCGAGCACCAGAATGCCAGCTGCGGAGGATTCTGAGTTGGGCCACTATCCTGGGTCGAATTCAGTCTGGAACAATAGTTCTTTGACTTCTATCTTTTTCACAATTTCTCATTTCCCCAACTGATCATTAATCCACAAGGGATTATTGATCTCCCAGTCAGTCTGTCCTCTCTCCTGCCAAGTAATAAAATACTACCTTTAATGCTAATCTGTATAAATCAATGTCAGGTTCAAATATGAACTGTGCTGTAGACTTGGATTCTTTACCAAATATAACAATCAGTGGATGCTTCACTCAAATATTAATGATTCATTAACTACCCACCAGTTTCTCATTAAGTGCTGATATAATCTCTCCATAAGAATTTATTACAATACCATAGCCAAATGTTCAACATCTAGACAGGAACAAACTCTCTAAGGAGAAATCATAAAACACGTACAAACTCAGGCAGTCTTCATCCAAAGTAACTGTGTTAATCCAGTGAAGTGAGTGTGTCTGATTGTTTTTTGAGCTTTATCACCTCAAATCAGGCAGTCAGTTAACTCTCTAAGCTTCAGTGTGCTCATTTGTAAAATAGATATAGTGGCCTCACCTCAGACTATTTTGAGAAAATCAAGGATGATGATGTCTTTGTAACCAGCTTATGCAAGGGGCTGAACTTGGGAGGTTGTAATCAGGAAATAGTTTTCCTTTTAACCCACCACAATCTTCAAACCTACGTTTCAATTTTCTATTCTGCAGCACTGGGTGATGTCTCATGGAAGCTAGCTTTTCTAGTCAGTTTCAGGTATTTGTAAAGTCTCATTTTTGAATATAAAAAAGCCAGTCTAGTCTAATTCCAAAATGTCAATATCTTTTGGGTTTTCCTGCAGTTCAGCTGTGATTTAGGCTGGAAAATCTGCAAGGATAATGTCAGGGTGTCATTTTATCCTTCCTTGATCCACTTCCTTGCTGTAGTCTTCAGTATTGAGTAGGAAGGAAGCATGAACCTGAAGATGCAAAACTTTATCTTGACTTGGCAGGTGCTGTCTGCTCCTTCACCATGGCAGATGCTCAGATGCCAGCTCCTTTTCTCCCAGGGCTCTTTAACGGATATCTTGGGAGCCTACCTCCTACCCTCCACCACTCCCACCAGCCAAGAGATTTCCATGATGGACATATGCTTTGGCTCACTTTCAGGCTTCCCCTTGCTAATGGACACCCTTTATTGATATCCCTGGCCTGGCCACCTTCTGTGGAGTAGCTCAGAGGGAAGAATGATGTGGTCAGCTCCCCCTTTTGCTGTTAGAGAGACTGCCACAGGCTCCACACCTCTGAGCATCCTTTTTTACCTGCACACAATGGGATAATGACAGTATCTACCATTGCTGTCTACCTCCTGGGCTGTCTCAAGGATTAAAGGAGGTGGCCCAGCCTAAGCACACTTACCACAGCACCTTCCCATGCCACACCTAGCAGGAAGCAAGCATGATCAAAGTGGTTAGAACCATGAACTACAAAACAGATTACCTGGGTTTGGATTTAAAATCCACCACTCACTAATTGTAAAACCTTGGACACATCAATGGTTAATTGACCTCTCTGTGCCATAATTTTCTTTCTGTACAATGGAAATAATAGCAGTTTCTCCATGTGCCAGATGCTATGTGTTGACATTCAGTGGGGTATCTGCCTTCAAAATGCTCCCCTAATCCACAGGGTAAGGCCTGGAGACTCACATTCCATCTTTCTATACCAGTGGGTTCCAGGGAAGTTCTGCCAATGAGAAGCTGTCATGGGCTTTCTGGAGTTGGCCTGGAGATCAGTGGAAGGTAGCTGTTTGAGCATCAGCACCAGACAGATGTGGAAATTTGCAGCAGTTTCCAAGCAACCTTCTGAGAATTGTGCACTTTGGAGCTCCAAGAATATGTGACCTCCCATTATCCTAAGCAAGCCCCACCAAGCCCTAACTGATACCTGGCTTCATAGAGTGGCTGAGAAAATCAAGAAAGTTTGTACATAGAACGTGCTCAGAACAGCTCCAACAACATTGTAAGCATTCAATAAATGTCAGCTACTATGTTCATTCCGTATTATTCCCAATACTATGAATTAATCTATGCATATCAGTTGACCAAAGCTTCAAAACTACAGGAAGAAGGAAATGGTAGGAGAGCTCAGCACTTCCCCTACAGACCTTGTATTAGTCTGTTTCCATGCTGCTGATTAAGACATACCCAAGAATGGGCAATTTACAAAAGAAAGAGGTTTAATGTACTTGCAGTTCCACATGGCTGAGGAGGCTTCACAATCATGGTGGAAGGCAAGAAGGAGCAAGTCACGTCTTACATGGATGGCAGCAGGCAAAGAGAGAGAGCTTGTGCAGGGAAACTCCCATTTTTGAAACTATCAGATCTCATGAGAATTATTCACTATCAGGAGAACAGCATGGGAAAGACCTATACCCATGATTTAATTATCTCCTACCGGGTTCGTCCCACAACACATGGGAATTGTGGGAGTTACAATTTAAGATGAGGTTTGGGGAGGGACACAACCAAACCATTAGAGACCTGAAAGAGGCTGTTGTACTCACTGATTCATGTAGTTTGCATGTGTGTCCTCTCTAAATCACATGTTGAATTGTAATCCCCAGTACTGGACATGGGGCCTGGTTGGGGGTGATTGGATCACAGGGGTGGATTTCTCATGAATGATTTAGCATCATCCTCTTGATGCTATTCTTGTGATAGTGAGTTCTCATGAGATCTAGCTGTTTAATAGTGTGTGGCAACTCCTCCCTCTCTCTCTTGCTCTTGCTTTCACCATGTGATGTGCTGGCTTCTTCTGTATCTTCCTCCATGATTGCAAGCTCCCCGAGGACTCACAAGAAGCTGAGCAGATGGTCAGTATCATGCTTCCTGTACAACCTGCAAAACCATAAGCCAGCTAAACCTCTTTTCTTTATAAATTACTCAGTCTTAGGTATTCCTTTATAGCAATGCAAGAACTACATAACACAGAAAATTGTTATCAGGAGTGAGATATTACTGTAAAGATACATGAAAATGTGGAAGTGACTTTGGAACTGGGTAACAGGCAGAGGTTAGAAGATTTTGGAGGGCTCAGAGGAAGACAGGAAGACGAGGGAAAGTTTAGAACTTCTTAGAGGCTTGTTAGATGATTGTGACCAAAATGCTGATAGTGATATGAACAGTGAAGTTCAGCCTGCTGAGGTCTCAGATGGAAATAAGGAACTTATTGGGAACTAGAGCACAAGTCATCCACGTTATGCTGTAGCAAAGAGATTGGTTGCATTGTGTTCACGCCCTAGAGATCTGTGGAAATTTGAACTTAAGAGTGATGATTTAGGGTAACTGGTAGAAAAAAAAAATCTAAGCTACAAAGCATTCAAGATGTGTCTTGGCTGCTTCTAACAACCTACTCTTAGACATAGGAGCAAAGAAATGACTTAAAGTTGGAAGTTATATTTAAAGGGGAAGCATATCAGAAACATTTGGAAAATTTGCAGCCTGGCCATGTGGTAGAAAAGAAAAGCCCAATTTCAGTGGAAGAATCCAAGTGAGCTACAGAACAACCACTTATTAGAGAGATTTGCGTAACTAAAAGGGAGCCAGGTGCTGATAGCCAAAACAAGGGGGGAAAAGGTCTCAAAGACATTTCAGAGATCTCTGAGGCAGCCCCTCCCATCACAGGCCATGGGTTCTAGGAGCAAATAATGTTTTGGGGGGCCAGGACCAGGGCCACAATCCCCTGCACAGTCATAGGACTTTGCTTCTCGCATTCCAGTCACTCCAGCTGCAGCTGGAGGGGCCAAGTTACAGCCTGGGCCTCCACTCTAGAGGGAGAGAGCCATCAGCCTCAGTGGCTTCCACATAGTGTTAAGCCTGTAGGTTCACAGAGTGCAAAAGTGAAGAATGTTTGGCAGCCTCTGTCTACATTTCATAGGATGGATGGGAAAGCCAGAGTGCCCAGGAAGAAGCCTATCTCAGGGGCAGAACCCTCATAGACAACCTCTACTAGGGCAGTCATGAAGGGAAATATGGGGTGTGAGCCCGTACACAGAGTTCCCAGTGTGGGAACTGCGTAGTGGAGCTGTAGGGAGGGGGTCACTTTCCCCCAGACCCCAAAATGGTAGATCCATAAGCAGCTTGTACCCTGGAAAAGCCACAGGCACTTAACTGCAGCCTATGAGAGCAGCTGTGGGGACTGAACCATGCAAAGCCTAGAAGCAGAGCTGCCATGGCTTTGGGAACCCAACCCTTGCACCTGTGTTCCCTGGATGCAGGACGTGGAGTTGAAGGAGACTGCTTTGGAACTTGAAGATTTAATGACTGCCCTGCTTGGTTTTGCACTTGTGTGGGGGCTGTACATGTAAATAGCCCCTGTCTTTTTGGCTGATTTATCCCTTTTGGAATGTGAATGTTTAACCAATGCCTGTACCCCCATTGTATCTTAAAAGCAAGTAATTTGTTCTGATTTTCCAGACTCATAGGTGGTAGGGACTCAACTCCAGATGGGACTTTGGACTTGGGACTTTGGACTTTTGAGTGATGCTAAAATGAATTCAGACTTTTGGGAAACTACTGGCTGGGGATGATTATATTTCTCAGTGGAAGAAGAACATGAGATTTGAGGGGCCAGGAGTGGAATGATGTAGTTTAGAGGTTGTTCCCTCTGAATCTCATGTTGAATTGAATCCCCAGTGTTGGAGGTGGGGCCTGGTGAAAGGTGATGGGTTCATGAAGGCAGATTTCTCATGAATGGTTTAATGCCAACCCCTTGGTGCTGTCCTTGATAGTGAGCATGTTCTCAGAAGATCTGGTTGTTTAAAAATCTGTGGCAACTACTCCCTCTCTTTTGCTCCCACTCTCACCGTGTGATATGTTGGCTCCCCCTTTGCCTTCCACCGTGACTGCAAGCTCCCTGAGGCCTCACCAGAAGCAGAGCAGATGCTGATGCCATACTTCCTATACAGCCTTCAGAAACATGAACCAATTAAACCTCTCTTCTTTATAAATTAGCCAGTCTCATGTATTCCGTTATAGCAAAGCAAGAACAGCCTAACATACTGCCACTCAAGAACAAGAAGATACTGTGAGAGTCCACCCAAGGGGAGCATGTTTAGAAATATGGCAGGAATATAAATGATATCAACAGACAACATCTGCAGAAGAATTAACAGAAATGTACCTTGTGGATCTCTCACTTCAGCTGCTCCAGAGAAGTTCATTTACCAAATGCAAAGGGCCAGCCTGAAAGATATCTCACTATTCAGTACAGAAATGGGGCACATACATGGAGGGCAAGGAGAAAAATCTGCATGTTGTCAAACCACTTTTTAGATTTAACTTGAAGTGACCTCATATGAACAAAAACAGATCAGGGAATTCTAAGTTAGATCATAGGCAAAGTAGCATCATGCTATGAGGGCTGCTGTAAACATCAACTCCGTGCTAAGTGGTTCAGCTGCCTCAGCTTTGTAGTCAAGAGATGACTCCAGGGTGTTTGCAATCTGCATTCCTTGCAAAAAAGCCTGCGTTAACTTCAGCTCTGCAGGGAGTTGTGATGGATGCATTTTGAGTATTGTGGTGATTATATTTTTGTTTGCACCTCTCACGGGACAAACACACAAAGGCCTAGAATATAAGGGAGAGCAAACAATAAAACATAAAGCCATTTATGGCACTTGGATTCTTTTGCTTGCAGATGAAGAAATGGCTCTTTTCAGTCAAGCTTGGCTAGTACACATCTTTGTTTAGGTCTATTTGTGCTGCCATCACAAAATGCCTGAGAGTGGGTAATTTATAAACAATAGAAATTTATTTCTCACAGTTCTGGAGCTGGGAAATCCAAGATGAAGGTGCTGGCAGGTTTGGTGTCTAGTGAGAGTCTAGTCTTTGCTCCCAAGACGGTGCCTGCCACGCTGCACCCTCCAGAGAATGGAATGCTGCCTCCTCACATAGTGGAAGGGATGGAAAGGCAAAAAGAAGCCAAAGTTCTCCATCAAGCCCTTTGACAATGACATTAAGCTATTTATGAGAACAGAGTCACCATGACCTAATTCCTCCCTGAAGGCGCACATTCCAACACTGTTGCATTGCGGATTACGTTTCCAACACATGAATTGTGGGGGACACATGCCAACCATAGCACCCCCAAAACTCTTTGTCCCAAAGACCTATCACAGCTGTATTTTTAAACCCTAAAGCATATGTCATTTATGCCTATCTTTCTAATGATTTCTATTGATTGTTATGGCTGCTTACCCCGCTTCATCTCCAAAACCAGAATAAAAATAAAATTTATTTTCATACAACCTTATTATCCTTCAAATGATCTTTCTGTGTTAAAATGGTCAAATCCTGACAGTCCTGGTTCTACTGAACCCTGAGGATGAAATGGGCTCCTAGCGACTGAAGCTTTCCTTCCTTTTCTAGAATTATCATTGTCAAAAACAAATGCTTCCTTGGTCATTTAAAACAGGTATATGAAGTGTCTCATATTTACCCCAAATTAAAACATTCAGGTAAAGAGGCATGGCAGGTTTTTGAGAGCAGTTCTGCTTTGCCCCTCTCTTCATCTCTCTAGTTTTTTATGACATTATAAAAAAATGAACTTACTCTTTGGGATCCTATTTGAATGCTTAAGATAGATAACATAAAATGCAAAATGTTGAAGAAAAAATAATGTTTCATATGAGGAAAAACAGTGTTTCACTTGTATTCATACGAACGCACACGCATATGAACTCTGGGGGAATAAAGATAATTAACACTCATAAGTTCAGAGTTGGAATGGACTCTTGTAGCAAAAGACAGATTAATGAGAGAAAAACAAATGGAAGTTTATTAATGTGTATATTTCATAGGTACATGAAAGACGCCAAGGGAATGAGTAGTCCTCAAAGGGATGGCTTTGAATTCTGGCTTGTATAGCATTTTTAACAAAGAACAGTACATTTTTAAGGAAGTAACAAGACAAAGAAAAGGACTTGGGTTCTCCAGGGCAGCAGCTTGCAGGAAGACACATAATGGTAAATAAAGGCGAGTTAGGGAAGCTTGCTCGTGGAGATGCCTCTGGTATCATCTCCAGGGTCATCAGTGCCCAAGGTTGTCTTCCGTGGTTAACCTTTGTTCTCCCATAGGAGAAGAAGGCAGGGCAGGATTCCTTTTGTCCTTATAAGCCTGTGTCCTACTTTTAGGCAAATAAAGGGAGAGGAGAGCTCTTTCCTGTACCTACTTCTTCTTAATTGCCTTCAGTTCAACAGTCATTTATATTTTGGGGTGGTATATTCTGGTCCCCACAATACATATGTAGACGCAGGCATACACACAGAGGAAGAGATTATTTTCTTTTAAGAGGTATATCTTGGCCAGGGATTTCCATTCCACTGTGCAGCCTGACTGCATTCAAAATGCAGGCAATGAAGGAGGCCACTTGGTACACTGCATTCTGGAAGAGAAAACCAAGACTTGAACAGACATAAAAGATTTAAATTTCAGGCTTTCAAAGTTGAGGGCTGGACCAGAAACAGGCCCCCGCCCCCTCCCCCCCCCCCACAACACACACAGGAGTGAAGACACTAAAATGATTTGTTTTCTAATTTACATGTTAATCTTGGTGAAGTAACAGATCCCTCCTGCATCCTTTCAGGGACATTGCAGTGCCTACCAGCTAACTAACAATTCTTTCAACAAGTGTGCATGCAGCCTCTGCTAGATCCTGGGAAGGCAACAGACAACTAGAGAAATGTGGTTACTACCTTTATGGTTATTTCTTGATATTGGAGAAGAGACACTTACATAAACAGACAAGTATTCAAAATGAATTTGTAATACAGTAACTGAGGAAGACTTCAGGCTTCCATGAGAATCTACAATTGTGAGGCCTAGCCAGTTCAAACCAGGTGAGAAACAGAAGGGTTGGGAGTATTTGATATAAGACAGAATGAAGGGGACAGTGGTAAACCACTGAAGCTGTGAGCTGACAAAAAGTACAACAATTCAAAAACATCCACATTGTGTTGGCCAAAACTCCAAGAGTTCCAGCCACTTCACCTGCCAAGTATTTGCCTCTGATATTACTGATCAGTCCACGTAGCATTTGGGAATCATTGTAACTCCTTGGTTGCCCCACAAAATGCGCAGTCCATTGGACTGGACTGAACTGTCTAAGAATGATGACTAGGAAGCTTTTGGTTTTACTCAAATAAGTGTTTTTCCACCGTGCAGTTCATCATGAGATTGGAGGTGGTATTTCCAGGGAGTGCTTATGAAGATAGCAGAGGAAAGGTGCCAAGCTGGAACCAAGCCTGCACATCGCCCTACTGGGACATGGCTTGTTTATGTCCTACTGCCAGTGGGTCCAGGGGAAAACCTTCCAAACCACATGAGCATTGCCAAGATCGGTAGCAACACACCATTCACTATTAACCAAATCTGAAAAACAAGAAGGCAAAGTCAACAACTCCCTAACTCACACATTGTGCAAAAATTATGACTTCTGGGTGGTTACTAGGAATATCTCAAACATGAGTTTTGAAAATTTGCCTGTTTTACCTGAACCACACAGTATTGTGTCCTAGCATGCTGATGTATATAGTGATTGAGGTAGAAAATGTTCGATATAAACAAAAGACAACACAGTGAGGGATGGGGTGAGAAAAAAATACTTCTGACCCATCCATACTTATGGCTGCAGGCTTGTCGTTAGAATGTGCATGTCATCTTGATATTTCTCCATCCACTTGGCTTCTGCCTCATTTCTCACCATTTTCCTTCCATTTCCTGGTGTTTTCTCCACTCCAGCCAACTGCTCACTCTCTGGCGTCTCTCTGTGCTTGCTTTTGTGGCATGTTGGCAAAATGCCACCTTGACAGTGTTTGGTCTCCCAGCTTGGTCTTTGTGTTTTCCCTTTCTCTCTTCTACCTAAAAGGAAAACAGCCTTTGCTTTTCACTGATGAGTGGCTGGCAGCACCCAGGGCTAGCTCAGTGCCACTGCTGGCAGGCATCTCATGCCTGTCAGCAGTCCAGTTACTAAAGGCAGCATTCAGAGGCGGGGGATCTGGGAGGAGGGTCATCACCTCGGGAGGTCAGAGCTGATATCTCCAACCTTCCCACAACTTTTATTAAAAATTCTCCCCACATCGGGTACAGTGGCTCACAACCGTAATCCTAGCACTTTGGGAGGCCAAGGCTGGAGCATTGCTTGAGCTCAGGAGTTTGAGACCAGCCTGGGAAACACAGTGAGATCCTGTCTCTACAAAAAGTATAAAAATTAGCTGGGCATGATGTACTGGTTTGTTCTCACACTGCTATGAAGAAATATCCGAGACTAGGTAATTTGTTTAAAAAAGAGATTTAATTGACTCAGAGTTCTGCATGGCTGGGGAGGCCTCAGGAAACTTACAGTCATGGCAGAAGGCACCACTTCACAGGGTAACAGGAGAGAGAATGAGTGCCAAGTGAAGGGGGAAATGGCAGACGCTTATAAAACCATCAGATCTTGTGAGACGCACTCACTATCATGAAAACAGCATGGGGGAACCACCCCCATGATTCAATTACCTCCCACAGAGTTCCTCCCACAATACGTGGGGATTACAGAGATTACAACTCAAGATGAGATTTGGGTGGAAACACAGCCAAACCTTATCACATGGTGATGTGTGCCTATTGTCCCAGCTACTCAGGAGGCTGAGGTGGGAGGAACACTTGAGCTCCAGATGTCAAGGCTGCAGTTAGCCATGTTTGTGCCACTCCACTCCAGCCTGGGTCCTGAGACCCTGTCCTCTCTCTGCCAAAAAAACAAAACAAAACAAAACAAAAAACAAAAAACCCCTTCCCGTGAGGAATCAGTCCTAATGGTCATGGCCCAGACACACCTGGACCACAGGCTCCATCCTCCATGGTGACAGCCTTGTCATTCCCATCTAATCCCTGGCCATTCTCCAGGCCCAGCCCCATGCCAGCTCCTCCCAGTGCCTTTCCAGTTCTCTCCAGCCTGACCATTGTTCCTTTCTCAGACTCAGAGCCCTTGCAGTCCAACCAGGCACAGTGACAGCCCTCATTCTAAGGAAGCCACACCTTGTTTCCTTGGCCAAGCTTGGAAGTCCTTAGAGCAAGCTCTGCACAGAACATGGTGTGTATCCCCCGTAGCCCTTAACCTAACGATGTCCATATTGTAGGGACTCCATTGGAAACATGTTTAGTAATCACCGGCCATGTGGCAAGGACTAAGGAAGAAAGAAATCATCGGCATGCTCTTGCTTCTCAAGGAACTCTCTGTCCAGTAAAGAAACTCACAGCATCCCAGGCATTTGTAACCAGACCTTAAGGAAACATGTTGGCTGTTCTGGGAGTCAAACCACAGAATTATGCGACTTTGCTTCTAAAAGCCTCAAGTCTAAATTTCTGAGACAAGCCAAATTAAACACATCAACCCAGAGACAGCAAAGAGGTTTTGCCACATGGTACATATGGATATTTTTCATTCTGAGAGCTTAGAATCATACATCATTGATCCCAGAAGTGAATTTACAGATCATTGATTGAAACTGCTAGTAGCATAAGGGAAAAAAAGTCTGATAGGACAATATGATTTATCCAAAGTGTAACCAGAGCCCTCCCTTTTCTAGCAGGACCTCAGCCTCCTAAAAAACTTTACTGTATAAACCCCTACATCTCACTCCCAAAAGACAGGTGCAACTCTACAGCCTTAGTTTCTGAATTTGTGAAGTGGGCATGATTATAGTACCTCCCAGGGCTGCTGGGAGGATTCAGTGAGACAGCAGAATTAGTAAACTGTATCATTCATAAAGCTCTGTTCAAGAATAATCTATTCTATTCCAGGAATTCTATGATGGGGGATGTCCAAAGTCAGGTAAATGTCACTGAAGAAAGATCCATTATTACAAATCTTACAAAAAGGAAACCAGAAGGGCTACAATAATTTTAATAGTAACTTCTGGGGGCACAAACATGAGTAATAAAAAACTTCAAATTGTTCATGGTACAAATACAGGAAATACCTTATTATTAAGAAGTGTCTTTGTGGTTACCTGAAGCTTTGAGTTTTAATATATGCTTTCTCAGACCCAAAGCTGTAAGACTTAAGCGATTTTTTTAAACTTCACGAACTTCTTTGAGCTCACAAAAATCTCTCTGGATTGTTTTCTTTATACAGTAAATATGGGCTTCATTCCTTTTTTTATCTGGAATTACTTCTAAAGGGGGAATGGATTTAAGTGCCTGTTTGAATTAAGCAGCTATATAATTTTATTTGAGGAGAAATATAAATTGTTTAGAGAATGTACCTGATGTATTTAGCTAAAATTGTCTTTTGAATAATTTCGAGGGGGAGGGTAGAAAGCAATAACTATGCCGCATCTGCTAATATAGTTTTGTGAATTAGTTGCTATTTATTGATTACATGTACAACAATCTTATGAGCTAGCTATGGATAATACCGCATTTCAGAGATGCGAAGAGCAAGGCAGAAAGAAAGAAGATGAGCTAGGCATTCTATAAAGAACACTTACAATTTTAGACCAAAGATAAGAACACTTTTTCCTTGGCACTTGCAACACTTACCTTGCTTTATTCCTTTTATAATTAAATGTTTAATTGAAGAGACGAAGTTGTGGCACTCTGTGTTCAGAGGACACTGGACTACGTGAAAGTCCACAGAGTGTGATTATGCAGTGAAGGCCATGTGTGTAAGGGGAAAAGAAGGGGCTCCCCTGTAACCGGCCTTAGGAAAACACCATCTGCATCTTTCTGGGGCCAGAATGGTGGGGGTTTCCAGCCTAAGAGCGTCTAAGGGAAATCTCATTCATCTTAGTGAGAACATCTAATGCATTATTGGCTTACCAGTAATGCTAAAAATTTTATCCCAAGAAGGAACAAGGGGACATTTAATATAACTGCCAAGAAAGAACTGGTTTGTTCTGGAGACACAGCATACAGAGAATACAGAGCTAGGAGCATGGACTCCGGGACCAGACAGGCTCACATGGCCCCAAGGCTTGGGAAGCTGCTTAACCTTTTCATACCCATCTTGCATCTGAAAATGGAGGCAATAAACAGTACTTAGCTGAAAGGATTGTCATGACGGTTAAAAGAGAACAATGCCTGGCAAGTGCTGGGTGGTGTTGAATAAACATTTGCTAAAGTAAATTTCCAGAAATCCCGGGAGAAAGTGAATGTGGTCTCATGAAAACCCTAATAGTTTTTTGTTCTTGCGATAGTTTACTGAGAACGATGATTTCCAATAACCCTAAAACTTAAAGTATAATAATAATAAATTTAAAAAAAAGAAAAAAAAAAAAAGAAAACCCTAATAGTAAGAAGGAATTCAGGACAAATCAGACACACAAAGCTGGTTTAGAAAAGGTGGATTTGAGCTTACTAGAAAATTCAGAAGGGATGCTGTTGTAAAAGAGATACAGGAGATGGTGACACCTGGGAGGGCTCAGGGTCACTTAATGGTCTGGTAGGCAGCCCAAGGAGTACCAAGCAGTGCCAGGATGTGGAGGAGGTGATAGATCGCCAAAGTGGAGGGCATGTGTGCCACCCGGGACCAGGGTATGGCATGGCCAAGCCAGGCAGTGAGCAGCCATGGAAGGCGTGCCTCCTGCTCACATTGCCGTCCCTCTGATTTTGTAGTATGAACAAGGAGGCACCCTGGCTAATCCTGATGTAAACAACTGAACATGCTGGACACATGTTGGCCTTGCGGATGTGTTCATGAGCATAAAACAGCAACTAATAGCGAGCATGGGGTCACAAAGAGGATGTCCTGATAAAGCATCATTTTTCTTTTTCTAGCAAGATTACTGATCTGTTAGATCTCATCTCAAAGATTAAGACCCCAGGGGAAAGTTGGCTTGAGTTCAGGAAGTCCTTTGACAAAGACTTTCCTCCATTCTGTGAATGCAGCGGAGACTGAAGAGGAAAACTTGGAATAATTAGAAGAACTGTAAGCCAGTTGGACAATTGCTTCCAGCGTGCTGATTAATGAGTTGTTACAGAGATCAATGGATTCAGTATTGGCATGGAAAAGGATTATAATCTTGACTTCTGGCATTCATATTTTATCAGCAATTGGATGGGGCCATAGGGTTATCAATTGTTCATGTGACACTAGCTGTAGCAGGTAGGCACTATGCTGAGTGCTGAATCACGCTTCAAACACATTGATATAATGAGTATGGAGATTCCATTTGGGAAAATAAAATAGTTCTGGAGACATTTGAACAAAAATGTGAATGTGCTTAATGTCACTGAACTGTTCGCTACAAATAGTGAAAATGGTAAATTTTTGGTTGTGTATATTTTACCACAATGAAAAAAACATGAAAGAGAAAAGATTCTTATAGCTGAGAGAGACAGGGTTATAATATCTAAATTATTTTTTAGAGGTGGAGTAAATTATTTTTTAGAGGAGGAGCTGAAAGTCAAAGTGTCTTGTGTGTCTTACCTCTTGTGACAAATTTTTGGTGATAAGTTTTGGTTCACTCATGTTGGGTTTGGAGCCAGGAATGCATTTAGAAACGATGTCAGAGAGATTCCATCTTATGCTTATGTGGGTTTTAGTATACACACCATTTGAAATTCAGTGATGGTAACTCATGAAAAGGGAACTTCAAACCATCATTTCAACATAAATAACCAATTCAAATAAGAGCCCTGTATTAAAAACAGTTATGTTTAACGAATTTATCTACAAATAAAAATTTTAACAAATAAATTATACTAAGAAAGCATATGGGTAAAGTCTGCTTGTAAGTTTAATCTCATCTATGGCATATCATGAATATGTTTTATTTAATATTATATTTTCATTCTATTTCGTTTGCTTCTCATAACTACTTTTAACCAAGTGTCTCTATGAGAAATGTTACCTCACTATTCATTGACAATGTAATTGAACTAAGTCCAGCATATACTAGCTCCTCTACAGTTAAAAACGAAGTCAAGACATTTGGACTATTAAGAAAATATTAAGAATAGAATTGAAAAAGTCCAAATTAGATCAATGACACAACATTTTATTTGTTTGTTTAATCATCTAAAATGGGAAAAATACTTTATCATACCTCAATGTTTTAAAATAATATCAATTTTAGCTATTGATCTTTAGAAAAATTTTATTGAGGAAATCAAAGAAAAATCAGGAAATGAAATAATTATCAAGAAGAAAACATACATATGGTTGTAAGTGGACTATAAACTCAGAGACCTTGGGTTTAATCTCATGTTCTAGCATGCATTAGCTGCATGGTTATCTAATCTTTGTGCCTCAGTTTCCTCCTCTGTAAAATGGCCTCAGTACCCAATGGGATGGGAAGGAAATAAGGCAATACATGTAATGGCTAAGTGCTTCCTGCTTAGTACCTGGTCCATGGTACATAGAGAGGATTAGCTCTTCTCCTTGGAAGTGTCCCCTCTGTTGTCAAGATTAAAGGGAGAAATGCCTTCATCCTCTTCTCATACACTTCTTGGAAGATGCTGCCTACATCACACACAGGATGAGGTATGGTGGTACCATCAAAGACCTGGCAAGAATCAGATAGCACCCACAAAGAGTTCGTGAAGAGAGTTCAATGAAAGGCCCATGTCTTGAAATACAGGTACAAGACAGCTTGCACAGTACCCAGGGACCAAAGTGGGAAGCCATCTCTGTCCCTGGACATAATTCATCTCTCCCTTTCCCCCTCAAATCTCCCTCCCCTGCCTCTCACTGGGGAAGCTGTGAGAGGCTAGAGGGTAAGTGGCCTCAGGATGTGTTCATCAAGGTCAGCCTCCTGGCTCAGCAGAGGCAGAGACACCCCCACCAGGGCTCAACTGCACGTAACCAGCTCTGTGAGTAAGCGGGGCTCTCTCATTCTCCCCAGTGGGGCTCAAAGTGGCAAGTCCCACATCTGAGTATCCATTATTCTTATTTCTTGATTAAATTGTGATGAAGCAAGGTATCACAGGGAACGCAACCTGCTTATCTTTCTTACCAAATGAAATAGCTTTACTAGCTGGGAGGAAAAGAACATGAGTTTTTCAGCAATAACAGTAAACTCAGCCCTTTGAGGATTCTTATAAGGTGGGAGCTCCCTCCAAGCCATGCTAAGCGTGGGGAATCCTCAGTGTCCTGGGCTCTGGGTTTCCACACCTAATGCATGCACTGTTTCTCCTTATGCACAACCCCCTTGTTTGAGCTGACACCTCCATCGTTGTAACCCCAAATCAATGAATCAGTAGGCACACAGGATTACATCTTTTAAAATAAAATGATGGCTGAGATGCTGAGGAACCACGGGCTGCAGGTGGGCTGGCCATCTGTGCTCGAATCCACACCCTGCATGGGAGAAGATACTTACGGCTCATCTTGGAAGTCACAATTTTGAGGTGTCTCACTTAATTTCCAGTTTCATTTCTCATCACCCCCACTTCAATGAACCATTCATTCTAATCAAGTAGGTCTCAGCCTAGTCTTCAAGTCTCCTGGAACCATTCCATGATTCCATGCTGTTCCCTGCCCAGAGCACCTGCTTGGCTCCCCCATCACTTTCCCATTTCCCCCTTCAGTGGGGCACAGTCAACCCCGGTGCTCCTGGCAGACACCATCACAGTAATTAAATATTATTAGTGCATGTTTTATTGCATACGTACAGCCACAAGCTAAATGTGACATTGCCATAGACCTCTCTCCCTCTTCTCCATGGAATTTAATGTCACCGTCTCTCACTTAGCACCTATTTAGTGTCTATACTTAGTAAGGAATTTTTGTGTCTTTTCTCTTGAATCAGGCTGTCAGTAACTTAAGGATGAAAATCTTCTTAAATGTGTACAAGTCACATCTGTTATCCAGGACAGAGCCTTGATGTAGAGGCGTTTAACCTGTGGCTCTTCTCACGATGAAACCCCAGTAATGTGACTTTGAAAAATGTGTGTGATGTCAAAAGTCACTGTGATAAACAGCTTTACCTCTACCACACGGGAAAGATTCTATGCTATAATTAGGTGATTAAATTTGCCAAGGCACATTTCAGTTGTAGAACCATTCCAAAATCAAACAACATAGCCATCATAGAAAGTGCTCAGTGACCCATCAGGAAAACTGATATGTTCAAAACATTTCTAGACAATGGTAAATATGTTTTAAAGTGGAAAAGCGTTTTGAATGTAAACAAAAGTAAACATTTTGAGCTAAAGAAATACACATTTTAGGTCATACACATATATATGTTTTAATCCTGATATATATATATATATATATACTTTTATATATATTTATCTTAAAATGTAAATATATATTTTTATCCTGGGATATATATAAATACATATTAATTATCTACAGCAAATGACAGGTAAACCTCTTGACTGAGCAAAGTGCTAAGCAGAGACATCTACAGGTGAGGGTGGGCCAAGGCGTTTCATGAACCAGGGCAGAGCCAGATGTAAGTGGTGGGAGGAAAAGGGTCAGATGGCACATAGGAAGGTCAATGCCAGGCTGAGCCTCACAGTAACAACCACAGACCCAAAGCAGATGAGGAAGCACAGAGCCCCACTTACTCAGGAGATAAGAATGATCCAGGAGAAGACGAAAGGCCCTCAGAACACAAGTGTGGCAGGTTCACCTGCCTGGAGCTCCCACACCTTTTCTGGAAAGATAGAGCTGCCACGATGGCTCTCAGTGGTATCTGCATCTTCTGAGCTAAAAGGTGCCACCATTGTGACAACCATTCTGCTCAGCTCAGGCCCGAGCTGGCCAATGGCTCAGGAGCAACCACTGCATTAAACTAGTGGCCATGCCTAGTAGTCCAGCCATGGCCAGCTTCAGAACCATTGCTCTTCTGTACAAGAAAATGTAAATTTACAAATGGCTGAGGAGCCGGCACTGCCTAAACTAGTGGCCATTTCTAGCACCCAGCCACTGCCAGCTTCAGAATAATTGCTCCTGTGTACAAGAAAATATAAATTTACTCAGTGCCCATTGAAAAAGAAAACAAAAGAAAGCTATGAGCCGTGTGTAGGGACACATGTGGTGGTGGATTTCCACTTATGTAGTGCTACCCACCCAGGGCTTCATGGTCCTTGTCCCCATGTTTCTTTGGCCAACTCTGCTCTAGCTTCCATGTCAAAGGTCTCACCCTCACTCGGTCCCTCAGTGTTGCAGCTATAGCTTGTGGCTTCTTTCCTGGTAACTGTGGTGTTGGAAAATGACACCAGGGCCATGTGCTTTCCTGCCTGATACCTTCTTGATGACTCCACTTCTCCATCAGCTATTTCCTCTTTCTCACCGTGGTGGCCCTTCTCTGATCTGGACCAGCATTCCTGGGAGAGGAATTCCTGTGCACAGCCAGGTCCAGGGACATGAGGACAGTTCAGGATGAGCTCAGGTGGGAGAAGGGGACCACCCCTGAGAGTCCACCTTCCCCAGGGCCCCTCCACCTATGTGAGTGGACATGAGCCATGGGGCAGCTGGGTATGGGCATCTCAGCCCACCCTTTGAGAAAAGGCTACAGCCAGGAGTGTAGTTTGTGGACAGCACCCATCTGCCACATCTCCCATATCTGCTGCAGTGTTTACGCTGAGACCACTCTCTCCCCAGGCAGCTCTGATACAGTACAAGAGCCAGGCCATTTCTGCCAATGCAGGCCACCTCCAAGGCAATCTTGGGATCCCTGTCAGCCTGCTCAAGACTCTCTGGGGGCTCTAGTTCAGAGTGAGGATCTTTCTACCCAACTCTACCTCCTCCTCCTTTCCTTATAGTTGTCAGATCCCCATGATGTCCTGAAGCCCTCTCTGCTCACTTGCGCTACAGACAGCCCCCCAGGAAGTCTCCTGCACATCGAATTCTGCTGGGCACAGCTTCCTGGAGGACCCCAAGCCACACGCACAGTCTCAGAAACTTTGTGCACAGAGTGCCCAGCAGCTAGGATCCCCTCCTCACCTAAAATAAAGGGACCCTCTTTTCTCTATTTATAACTGAGCTTCCAGAAGCCAGCCCTGTCCTCAAGCAATGTTCAGACTCAGGCCAAATGCTCTTCCTTTTTGGCTGCTGCCCTTCTCCAGGGCTAATAAATGCTCTTTCTTTAGAAATGTTAATAAAATCATTCAAGTCCCTGTTACTTTATAAATTGCAACAAATGTCTCTGTATATCTGAAAAATAGTGATGAAAATGGCATCAAACCAGGTCCTGAGCCCATTCACAGGCACCTGTAGCTTTCTGGCACCCACACAGTAGCTCTACAGGCCACAGGCTTGTCATCAGTGGGCTGAAACACTCCTCAGACATAGAAAATACACCCACGTGCTAACAAACTTGGTTGCTGGTTGTTTTATACAGCATGGGTAAACATCTCTTTGCTAACTGTACTATTCACAAATCCTCATTGGTCATTATCGGCCCACATCAGATTAGAGGCTGCACCACACCAGCAGTGGGTGTGGGGAGAGAGAAACCACTAAGAGCAGGTGCAATCTTAAGACCCCAGCAGAGGGTCCCTGCTGCAGGAGTGGCCATCTGCCTGCTTGCCACTGGGGGAATATGCAGGGAAGGTTGAGAGCTGGGGAGGATCATCCTGAGTCCTGGAGAAAGGCAAAAGGCAGGTTCACTTTGCAGAATCAGATGCCGGGGGCTTGCCTCACCACCTTCATTCATTCCGGACATTAACAAGCATTTGTTCAGGGCCTGATCATAGGCCAGATCCCTGGGGATGCTGTGAACATCCCTGCTCCAGGGAAGCTGAATGTTAGCATTATTTCCATCAAAAATGGCTAATGTTGTCCAACGTAATGGCTTCTGTTGTTTGGAAAATGTGCTCCAGCAGTGTGTGTCTCTCAAAGATGCTTGCAGATTAGTGATACTGGCGTGCTGAGATGGAAAGTCTGGGAATGGGGCAGTGGCTGAATAAAAGCTCTCTGTTTCCTGCAAAGGTTATTCCACATCCTCATAAATCCACTACTCGGTGAGGACCATCAGGCAATTCACTCCCGGCATGGGGTGGGCGAGTCACACCTGCATGTTCACTGTATATTAAGCAAATGAGGTTGTTCTTGACTGCAGTGTCATTGGATGATGATGGAAACCCATGCCTGGATTCAGATGTAAAAATATCAAGAATATATAAATACAAGAAAGCCATCAGTGATGTCAGCCAAAGCTTCACTCTCCTAACTCAATCCTGCGGAACCACAGCAGTGAGGTTAGAGCGTCCACTGCTGAGCTGTCACCATAAGGCTTCACGGAAGTGGCCAGCAGATGGAAAGGATTCCTCATGATAAAAACACAGAACAACCTCAGTGTTCAATAATCACAGCAGGTCACATTCACAGTGAGACATCCATAGGATGAGATGCCATGAAGCCACTAAAATCATTTCTTTTTTTTTTTTTTTGAGACAGAGTCTTGTTCTGTCGCCCAGGCTGGAGTGCAGTGGCGTGATCTCAGCTCACTGTAAGCTCCATCTCCTGGGTTCACGCCATTCTTCCGCCTCAGTCTCCCGAGTAGCTGGGGCTATAGGCATGCGCCACCATGACTGGCTAATTTTGTTTTTGTATTTTTAGTAGAGACAGGGTTTCACCGTGTTAGCCAGGATGGTCTCGATCTCCTGACCTCGTTATCCGCCTGCCTCGGCTCCCAAAGTGCTGGGATTACAGGTGTGAGCCACCGCGCCCGGCCTAAAATCATGTCTTAAAAGCACTTAATGACACGAGAAAATGTAAGGTATGTAATAATTTATGAAGTACTTTACTTAAAAACAAAGCAGCAATATACAATATGGCCCAGAATTTGTGTATAGACACACACACACACACACACACACACACACACACACACACAGAGAGAAACAGAGAAAGAGAAAGGAAAACAAAATCTCACAAAGAAGAGAAAAATAGCCACTGGTTATCTCTAAATCACACATCTTATTTTTATTTTATTTTCACATAGTGTTTAAGAGCACAGACTCTGGATGCAGATTCAGGTTTAAACCCAACCTCTTCTCCCCCTGAAAGCTGTGTGACCTCAGGCAAAATACTTAACCTTTGTGCCTCAGTTTCCTCATCTATAAAAGAAGATAATAATAGTACCTACCTCACAGGGTTGTTGTGAAGAGTGTCTAGCACTGGATAAGCATTCTACATGGGCATATCAAAATCAGTCAATCAATAAAACTAAGTTTCTATAGTTTTCAAATTTTCTGCAATACATATGCTGTCGTAGTAAAAAAAAAAAAGTATTTTTAAAATAAATGTTTAGAGTTGAAGCCTGGATGAATTATAAAATTCTTCCTTTCTCCTCTCATTCCCACTCCCACTTTGGGCAATGACTTGGAGTTCCTGATGTGGGGATGGAAATCTTATCTGACTTGGGCAAATGAGCTGTGTCCATGCCACTCCCAAATCAAGAAGTCAAATGCTGACCCCATGTGTATTATGCCACCAAGGGACACTGTCTCTAAGAGGCACTGAGTCGTGGGCTGTGGCTGGGTGGAAGGAATTGGAGAAGGAAGAGGAGGAAAGAAAGCATTTTGTTTTCTGGAATGAAATGATTTTTCTTCCTTTTTTAAAAAAAGGCAAGTTTTGAGAACTCTTATTTGTACATCAGAAGGGAAAAGGAGACTTTGGGAGTGAATTCATTTCTTCAACAAATATGCATTGAGTGCCTGCTATGTGCCGGGTTCTGTTTTAAATAAAGGGCCATGATAGTGAATGAAAAAGGCACATGTCCATGGTAGTGAATAAGACGGGGGAGAAAAACAATAAACAAGTAAAAAGGAAATGTGAAATATCATGGCAAAAGAAAAGACTGCCGTATTAGTCCATTCTCATGCTGCTACTAAAGACATCCCCAAGACTGGGTAATTTATAAAGGAAAGAGGTTTAATTGACTCACAGTTCAGCATAGTTGGGGAAGCCTCAGGAAACGTACAATTATGGCAGAAGGGAAAGCAAACATGTCCTTCTTCACATGGTGGCAGGAAGATATGTGAGCACCAAGTGAAAGGGGAAGCCCCTTATAAAACCATAAGATCTTGTGAGAACTCACTCACTATCACAAGAAGAGCATGGTGGAAATAGTCCCCTGATCGAATAATCTCCGCCTGGTCCCTTCCACGACATGTTGGGATTATGGAAACTACAATTCAAGATGAGATTTGGGCGGGGACACAGCCAAACCATATCAACTAAGAAGGAAAATAAAGCAAGGTAAGAGGATGGAAAATGGCCAGTGTGTCCCTTTCCAGAGGGTGGTCCTCAGAGAGCCATCCCAAGGATGATGATATGTGGGCAGAGAATGAAAGAAGGCAGACACTGTGCCATGCAAGTGTCAGAAGATGTTCCTGAGAGAAGAAAAAGAGAAAGAATCTGAGATGGGTTTGTGTGTGTCCAAACTAAATAAGAAGAGTTGGAGGCCGGATGGGTCTGAAGGGCAGGTCGTTCAGGAACTGGAGATTGAGTGGTCTGCAAAGAGGTAAAAGATGAGAAAAGAACGTGAGGCCAGGAAAGGGGCATTGGGCAGGAAGCATGGTGAAGAGGTGCCCAGCATGGCACACATTGATTCCAGTTGGCCTGGCCAAAAATGTAGTCAGCTGCAGTGGAGCTGTGAGATGATTAATTTTAGGTGACCACTTGGCTGAGTTGAGGGATGCTTAGATGGCTGGTGAAGCATCGTTTCCGGGTATGTCTGTGAGATGTTTCCAGAGGAGACTGGTGTGTGAGTCAGTGGACTGAGGAGGGAGATCCACCCTCCATGTGAGTTTGCAGCATCCAATTGGTTGAGGGCGTGACTGAAACAAAACGGGCAGAAGAAGCGGGACTGCGTGCTGTCTCTGCTTTCTCTCTCCCTGCTGGAGCAAGATGCTTTTTCTCCTCCTGCCTTTGGATGTCAGACACCAGGTTCTTCAGCTCTTGGCCTCTGAGACTTGCACCACAGCCTCCCAGGGCTTTTCAGCCTGATTGAGGGCTACCCTAGGGGATTCCTGGTTGTGAGGCTTTGGATTGGGACTGAGCCACATGAATGGCTTCTCTGCTTCTCCAGCCTGCAGTGGGTCTATCATGGGATTTTGCCTCTGTGATCATGTGAGCCAATTCCCCCTAATAAATCCCCTTCCATACATCTCACTGATTCAATCAGTAAGATTCAATAAGTAATTCAATCTCTAATGCAGATTGTGGTACCAAAAGTGATTCTAAAGAAACAGAATTTTTGGCACAAGACAGGGATGCCCTCTCGCACCACCCCTATTCGACATAGTGTTGGAAGTTCTGGCCAGGGCAATTAGGCAGGAGAAGGAAATAAAGGGTATTCAATTAGGAAAAGAGGAAGTCAAATTGTCCCTGTTTGCAGACGACATGATTGTATATCTAGAAAACCCCATTGTCTCAGCCCAAAATCTCCTTAAGCTGATAAGCAACTTCAGCAAAGTCTCAGGATACAAAATCAATGTACAAAAATCACAAGCATTCTTATACACCAACAACAGACAAACAGAGAGCCAAATCATGAGTGAACTCCCATTCACAATTGCTTCAAAGAGAATAAAATACATAGGAATCCAACTTACAAGGGATGTGAAGGACCTCTTCAAGGAGAACTACAAACCACTGCTCAACGAAATAAAAGAGGATACAAACAAATGGAAGAACATTCCATGCTCATGGGTAGGAAGAATCAATATTGTGAAAATGGCCATACTGCCCAAGGAAATTTACAGATTCAATGCCATCCCCATAAAGCTACCAATGACTTTCTTCACGGAATTGGAAAAAACTACTTTAAAGTTCATACGGAACCAAAAAAGAGCCCACATCGCCAAGTCAATCCTAAGCCAAAAGAACAAAGCTGGAGGCATCACACTACCTGACTTCAAACTATACTATAAGGCTACAGTAACCAAAACAGCATGGTACTGGTACCAAAACAGAGATATAGATCAATGGAACAGAACAGAGCCCTCAGAAATAAGGCCGCATATCTACAACTATCTGATCTTTGACAAACCTGAGAAAAACAAGCAATGGGGAAAGGATTCCCTATTTAATAAATGGTGCTGGGAAAACTGGCTAGCCATATGTAGAAAGCTGAAACTGGATCCCTTCCTTACACCTTATACAAAAATCAATTCAAGATGGATTAAAGATTTAAACG